>NC_000001.11:38303835-38928835 GCF_000001405.40 Homo sapiens | reverse complement strand
TCCTGCCTCGGTCTCTCAAAGTGCTAGGATTACAGGCATGAGCCACCATGCCTGGCCCATTATTTTTTATTTAAAATTTTTTTTTTACATGGCCAGGCACAGTGGTTCATGCCTGTAATCCCAGCACGTTGGGATGCCGAGGCGGGTGGATCACCTGAGGTAGGGAGTTCGAGATCAGCCTGACCAACATGGAGAAACCCCATCTCTACTAAAAATACAAAATTAGCCAGGCGTGGTGGCGCATGCCTGTAATCCCAGCTACTCGGGAGGGTGAGGCAGGAGACTCTCTTGAACTTAGGAGGTGGAGGTTGTGGTGAGCCAAGATCGTGCCATTGCACTCCAGTCTGGGCAACAAGAGCGAAACTCTGTCTCAAAACAAAACAAAACAAAACATGGCCGGGCGCCGTGGCTCACCCCTGTAATCCCAGCACTTTGGGAGCCCGAGGCGGGTGGATCAAGAGGTCAGGAGATTGAGACCATCCTGGCTAATACGGTGAAACCCCGTCTCTACTAAGAATACAAAAAAATTAGCTGGGCGTGGTGGCAGGCACCTGTAATCCCAGCTACTTGAGAGACTGAGGCAGGAGAATCGCTTGAACCTGGGAGGTGGAGGTTGCAGTGAGCCAAGATCGCACCACTGCATTCCAGCCTGGGCGACAAAGCGAGACTCCGTCTCAAAAAAAAAAAAAAAAAAGAAAGAAAAAAATTTACATTTTAAAATCTTCAATTTATTTATTTATTTCAGAGACAGGATCTTGCTCTGTTGCCAAGGCTGGAGTAAATTTTCATTTTTAACTCTAATCCCATCACAGTTGAAGGAGTACCTTTCTATAACACTTGGTGCGTAGAAATCACAGGGGCTGTGGAACATGTGGGGGCTTTGGAGTCAGGCGCCCGAGACTCTTCTCCCAGCCCTCCCCTTATTAGCTGTGAGACCTTGAGTAAGTTACTTTGGGAGCCTGGGTTTCTTTATCCTTAAAATGGGAATATTATTACCCTGCTTTACAAAGTGGTAAAAATTAATGAAGACAATGCTCATAAAGTGTTTAGCCTGGATGCTGGCACACAGTAAGTGTTTATTATTCTAGTACCTCTTTATTATTTTATTTGATTCTTACCACAATTCTGTAAGATACTCAGGGCAGAGGTGAGCTCTGTTTTACAGCTGAGGAAACTGAGGCCCAGTGGAAAACTAAATGTGGATGCTGGGAGTAGAATTCAGGTCTTTATAGTGTCAAACACAAGGCAGGCTATTCTTCAAAGGCAGATGGCAAGCCCTTTTTTTGGTAGCCATTATGACATGGCAGCTTCACAGTGATGGTGCCCAGTGATGGTAGAATGATAATGGAAGTGGTGCGGCCTTGCAGAGGAAAAGGTTGGTAGGAGGCTCTTTTCTTTTCTTTTTTTTTGAGATGGAGTCTGGCTCTGTCGCCCAGGCTGGAGTGCAGTGGCGCGATCTCGGCTCACCGCAACCTCCGCCTCCCAGGTTCATGCCGTTCTCCTGCCTCAGCCTCCCGAGTAGCTGGGACTACAGGCGCCCGCCACCACGCCCGGCTAATTTTTTGTATTTTTAGTAGAGACGGGGTTTCACCATGTTAGCCAGGATGGTCTCGATCTCCTGACCTTGTGATCCACCCGCCTTGGCCTTCCAAAGTGCTGGGATTACAGGCGTGAGCCACCGCGCCCTGCCCGGTAGAAGGCTCTTTTCAACATAAAGTCACACAAAGACTTAGTCAATGTGTGGTTGGAATTCCTCCTTCCCCCTTTTCCCTCCTCTCTTTCTCTCCCTGTCTCTTTCCCTCCCTTTCTTCCAGAAGCATTCCTTTTAAAAAACATTTTTAAAAAAATAACTCTGATGTTTTGTATGGAATGCTTCACGAATTTGCGTGTCATCTTTGTGTAGAGACCATGTTAATCTTCTCTGTATTGGTCCGGTTTTTAGTATATGTGCTGCTGAAGCGAGCACCACAAGCATTCTTTTATTGATTGATTGGTTGAGATAGGGTCTCGCTTTATCACTCAGGATGGAGTGTAGTGCCACGATCTTGGCTCACTGCAACCTCCACCTCCCGGGTTCAAGCGATTCTCCTGCCTCAGCATCCCCAGTAGCTGGGATTAAAGGCATCTGCCACCTCACCTGGCTAATTTTTTGGGTACTTTTCGTAGAGATGGGGTTTTACCATGTTGGTCAGGCTGGTCTCGAATGCCCGACCTCAGGTGATCCGCCCGCCTCTGCCTCCCAAAGTGCTGGGATTATAGGCGTGAGCCACCGCGCCCTGCCCGAGTCAGGTTTTTTTATTGCAAAAGATGGGAACTGATTCTGGCTAATTAAATCAGGAAATGAATTTTATTGAAAGCACATTGAGTAAGTTACAGAATCACTTGAAGGCTGTAGAAACAAGGCTTGGGAAAAAAGCAGAAACAGAGACCAGGTACCTAGAATTACACCAAATTCCATCACAGAGCCAGATAGGTGAGGACAGCCTCAGTGCTGCTGCTGCTG
The DNA here is from genome assembly GCF_000001405.40 of Homo sapiens. NCBI lineage: Eukaryota > Metazoa > Chordata > Mammalia > Primates > Hominidae > Homo > Homo sapiens. The sequence continues at coordinate 38,926,332 of NC_000001.11, read as the reverse complement.
AACGCCCAGTGCTGCTGCCTTTGTCACAGCCACAGCTGGCGTTGGATGCTGGATGCCATGCTGACCCCAGTGGCAAGGCGTCTGGACACTGGATACTGCTGCCACTGCTGCAACCACTGTAAAGAATTTTTTCCATCCTCACCTCCAGCCTCAGAAATCCTAAGCAAATGCAGCTGATTGGTCAAGCTGCCCTAGCTGCCTAGGGACATGCAAAAGTGAATATTGGGCATGGTTAATGTCTGTAGTGGGATCCGTTTCCTGCTGCCCACCAGGAGAAGATAAATTCCCCAAGAAAACTGACAAATGACGACTACGTACATGTTGTCAAAGAATCCACTGGAAGTCTTTGACATTTGCAGATTCAACACTTGCAATTTTGGTAATTTATTAGTTACTCCCAAAGGCCCATTATAAATGAATATGAGTTGAATGATTGGCTTTGCCTGTTAGTGAGCCAGGCCTACTGCTCTGCCTGGATATCTCACATGACTGTTATCCTTTATGTAGTTTGCATGCAGTGATTAAAATATTTGTTTCTTGTTTGCAGAGTAGAAAAGATTCATAAAATAAATAATCCAATAGTGCCAGTGATATAAACAAAGAGAAAGTGGGGAGGTATAAGACAGTAACTTTGTTTTTTGGCTACAAATAGAAGTTTTGGATAAATTGGCATGCTGTGTCAAGTTCAGTGGTGTCTAAGATCCCTGATATCATTAGATCCACCATGTGTGTCACTGAGATACAAGGAAAAGTTGTTCAGTGAGTGCATCAGCCAGGCTGCTCATCAAGAGAGAGATTAACCTTTTTTTTTTTTTTGAGACAGAATCTCACTCTGTCGCCCAGGCTGGAATGCAGTGGCAAAATCTCAGCTCACTGCAACCTCCGCCTCCCACTGCAACCTCCACCTCCTGGGTTCAAGAGATTCTCCTGTCTCAGCCTCCCGAGTAGCTGGGATTACAGGCACATGCCACCACTGCCGGCTAATTTTTGTATTTTTGCTAGAGACAGGGTTTCACCATGTTGGTCAGGCTGGTCTCGAACGCCTGACCTCAAGTGATCTGCCTGCCTCGGCCTCTCAAAGTGCTGGGATTACAGGTGTGAGCTACCATGCCTGGCCTGGCTATACTTTACAATGTAATTTTGGGAGACACTATGTGGTATGTAGTGCATTAGGGCATCTGAAAGGTCTGGAAAAATCTCTTGCAAATGTCAGGAGTCTCCTATGTAAATCTCTTTATAGAAATCTCTTTTCGGCTGGGCATGGTGGTTTAAGCCTATAATCCCAGCACTTTATGAGGCCTAGGTGGATGGATCACTTGAGGTCAGGAGTTTGAGACCAGCCTGACCAACATGGTGAAACCCTGTCTCTACTAAAAATACAAAATTAGCTGGGTATGGTGGTGCATGCCTGTAACTTCAGCTACTTGGGAGTTTGAGGCAGGAGAATTGCTTGAACCTGGGATGTAGAGGTTGTGGTGAGCCGAGATCGCACCATTGCACTCCAGCCTGGCAACAAGAGCAAAACTCAATCTCAAAAAAAAAAAAAAAAAGAAAAAAGAAATCTCTTTTCAACAGATTTTTTTTTTAAGGTAGTCAATTGTCCTGAGTAAATGAGCACAGTCCTGCCCTTTCAAGTCTTTGGCCAATACACTGGCTCTGTGATTGTTAACAAGTAATGCTTATTCTAGGCAAAGTCAGGAAGTAGCAAAGTTCCTTCCGTGTTTCCTTGTTTTTTTTTTGAGACGGAGTCTTGCTCTGTCGCCCAGGCTGGAGTGCAGTGGCGCAATCTCGGCTCACTGCAACCTCCGCCTCCTGGGTTCATGCTATTCCCCTGCTTCAGCCTCCCGAGTAGCTGGGACTACAGGCGCCCGCCACCACGCCTGGCTAATTTTTTGTATTTTTAGTGGAGATGGGGTTTCACTGTGTTAGCCAGGATGATCTCGATCTCCTGACCTTGTGATCCGCCTGCCTCCGCCTCCCAAAATGCTGGGATTACAGGCGTGAGCCACTGTGCCCAGCCCTGTGTTTCCTTTTAAGAGTACTTGTGGCCAGGTGGGATCTTTCTATGTTTCCTCTTGAGAATACTTGTGGATTACAGGCTCTCTCACACCTGTAATCTCAATGCTTTGACAGGTCAAGCAGGGAGGATCCCTTGAATTCAAGGGTTTGAGACTAGCCTGGACAACATGGGGAGGCCACCATTTCAAAATAATAATAATAATAAAGTTTAAAAACTTTTTTTTTTTGAAAAAAGAATACCTGCCAACCATGAAGGAAAGGGTTTTGGTTCTTTTCTCTCCCTCCCCAATCCTTAGAACCCATGAAAGGGTTTTGGTTCTTGGTGTGCATAAGGAACATTTCCATTTTTAACCAGAAGGCTAGAGACATTCTAACAATCTACTCAGTTGTTCCCTACCTGTAGGATGAGAACTTCTCGCAGCAGTGCCACCCAGTTTTGATCTGTGTATGCGAGGCCTTTCAAAAAAGAGTGGGCAGCAACTTGCTGCAGATAAGAGGTAGGAGGTTTGCTTAGTGAGTAAGAAAGCAGAGTCAGTGCAGTAAATCTCCACCCAGTGAATGACACCCAATAAGTGAGTGCTCGAGTGCCAAGTAAATGAATGGACAGATGTTGATGCTTGAATATTTCTTTGAGACTAGAATGTGTTGTAATCATTATTTTGTTTTGAGACTCCTGCTCCATTCAATTGGGCTTCCAAAAATTCTGGTAATCTGACGTGTGTTTCTGAACGCTGTATCCCAAGTTTGACCTATAGAGCCCATGGAGTTTATATACAGGCCATGCCCAAGGAAGGACAAAATTAATGACAACATGACCTTCGATTAGATTTGCTTTGTGAGGCTCCAGGGAGGGAAACCTTGGACCCAGGAGCTGGTGAATAGATTCCAGCAGTGTAAGGAAGAACTACCCATGAATTAGAACTGTTAGAAAATACAGCAACCCCGCTGAAGTCCATCTAGGTTGTTTATAATTCTTCATGGCTATGAATAGTTCTGCATGAATATCCTTGTAATATACCATTGTGTATGTGCTCAAATACCTTTGAAGGGTGGATTTCTAGAGGTTGGATGTTTCTGTTGAAAGGTATATGCTTTTAATAGTTTATACACATTGGCCAATTGCTTTCCAAAAGGCTGCATTAATTTATACCTCATACATTGCACCCATTGCCACACACCTCATAAATATGGGATATTCTCAGCCTTTTTTTTTTCTTTTTTTTGAGATGGAGTTTCACTCTTGTCGCCCAGGGTTGAGTGCAATGACACGATATCAGCTCACTGAAACCTCTGCCTCCTGGTTTCAAGTGATTCTCCTGCCTCAGCCTCATGAGTAGCTGGGATTACAGGTCTTGCTACCATGCCCAGCTAATTTTTGTATTTTTAACGGAGATGGGTTTCACCATATTGGCCAGGCTGGTCTTGAGCTCCTGACCTCAGGTGATCCACCGACCTCGGCCTCCCAAAGTGCTGGTATTACAGGCATGAGCCACTGTGCCCGGCCTAAGTCTTTTTCATTGTTACCAATCTAATAGGTAATATTTCCTCAGAAATTCAGGAGTGGGGCAGAAGATAAACGTGAGCGGGAGAGATGAGGAAATGTTAGAGACTGGAAGGAGCACCTGTGAGCATTATAGCACCAGGTATTGGAGATAAGATAAATCAGAGAGAGGCCCCTGTTCTCAGGAAACAGGGTGGAGAGGTATGGAAGTTGGAGGATGATAGTAATTGAGAAGAGAGGTAAAACCAAAATGCAGTGGCTCACACTTGTAATCCCAGCACTTTGGGAGGCTGAGGCGGGAGGATCGCTTGAGCCCAGGAGTTTGAGACCAGCCTGGGTAACACAAGAAGACCCCATCTCAACAAAGAAAAAAAAAATAGCTGGGTATGGTGGTGTGTGTGCTTGCAGTCCCAGCTACTTGGGAGGCTGAGGTGGGAGGCTCACTTGAGCCTGGGAGGTAGAGGCTGCAATGAGCCGTGATCCTGCCACTGTACTCCAGCCTGGGTGACAGGGAGAGATCTTGTCTCAAAAAAATTAAATAAAAAAACCCCAAATGTTTCTAATTGCTAGTAATGTGCTCATTTGGTGCTAGAGCCTGAAGTAGCTAGAACTACATGTCTACTTTACAAGGCAAGGCAGAAAGCAGACATGCAGTGAGTTTTGGCTAAACCGGTTGGGTCAACTATCTTTGCAGCACAGGAAATATATTTAGGCACTAACATATTTAAAATGGTGGTCTTGAAGTTGTAAAATTTCTGGAACTGTTGAAATCCCAAGATAAGGGCAAATGTAATCCTTATTTTTGTAGCTCCTTTTATACAGTTGTATTGTTAACAATGTGACATTTTATTTCCTCATAAAATGATTATGTATGATATTTAGATACAAAAAGGCTGATTTATACAATGTGAACTGTCCCTAATTGAACTTATTTTTAAAATGCTTTAATATTTGTGGTTAAAAGCTGCTGATCTTAAATCCACATTGTAGTTTTGTCAATTATGAGACGTGGCAAAAAGTAGAAAAAAATCATCAGTCTTCAAGGGAAATTAATAAAAGAGTTATATCTATGGACTGAATGTCTGACTCTGGGAGGCGGGTGAGTGGGTGGGTGAAAAATGCAGGGGAGAGAAAAAGCCTTTATTTTCAGAAAATTTGCTGGGGAAAAGAAAAATAAGATGTCTCTTCCTCAATTTATTGAATATAACCTATTCTAATGTGAAAACTTGCCTAATGAGTTTCATTTGAAAATCAGTTGAATTTGATCTGATTCCCAGTAACATGCAGTGTGAAAACAGGCGCCAGGCTCAGCTCCATGCCTTCCATCTATCCATCCATCCATCTAAAACTCATTCATCCATCCACAGCCAATAACAACTAATAATTATAGGGTGTTTACTACGTGCCAGATACAGTTCTTTTCTTTTTCTTCGAGACACAGTCTTGCTCCATCACCCAGTCTGGAGTGCAGTGGTGTGAATTTGGCTCACTGTAACCTCTGCCTCCCAGGTTCAAGCGATTCTCCTGCTTCAGCCTTCCTTCAGCTGGAAGTACAGGCACGTGCCACTATGCCCAGCTAATTTTTGTATTTTTAGTAGAGATGGCGTTTCACCAGGTTGGCCAGTCTGTTCTGAAACTCCTGACCTCAAGTGATGGGATTACAGGCGTGAGCCACCACGCCCGGCCCAGATACTGTTTTAAGTGCTTTACATGCATTATCTCAAGTAAGCTTCCCGGCAATGTTATGAAGCAAGTGCTATCATTATCCTCAGTTTAAAATGGAATCTGAGGGTTTCCCAACAAGTTAAACATAGAATTAATTACCATATGACCCAGCAATTCCACTCATAGGTATATGCTCCCCCTCAAACTGGAAACTGATGTTTAAAGAAAACTTGTGCCAGGTGCGGTGGCTCATGCCTGTAATCCCAGCACTTTGGGAGGCCGAGGCGGGCGGATCACGAGGTCAGGAGATCGAGACCATCCTGGCTAACATGGTGAAACCCTGTCTCTACTAAAAATACAAAAAAAAAAAAAAATTAGCCAGGTGTGGTGGTGGGCACCTGTAGTCCCAGCTACTCAGGAGGTTGAGGCAGGAAAATGGTGTGAACCCGGGAGGCGGAGGTTGCAGTGAGCCGAGATCACACCACTGCTCTCCAGCCTGGGCGACAGAGCGAGACTCTGTCTCAAAAAAAAAAAAAAAAAGAGAAAACTTGTACAGGGATGTTCACAATAGCGAAAAGGTGGAAACAACCCAAATGTCCATAAACAGACGAGTGGATAAACAAAATGTGGCGTGTCTATACAATGCAATAGCATTCAGCCATTAAAAAAAGGAAATTCTAGGCCAGGTGTAATGGCTCATGCCTGTAATCCCAACACTTTGGGAGGCCGAGGCAGGTGGATCACTTGAGGTTGGGAGTTCGAGACTAGCCTGGCCAACATGGTGAAACCCTGTCTCTACTAAAAATACAAAAATTTTCTGGGTGTGGTGCCGGGTGCCCATAATCCCAGCTACTTGGTAGGCTGAGGCAGGAGAATCGCTTGAACCTGGGAGGCAGAGGTTCCAGTGAGCCGAGATCGCACCACTGGACTCCAGCCTGGGTGACAGAGCGAGACTACATCTCAAAAAAAAAAAAAAAAAAAGAAAACATGTGAAGGAAGCCAACCACAAAAGGCCACATACTGGATGGTACATATGTATTGTATGATTTCATTTATGTGAAATATCCAGTATAGGTCAATCTATAGACACAGAAAGCAGATTAGTCGTTGCCAGGGACTGTGGTAAGAGGAGAATAGGAATTAACTGCTTAACAGGTATGGGTATGGGGTTTTTGTTTGTGATGAAAAAGTTTTGGAACTAGTGGTGATGGCTGCACAACATTGCAAATGTACTCAATGTCACTGAATTGTACACTCTAAATGGTTAAAAACAGGGCCGGCTTCGGTGGCTCACGCCTGTAATCCCAGCACTTTGGGAGGCCTAGGCGGGTGAATCACTTGAGGTCAGGAGTTCGAGACCAGCCTGGCCAACATGGTGAAACCCTGTCTCTACTAAAAATACAAAAATTAGCCAGGGAGGGTGAAGCAGAAGAATTGCTTGAACCCAGGAGGCAGAGGTTGCAGTGAGCTGAGATCTCGCCATTGCACTCCAGCCTGGGCAGAAGAGCAAGATGACTCCACCTCATAAAAAAAAAAAGAAAAAATATATATTATATATTAAATGGCGAAAATGGTAAATTTTATGTTATGTGTATTTCACCACAATTTAAGAAATATGTAATTTGAGGCTTGGAGAATTTAATTAAGTGATTTATCTGATGTTAACTTACAGCTGATACATGGTAGAGCTGCATTTTAATCTCAGTCATCTGGCTCTTTTTAAAACAATTACATAGAAAACTTTATTTTGGGCCATTTAGGAGGTTTAGATCATTTTGATCATCTTCAGCTGTCTTCTCTTCACATACAGGAAAGGCCTTGGAAAGCAGTCGTTGCGCCAGACAGCCCAGGGAAGAGCGGCAGCCTGAGGACCTAGGGCCACCTGCTGTTCCCTGGGATTCATGTCCTTCTGGGGAGGAGGGAGGACCCAGGACAATGGCTGCTGTTCATGATCTGGAGATGGAGAGCATGAATCTGAATATGGGGAGAGAGATGAAAGAAGAGCTGGAGGAAGAGGAGAAAATGAGAGAGGATGGGGGAGGTAAAGATCGGGCCAAGAGTAAAAAGGTCCACAGGATTGTCTCAAAATGGATGCTGCCCGAAAAGTCCCGAGGAACATACTTGGAGAGAGCTAACTGCTTCCCGCCTCCCGTGTTCATCATCTCCATCAGCCTGGCCGAGGTGAATGGGGAGCGGGGTGGGCACCGGGGTAAGTGGCATGGGGAAGCTGGGAACAAACTAGGGGTCAGATCTAGATCTAGAGAAGAGACTGGGAACATGGGAGAGAGCTTCGTGGGGATGGGGACAGCACACACCTCACCTCTGCCTCTGCTCTCCCCACAGCTGCCTTTGAGGCTTTCCCTATACTCACGGTCACTGCCAACCCAGGGTGGAGTTTCATTTGTCAGACAAATCTGCCCAGCTGTGGCTGCAATTTCAGTGGCTTCCTTTCATTTTAGTTGTGAGGTCTTTAGGAAGCAAATCATTCTGGGGTTGCACAAGGGCTTTCTCTCATGAACCGATTTAGGCTGGTTGGTAAGGCATTTCTGGGACCCCAGGTTTAGAAGTGTTATAGAATTCTTCTGAATTTCAGTAGGAAAAAAACGGGATCCTTTAACAATGTCTACTTCAGGCAGCACGTGGTGTGTTTTCAGGCTCTGATCTAGTCAGTCCTCTTGTTTTCCAGAAAAGACTGCAAGGCTCAGAGAGGTGGGATGACTATCCCAAGGTCACATCATAGTCACTGGGCCAGGATGAGGCTCCCCTGTACCTCGTGGCACCTAGTTTTTTCCCCCACACTTGATGTCCTATAAAGGAACTGGCCAACCATGGCTGCCTGTGGAGTGTGACTTCAGGGGCATTAGGAAGTTCCTAATGTAACCCTTTTAGTTCCCACTGATGCACTGATGCCTCAGCTTCCTTATCACAAACTGTATTAGTCAAGAGTTCTTCAGAAAAACAGAATCAATAGGTGTGTGTTCCCTGGGGGAAGAGAGATTAATATTTATTTTAAGGAATTAGCTCAAATGATTATGGAGACTTGGCAAGTCCAAAATCTTCAGGGAAGGCTGGCAGGCTGGAGGCCCAGGGAAGACTTGCCATTCAAGTCCAAAGGTAGAGTTCTGCTGGCAGAATTCCCTTTTCCTAACAGAGGACAATCTTTTCTCTAGCAAGGCCTTCAACTGATTAGACAAGGCTCACCCACAGTATGGTGGGAAATCGGCTTTACTCAAAGACTACTGATTTAAATATTAGTATAAACCATACCCTCACAAAAACACCTAGGATAATGTTTAAGCAAATGTCTGGGTAGCATAGCCTAGCTAAGTTGACACATAAAATTAACTGTTGCAGGGACCAAGCCTCTTATGGCTCAGACAAAGGTAAGGCTAAGGTGTAAGCATCCTGGGAGATGCTGTGGTCAAGTCTGTTTAGGGTGAAGGGGCACAGTTCTAATTTTTTTCACAGGATTTCACTGTGAGACTGCTTGCAACTGGGAAGTCGTCCGGATCTGAGACATCTGTATCTGTTTTTTCTGCTTCTCCTTCCTGTTATCCTTCTGGCCTATGGGTTGTCTTGTGTTTCAATCAGCTGTGTGTGTGTCTTGTCCAGGTGAATGGGGAACAATGAGATAAGGTATCGTGGTACAAACCTCAATTGCCTAGGCAATGAGTGCTATGGAGGAGGGCAGTTTGCCATAGGAGGCTCATGGAGCAGATGCTGAGATACCTGCCTCTCACAGAAAGACCAATTTTTAAATTAAAAATTTTAATTTTGGAATAATTTTACCTCTATAGAGATATTGTAAAGATAGAACAGAAAGTTCCTGTAGGCCGGGCGCAGTGGTGCACGCCTGTAATCCCAGCACTTTGGGAGGCTGAGGTGGGCGGATCACAAGGTCAGGAGATTGAGACCATCCTGGCTAACACGGTGAAACCCTGTCTCTACTAAAAATACAAAAAATTAGCCGGGCATGGTGGCGGGCACCTGTAGTCCCAGCTACTTGGGAGGCTGAGGCAGGAGAGTAGCGTGAACCCAGGAGGCAGAACTTGCAGTGAGCTGAGATCACGCCACTGCACTCCAGCCTGGGCTACAGAGCAAGACTCCATCTCAAAAAAAAAAAAAAAAAAGAAAGTTCCTGTATGCCTCTCACCCAGTTTCTCCCATTGTTTATATCCTACATTTCCATAGTACATTGTATTTTTTTCTTTTTTTTCAAACCCAGGATAATCTCTGTATATAGTACATTACATTTCCATAGTATTTTTTTTTTTTTTTGAGATGGAGTCGCTCTGTCGCCCAGGCTGGAGTGCCAGTAGTGTGATCTCAGCTCACTGCAACCTCCGCTGTCCAGGGTCAAGTGATTCTCCTGACTCAGCCTCCCAAGTAGCTGGGATTACAGGTGTGCACCACCACGCCTGGCTAGTTTTTTTTTTTGTTTGTTTGTTTTTTTTGTATTTTTAGTAGAGATGTGGTTTCGCCATGTTGGCCAGTCTGGTCTTGAACTCCTGACCTCAGGTGATCCACCTGCCTCAGCCTCCCGCCAAAGGGCTGGGACTATAGGCATGAGCCACTGCGTCTGGCCCCATAGTACATTTGTCAAAACTAAGAAACTGACATTGGCATATTCCTAACTAAACTCCAGATTTACCTGGATTTTTACCAGTTTCTCCATTAATGTCCTCTTTCTGTTCCTCTGGTACCCACTCCATTTAGCTGCCATGTCTACCCAGGCTCCTCTGATCTATGGCAACTTCTCAGTCTTTGTTTTTCATGACTCTGATAGTCTTGAGGGGGACTGGCTAGGGATCCTGTAGAATGTCCCCCAGCTGGGGTTTGACTGATGCTTTTCTCGTGATTTAACTGGAGTTATGAGTTTGGGAGAAGAATACCACGGAGGTGAAGGGCCCTTCCCATCACATAGCCTCAGAAGGTTGAGGACATCATGTGGCATCACTGGGACATTCACCTCCATCCCTTGGTTAAGGCAGGGTTTGCCAGGTCTCTCCCCTGGCAAGTGACTATTTTTCCCTTTCCCTGCTCTATTATTCGGAAGCCAGCATTGACCTACTTTCATAGCAAGTTGTAAATGAAAGATCAGTTGGTGCGACGATGAGGGCAGTGGGTATTTAAGAGGGAGAGGGTAGTAGAGAACGTAGTGCCAGAGAGCAGGGTGTCCAAGAGCAGGGCAAAAGGGGTTCAGAAAGTCTTCCTTACAATGTGAGCTAGCACTGCTCCCAACCATCAGAGGAAGTGGGGTACGGTGGAAACCATCACAGAGGGGATGGTGAAGAAGTGTATTTCATGTCACCTTCTGGCACTATGGTGTGGCCCACTTGAGAGCTGAATCATCTGAAACAGTTACTGCCCACGGGCTTGGATGGGGCCCCTCTCTGGAGAAGGTGTGGTTAATACTCATGTCTGCTCCCTCCATCAGCTGGCAGTGTTTATTTACTATGCTGTGTGGAAGCCTCAGAAACAGTGGATCACGTTGGACACAGGCATCTTGGAGAGTCCCTTTATCTACAGTCCTGAGAAGAGGGAGGAAGCCTGGAGGTTTATCTCATACATGCTGGTACATGCTGGGTAAGCAATGATAGTTAAGCCCCTGGTATCAGAGGTGATTATATCATTGTAACCTCTAACATTTGTTGAGTGCTTTATTATTGATAAGGCACTTTCATGTCCATAATCTTCACAGCAACCCTAAGGGGTAGGTATTGCTCCCACTGTTTTATGTCTGAGGCATAGGAGATGTAGTCATGGAGGCTGAGGTGGGCAGATCACTTGAGGTCAGGAATTCGAGACCAGCCTGGCTGATATAGTGAAACCCCATCTCTACTAAAAATAAAAAAATTAGACAGGCATGGTGATGCATACCTGTAGTCCCGGGAGGCTGAGGCAGGAGAATTGCTTGAACCTGGGAGGCGGAGGTTGCAGTAAGCCGAGATCGTGCCATTGCACTCCAGGCTGGGGGACAAGAGTGAGACTCCATCTCAAAAAAAAAAAAAAGATGTAGTCACTTGTTCCAAGTCACACAGCTAAGTTGCAGAGCTAGGACCTCAGCCCACTAGTGCTAACTCTAAGGCCAGCATCCTTTCTTACTTTTTTTTTTTTTTGAGATGGAGTCTCGCTCTTGTCACCAGGCTAGAGTGCAGTGGTGTGATCTCGGCTCACTGCAACCTCCGCCTCCTGGGTTGGAGCGATTCTCCTGCCTCAGCCTCCTGAGTAGCTGGGATTACAGGCACCTGCCACCAGGCCGGGCTAATTTTTATACTTTTAGTAGAGACGGGGTTTCACCATGTTGGCTAGGCTAGTCTTGAACTCTGACCTCAGGTGATCCATCCGCCTTGGCCTCCCAAAGTGCTGGGATTACAGGTGTGAGCCACTGTGCCCTTAAGGCCAGTATACTTTATATTGCATTATAACTGCCCAATATTAGTATTTAGGAATATTAATGAGAAGAGATCAAATCATTGCAAAACCAAAAGCATGTTCCCCTAGTTGTCTAATGTTGTTAAATATACTCTTTAGGCTATGAAAATGGTGGTGCTGAATAACCAGTCTCCTCCTCCACCATCATACATCAAACAAAATTTAGTTCATGGCCGGGCACAGTGCCTCACACCTGTAATCCCAGCACTTTGGGAGGCTGAGGTGGATAGATCACCTGAGGTCAGGAGTTCAAGACCAGCCTGACCAATATGGTAAAACCCCGTCTCTACTAAAAATACAAAAACTAGCTGGGCGTGGTGGCATGCGCTTGTAATCTCAGCTACTCAGGAGGCTGAGACAATAAAATTGCTTGAACCCAGGAGGCGGAGGTTGCAGTGTGCCGAGATCGCGCCACTGCATTCTAGAGTAGGTGACAGAGTGAAACTCTGTCTCAAAAATAAAATAAAATAAATTTAGTTCATGAACATATTGATGAGTGTGGGATACTGTTATCCATCTGGAATAATACTGGTAATAGGAGATGCAGTGCCCGCCATTTAGTTTTGCCTACAGTTTCTTTCTTTCTTTTTTTTTTTTGAGATAGAGTCTAGCTCTATCGCCAGGCTGGAGTGCGGTGGTGCGATCTCGGCTCACTGCAACCTCTGGCTCCCTGGTTTAAGCCATTCTCCTGCCTCAGCTTCCCGAGTAGCTGGGATTACAGGCACGTGCCACCACGCCCAGCTAATTTTTGTATTTTTAGTAGAGACGGGGTTTCACCATGTTGGCCAGGATGGTCTCAATCTCCTGACCTTGTGATCCGCCTGCCTTGGCCTCCCAAAGTGCTGGGATTACAGGCGTGAGCCACTGTGCCCGGCCGCCTATAGTTTCTTAAATGCCGATGGCCTTTCATGAACTCACTCAGCATCCATGATCCACCATGCCCACTGCAGACAGCGAGCAGCTTCCTGTTGGCCCCACCTATCCGGTGGACTCTTGTGGTCTCAGGTGGGGCCAACCTTTTCTGTGCAGTCTACCCAACTCTGGACTTGAAAACGACTTGTAGCTGGGGTGTGGTGATGTGTACCTGCAGTCCCAGCTACTTGGGAGGCTGACGAAGGAGGATCGCTTTGAGTCCAGGAGTCTGAGACCAGCCTGGGCAACATAGAGAGTGCTCTACAAAAAAAAAAAAAAGTTAAAAATAAATAAAAAATAAAATAGAAAGGATGACACTTTTGCTTAGTGGCTAAATAGGCATCAGGACACATGGCTCAGAGGCTTGACAAATCAGGGGCAAAATCACCAACTGCTCAGTTTCCATTTAACAAGTATGTTCTGAGCAAACATGGCTCCCGCACACAAGGACTTTAAGATGATAAGAAGGAACATGTCAGTTAAATAGCAATGTAAGGCAGTACAGTATTATAGTATATAGTAGGCTGGGTGCAGTGGCTCATGCCTTGTAATCCCAGCAGTTTGGGAAGCTGAGGTGGTCACCTGAGGTCAGGAGTTTGAGACCAGCCTGGCCAACATGGTGAAACCCCGTCTCTAGTAAAAATACAAAAATTAGCTGGGCGTGGTGGCAGGTGCCTGTAACCGCAGCTACTTGGGAAGCTGAGGCAGGAGAATCGTTTGAACCCAGGAGGTGGAGGTTGCAGTGAGCCGAGATCGCGCCACCGCACTCCAGCCTGGGTGACAGAGTGAGACTCTGTCTCAAGAAAAAAAAAAAAATACACACACACACACACACACGTGTATATGTAAATACACACACACACACACACACACACACACACACACACACATATATATATATATATATATATATATATGGTATATGGTAGTTACTTAGCTTCCTTGTCCTTTAGTTTCCTCAGGTGTAAAATGGAGTAATATGAATAGTACCTACCTCATAAAGTTGTTGTGATTAAATGAGATAATGGCTATAATTTTCACTGTGCCTAACACATAGTAAGGCACTTAAAAAGAATCTGTGGCCAGGAGCAGTGGCTCACACCTGTAATCCCAGCCCTTTGAGGGGCTGAGGTGGATGGATTGCTTGAACCCAGGAGTTTGAGACCAGCCTGGGTGACACGGTGAAAACCCCATCTCTACAAAAAAATAAAATAAAATAAAAAATTAGATCTGCACAGGGTGTGTGCCTGTAGTCCCAGCTGCTGGGGAGGCTGAGGTGGGACGATTAAGGAATCCTCAGGCCCAGGAGATGGAAATGTAGTGAGTCGAAATCGAGACACTGCACTCTAGCTTGGGTGAAGGGAGTGAAACCCTGTCTCAAGAAAAAAAAAAAACGGGCCAGGCGCGGTGGCTCATGCGTGTAATCCCAGCACTTTGGGAGGCCAAGGCGGGTGGATCAATGAGGTCAGGAGTTCGAGACCAGCCTGACCAACATGGTGAAACCCCATCTCTACTAAAAATACAAAAATTAGGCCGGGCATGGTGGCTCACTACTGTAATCCCAGTCTTTGGGAGGCTGAGGCAGGTAGATCACCTGAGGTCAGGAGTTTGAGGCCAGCCTGACCAACATGAAGAAACCCTGTCTCTACTAAAAATACAAAATTAGCTGGGCATGGTGGCGCATGCTTGTAATCACAGCTACTCAGCAGGCTGAGGCAGGAGAATCGCTTGAACTCAGAAGGTGGAGGTTGCAGTGAGCCGAGATCATGCCATTGTACTGCAGCCTGGGCAACAAGAGCAAAACTCCGTCTACCAAAAAAAAAAAAATTAGCTGGGCGTGGTTGCAGGCACCTGTAATCTCAGCTACTAGGGAGGCTGAAGCGGGAGAATCGCTTGAACCCAGGAGGCAGAGATTGCAGTGAGCCAAGATCATGCCATTGCACTCCAGCCTGGGCGACAGAGGGAGACTTCGTCCAAAAAAAAAGAAAAAAAAATTAGCCAGGAGTGGTGGCACATGCCTGTAGTCCCAGCTACTTGGGAGGCTGAGGCATGAGAATTACTTGAACCCTTGAGGCAGAGGTTCTGGTGAGCAGAGATTGCACCACTGCACCCCTGGCTGGGAGACACAGCAAGTCACACACGCGCGCGCGCGCGCACACACACACACACACACACACACACACACACACACACACACAGAAAAAAGAAAAAGAAAAAAAGAGTTGTCTGCGAAGAAAAATTAGAAAATGGAATTCTAGTTAAGCAAATCCTTAACTAGAGAAAACACATGAAAGTCTGTTCATCTCCCAGGGAAATAACTGCTTGGTTTAGTCATAATATTTGACAACTATTGTTTGTCTTTGCAGAGTTCAGCACATCTTGGGGAATCTTTGTATGCAGCTTGTTTTGGGTATTCCCTTGGAAATGGTCCACAAAGGCCTCCGTGTGGGGCTGGTGTACCTGGCAGGAGTGATTGCAGGTCAGTGTTCTGAGGTAACACAGAATCAATACCTCTGGGCTCTTAGGATTAAAAGCAAATGAAATACACACTTATAGTAGGCTTCTTTAAGTCAAGGTTTACTGCACTCCTAATATGTGCTCGGGAACACATTAAGCCTTAGAGATCATTGAATTAGAGATACTATCAGCAAGCAAAGACAAGTCATTGTGCCTGTCCTCAGGTATCTCACACTCAAGACAGGGTTTTGCATAATTGAAATTGCAAGTATGCCTGGCGCTCCTGCCTGTAATCCCAGCACTTTGGGAGGCTGATGTGGGTAGATCACACGAGGCCAGGAGTTCGAGACCAGCCTGGCCAATATGGTGAAACCCTCTCTCCACCAAAAATACAAAAATTAGCTGGGGGTGGTGGCTCACCCCTATAATCCCAGCTACTCAGGGGGCTGAGGCACCAGAATCACTTGAACCTAGGGGGCGGAGATTGCAGTGAGCCAAGATTGTGCCACTGCACTCCACACTCTAGCCTGGGCAACAGAGCGAGACTCTGTCTCAAACAAACAAACAAACAAAAAAAAAAAAAAAAAAAAGAAAAGGAATAAAGAAAACTGCAAGTAGTTTGGTGTACAGGTACGTATTTGAGTAAAGGTCTAAAGCCAGATCATGGAGGCCCTTATATGTCAGACTACTGATTTTGAGAAGTAACATGATCAGATTTGCATTTAAGAAAGACAACTTTAAGAGAATGTAGAGAATAACCAAAGGGGCTCTAAGACTGGGTAGGTAAAAGTAGCATACGTCAGTGATCCCTAAATCTGGGTGTGCCTAAGATGATCCATTATGGCATGGGAAGAAAATATTAGAACTCCCATCCATCCATTTGTTTATTTATTGGAAACATTTTTTTAAAAAATTAAACTTTTAATTTTGCGATAATTGTAGATTTACATGCAGTTGTTAGAAATAATGCCTAGAGGTCTTATGTACCCTTTAAACCAGCGATCCCCAATGGTGACATCTTGCAAAACATTAGTACTGTATCACAACTAGGATATCCACGTTGATATAGTCAGGGTACAAAACATTTTCAAACCATATGGATCCCTTATGATGCCTTTTTATAGCTATACCATCTTCTGTCCCACCCTCCTTTACCTCTGGCAACCACTAACCTGTTCTCCATTTCTATAATTTTGTCATTTGAAGAATATTATATAAATGGAATAATCCGGTATATACCCTTGTGGGATTGATTTTCTTCACTCAGCATAATTCTCCGGGGATTCATCTAGGTTGTTGCATGTGTCAATAGTTTATTCCTTTTTATTGCCCAGTATTCATTCCATAAAATGGATATAGCACTGCTTGTTTAACCATTCACTCATTGAAGGTTATCTGAGTTGTTTCAGTTTTTGGCTATTAGGAATAACACTACTCCAAACACTTGTGTATATGTTTTTATGAATATAAGTATGGGGTTTTGTGAACAGAGTTTTCAGTTTTCTAGGATAAATGTCCAAAGGCACAGTTGTTGGAACATATGATAGTGGCATATTTTATTTTTTAATTTAATTTAATTTAATTCATTAATTTATTTATTTTGAGATGGAGTCTTGCCCTGTCGTCCAGGCTGGAGTGCAATGGTGCGATCTTGGCTCACTGCAACCTCCGTTTCCCAGGTTCAAATGATTCTCCCGCCTCAGCCTCCTGAGTAGCTGGGATTACAGGTGTCTGCCACCACACCCAGCTAATTTTTGTATTTTTAGTAGAGATGGGGTTTCACCATGTTGGCCAGGCTGGTCTCGAACTCCTGACCTTGTGATCCACACACCTTGGCCTCCCAAAATGCTGAGATTACAGGTGAATTTTTAAAGAAAATTCTTTAAATATTAAACATTTAAAGAATGTTTTCTAGAATGCCTCTCCCATTTTACATTCACCGTAGCAATGCATAAATGATTCAGATTCAGCATTTGGTGTTGTCATGATTTTTTATTTTACCTGTGCTCGTGATACGGAAGGGTGGAAGGGAAGTGCTGGGTAGAGGAGGGCATAGTGCCTGGCTAGGGCTCCACCCCCAGGCCTGTGCCCACGGAACTAGGTGAGGACGGACATTTTTGTTTTCCTGCCCAAATGTTGCATTTTCCAATACCACCCTGACTTGCCACGCCCCCATCCTGTGCCTATAAAAACCCCGAGACCCTAGCCTGCAGACACACAAGCAGCAGGATGTCGAGAGGAACACATCGACAGAAGATGACAGGACAGACGCCAGCACGCCAGCAGGCCACTGACCAGCCGGAGGACGCGGAGTTTGGCTGGGGCAGTCAGAGGAGATCCCGGGCTGCCGAGTGGCCTGACTCCAGGGGAAAACCATCCGCCTTCTGGCTACCCCATCTGCTGAGAGCTACTTCCACTCAATAAAACCTTGCACTCATTCTCCAAGCCCACGTGTTATCCATCCAATTCTTCCTGTACATCAGGCAAGAATCCTGGGATTACAGAAAGCTCTCTGACCTGGAGATAAGGCACAAGTATAATTGAGCTGACTAACAGAAGCCACCTACAGACTACTAAACTAAGAGTACCCTGTAACACATGCCCACTGGGGCTTCAGCTGTAAATTCACCCCTAGATCACTGCCGTGGGGTCAGAACCCCACAGCCTGCCCGTCTGAATACTCCCCCAGAGGTTTGAGCAGCAGGGCACTGAAGAAGCGAACAACACCCCCATCGCACGCCCTGCGAGGGGGACAAGGGAACTTTTCCCATTTCACTCCTAAGTGGGTAGTGATATATGATCATGGTTTTTTTTTTTTTTTTTTTTTTTTGGAGACGGAGTTTCACTCTTGTTGCCCAGGTTGGAGTGCAATGGTGCAGTCTCAGCTCACAGCAACCTCCACCTCCTGGGTTCAAGTGATTCTCCTGCCTCAGCCTCCCGAGTAGCTGGGATTACAGGTGGGCACCACCACACCCGGCTAATTTTGTATTTTTAGTAGAGACAGGGTTTCTCCATGTTGGTCAGGCTGGTCTCAAACTCCTAACCTCAGATGATCCACCTGCCTCGGCCTCCCAAAGTGCTGGGATTACAGGCATGAGCCACTGCACCCAGCTGATCATGATCTTAATTTGCATTTCCCTAATGGCTAATGATGTTGAATATCTTTTTTTTTTTTTTTTTTTCAAATTTGGAGGAACATTCTGAGATGCATTGTTGAATATCTTTTTATGTGCTTATCTGTCATCTATCTTCTTTAGTGAAATGTCTCTTTATGTTTTTTGCCCATTTTCTAACTTTTTTTAACTGTTGAATTTTGAGGGTTCTTTATATATTCTAGATGCTAGCCCTTAGCTGAATATGTAGTTTATAAATATTTTCACCCAGTCTGTAGCTTGTCTTTTTATCCTCTTACCAAGGTCTTTCAGAGAACATGAATTTTAAATTTTGATGAAGTCTAACATCAATTTTTCCATTTATGAATGGTACTTTTGGGGTTATGTCTTAAAAACCTTTCACTGAACCTTAGGTCCTGAGGATTTTTTCCAATGTTATCTTCTAAAAATTATAGCTTTATGCTTTACATTTATTTGTTTGTTCACTTTTAGAGACAGGGTCTCACTTGGTTGCCTAGGCTGGAATGCAGTGGCACAATCATAGCTTACTGCAGCCTGCAGCCTCGAACTCCTGTGCTCAAGTGATCCTCCGGCCTTGGGCTCCTAAAATGTTGGGATTACAGGCATGAGCCACTGCACCAGGCCTTATGCTTTACTTTTTTTCTTTAATTTTATGTATTTATTTATTTTGAGACAGAGTTGCGCTTTTGTCGCCCAGGCTGAAGTGCGATGGCGCGATCTCGGCTCACTGCAACCTCCACCTCCCAGGTTCAAGCAATTCTCCAGCCTCAGCCTCCTGAGTAGCTGGGATTACAGGCGCCCACCACCATGCCTGGCTAATTTTTGTATTTTTATTAGAGATGGGGTTTCGCCATGTTGGCCAGGCTGGTCTCGAACTCCTGACCTCAGGTGATCTGCCTGCCTCGGCCTCCCAAAGTGCTGGGATTACAGGCATGAGCCACTGCACCTGGCCTTTACTTTTAAATATGCAACCCATTTTGAGTTTGAGGTTTGTTTTGTTTGTTTGGCCTGAAGATATCCAATTATGCTAGAATAATTCGTTGAAAGGAATTTTTCCTCCTTTGTTGAATTGCTTTTACACCATTATAAAAAATCAGTTGCCTATAGTTTTGTGGGGGCTATTCTGGGTTCTTTTTATTCTATCAATCTCTATGTCTATCCCTCCACCAAAACTACATAGGCTTGATTACTGTAGCTATATAATAAGTTTTGAAATCAGAATGATTCCTCCCATTTTATTCTTCATTTTGAAAATTGTAGCTGTTTTAATTCCTTTGCCTTTCCATATAAGCGTTAGAATAATTCTGTTTATAGCTATAGAAATTCTTGCTGGAATTTTGATAGGAGTTGCCTTAAATCTGTACATCAATTTGGGGAGAACTGATATATTTTCTATATTGAGTGTTTCAATGTATGAACAGTGTCTTTTATTTATATCTCCTAAATGGTGTTGTATTTTAAATTTCAGTGTCCATAATTTCATTGCTAGTATATAGAAACACAATTGATTTGTGCATGTTATTCTTTTTTTTTTTTGAGATGGAGTGTCGCTCTGTCGCCCAGGCTGGAGTGCAGTGGTGCGATCTCCGCTCACTGCAAGCTCCACCTCCCAGGTTCATGCCATTCTCCTGCCTCAGCCTCCCGAGTAGCTGGGACTACAGGTGCCCACCACCACACCCAGCTAATTTTTTGTATTTTTAGTAGGGGCAGGGTTTCACCGTGTTAGCCAGGATGGTCTCGATCTCCTGACCTCATGATCTGCCCGCCTTGGCCTCCCGAAGTGCTGGGATTACAGGGATGAGCCACTGCGCCCGGCCTGTGCATGTTATTCTTATACCTTGCAACCTTGCTGAACTCACTTAGTAGTAGGGTTTTTGTTTTGTTTTAGATTCCTTGGGATTTTTCATGTCATCTGCAAATCATCATGTCATCTATAAATAAGGATATTTTATTTCTTCCTTTCCAATCTATATGCCTTTTGTTTCTTTTTCTTGCCTTATTGTGTTGGCTAGCACTTCAAGCACTATGTTGATTAAGAGTTAAGAGAAAAGATGTTCTTGCCTTGTTTCCAATCTTAGGCAGAAAGCAATGAGTATTTCGCCACAAAATGTAATGTTAGCTGTAAGTTTTTTTTTTTTTTTTTGAGTTGGAGTCTTGCACTGTTGCCCAAGCTGGAGTGCAATGGCACGATCTTGGCTCACTGCAACCTCTGCCTCCCAGGTTCAAGCGATTCTCCTGCCTCAGCCTCCCAAGTAGCTGGGATTACAGGTGCTCACCACCATGCCCAGCTAATTTTTTGTATTTTTAGTAGAGATGGGGTTTCATTATGTTGGCCAGGCTTGTCTCAAACTCCTGACCTCATGATCTGCCTGCCTTGGCCTCCCAAAGTGCTGGGATTAGAGGTGTGAGCAACTATGCCTGGCCTGAGCCACTGCGCCTGGCCTTTTTTTTTTTTTTTTCTTGAGACAGAGTCTCTGTCACCCAGGCTGGAGTGAAGTAGCATGATCTTGGCTCACTGCAACCTCCACCTCCCAGGTTCAAGCAATTCTTGTGTCTCAGCCTCAAAGTAGTTGGGATTACAGGCATGCAGTACCACACCCAGCTAATTTTTTTTTTTTTTCCTGTAGAGACAGGGTTTCAACATGTTGGCCAGGCTGATTTCAAACTCCTGGCCTCAAGTAATTCATTTGCCTCAGCCTCCCAAAGTGCTGGGATTACAGGCATGAGCCACCATGCCCAGCCAACTGTAAGTTTTTTGTAGGTGCTCTTTACCAATCCATTTATTCTAAAAAATGAACAAGAAATCTATCGAGCAGAGTCCTGTGGATGGCAAAAAGAAAAATAAGGCTGGGCACAATGGCTCATGCCTATAATCCCAGCACTATGGGAGGCCAAGGCAGGAGGATTGCCTGAGTTCAGTAGTTTGAGACCAGCCTGGGCAATATAATGAAACTCTGTCTCTACCAAAAGAAAATTAGGCCAGGCATGGTGGCTCATGCTTGTAATGCCAGGCTGGTCTCGAACTCCTGATCTCAGGTGATCCACCTGCCTTGGCCTCCCAAAGTGCTGAGATTACAGGCGTGAGCCACCGTGCCTGGCCTTATTCTCTTAATATCTTTTGGAGAGGAGACGTTATAAATATTAAATCTATAATTTTTATTTTTATTTTTATTTTTTTTGAGACGGAGTCTCGCTCTGTTGCCCAGGCTGGAGTGCAGTGGCGCGATCTCGGCTCACTGCAAGCTCCGCCTCCTGGGTTCACGCCATTCTCCTGCCTCAGCCTCCCGAGTAGCTGGGACTACAGGCGCCCGCTACCACGCCCGGCTAATTTTTTGTATTTTTAGTAGAGACGGGGTTTCACCGTGTTAGCCAGGATGGTCTCGATATCCTGACCTCGTGATCCGCCCGCCTCGGCCTCCCAAAGTGCTGGGATTACAGGCGTGAGCCACCGCGCCCGGCCAATTTTTATTTTTAAAAATGTTTTACTATATATATAGTACACATATTATATATATATATAAATATATATGTATTTTTTTATTTCTGTAGAGACAGTGTTTTGCCATATTACCTAGACTAGTCTCAAACTCCTGAGCTCAAGTGATCGTCTGCACTGGCCTCCCAAAATGCTAGGATTACAGGTGTGTGCCATGATGCCTGGCCTTTTATACATTTTCAAACTTTAGGAATTGTGGCTTTTAGTGTCATATCAAATAATTTTTTTTTTCTTTTTTTTTTGAGACGGAGTCTCATTCTGTCACCCAGACTGGAGTGCAGTGGCGCAATCTCGGCTCACTGCAAATTCCGCCTCCGGGTTCACGCAATTCTCCTGCCTCAGCCTACTGAGTAGCTGAGATTACAGGCGCACACCACCACACCTGGCTAATTTTTTTTTGTATTTTTAGTAGAGACGGGGTTTCACTACGTTGGCCAGACTGGTCTCAAACTCCTGACCTTGTGATCCACCTGCCTCGGCCTCCCAAAGCGCTGGGATTACAGGCGTGAGCCACTGCGCCCAGCCTGTATAAAATAATTTTTACCTAACACAAAATCACCAAGATTTCTCCTAGAATCACCATGTTTTCTCCTAGAAGTTTTATTATTTTAGGCTTTCCATTTAGGTGTATCATCTGGTATTTTTGCAAGGGGAAGGACTGAAGTGTCATTTTTTTGCATATGGATGTCTGTTCTAACATCATTTGTTGAAAAGACAGTCCTTTCTCCATTGAATTGCTTTAGTATCTGTTGAAAATACAAATTGCTTTTGTATCTTTGTTGAAGTTGTTGTTTGTATATATGAGTGTGTTAATTTCTGGAGGTTCTATTCTGTTCCACTTATGTATTTGTATATCTTTACACCAATACCACATATCTTGGTTACTGTAGTTTTCATGACTTTTGGTCATGAAATCAGGAAGGGCTAGCACTCCAACTTTATTCTTTTTCACAAATTTTTTGGCTATTCTAAATCCTTTGTATTTCCATATAACTTGGTTTGTGCGTTTCTAAAAAAAAATCTGCTGGGATTTGGATTGCATTGAATCTATAGATCAACTTGGGGAAAACGGACATTTTAACAATATTGAGTCTTCCAACCCATGTTGAACAAGGTATACCTTTCTGTGTATTTAGGTCTTTCAAAATTCCTCTCAGCATGTTTTTTAGTTTTCAGTGTTTATGTCTTGCAGAGTTTTTGGTCAGATTTATCTCTATGTATTTCATATTTTTGATGTATTAGAAAGGGTAATGTTTTTAAAATTTCTATTTCTCGGCCGGGGGTGGTAGCTCATGCCTGTAATCCCAGCACTTTGGGAGGCTGAGGCAGGTGGATCGCCTGAGGTCAGGAGCTCGAGACCAGCCTGGGCAACATAGTGAAACCCCGTCTCTACTAAAAATACAAAAATTAGCTGGGTGTGGTGGTGGGCGCCTGTAATCCCAGCTACTTGGGAGGCTGAGGTAGAAGAAAGGCTTGAACCCAGGAGGTGGAGGTTGCAGTGAGCCAAGATCGCGCCATTGCACTCCAGCCTGGGCAACAAGAGCAAAACTCTGTCTCAAAAAAAAAAAATTATATTTCTCATTCTTCATTGTTACAGCATGAAAATATATACTTTTTGGTATATTTTGTATATAGATCTTGTGTTTTCCAACCTTGCTAAACTCACTTATTACTTCTAGAAGCTTTTTGTAGATTCCATTAGATTTTCTACATAGATTATTATGTTGTCTGTACTTGCTAATTTCCCTTTTGATGTTTTCTTTGACACATGGGTTATTTAAAATGTGTTATTTAGTTTTTAAATATTTGTGTGTTTTTCCAAAGATGTTCTGTTGTTAATATCTAGTTTAACTGTGGTTAGGGGCTGGGCGTGGTGGCTCACGCCTGTAATCCCAGCACTTTGGGAGGTTGAGGTGGGCAGATCATTGAGCCCAGGAGTTTGAGACCAGCCTGGGCAACATGGTTAAACCCCATCTTTAAAAAAAAATAACAAAGGCTGGGTGTGGTGGCTTATGCCTGTAATCCCAGCACTTGGGGAGGCCGAGGTGGGCGGATCATCAGGTCAGGAGTTCGAGACCAGCCCGACCAACATGGTGAAACCCCGTCTCTATTAAAAATACAAAAAAATTAGCTGGGCATGGTGGTGTGCACCTGTAATCCAAGCTACTCAGGAGGCTAAGGCAGGAGAATCGCTTAAACCTGGGAAGCAGAGGTTACAGTGACCTGAGATTGCGCCACTGTACTCCAGCCTGGGTGACAAAGCGAGACTCCATCTCAAAAAAAAAAAAATAATAAAAAAAATAAAAAAATAAAATGAAATAAAGTAAAACAAAACAAAAACAAAAATTAGCTTGGTGGTGCACACCTGTAGTCCCAGCTATTCGGGAGGCTGAGGTAGAAAAATCACCTGAGCCTAGGAAGTCGAGGCTGCAGTGAGCTGTGATCATGCCACTGCGTTCCAGCCTGGGCGACAGAGTGAGACTCTGTCTCAAAAAAAAAAAAAAAAAAAAAAGAAAAAGAAAAAAGAAGAAAACAAAACTGTGGTTAGAGAACAAACTTTGTATGACTTGAATCCTTTTAAATGTATTAAGATTTGTTTTATGGTCCAGAATATGGCCTATGTTGGTAAGTGTTCTTTGTACATTTGAAAATAATGTGTGAGATCAGTTGTTGTTGGGTAGAATATTGTATACATGTCAATTAGGTCCATTTGGTTGATTGTGTTGTTTGTCTTCTGATTTTCTGTCTACTTTTTCTATAAATTATTGAGAAAGGATTATTGAAATCTCTGATTATAATAATGCATTTGTTTGTTTCTCCTGTGGTTCTATCAGTTTTTGTTTTATTTATTTATTTATTTATTTATTTATTTTATTTTTTTTGAGATGGAGTCTCGCTCTGTCACCCAGGCTGGAGTGCAGTGGTGCAATCTCAGCTCACTGCAACCTGCACCGGGTTCAAGCAATTCTCTTGCCTCAGCCTCTCGAGTAGCTGGGACTACAGGCATGTGCCACCATGCCCGGCTAATTTTTGCATTTTTAGTAGAGACGGGGTTTCACCATGCTGGCCAGGCTGGTCTCAGACTCCTGACCTCAGGTGATCCACTGGCCTCGGCCTCCCAAAGTGCTGGGATTATAAGCGTGAGCCACTGGCCCATTTATTTATTTATTTATTTTTAAATTTTTCTTTCTTTTGTTTTCTTTCTCTTTTTTTCTTTCCTTCTTTCTTTCTTTCTTTCTTTTTTTTTTTTTTGAGACTGAGCCTTGCTCTATCACCTAGGCTGGAGTGCAATGGTGCGATCTTGGGTTACTGCAACCTCTGCCTCCTGGGTTCAAGCAATTCTCCTGTCTCGGCCTCCTGAGTAGCTGGGATTACAGGTGCCTGCCACCAAGCCCAGCTAATTTTTGTATTTTTAGTAGAGACAGGGTTTCGCCACTTTGGCCAGGTTGTCTTGAACTCCTGACCTCAGGAGATCTGCCTGCCTTGTCCTCCCAAAGTGCTGGGATTACAGGTGTGAGCCACTGCAGCCGACCATATGCCTGATAATTTTTGATTGGATGCTACACATTTTATCTAGTTGGATGGTGCATATTTTTGTGTTCCTGTAAATACTTTTTTAATTTTTAAAATTTTATTTATTTATTTATTTATTTATTTATCTATTTAGAGATGGAGTCTTGCTCTGTCACCCAGATTGGAGTGCAGTGATGTGATCTTGGCTCACTGTAGCCTCTGCCTCCTGGGTTCAAGCGGTGCTCCTGCCTGAGCCTCCCAAGTAGCTGGGACTACAGACGTGTGCCACCACGCCTGGTTAATTTTTGTATTTTTAGTAGAGACAGGGTTTTGCTATGTTGGTCAGGCTGGTCTTGAACTCCTGACCTCAAGTGATCCTCCTGCCTTGGCCTCCCAAAGTGCTGGGATTACAGGCATGAGCCACTTTGCCCGGCCAATGCTTTTTATTTTTTATTTTTATTTACTTATTTTTTTTGAGACAGAGTCTCACTCTGTCATCCAGGCTGGAGTGCGGTGGCATGATCTTGGCTCACTGCAACCTCCGTCTCCCAGGTTCAAGTGACTCTTTTTTTTCTTTTTTTAGACAGAGTCTAACTCTTGTCGCCCAGGCTGGAGTGCAGTGGTGGATCTTGGCTCACTGCAACCTCTGCCTCTCAGGCTCAAGCGATTCTCCTGCCTCAGTCTCCCAAGTAACTGGGATTATAGGCATGCACCACCATGCCTGGCTAATTTTTGTGTTTTTAGTGGAGATGGGGTTTCGCCATGTTGGCCAGGCTGGTCTCAAACTTCCGACCTTAATGATCCACCTGCCTTGTCGTCCCAAAGTGCTGGGATTATAGGCATGAGCCACTGCACTCGGCCCAGGGGGTTCTTGTGTCTCAGCCTCCCGAGTAGCTGGGATTATAGGTGCACACCACCATACCCGGCTAATTTTTGTATTTTTAGTAGAGAAGGGGCTTCACCATGTTGGCCAGGCTGCTTTTGAACTCCTGACCTCAAGTGATCTACCTGCCTTGGCCTTCCAAAGTGCTGAGATTACAGGCCTGAACCACTGCTCCAGGCCATAAATACTTTTTAGATTTGTTCTGTAACTCAGTTATGTTACTTGAAAGCAGTTTGATTCTTTTTGGTAAGATGGTAATTATTCCCACCACTGGACCCTTTTGTGTACTCTGAGCATTGCCCCATTAATTATGGCATTTTCCAGTACACATCCCCACACTGCTTGCAGGAAAGGACCTAGAGAAAAGTCGCAGGGCAGAAAAGCAGAGGAGGACGGCCCTGGATTTGGCTTATCAGTCCTTGGGGCCCTCCTGCCCCAGGAAGGGCAGCGAGGACCATGGTGTTGCTGCCATCATTATCACCCTGGCCATGAGATTGCAGGACTGGGGCAGACCCAGAGGAGGACTGGAAGGGCCAGAGTCAGCCAGGAACACAGCAGCTCAGCTCTCGGCTGTTGGCAGGTGGCCTTGATGGCTTTTCAAAGGCAATCACTCCACCCAGGACAAAGCTCACTTTTCTCTGGGGCAAAACACATTGGTTCATTTGTTCAGTTCATTAATTCAACCAGTCTGTTTCTAAGGGAAACCTGGCTGTGGCCAGTCCTGCTCCCACATCCCTAGGTGCCCAGTGTTCCCAAGGGACCTGAATTCCAACCCCAGTTAGGAGTTCAGGGGTCAGCATCCCCATGCCCCACATGCCTGTTAGGGAGGACAGTGAAGGCTGAGCACTCTTGGGCTCACCAAACACCAGCATTGAGAAACTGCCCCCCATCTTCCCTAGGTAAGGTGACCTTGTAGGACAGTTCATGCTATTGGGATGGTCTGGGTAAGGTGGCCACGAGGGCAGGGGACCAAGGTCTGCCCCACCTTTGACCTTAGCGACATGCCCCTGATTGCCTGGCCCCCCTCTGGTTGTCGTCTGAGTCCCTTCTCTGGGGGTACCTGGGCCTTGCTGCACTTCCTTTGTATGCTAACTTCATCCTGATCAAACTTGATTTTCCTACTGTGATTTCTTTCCAATTTCTTCATCAAGTTAAAAATTCTGTATTGAGAGCAGTTTCCTACATTACCTCAAATCCTGTTCAAACAAGGATTATCCCTAGAAGTCAGAAAGGAGGGAAAACAAGCTTAGTCACAGAAGACTACTCTATACTTGAGCTTCTGTTTCAAGGGAAGTGAGTAACTGGTGGTGGAGCCCTGCCCCTCTGCAGTGTGTGGTTTTGTCCTGATATATTTTAAGATTGAGATGTAACTCACCTGTCATAAAATGCCCAGACTTATGATGTGTGGAAACAAAAGAGTTTTCCAGTACAGAAAGTTACTTAGCCTCTCTGGTGCTGTGTAAGCAACAGGTAGTCTTCCCACTTCATTTTTGGTGGTTCTTTCCTTGGCTTGGGTAATTTCCTTGCATGCTCCTTTCTGGAGTTTTCTGTATGCAGCTTTCTGCTCTCTGGTACCCTGTCTTGTAAACTCTAGCAGTCCAGATCTATCTGGACTCTAAACTTCATCTCATCAACTTAAAGTTTGCTGAGATCTGCCTGGGTTCCTGCTTCATGCGCTGTATTCTGTAATCTCCCTCAAGGTAGTACCTGGGCAATCAGATAACTCATCTATTAATAACTGATTCCCTGTCTCTAAGGGTTTACTGGTTTTGTTTTCTGATGTCTAGTATCTTGAAGACCATTCTTTCCTATATGTTGTCCAGTGCTTTTGGCTTTTTCAAGTGAGACAGCAAATCCTATTCTTGTGACCTTATCATGGTCAGAAGTAGACATTTGTATCTATTTTAAAAATAAATTTCTCATATGATTATGATATAATCACCCCAGCCCTAGTCTATAGGTTAGCATTTGAGAATCATTGCTCTAAGTTGCTCTGGACTACTTCTTTGTTTTTTGAGACAGAGTCTCATTCTGTCACCAGGCTGGAGTGCAGTGGTGCGATCTCAGCTCCCTGCAACCTCTGCCTCCCAGGTTCAAGTGATCCTCGTGCCTCAGACTCCCCAGTAGTTGGAATTATAGGCATGTGCCACCACAGCCAGCTAATTTTATTTTTTTTCAATTTTTTTGAGACAGAGTCTCACTCTTGTTGCCCAGGCTGGGGTGCAGTGGCGCCATCTCAGCTCACTGCAACCTCCACCTCCAGGGTTCAAGCTATTCTCCTGCCTCAGCCTCCCAAATAGCTGGGATTACAGGTGTCTGCCACCATGCCCGGCTAATTTTTGTATTTTTAGTGGAGATGGGGTTTCGCCATGTTGCCCAGGCTGGTCTCGAACTCCTGAGCTCAGCTGATCCACCTGCCATGGCCTCCCAAAGTGCTGGGATTACAGGCGTGAGCCACCGTGCCCGGCCTACTGGACTACTTCTCACTGATCTTCAGTCATCCATATACCTGTTTGTATGCCATTGCTTTTCCAGTTCTCTAAGTCCTGAATACCTTCTTCTCTTTTGTTTTTCTTATCCAATCCTTTTGTGTGTGGGGGTGAGGGGAGAGGTCTTCCTCTGTCACCCAGACTGGAGCGCAGTGGCACGATGATAGCTCACTGCAGCCTCAAACTCCTGGGCTCAAGTGATCCTATTGGCTCAGCCTCTTGAGTAGCAAGGACCACAGGCGGGTACCACCATGCTTGGCTAATATTTTTCTTATATTTTTGGAGACGGATATCACTCTGTGGCCCGGGTTGGTCTCAGACTCCTGACTTTCTGGCCTCAAGCAATCTCCTGCCTGGGACTCCCAAAGCACTGAGATTATAGGAGTGAACCACAGTGTCTGGCCAATCTTAAAGATTCTTCAAAGTTTAGGCCGGGCGCAATGGCTCACGCCTGTAATCCCAGCACTTTGGGAGGCCGAGGTGGGCAGATCACGAGGTCAGGAGATCGAGACCATCCTGGCTAACATGGTGAAACCCCGTCTCTACTAAAAACACAAAAAATTAGCCAGGCGTGGTGGCGGGCGCCTGTAGTCCCAGCTGCTCGGGAGGCTGAGGCAGGAGAATAGCATGAACCTGGGAGGCAGAGCTTGCAGTGAGCTGAGATCACGCCACTGCACTCCAGCCTGGGCGACAGAGTGGGACTCCATCTCAAAAAAAAAAAAAAAGATTCTTCAAAGTTTAATGAAAATGCTATCTCCTCCTCCTCAGAGTAGCAAGGACTCCACCCTTCTGCTGAGAAAATCACTCCTTCCTAAGTGCTTCTACAATAAATTTATTTTTGTCATAGTAGTTGTTATATTCTGTACTTTATAATAGTTGTTTGCTCATCTCTTTGTAAAATTACTGAGGACAGACACTTTTTCTTGCACAAAATAGGTACTGTATTGTTTTGTATCATACACTAAGGAAATGAAAGAAGACCTTGAAAGGAATAGACCAAGTAATAGAACTAAGCAGTATAGAGAGAATATTTTAGTCTTTGCATAAGGTGGTTTGCAAAGCCTTGTTTTGGTCCAGTAAATCTAGGATTAGGTTAGCAATTAGGATTCATCTTGCTTGGGGAATCTGATTGGATCGTATGTTGAGAAGGATTCTGAGGGCACATTATGGCTCATTGAGAAAGATAGCTATTAGATAATAAAATGTTGGATTGTCTCAGGTATTTTGACTGAACATAGGATATTTTGCAATAATATTAGGTTGATGCAAAAATAATTGCAGTTTTTGCCCTTAAAAGTAATGGCAAAACCGCAATTACTTTTGCACCAACCTAATAGCTAACAAATATATAATACACATCAAGCAGTATTCTAAGCACAAAACACACATCAACTCATTATTTACCCTGACAATCCATTAAGGTAAGTTCTATTAATAGCCCCATTTTGCAGGTAGGGAAACTGAGACATAGAGAAGTCAACTAACTTCCTCAAGTCACACTGCTGGTAATTCTGGCTCCAGACGATTCTGCCATTGTCACTGCTATGTTGCTGTTCTAATGAACATTCCATGTTTTCAGAAACACTGTGGTAGTTAGCATATACAGCTATGCTTCTATGGTATGAAAGGGGCAAAATAGATTTGTTGCTTGCTAATGTGATAATAGACCAGACTTCCCAAATGTCTACCTTAGATTAGAAAGATTTATCTTTCCTGATCCGTATAGTCATGTCTGATCCTTTGTGTTTTATTTCTTTAGGGTCCCTTGCCAGCTCCATCTTTGACCCACTCAGATATCTTGTGGGAGCTTCAGGAGGAGTCTATGCTCTGATGGGAGGCTATTTTATGAATGTTCTGGTGGTAAGAACCATGGGGATGGAGTCCACGAGTCTCTTAAAAAAACAGAAAACAGTAACTCTTCTTTGTTTCAACGAACCTTCATTTATCAATATTTACTGAGCACTCAATTTTCTGAGAATTGTATGGCAATGCCATTTTGTTTCCTTTCTTTTCTTTCTTTTTTTTTGAGACAGAGTCTTGCACCATTGCCCAGGCTGGAATGCAGTGGTGTGATAATGGCTCACTGCACTTCTGCCTCCTGGGCTCAAGCAATCCTCCCACCTCAGCCTCCTAAATAGCTGGGACTACAGGTGTGGGCCACCATGCCTGACTAATGTTTTTATTGTTTGTAGAGCCAGGGTTTCGCCATGTTGCCCAGGCTGGTCTCGAACTCCTAGGCTCAAGCGATCTGCCCACGTTGGCCTCCCAAAGTGCTGGGATTACAGGCGTGAGCTGCCGCACCTAGCTTCCTTTCATATGTTATCATTTTTTTTCTCATTTCAAAAGTAATGAGTACAACATAAAATTTTAAATAAAAAAGTAGAAAGTTAAGGTCCTCAATATAGTATCTGTTAACAGTTGGGTGGGTGGTGAAAGACGTTGTTAACAGTTTTATATATTTTTTTCAGCCCTTTTTATTTTATTTTATTTTTTAAAGGAAACCAAGTTTATTAAGAAAGTAAAGGAATAAAAGAACGGCTACTTCATAGGCAGAGCAGCCCAGACCTTTTTCTACATGTATTCAAAATCCTACCGATGTTAATCTTATAACAATGACACCACCCTTATATTGTTCTGCATTTTATCATAGAGCATCCTGACCATCTACCCATGTCAGTGCTTAGAAATCCTCCCAGCTTAGAGCTGCTCCCTAGCATCCTCTATATAGATGCACCATGATTTATTTAATGAATCTCTCGCTGAAAAAAATTTGGGGTGATTCCTGCTTTTCATGTTTACAAGTAATGCTATAAGAAATGCCCTTGGCCGGGTGCGGTGGCTCACGCCTGTAATCCCAACACTGTGGGAGGCCAAGGTGAGTGGATCATGAGGTCAAGAGATCGAGACCATCCAGGCCAATATGGTGAAACCCCGTCTCTACTAAAAATACAAAAATTAGCTGGGTGTGGTGGTGTGTGCCTGTAGTCCCAGCTACTCGAGAGACTGAGGCAGAAGAATGGCTTGAACCTGGAAGGCGGAGGTTGCAGTGAGCTGAGATCATGCCACTGCACTCCAGCCTGGCAACAAAGCAAGACTCTGTCTCAAAAAAAAAAAAAAAAAAGAAAAAAAAAGAAAAAAAAGAAAAGAAATGCTTTTTACATTTATCTTTTTGCATTTGTGTAAATTTTTTTTGTAGGATAAATTTCTAGGCCAGGCATGGTGGCTCATGCCTGTAATCCCAGCACTTTGGGAGGCTGAGGTGGGCGGATCACAAGGTCAAGAGATCGGGACCATCCTGGCCAACGTGGTGAAACCCCGTCTCTACTAAAAATACAAAAATTAGCTGGGTGTGGTGGCACGCACCTGTAGTCCCAGCTACTCTGGAGGCTGAGGCAGGAGAATCGCTTGAACCCGGGAGGTGGAGGTTGCAGTGAGCCAAAATTGTGCCACTGCACTCCAGCCTGGCGACAGAGTGAGACTCCAACTCAAACAACAACAACAACAACAACAACAAAATTCTAGGTAGAAAAGTGTAAAGCAATTATAAAACTGTTCCAAATATAGAAATCACTAAGAAAAGTGGTTTTTTCAACTTTGGATTGCAACCCATTAGTGGTTGTAGACTCACTTTAAGGAACTGTGGCCAAAAGTTAAACCCAAGAAAAAAAAAGTCAGTGTTATTGTTTGATTTATGCGTGTACTGGGTTGTTATGTAAATTATTTCTTACTGTAGGTCATGGTCACAAGAGTTTGAAAATAATTGATTTAGAGTAAACATGCCTATTTCAGCATCTTTACTCCTTGGGAAGAGAGTTACTAATTTGAAAGTGAAGGGACAAGTAATTCAATAAATTATATTAGAAATGTCTCGCTCAGCAGTTCGCCACTGACGCATAAGGGACCCAAAGCTAAAATCCAACAATGAGCCAGGTGTACTGGAATGCACCTGTAGTCCCAGCTACTCAGGAGTCTGAGACAGGAGGAAGGCTTGAGTCCAGGAGTTCGAGGCTGCAGTGAGCTATAGATTGCACCACTGCACTCCAACTTGGGTGACAGAGTGAGATCCTCCCTGTCTTCTACCTCCCCTCACAGAACCCCCCCAAGAGCGCCCCCAAAAGACCCTGCAATAATTTTTGACGAATATTTTCAATGTTTTTGAAATTACCTCAAAAATTAAGGTAATACTCAAATCTCAGTTAAGTCTTTGCTAAATACTACTGGGAAAGAGGATGAAGAAACATCAAATGAATATTAACCAAAAATCTTATGAATATTTCATCAATCTTAGTTTAACAGCATTTATTTATCTATTTATTTATTGACATGTTAAGTGCTGATTTTATATTACTTTTATTGAGATTGTTTCTGGCTAGCAAAATTGTGTCATTTATATTATTAAATTAAATGTCTTGTCATTTTATTCTCCAAAGTGCATTGTACTTCCCAAATACATTTAAAAACTCGGCTGTGACACTCATGCTTTGTTTTGCAAATATTTGATACTGGAAGATTATTTCAAATGAAGAGCAGATGAAGAGGGAGTAGAGTTGAGGTTTCATTTGTCCATAGATAGCTTATATAATTATTATTTATCTCTTTTTAAGAATTTTCAAGAAATGATTCCTGCCTTTGGAATTTTCAGACTGCTGATCATCATCCTGATAAGTAAGTGTGTTTTGTGAATACTTCATACTGTCCAAGTGAAAATAAAATATAGAGACAAATCTCTAAACATTTTATTTGGGAATCACAGGATTGCAATTTGGGGCATACACACAGACCTGGGAGGTCTATGGTATGTCTGAAGTACAAAAGAAAAGGCTGGGGGTTTTATTAGAAAGATAAATTTTACATATTATTTTGAAAGAAAGCTCATTGGCACTAGAGCAGCCTTTGGGAGCTGGTTGGTGAGTGATGGTAGTGGGGAGAACTAGTCTTAGACTTGTGTTGTTTAGACCTGATTCTTAGACTCAATTTGTTTCAGCAGCTATTAGGTAAAACTAGTCTTATGGTTAGAACAGGTAGTTTCGGCAGCTGGGCTTGTGGAGAATTCAATTGTTGGAGCAGTGCTATGTGCTCTGAGTGCTTTTGTCCCCTGGCCCCTCAACTCTGATTTAGCTGGGTTTGACAACAATGACCTATTTCACATAATCATCTCACATAATATTTTCACCATGTGATTGGTTTAGGCTTCAGAAGGCCTTTCCACATTTCCCAGACACTAACATGGAGAATAACTGCAAGCCTACAGTTAGAGAAAAATTGTCCACTTCACAGCACTAAGCAGAAAGAAGTAAACGAAGGAGTTTTACAGGCTCTCATGGGTGGTTCTTAGACATGCCTACGTGATGTATTTTGGCTTTTAGTATCTTTATGGAGTGGGGGAAGCCAAGAGAATAGAGCCCTAGGCACCCCCTCTACTTGAACCACAATAGCTTCACTTATATTTTATATACTGGACTTTTTCATATATTGGAAGCTGTATGTGATTTTGTCTGCAGAGGGAAAACTTGGAAACCACTGATATAATCTCTTTTCTTCCTCAATTTCTAAATTTTCAGATTAAAAAAAAAACTGATCCAGTAAGTATTGAGTGATAGCTGATAGTTGAGGATTAATGATAGAGAGTTGGGGGAGCGGGGGGCAGGTGGCAGCGGGCAACCGTTCAAGAAGCCCAGACCAAGAGGGTGACTAATGTGGCTTTTGAAATCTCCAAGCATTCTAGAATCACATGCTAAAGGAGGTTAGGAAGAATGCTGTCTGGAGAGGGGATGGAAGTGCAGCTGAGTCTGAGAGTAAAGGTAGATTCCAGATGACAGCAGGCCATAGAGCATGGAAGAAAACAAGAGCAAAGGTGGGGGTGGTAACTGGTGTTGACAGACCTGCTCCAGTTGAAGTTCTCTCCACCTGGAGGGCTGTGGAAGAATGACAGACCCTGGGGTCAGACCTGAAAGCCAAGGCAGAGGTTATACCTGATAAAGCCTAAGATGTTTTTGGCTGTCCACATAGTAAGAAAACAGGATTTTGCAATTTCTATGAAGGGTTCGATTATCCCCATTACAGGAACAGAGGCAACTATGTCTGTGGGAAGGGACTCTTTAGTTTATTGACCATTTAAATATAAGAACGCTAATATTTCACTCTGAGATAAAATAATTCACTTGTTTATAGTTTATACTATTCTTAACTTTTTTCTTCATAACAAATTCAAAACCTAAGAGAAGGGAGAGTGAGTATCTGGGAGGCAGCAGAGCTGCTGCAGGAGCTGAGCTGCCTCCTCAGTTGTTCAGGGTCACACCCAGAATCAGAGGACACATTGTTTGGGCACAGAATTGTTGTCACCTGAGATACGGGGTCTTCAGTCAGTCTGCTTCATTTCTAAAAGTTCTTTGGCCTGGTTTACCTACTATTGAAAATGGGAAGAGTTACAACACATACCAGATTAATAAAATATAAGTGCATCTGTATTTGAAATGTGTTTCTTTGGAAATGTATATAATTTTGTAATATGTAATATGTAATGTGTATAAAGTTGTAAATATTCTTCTTTTTTTTTTTTTTTTTTTTTGAGACGGAGTCTCGCTCTGTTGCCCAGGCTGGAGTGTAGTGGTGTGATCTTGGCTTACTGCAACCTCCGCCTCCTGGGTTCAAGCAATTCTCCTGTCTCAGCCTCTCCTGTCAACAGGTGCATGCCACCATGCCTGGCTAATTATTGTATTTTTAGTAGAGATGGGGTTTTACCATATTGGTCAGGCTGGTCTCGAACTCCTGACCTCAGGTGATCCACTCACCTCAGCCTCCCAAAGTGATGAGATTACAGCCGTGAGCCACTGAGCCCAGCCAAGTTGTAAATATTCTTCTTAATTGTAAATGGCAATTGCCCTAAAAAACATTCCTTCATCAAGCATTATGTTTGAGACCATCCTGTGAAACATAGGGAGACTCTGTCTCTACAAAAAAATTGGTCAGGTGTTGCGGTGTGGGCCTGTGGTTCCAGCTACTCAGGAGGCTGAGGTGGGAGAATTCGCTTGAGCCTGGGAGGTCAAGGCTGCAGTGAGCCGTGAACATGCCACTGTAGTCTAGCCTGGGCAGCAGAGCGAGGTTGTCTCAAAAAAAAAAAAATCCATATGAAGGCAACTCTTTTAAAGTAAATGTTAAATTTTTAAGGAGGACAATGGTTTGGCTTCTTGGAATAAGGGCTTATTTTCAGGTGGGAAGACACATCTCAGTTTAGAGGCTGCAGCAACCCAGAAGAAAAGTCCCCTAGGAAGCAGAAAGAGGAAAGAACCAGACTCAGATATAGGAAGGGGCAAGATGAGAGAAACTGGTTGGAGAAATTGACATACTAATGGTTACAAAGACTTTCTGAGAGGAGGTCTCCTATTGTGGAAGACTAAGCCAAAGTAACTGTTTCCAGTTATGTGGCAGTGTTTTTTAAAAACACTTTCCTAGACCCATGGGCATGTTATTTATGTGGACCAGGAAATGCAAATGATGATTGAAAATATGGGCCAGGCACGGTAGCTCACGCCTGTAATCGCAGCACTTTAGGAAGCCGAGGCGGGTGGATCACGAGGTCAGGAGATCTCATGGTGAAACCCCGTCTCTACTAAAAATACAAAAATTAACCAGGCATGGTGGCATGGGCCTGTAGTTCCAGCTGCTCAGGAGGCTGAGGCAGGAGAATGGCGTGAACCCAGGAGGTGGAGGTTGCAGTGAGCTGAGATTGCACCACTGCACTCCAGCCTAGGCGACAGAGTGAGACTGCGTCTTGAAAAAAAAAAAAAAAGAAAATATTATATAGCCTCATGAATCTAGCACTTTGTGTAATAGTCATTTACAACTAAATGAATATTGAATATTTCCTCGACCTCAATTTCTGTCCAGTGACTTCAACATCAATCAATACAGTATTGAAAGGGAATCTAGTCAGAGCACATGTCCTGATGCTATTTTCCCAAAGGCAAGGACTAGGTCTTTTCATCTCCTAGGACACAGTGGCTCACTAAGTAGAGCATAGGGAATTAGGGGATGGGTGTGGAATGTGATAGCTGCAAGAGATGTTTCCAAGCACTACACATATAGGGCAGAGTTCTTCTAGGCCAAGAAGTCGGAAGCTCCTTTTGCAGTGCAGATCCGACTTACTTGACGACTGCCTAACTTCTGGCTCTCACAGTTTTATTGGAGAATATGGAATGATTTCCTTTCATGGCCTGACACCTTCAGAACTCCCGATGGTAATTACAGGCAATTAGTGTGGTGGCTGAGAGTGGAGTCTTGGTGTCTTGGTTTCTTTATGTATAAAATGCCACCATCCTTCTTCACTTCGATTGCTACAATAGTATTTTTCCAGCTGGTCTTCCAGTTCCTGTTCTTGCTCCCTTATAGTCTACTTCCTATATGGCAGCTAGAATAATCTTTGTAAAACCATCAGTGTGGTTGCTCAAGCCTGTAATCCCAGCACTTTGGGAGGTCGAGGTGGGTGGATCACCTGAGGTCAGGAGTTCGAGAGTTGGAGACCAGCCTTGTCAACACGGTGAAATGCTGTCTCTACTAAAAATACAAAAATTAACCGGGCATAGTGGCACATGTCTGTAATCCCAGCTAATCAGGAGGCTGAGGCACGAGAATTGCTTGAACCTGGGAGGCGGAGGTTGCAGTGAGCCGAGATTGCACTACTGCATTCCAGCCTGGGCGACAGAGTTGAGACTCTGTCATAAACAAACAAACAAAATCTATCATGTCACTCCTGTGCTCAAGAGCTTTCAAAGACTTCCTATCACTCAGTAAAGGTTGAAGTCCTTACAATGGCCCATATAGACCCTACATAATCTGTCCCCTGCTACCTGTCTGACCTCATCACCCACAACCTTATCCCTAACTCTAGTCCAGAATCACCTGGAGGTCTTGTTAAAACAAAGTTGTTGGAAACAACTTTACCACAGTTGGTAGTTGGAAAACACAGCCATGGAAGTAGGAATCTACTAAGGAGAGTACAACTCACCTTCTGAAAACAAAAACAAAAACAAAAACAGAAAGCTGAGTCCCACCCTTAAGTTTTCTGGTTCAGTAGGTCTGGGGTGGGTTTAAGAGTTTTCATATCTAGTAAGTTTCCAGGTGAAGCTGATGCTGCTGGTCTTGGTAAAAACCACTTTGAAAACTACTGATCCAGCCAGCTCAACTGCTTTGGTATTTTTCAAACACACCAGGCACATTCCTGCTTAGGGACTTTGTACTTGGTCTTCCCTCTCTCTGAAACACTCTTATGTCAAATAGCAGCATGACTTGGACCCTTACCTCTGTCCAGCGTCATATTCTCAAAGAGATCCTCCTTGACACCCCTATTGGAAATCACACTCGACAACTGGCATTCCTATTTCTTCTTCTCTTTGTATTTTCTCCATAGCACTTAGCACTATTTGACATACTGTATGTTTTACTTATTTGTTTGCCTCCCTACCAATCACCCCCCCACATACCCCCCAACAGTTTGTCAGCTCCATGAGTCAGGGCTGTTAGATCTGTCCATTGCTGCCTATCTACCAGCTAGAATAATGCCTGACACATAGAGGACAATGAATGCTTGTTGGATGAATAAATCTGTAAAATGGGATAATGATAGTTCCTACTTCACAGGGTTGTGATGAAGATTAATGAGTTAAAAGATCTCTTAGAAAAGCACCTGTCACAGAGTTAAGTATCAATAAATGATAGCTAGTATTATTATTATTAGAGGGGAACCAAAAACATTTGGTGTACTACTGTGGAGATTCTGAGCCTTTATCAGGGTGTTTTTCCTTCTAGTTGTGTTGGACATGGGATTTGCTCTCTATAGAAGGTTCTTTGTTCCTGAAGATGGGTCTCCGGTGAGTTCAGTTTCTTTCTTTTATAAAATAGAAATTAGTTTACTGTCAAAAAGGGTTATCAAATAGGGGTTACAACGCTGTGATTTAGGGCAGCCAAATTTCCATTTGGAAGTTAAGAAAATTTTTAAGGAAATCAGACTTTTGAATTGTCCTTCCCACTTAACTCTCTCACAGCCCTGATCACTGGCTCTACTTCACTGCACCTGCCATATTGGTAGCTATTCCAAAACAGGAGAGAATGGCCAGGCGTGGTGGCTCATGCCTGTAATCCCAGCACTTTGGGAAGCCAAGATCGGCGGATCACAGGGTCAGGAGTTTGAGACCAGCCTGGCCAATATGATGAAACCCCGTCTCTACTAAAAATACAAAAATTAGCTGGGCGTGGTGGCAGTCACCTGTAATCCCAGCTACTCGGGAAGCTGAGGCAGGAGAATCGCTTGAATCTGGGAGGCGGAGGTTGCAGTGAGCCGAGATCGCACCACTGCACTCCAGCCTGGGTGACAGAGTGACTCTGTCTCAAAAAAACAAAAAACAGGAGAGAATGGATTTTCCTGTCCACATAGAATAAAAAGCAGTTGGTTTAGCCAGGCATGGTGGCATGTGCCTGTAGTCCCAGCTACTTGGGGAGCTGAGATGGGAGGATTGCTTGAGTCCTAGAGGTTGAGTCTACAGTGAGCTGTGATCATGCGACTGCACTCCAGCCTGGGCGACAGAGTTGAGACCCCATTTCAAAAAACAAAACAAAACAAAAAAACAGATTGGAAAACAGCAATGAAAGATTGAGTTCTATAAGTTGACAATAAAGAAAATTGACAAAATTTTCCAGTTTTGCTGTGATTTGTCTTTGAATTTGGTAGTTTCTGTTTGGGTATTTCTTGTGTATGTTATTACTTGTGTTTTAAATCTGAAACCCCATGTATGTGGAATCAGATTATGCTGCTATAGAGATCCCTCATGGCAACTCAACCATTCTCTTAGTTGGCATTATATAGAATTATTTTAAATGCAATGATGATTAAGAATGAGAAACAATTTCTCTGTCTTTTGTACTCTAAGAATGGGTGAAAATGACATTTTTAAGCTTTGTATCTTTCAGAGTATCTCCTTCTCTCTGTGCACATGGAGTTTTGTGTCTCTTTTGCCTTACCCCTAGTTCTCTAGACCTTTAAGACTCTTGTTTAACTGTGACGGTATTTGTGTTTGAATAAGAGAGATGCAACTGAAATACACAATTAGCATTGTCTTCACTTATTTCCATTTTCCCTCCTTTTCTCCCAAGGTGTCTTTTGCAGCTCACATTGCAGGTGGATTTGCTGGAATGTCCATTGGCTACACGGTGTTTAGCTGCTTTGATAAAGCACTGCTGAAAGATCCAAGGTTTTGGATAGCAATTGCTGCATATTTAGCTTGTGTCTTATTTGCTGTGTTTTTCAACATTTTCCTATCTCCAGCAAACTGACCTGCCCCTATTGTAAGTCAATTAATAAAAAGAGCCATCTGGAGGAAATAAAAAAAAAAGGAAGACTCTATGAAGAAACAGAGAAGTCTCAGAAAAGGCTAACAATTTTATATAGAGGACAAAACAGCATTAAACTCATCAGTTGCAAAGATTGCCTATAAAAGGACCTTAGGATTTAAGGAAGGGGCTTCTTAATGTAGAAAGGGAAGAAGAAGAGAGAAAAGAAGGGTAGTAAAAACTAGAGATTGGGGCCAGGCGCAGTGGCTCACGCCTGTAATCCCAGCACTTTGGGAGGCTGAGGCGGGTGAAATCACCTGAGGTCATGAGTTCAAGACCAGCCTGACCAATATGGTGAAACCCTGTCTCTACTAAAGAAAATACAAAAATTAGCCGGGCGTGGTGGCGTGTGCCTGTAGTCCCAGCTACTTGCGAGGCTGAGGCAGGAGAATTGCTTGAACCTGGGAGGCGAAGGTTGCAGTGAGCCGAGATTGCGCCACTGCACTCCAGCCTGGGTGACAGAGCGACACTCGGTCTCAAAAAACAAAACAAAACAAAACAAAATTAGAGATTGGGTCTTTCCCAGGCATATGGTATTCTATAAAACAGACTTACTCTCCTTGGAGGATATATTTTGGAGAATGCTTCATAAAATCTATGAATACTGTACAATGCTGATAATAAAAACTTTTTATACCTGTGTCAGACTCCTGATAATCACTTTAAAATAGATCACTGTTTGAGGAGATAGATCACTACTGTTTGAGGTGTTTTACACACTTTATTGATAATATTATCAACAACCCGGAAAGGTAGTTATTACTCTGCATCTTAGAGTAATCTTAAAGAATCCCTTAAAGGAACCCTTAAAGAATTAAGTACTTGTCTGAGGGGAGCAGAATTTAAACATAGATAATGACTTGGAAACCTGTAGTCTCCCCTATAGGTCCAACAATGCTGTGTTCCCCAAACACTGAAGGGTATCATAGGAGTACAGGAACAAACATCTATGCGGGGTACACCATGAATGGTGGAAATATCTCATAGAAGAAGACTGAGGATTTTCTGGACTGCTAGTTTAAGATTCTGATACCGTGTCTAAGATCCCAAGGAACCGGGCACTGGCTTTCTGGTGCACACTATATACCTAGACTTCAGATTCTCATCTGTGATCAGACTGTCATCCTTCATGTGGGTCATGGCTCTCCTAGGAGTGGGTAGGATTTATTTACAGAAGGTAAAATGTCATACCTGAAAGCTGAGAAGCATGTGTCATTTTCCTGTATAGAATTCAGACTGTGGTTTATTATGTTTTTGGAAATGGTAGTTTTGGGTCATCTGAATATAGGAAATATAATTTTTTCTTTTATCATCAATGTATTTATTAAACACCCATCTAAACATGTCACTGTATCTGGAAGGGGCATATACACTTAGTTAGATATAGTGAGAAAAGTTAATACTTTAGTATTTTGAGAAAAACTGATCAGAAATTTGTTTAAAAAGTTAAATTTAAGTATAAACATGGGAATATGAGTGTTTTTTTTTTTGTTTTGTTTTTTTTTGAGATGGAGTCTCGCTCTGTTTCCCAGGCTGGAGTGCAGTGGGCTGATCTTGGCTCACTGCAACCTCTGCCTCCTGGGTTCAAGCAATTCTCCTACCTCAGCCTCCAGAGTAGCTGGGATTACAGGCATGCGCCACCACATCTGGCTAATTATTATTTTTTTTTTTTTGAGACCGAGTCTTGCTCTGTCGCCCAGGCTGGAGTGCAGTGGCCGGATCTTGGTTCACTGAAACCTCCGCCTCCTGGGTTCAAGTGATTCTCCTATCTCAGCTTCCTGAGTAGCTGGGATTACAGGTGGCCGCCACCAAACCTGACTAATTTATTTATTTATTTATTTATTTATTTATTTATTTATTTATTTATTTATTTTTAGTAGAGACGGGGTTTCACCATGCTGGCCAGGCTGGTCTCGAACTCCCGACCTCAGGCCCTCAGGCGATCTGCCCGCCTTGGCCTCCCAAAGTGCTGGGATTACAGGTGTGAGCCACTGTGCCCGGTCCCTAATTTTTTTTTTTTTTTGAGATGGAGTTTCGCTCTTGTCATCTAGGCTAGAGTGCGATGGTACGATCTCGGCTCACTGCCACCTCCACCCACTGGGTTCAAGTGATTCTCCTGCCTCAGCCTCCTGAGTAGCTGGGATTACAGGCACCTGCCACCACGCCTGGCTAATTTTTGTATTTTTAGTAGAGACGGGGTTTCACCATGTTGGCCAGGCTGGTCTTGAACTCCTGACCTTAGGTGATCCGCCCACCTCGGCCTCCCAAAGTGCTGGGATTACAGGTGTGAACCACTGCACTCGGCTAATTTTTGTATTTTTTAGTAGAGACGGTGTTTCACCATGTTGGCCAGGCTGGTCTCAAACCCCTGACCTCAAGTGATCCACCCACCTCAGCCTCCCAAAGTGCTGGGATTACAGGTGTGAGCCACCATGCCTGGCCTTATGAGTGTGTTCTTGGTTAAACAAAGATTCAAACAAGAAGTTAAAAGATAAAATCTCAGCCAGGTGCAGTGGCTCATGCCTATAATCTCAGCACTTTGGGAGGCCAATGTGGGAGGACTGCTTGAGCCCAGGAGTTTGAGAACAGCCTGGGTAACATTCAAGAACTCTACAAAAACATAAAAAATAACCAGGTGTGGTGGTGCTTGCCTGTAGTTCTAGCTACTCCAGAGGCTGAGGTGGGAGGATCACTGGAACCCAGGAGTTCGAGGTTACAGTGAGCTATGATCATGCCACTGCCCTCCAGCCTGGGTGACAGAGTGAGACCCTGTCTTAAAAAAAAAAAAAATCTCCTTTTGCCTTCTCACTTCAAACCTGCTGTTTTTCCCTAGTGCTGACCATCATCAGTGGTCACAACAGTATGGTCTGTATCCTTGCAGACATTTTTCTATGTAGGATGAGCAGAAAGGAAAATGGATTTAAGTTAATGTCCAACTCATCCACTGTATTGAACTTCACTGAATCTGCTCTACACCCTC
Organism: Homo sapiens; assembly: GCF_000001405.40. Taxonomy (NCBI): domain Eukaryota; kingdom Metazoa; phylum Chordata; class Mammalia; order Primates; family Hominidae; genus Homo; species Homo sapiens. Next base: position 38,883,466 of record NC_000001.11, on the reverse strand, counting down.
AAAGGGACAAATCTGAAGAACAAATTAGAGGTGTCCATGGTATAACTCCTCCTAAGCATCATTTGCTTCTCAGATTGATCTCAACTAGGAAAAGTTTTTGTTAATCGATTTTAGCTAAATATATATGTGTGTGTGTGTGTGTGTGTGTGTGTGTGTGTGTGTGTGTGTATATATATATTTTTTTTTTTCTTGAGACAGGGTCTTGCTGTGTCGCCCAGGCTGGAGTGCAGTGGCGCCATCTCGGCTCACTGCAACCTCTGCCTCCTGGGTTCAAGCAATTCTCCTGCCTCAGCCTCCCGGGTAGCTGGGATTATAGGCATGTGCCACCATGCCTGGCTAATTTTTGGTATTTTTAATAGAGACTGGGTTTCACCACATTGGCCAGGCTGGTCTTGAACTCCTGACTTCAGGTGATCCGCCTGTCTCAGCCTCCTCCCAAAGTGCTAGGATTATAGACATGAGCCCAGCCTCTAATTAGATATTTTTATGAAATGTAGGTTTTAACAGGATAAATGTGATACATGTATTGTTCTATAACTTGCTTTACAACATGACCTAGGGACCTTTCTCTATTAGTTCATAGAAATCTTTATTCTCTGAATTGCTGAATGATATAGATGTACCATAGATAACCATTCCTCTGTCAGACATTTAAATTATTGCTGCTTTTGTATAATTACCAACAGTGCTATGTGAACATCCTAGCATGTGCAGTGTGTCTCTGAATGTCTATGCTGAATGAATATTTCAAGTATCCAAAAGCAGAAATGCTATACTAATATTGATAGGTTTAAACTGCCTTTTAAATAGCTGTATCCATTTATATTCTTACCTACAGGATATGAGAGTAACAGTGTCTCCCTACTTTGCCAAAAGAAGGTATTATAAATCTTTAAAATTTTGCATTTTGATAGTTAAAAAATAATATTTCACTTAAATATGTATTCTCTGACTACCGAGGTTGAGGAAGTTTCGAGTTTATTAATAATTTATGAGTTACACATATGTAATTCAGATAACACATAATATAGAAACATGAATATATTGTGCATGTATGTGTGCCTATACAAATATATATATATATAAATAATATATATATAAAAATATATATGTAAATATATATATATATATATATATATATATATATATATATATATATATATATATTTGTCCCTGGTGAAATGTTTGTATTTAATCTGAGAAGTAGCTATTGTTGGCAAAAAAGCCCAGGGAAGAAGTATTTATCTGTTATGCTCAACCTGCCAGATCACTAGCTCTGAAGGGACCTTTAATGACCTAAAATACAATGTAATTGTTAATAACAGAACATGGGAGACAGAATCAGGATCTATCTATGAAATCGGACATGACCCATTTATTAAGGCAGATGACCAAGAAGTTATTATCTAGTAAGAAAGACTTTTTTGGTTCTAGAAACATGGTTTATTGCACAAAAAACAATGACATTTTATTAGGTTCCCCCAGTGGCAAAAGTTGCATACAAACAGCACACAAATACCTCCTGTCATTTTAAATTTGACATCTCTGAATTATGGAGGAATCATTCACTCAGCTTAATTTGGGGCTCATGACTTTAGTCTTCTAGATTGCAGTGTGTTATCAGGACTATTATAAGCATTCTTTATCTGTGCTGTCCAAAAAAGCAGCCATTAGGTAGATGCAGCTCTTTACATTTTTATTAAAATTATTTAAAATTAAAAATTCAATTGCTCTGACACACAAACCATAATGCAAGTGTTCAATAGCTACATTTGGCTACTGGCTGCCTTATTGGCTAGCACAGATAGAATATTTCCATTGTTGCAGAAAGTTCTATTGGATGGTGCTGTTTTAAAAGCAAGGATAAGCAGAAAGGGACATGGATTTTAGTTGATGGATGACTCACTCACTACATTCAACTGAACTGAATCTGCTCTATACCAGCAAAGGGACAAATTCAGAAAATAAATTGAAGATGGCCATGCTGTAACTTCTAAACATGGTTTGCTTCTCAGATTTACCTAAACTAAGAAAGGTTTGTGTTAATCTCTCTGTTTTAGCTTATTAAGAAAGAGTTGTTTGAAATGTTTTTATCTTTTTCTTTTGAATTCTATGGTACTGTATATATGTATACCAGTTTTTATGTCATTTGCTATGAAAGCTTTAATTTGTAGCTAAATACTACTGCTCCTTCTTTCAGGAAATACTATGTGTTGTCCTTTATGAAAAAAATATTTTCTTTCTTTTTATGATTATAAAAGTAAAATGCTTATAGTAAAAAATTAAAATACATGTAATTACAATATATTAAGTATATAATTTGTAATCCCAACATCCAGAGCTAATCACCGTTAATATTTTCATGAATATCCTTCTAGACTTTTTTGTATACATCTGTAAATGTAACTAAACTTATAATAATGGGGCCATATTATTCTATTTTATAACATCAATTTCACTGAAATGAAATATCAAATGCCATTTTATGTATGTTTATCATTTCTACTGGTTGCATAGTATCACACCGTGGATGTAGTCGATTATTTAACCAGTTTTTCTTGTATTATTATTTTATGTTTTTAGCTTATGACTATTATAAACAACATGAATTACATCTTTGCTTACATTATTATTATTTATGAACCATAAATGAGACTTAACTTGCTTACTTTTTTTTTATTTTTTGAGACAGAGTCTCACTCTATTGCCCAGGCTGGAATGCAGTGGCCAGATCTCGGCTCACTGCAACCTTCACCTCCCAGGTTCAAGCGATTCTCCTGCCTCAGTCTCCTGAGTAGCTGGGATTACAGGCATGTGCCACCATGCCCGGCTAATTTTTGTATTTTTAGTAGAGATGGGGTTCAACCATGTTGCTCAGGCTGGTCTCGAACTCCTGACCTCGTAATCCGCCCGCCTGTGCCTCCCAAAGTGCTGGGATTACAGGCGTGAGCCACCGCGCCTGGCCAACTTGCTTACATTTTAAAGTGCTTTGGGTTGTTGGGTCAGAGTATGCTATTATTATTATTATTATTATTATTATTATTATTATTATTTATTTTTTTTTGAGACAGAGTCTTGCTCTGTCGCCCAGGCTGGAGTGCAATGGTGTGATCTCGGCTCACTGCAACCTCTGCCTCTGGGTTCAAGTGATTCTTCTGCCTCAGCCTCCCGAGTAGCTGGGACTACAGGCGCCCGCCACCACGCCCGACTAATTTTTGTATTTTTAGTAGAGCAAGGGTTTCAACCATGTTGGCCAGGCTGGTCTCAAACTCCTGACCTCAAGTGATCCGCTGGCCTCGGCCTCCTAAAGTATTGGGATTACAGGCGTGAGCCACCGTGCCCGGCCAGAGTATGCTATTATTAACATAATAAAGTCAATGGAAAGTTTCTCTATTTCAGGAATACAACTATATTTTAGAAGGTTGATGCTTTTGCAAATCGTATTAACAGAGCCGGGCGCGGTGGCTCACGCTTGTAATCCCAGCACTTTGGGAGGCCGAGGCGGGAGGATCACGAGGTCAGGAGATCGAGATCACGGTGAAACCCCGTCTCTACTAAAAATAACAAAAAAATTAGCCGGGCGTGGTGGCAGGCGCCTGTAGTCCCAGCTACCCGGAGAGGCTGAGGCAGGAGAATGGCGTGAACCCGGGAGGCGGAGCTTGCAGTGAGCCGAGATCGCGCCACTGCACCCCAGCCTGGGCGACAGGGCGAGACTCCGTCTCAGAAAACAAACGAACAAAAAAAACAGAACAAAGGCTGAAGAAAGGAACTAAAGACTCTAGAACTAGTTATTTAAAAAGCCAAAGCTATCACTATTTTACATTCCTAAATTTAAATGATTAAACTTAAGAGAAAACAGATAATCTCTTAATGTTTCTTTCCGGCAAATTTGAAGTTTGCTTACAGAGGAAAAATAATAGTTTAGTAAAAAATTTAAGGAGCTGACTCTAAAGCCACAATGATTGGGTTTGAATGCCAGCTCCAGCTGTGTGACCTCAGGTAAATTAAGGTGTGCTTCCGTTTCCTCATCTGTAAGATGGGGGAAACAACATACTTACCGCATAGGATTTTAGTGATGAACACATCTTGTATCTTAGTAGTTTGTTTGATTGTGTAACAGTTCCCTTTATATAAAGGGGACAGGACATACATTTATATTTTAAATGAAAAATAATGAAAATATTCACTTTTAAAATCTTTCCTTTGGGGTATATTTCCTCTGAGATAACCTGGGATACCAACCTTAATATGCAATCTGCCGGCAAATAATCCAAGCAGCTAAATTATAACTTGCCCCACTGCTTCCTTCAAGAGAGCAGCTATATGTCTTAAATAGGTCAAATACTGCTACAGTGAAAGTTTCCATAATACTGCCACCATACCAGTGAACAATCTATTGCAAGTAATATCTATAATGAGATTCTGGTACCATAAGGCCGGGCGCAGTGGCTCACGCCTGTAATCCCAGCACTTTGGGAGGCCGAGGCAGGTGGATCACCTGAGGTTGGGAGTTCGAAACTAGCCTGACCAATATGGAGGAACCCCATCTCTACTAAAAATACAAAATTAGCTGGGCATGGTGGCGCATGTCTGTAATACCAGCTACTCTGGAGCCTGGGGCAGGAGAATCACTTGAACCTGGGAGGTGGAGGTTGCGGTGAGCCGAGATTGTGCCATTGCACTCCAGCCTGGGCAACAAGAGGGAAACTTCGTCTCAAAAAAAAAAAAAAAAAAAAGATTCTGGTACCATAAAATAGTTGAGAATTTTTGGAGTTCTTTTTGTTTTCTGAGACAGAGTTTCTGCTCTTGTCGCCAAGGCTGGAGTGCAATGGCGCGATCTTGGCTCACCGCAACCTCTGCCTCCCAGGTTCAAGTGATTCTCCTGCCTCAGCCTCCTGAGTAGCTGGGGTTACAGATGCCTGCCACCACACCCAGCTAATTTTTTGTATTTTTGTAGAGACAGTGTTTCACCATGTTGGCCAGGCTGGTCTCGAACTCCTGACCTCAGGTGATCCGCATCGGCCTCCCAAAGTGCTGGGATTACAGGTGTGAGCCACTGTGCTGGGCTTGAAGTTCATTTTAACGTAAGAATTTACAAAATTTGGGCTGGGCGCGGTGGCTTACTATGGGAGGCCGAGGCGGGTGGATCACTCAAGGTTCAGGAGTTCAAGACCAGCCTGGCCAACATGGTGAAACCCCGTCTCTACTAACAATACAAAAATTAGCCAAGCGTGGTGGCACTTGCCTGTAGTCTCAGCTACTTGGCAGGCTCAGGCACGAGAATCACTTGAACCTGGGAAGTGGAGGTTGCAGTGGGCTGAGATCCTGCCACTGCACTCTAGTCTGGGCAACAGAGTGAGACTCTGTCTCCCCCCACCAAAAAAAAAGAAAAAAAGTATACTTTTTCATAGTAAAGTATAATAAGTACTTTATACATATTCATAAATATTACTGAGATGAATTTCTGAAAATGTTCACCAATTGCCAGGAAGAAACCAGAATTTATTTCAAATTTATTTCAATTTGGATTAAAAAAACTAATCTAAATTCCTATGACAGCCAGATCTGTTTCCTCTGGTTTCACTGAATGCCATATCTTACTGAATTATCAAATGAAGCATATTCGTTTTCCTATGTGTATAAATGAGATTTAAAAATCACTGACTTTTTGACCGGGCACGGTGGCTCATGCCTGTAATCCTGGCACTTTGGGAGGCTGAGGCGGGTGGATCACGAGGTCAGGAGATCGAGATCATCCTGGCCAACATGGTGAAACCCCGTGTCTACTAAAATACAAAAAATTATCCCGGGGGGTGTTGGCAGGCGCCTGTAATCCCAGCTACTCAGGAGGATGAGGCAGGGGAATCGCTTGAACCCAGGAGGCGGAGGTTGCAATGCGCCGAGATTGCGCCACTGCACTCCAGCCTGGCGACAGAGCAAGACTCTGTCCCAAAAGAAAGAAAGAAAGAAAAAAAAATCACTGACTTTTCAAGCCAGTAATGGCATGTTGGGGAAAAAGAAATTGACTTTGTTATAACTTTTATATCAAATAATCTTAATAAATAAGGTTAAGATCAGGTTACTAGTTTTAGAAACCTTTCCAAAAGTTCTGTTGAAAAACAACAATAGGCTGGGCATGGTGGCTCACGCCTGTAATCCCAGCACTTTGGGAGGCCGAGGTGGGCAGATCACCTGAGGTCAGGAGTTCGAGACCAGCCTGGCCAACATGGAGAAACATCATCTCTACTAAAAATACAAAATTATCCGGGCATGGTGGTGCATGCCTGTAATCACAGCTACTCAGGAGGCTGAGGCAGGAGAATCGCTTGAACCCAGGAGGTGGAGGTTGCGGTGAGCTGAGATCATGCCATTGCACTCCAGCCTGGGCTACAGAGTGAGACTCCGTCTCAAAAAAAAAAAAAAAAAGAATATAATTTTAGGCCATGCGCATTGGCTCATGCCTGTAATCCCAGCACTTTGGGAGGCCGAGGTGGCCAGATCATCTGAGGTCAAGGGTTTGATCTCAGCTCACTGCAACCTCTGCCTTCCAGGTTCAAGCGATTCTCTTGCCTCAGCCTCCCGAGTAGCTGGGACTACAAGCGCCTGCCACCACGCCTGGCTAATTTTTGTATTTTTAGTAGAGGCGGGGTTTTACCATGTTGGCCAGGCTGGTCTGGAACTCCTGACCTCAAATGATCCACCCACCTTGGCCTCCCAAAGTGTTGGGATTACAGGTGTGAGCCACCCCGCCCAGCCTATATTCTTAATAGAGAATATATACACTCCTCCTCCAGGTATCATGTTTTTTTCATTGTATTGTGATGTCTAAATATAAGTGATTTTAAATTCCTGACATTTAAGTATATTATTGGTAACAGATTCACACTTTGGCCAGGTGTGGTGACCCACACCTGTAATTCCCACACTTTGGGAGGTGAAGGCAAGAGGATCACTTGAGTCTAGGAGTTTAAGACTAGCTGCAGCAATAGAGTGAGACCCTGTCTCTACAAAAAAATAAAAAAAATTATCTGGGTGTAGTTGCACACACCTGCAGTCCCAGCTACTCAGGAGGCTGAGAGGGGAGATGATCGCTTGAGTCTGGGAGGTTGAGGCTGCAGGGAGTTGTGGTTGCAACACTGTACTCCAGCCTGGGCAACAGAGGGAGACTCTGTCTCAACAAACAAACAAACAAAGAAAAAACCCCACAGCTATCTAGGGAAAAAGTAAAGCAACCAGCATATAGAAGTGACATATTGTTATATTTTCACCATAGGTTTGCTTTAAGAAATAGTGCTCCCTTCAGAATGGAAGAATTTATCTGCCTCTTATTTGATGTGGATCAGAGCTAAGATGGCTGACTAAATAAACATGGGGGACTGGAATCTCCTTGGAGATACTCTGGAGGAAGTTCACATCCACTCCACCATGATTGGAAAGATCTGGCTCACCATCCTGTTCATATTTCGAATGCTTGTTCTGGGTGTAGCAGCTGAAGATGTCTGGAATGATGAGCAGTCTGGCTTCATCTGCAATACAGAACAACCAGGCTGCAGAAATGTATGCTACGACCAGGCCTTTCCTATCTCCCTCATTAGATACTGGGTTCTGCAGGTGATATTTGTGTCTTCACCATCCCTGGTCTACATGGGCCATGCATTGTACCGACTGAGAGTTCTTGAGGAAGAGAGGCAAAGGATGAAAGCTCAGTTAAGAGTAGAACTGGAGGAGGTAGAGTTTGAAATGCCTAGGGATCGGAGGAGATTGGAGCAAGAGCTTTGTCAGCTGGAGAAAAGGAAACTAAATAAAGCTCCACTCAGAGGAACCTTGCTTTGCACTTATGTGATACACATTTTCACTCGCTCTGTGGTTGAAGTTGGATTCATGATTGGACAGTACCTTTTATATGGATTTCACTTAGAGCCGCTATTTAAGTGCCATGGCCACCCGTGTCCAAATATAATCGACTGTTTTGTCTCAAGACCAACAGAAAAGACAATATTCCTATTATTTATGCAATCTATAGCCACTATTTCACTTTTCTTAAACATTCTTGAAATTTTCCACCTAGGTTTTAAAAAGATTAAAAGAGGGCTTTGGGGAAAATACAAGTTGAAGAAGGAACATAATGAATTCCATGCAAACAAGGCAAAACAAAATGTAGCCAAATACCAGAGCACATCTGCAAATTCACTGAAGCGACTCCCTTCTGCCCCTGATTATAATCTGTTAGTGGAAAAGCAAACACACACTGCAGTGTACCCTAGTTTAAATTCATCTTCTGTATTCCAGCCAAATCCTGACAATCATAGTGTAAATGATGAGAAATGCATTTTGGATGAACAGGAAACTGTACTTTCTAATGAGATTTCCACACTTAGTACTAGTTGTAGTCATTTTCAACACATCAGTTCAAACAATAACAAAGACACTCATAAAATATTTGGAAAAGAACTTAATGGTAACCAGTTAATGGAAAAAAGAGAAACTGAAGGCAAAGACAGCAAAAGGAACTACTACTCTAGAGGTCACCGTTCTATTCCAGGTGTTGCTATAGATGGAGAGAACAACATGAGGCAGTCACCCCAAACAGTTTTCTCCTTGCCAGCTAACTGCGATTGGAAACCGCGGTGGCTTAGAGCTACATGGGGTTCCTCTACAGAACATGAAAACCGGGGGTCACCTCCTAAAGGTAACCTCAAGGGCCAGTTCAGAAAGGGCACAGTCAGAACCCTTCCTCCTTCACAAGGAGATTCTCAATCACTTGACATTCCAAACACTGCTGATTCTTTGGGAGGGCTGTCCTTTGAGCCAGGGTTGGTCAGAACCTGTAATAATCCTGTTTGTCCTCCAAATCACGTAGTGTCCCTAACGAACAATCTCATTGGTAGGCGGGTTCCCACAGATCTTCAGATCTAAACAGCGGTTGGCTTTTAGACATTATATATATTATCAGAGAAGTAGCCTAGTGGTCGTGGGGCACAGAAAAAATAGATAGGGGCAGCTCTAAAGACCAGCTGTTAAGACAGACAACTGCAAACTCATTTAAGCAAGAGAAAAACAGCTCTAATTCGAGATTGTGAAGCAACACTTCTAAATTCAAAGACATAGAGTTGTCAAATCAGGATTTTTTTTTTTTTAAATGATATCCTTTCGAATGTAACTGATTTTGGGAAAATCACATGTTCAGAATTGAGGCTAAATGGTTTGATCAGGTTTTCTCTTTGAAGAGACCACAGCCTTAGGAAATGGTTCTTGATCTATACAATTCCACCTTGGACACTGGGTTAATTCTGTTTGCCCCTGGAACACAATCACGTAAGTTTCCTTCTAGACTGGCATCCTGATGTGTCTTGAGTATAATCACATGTTGCTACCTAGTAAATAAAATCTTAAGAAGATCCGTGGCTTTCCTTCACCAGTTCATAGCATCGTGATTCATTGCCCGGATTGGACTCGACTCTACTCACTGGACATCTAACCACTCCACTTAATTAACAATACCCACCCTACAGGGGTGTTGTAAGGATTAAAATTTAAAATACCCGTGTTTTCTACAGTGCCTGGCTCAAAAGCTACTGCAAGCTCGTTACTGCTCATCCTCCAGAGGCCCACATCAAGTCAGCCACGACTCAAGGAGACTCCAAAGATAAAAGCTGAAGCCAAAATATATGATTCTAAACACCCTCCTCGGCTACTGCAAAGCACTGTGAGCACTTTCTCAGGACGAGAGCCAAGAAGCCCAGCACCTATGGGTCACCACAGTTTCCGAGGTCCCAGATGAAAAAGATGCGCTCGCTACCACCGTGCGGCGGTCCTTTCTCTCGCAATAGTCTCAATGCTCCCGGGCCCTGCCTCCGGACGCCAGGACAGAGGTACCAAAATCTCACCTCCTGCAAAGAAACCTAATTGCTACGGGGGCCGGAAGAGGAAGAGGTGCGGCTCCGACAGCCAGAGGGGCGGGCATACGCAGCCTCCCTCGGCTCAGCCTGCTACTGGGGATGCAGAGCGTCCTGGTCGCCATGAAAACAGGCCACACCTCGGCGATCCCGGCCGGTGGTTTGCAAGTGCGCAGGCGCGCGCCCCCTTCCGCGCATGAGCAGTGCTGCTCCCAACCCGCCAGTCGCGGTCTCCGGCGCCAGCTACGCCGCTGCCGCTGTCACTATGGCCCATTACAAAGTGAGGGGGGCGCGGCGTGGCTGGGGGCATGCGGGCGGTAGCAAGCCGCTGGTCGGCTCTGGGTGGGAGTGGGGTCGCGCGCGCAGGTTTGGGCGGGAGGGCCCCGAGGTAGTGAGGCGGAGGCGGGGTTGCCGGACTCCCAGCGCCTTCTTCCTGCTCGGCTCCCGGGCTCTGGCCACTGACCCCCGGTGTCTCTTCAGGCCGCCGACTCGAAGCGTGAGCAGTTCCGGAGGTACTTGGAGAAGTCGGGGGTGCTGGACACGCTGACCAAGGGTGAGCCTGGGCTAGGAGAGGGTACCTCGTGCCCTCGTCGTGCTCCCCGGCGCTGCCCCGTTCCCCAGCGGGCCGTAGCGTGGGGAAGGAGGGGAAACAGATGGGGCCCGTCCGGGGTCCAGCGAGGTGGGCCTCGGGGTTCAGCAGGGACCTGGCTGCTGGACGCCGCCCGGGTGGGGTAGCCTAGCTCCGCTACCCTTCTCCGCACCGGGAGTGAAACTCTTGCAGCTGTTGCAAAGTCTCTTCAACTTCCGTTGCTTTGCCTCCAGCAGCCGCAGTGGACATGTTTGCCAAGGACCTTCAGATCCCAATTCCTCCCACCTTACGGTTTTTATGGAGTCCTCAGAATCTTGTTAAGAAAGTTTCCCTCCAACAAAGAGCAACTGGAAAAATGACCGAATTTCCAAGTGGGCTATGAAGTAGCTGAGTGAGCCTAATCCCCAAAGTAGGAGATTCATAGCGAATTTGGCTGTGGCTTTTCAGCCCCCATTCCTTAGTCTGTCTGTGTCAATTCTTATTTTGTGTATATTTCATAAAGTAGAATTACAGCTTAAAGAGCTCGAGGGCATATCAAGGTGGTTACATTGTTTTCACTTTTTAAAATGAAAGCTTACTGTTAACGCTGTATCTCTTCATTCGTGGCTTCAAGATCTAAGTTAAGTAGATGAGTAAAGTGTTGGAAACAGGAGGATTTCAAGGGGTAGGGTACAGTTTACTTTATTGGCTTAGCACTAATTTGAATGCCTGCTATGTGTCACTCAACTCACTGGGATATTCAAGGGTGTAGAATGGAATTGTTCGCAGGGATGAGGACTTGGGTCATATGAAACTAGGAAGTTTGGGAAGTGGGAAATAAATTGGTAACTGCCCTTTGGACAGAAGCAAAGTTTAGAGGAAAATTCTAGGAGCATAACTCCTGGGTCTTAGAAGAAAGAAGGCTAGTAATTTTGAATTGCTACCTATTTGGGGTTCAGATAATAGTTTACCTCTTTGCAAATAAACTTCAGCAAGTCTTAAGGGACTACTCTGTGAAAGTACTGTGCTATGTTGTCTCTGAAAGTGTCACAGATGCTTTGAATGTCATTCCGTCTAAAAACTCCTTACGTTCATTTCTTTCATTTAATAATTTTACTCAGGTGTCTGTTCTGCACACTGGAGATAAGCAGGGGAGGATAAAAGTCTCGGCTCTCATAAGCTTATATCCTAGTTGAGGGAGAGAAATACATAAATAAATATGTAGTGTCAGCTAGTGGTAAGTGGTACAGATAAAAATACAGCAAAGTTAGGGATAAAGAGTAACAGGTGAGGCCAGGCACGTGGCTCATGCCTGTAATCTCAGCACTTTGGGAGGCTGAGGTGGGTGGACTGCTAGAGGCCAGGAGCTCAAGACCAGCCTGGGCAACATGGCAAAACTCCCATCTCTTAAAAAAAAAAAAAAATTGCTGGGCATGGTGTGTGCCTGTAATCTAGCTACTGTGGAGGCTGAGGTGAGAGAATCACCTGAGCCCAGGAGGTCAAGGCTGCAGTGAGTTGTGATTGTGCCACTGGGCAACAGTGACACTCTGTCTCCAAAAAAAAAAAAAAAAAAAAGTGACAGGTGGGATGTGTGTGTCATTTTATATAGGGTGATGGGGGGAAGGCCTTTCTTAAGAAGTAATTTTTGACCAGAAACCTGAAAGAAACAGAGTTTCAGGAAGTCTAAGGAGGCCAGAGTGGTTGGATGGAGCAAGTGAAAGACTGAATGGTAAAAGGCAGAAAAATGACAGTTGTAGGCGGTAACTGACTACACAGAAGATGTTGCCCAGGCTGGAGTGCAGCGGCATGATCTCGGCTCACTGCAACCTCCACCTCCGGGTTCAAGCGATTGTGTTGCCTCAGCCTTCCAAGTAGCTGGGATTACAGGCATGTGCCACCATGCTTAGCTAATTTTTTGTATTTTTAGTAGAGAGGCGGTTTCACCACATGGGCCAGGCTGGTCTTGAACTCCTTACCTCAGGTGATCCGCTCACCTCAGCCCCGCAGAGTGCTGGGATTACAGGTGTGAGCCACCGCCCTCCACTAGAATTTAACCTCTCAATCTCCTTAGATTTCCAGGCTCCTAAATAACATCAGCCAACACAGTATTGATGTGATTTATTAAAAATTTGATTTTCAGCTCCAAACATAGGTGCTTTACACAATTCTATTTGTTTTTTTTTTTTTTTTTTTTTTTTTTTTTGAGACGGAGTCTCGCTCTGTCGCCCAGGCCGGACTGCGGACTGCAGTGGCGCAATCTCGGCTCACTGCAAGCTCCGCTTCCCGGGTTCACGCCATTCTCCTGCCTCAGCCTCCCGAGTAGCTGGGACTACAGGCGCCCGCCACCGCGCCCGGCTAATTTTTTGTATTTTTAGTAGAGACGGGGTTTCACCTTGTTAGCCAGGATGGTCTCGATCTCCTGACCTCATGATCCACCCGCCTCGGCCTCCCAAAGTGCTGGGATTACAGGCGTGAGCCACCGCGCCCGGCCTCTATTTGTTTTTACTTTTTATTTTTTTTGAGACAGAGTCTCACTCTGTCACCCAGGAATGCCTGGCCTCAAGTGATCCTTCTGCCTTAGCTTCCCCAAGTGTTGACGTTACAGGCGTGACCCACTGTGCCCAGCCTCACAAATTTAATTTACATATATATATTTTTTCGAGACAAGGTCTCTGTCGCCCAGACTGGAGTGCAGTGGTGCAGTCATGTCTCAGTGCAGTCTTAATCTCCCAGGTTCAAGCAATTCTCCCACCTCAGGCACCCAAGTAGCTGAGACTACAGGCACGCACCACCATGTCCGGCTGATTTTTAATTTTTTTTTTTTTTTTTTTTTGAGACGGAGTCTTGCTCTGTCACCCAGGCTGGAGTGCAGTGGTGCGATCTCTGCTCACTGCAAGCTCCGCCTCCCGGGTTCACACCATTCTCCTGCCTCAGCCTCCCAAGTAGCTGGGACTACAGGTGCCTGCCACCATGCCCGGCTAATTTTTTTTGTATTTTTAGTAGAGACGGGGTTTCACCATGTTAGCCAGGATGGTCTCAATCTCTTGACCTCATGATCTGCCTGCCTCGGCCTACCAAAGTGCTGGGATTATAGGCGTGAGCCATCATGCCTGGCCAATTTTTTTTTTTTTTTGTAGAGTTGGGGTGTTGCCCAGGTTGATCTCAAACTCCTGGGCTCAAGCAATCCTCCTGTCTTGGCCTCTCAAAGTGCTGGAATTTCAGGAATGAGCCACTTTGGCCTAAATTTTTACAGCTTATTTCCAAGATGATTTGAAATAGTTTATAACATTAAAACACTATGAAAGGATGGCTAAAGATGATAAATCATTTGGAAGCTGAAGCATTTTAGCTATTTTGAGCGCTATATCAACCTCTAAAAATCCTGGCTGCGAAGGCAAAAAGGGGAGCATGATTGGGTATAGAGTTCTTGTCTGATTACAAGGAAGTGCATTTCATCTATAGAACAGCACAGGAAACTTTGTATTTACAGTATCTTCTGCAACTATCAACCTTTCAAGTACCAGTGACAAATGAGAAGCTGAAAGAAATGGGGTGGGGGAATAAGAGGAGGAGAGAGTAGAGTATTAATATTCATGTCTTATAAAATGAGGATTTGGCCAGGTGTGGTGGCTCACACCTGTAATCCCAGAACTTTGGGAGGCTGAGGTGGGTGGATCACCTGAGGCTGGGAGTTCGAGACTAGCCTGACCAACACAGAGAAACCCCGTCTCTACTAAAAATACAAAATTAGCCGGGCATGGTGGCACATGCCTGTTATCCCAGCTACTAGAGAGGCTGAGGCAGGAGAATCGCTTGAACCTGGGAGGCGGGGGTTGTGGTGAGCCAAGATTATGCCATTGCACTCCAGCCTGGGCAACAAGAGCAAAACTCTATCTCAAAAAAAAAAACAAAAAAAAAAAACCAAATGAATTTCTCAAAAAATAGTGATTTTTTCATACTGTATATTATTTTGGTAAGTTATTAAAACTCTAAAAGAACAAAAGGGAAGTATGTAAGTTGGTTTACAACAGGACTTAACTTGGGGTCTAGATATCTATCACTGTTTTTTTGTTTGTTTGTTTTGTTTTTTTGTTTTTGAGACAGAGTCTTGCTCCATCGCCCAGGCTGGAGTGCAGTGGCACGATCTCGGCTCACTGCAAGCTCCGCCTCCTGGGTTGACGCCATTCTCCTGCCTCAGCCTCCTGAGTAGCTGGGACTACAGCCGCCCGCCACCACGCCTGGCTCATTTTTTGTATTTTTTAGTAGAGACGGGGTTTCACTGTGTTAGCCAGGATGGTCTTGATCTCCTGACTTCGTGATCTGCCCGCCTTGGCCTCCCAAAGTGCTGGGATTACAGGTGTGAGCCACTGCGCCCAGCCACATTTTTTTTGTGTGTGTTTACTTTTTTTGCTTTTATTAGATTTTTCAAAGGGTTCCATGCACAAAAAGGCCAACCACTGATTTAGAGTTTTTTATCTAAGTAGTAAATTCTAGGAGGAATTTGTTCCATAGATGAAGAGCAAGGCAGTGCTCATATGAGTGATTAGATATGAAACCACTCAAGTATATCTTATTTTAATGTTGATTTGAGCATGTTGACTACTGGTAAAGTTTTTGGTTGGTGGTTATTTAGCAAAACAAACTTAATTTTTAAGACCATTTTTGAATTCAGAGCTTCTTCCGGTAATTACCATAGTCCTGTTGATTCTTTCCTAAATTCTCGAATTTCTTTCTTCTCACTGTTCTCTCACTCCCATCACTCTACTGCAGGTTGCTGTCTTTTTAAACTGGATTACCACATCAGCCTTTTAACTGTTCTTCCTGTCTTTATCCTTGTCCCACTCCAGCTGGTCCACATAGCAGTTAAGAGTGGATCCTGTCACTCCCTTCCTTTAAACTGTTTAATTATGTGCCAACCAAATTTGCATGACTCTCCCTAATCTGGCCATGACCACCTTTCCAGCTTCCTTTCCTGCCAAATTACATCTCCAGCCATACTTGAATTTTCAGTTCCTCAATACATTGTTTTCTTGCTCCTGGGCCTTCCCATTTTATCTGAAACACTCAACCCCTAGGTATCAGGTCTTTGCCTTCCTTTAGGAAGCCTTCCCTGATGTCCTAGGTTTGCTTAGGTGTTCTTCCAGTGTGCTACTGCAACCCATTATCCAGTATTCCTGCTTGATACCCTCTGTCTAGTTCCTTGCATATCTTTTATGCTTGACTGTAAATTTGTTGAGAACAGGGACCTTGTCTGTCTTGTTCAGCATTGTATAGTCTTTGCAATGTGCTCAGCGTATAGTTGGCACCTAATATTTACTGGGTAATGGAACATAATTTCAGCCATTCAAATTTAATACGTCAATTGTTGCTTTTTCTGCTTTTTGATTTGCAGTGTTGGTAGCCTTATATGAAGAACCAGAGAAACCTAACAGTGCTTTGGAGTATCCTTTCAAG
The DNA here is from genome assembly GCF_000001405.40 of Homo sapiens. NCBI lineage: Eukaryota > Metazoa > Chordata > Mammalia > Primates > Hominidae > Homo > Homo sapiens. The sequence continues at coordinate 38,867,548 of NC_000001.11, read as the reverse complement.
TCAGAAAAAGGCTTTATTTTGAAACTCTTATTTTTTTAGATAGATAATAACCTTTAAAATACTTCTGAATATTGAGAAAGTTACTTTTTTTTTTTTTTTTTTGAGACGGAGTCTTGTACTGTCACCTGGTGGGGAATGCAGTGGCGCAATCTTGGCTTACTGCAACCTCCGCCTCCTGGCTTCAAGCGATTCTCCTGCCTCACGTCTCCCAAGTAGCTGGGATTACAGGTGCCCACCATCACACCCAGCTAATTTTTTTTATTTTTAGTAGAGACGGGGTTTCACTATGTTCATCACGTTGGTCTCAAACTCCTGACCTCGTGATGTGCCCACCTCAGCCTCCCAAAGTGCTGGGATTACAGGCGTGAGCAACCGCACCTGGCCAAGAAAGTTAGTTTCACTTGAGTTTTTGGATGGTGATCTCTGGGTAGATATTGGTGGTAAAGTGGGTGACTCTGGTCAGGGATATTGATACTACTCTGTGCTATTTCATTAGTTTCATTCATGTCTAAGAAGTAAGTTCTTAACATTGATAATAGTTTTTTAAAGCATCACTTAGGAGCTGCTACTCCAGAAAATCCAGAAATAGAGCTGCTTCGCCTAGAACTGGCCGAAATGAAAGAGAAGTATGAAGCTATTGTAGAAGAAAATAAAAAACTGAAAGCAAAGGTAAATTTTTAAAAAGAATTCATATTCAAATAATTTTACCTGTAATAATTGTATGATGAAAACCTCACTGAAATGGACAGGAGGGGAGGGAGGTGGGTGAATATCAATTTGAATTAATTACAATGTAAGGCCAAAGTTATGCCCTGTCAAGAAAACCACAAGACGGGCCTGGCACGGTGGCTTACGCCTGTAATCCCAGCACTTTGGGAGGCCGAGGTGGGTAGATCACGAGGTCAAGAGTTCGAGACCAGCCTGGTCAACATGGTGAAACCCTGTCTCTACTAAGAATACAAAAATTAGCCGGGCATGGTGGCATGTGCCCATAATCCCAGCTACTCGGGAGGCTGAGGCAGGAGAATCGCTTGAACCCGGCAGATGGAAGTTCCAGTGAGCCAAGATCGTGCCACTGTGCTCCAGCCTGGGTGACAGAACAAGACTTCATCTAGGGGGGTTAAAAAAAAAAAAAGAAAACCGCAAGACATACTGGAAATAGGACAAGCAAAGAAGCAAAGTGTGGTCAAGAAGAGGTTCTGGCTGGGTGCGGTGGCTCACGCCTATAATCCCAGCACTTTGGGAGGCTGAGGTGGGCAGATCACCTGCGGTCAGGTGTTCCAGATCAGCCTGGCCAGCATGGAGAAACCCCGTCTCTACTGAAAATACAAAATTAGCCGGGCTTGGTGGTGCATGCCTGTAATCTCAGCTACTTGGGAGGCTGAGGCAGGAGAATTGCTTGAACCCGGGAGGTGGAAGTTGCAGTGAGCCGAGACTGTGCCACTGCACTCCAGCCTGGGCAACAAGAATGAAACTCTGTCTCAAAAAAAAAAAAAAAAAAAAAGAGGTTCTTAGGAACCTGTATTACTAAAAGGATGAGAATATTGGTTAATGTTCTTTATAAGTAAATGGTCAGTTCTGAGGTTCTTAAGCAGTTGATTTTAAGTAGGCCAATATGGGGCGACTGCTTTGTAAATGGCACTTCTTAGAATTTGTATGGTTCATAGTTTGCAAGGCCATATGTAGCGGCCCTCTGTAAATTTGTTAGGACTTAATTTTATCTAGTGCTAAAGTTTTTTCTTTCTTTTTTTGAGACAGGTTCTCTGTTACCCAGGCTTGTGTGCAGTGGTGCAGTCATGTCTCACTGCAGCCTTGACTTCCCAGGCTCAAGTAATCCCCCCACCTCTGCCTCCTGAGTAGCTGGGACTGCAGGCATTTGCCACCATGCTCGGCTAATTTTTAAACTTTTTGTAGAAATGGGGTCCCATTATGTTGCCCTGGCTGGTCTCAAACTCATGACTCAAACGTTCCTCCTGGCCTGGCCTCCCGAAGTGTTGGGATTATAGGCATGAGCCACCTCACCCAGCCAGTTTTTTCTTTTTTCAAAGTCCTGTGAGAATTTTCATGAACTTCAAATTAGTCAACTCTTAAGTCTTTCAGGTCTTACCACATTCTTAATCACATAATGTATTTTACATTACTCTAAGTATTTCTCATAATATATTTTATCTTCTCAACAACTTTGTGAGATAAGTGAAACAAGTACACAAGCCACTTTATAGGTGAGGAAACGAAAGCACAGTGAAGTCTAATAAGCTTCTCAACTCCAACAGGTAGTTGGCAGAACCCTAATGTTAGCCTAGTGTTCTTGCAAGGAACCACACTTAGCATAAAAGAAAATGCAGTTATTTTAAATTATCCAAGATTCCACAATGTGTAGTGCTAGTTAACTCTTTGGAACCTTTTAACTCAAAGACATTAGTAGTTGTTTATTGGCTGGTTAAGTTAAGACATGTCACTTAACTCTTTATCTACTTTTCAGTGGGTATTTTCAGTAAACTTTTGCTGGAGAGGAAGAAAGTTCCTTATAAGCAAATGAATCTTTGGGAAGATATAGTTTATTGCATATCAAGTATTTGAACAGTGCAGTCATGAACTGGAATGAAATTTTAGTTTCAAAGCAATTTTAAAGGTTTATATAAAAAGGGCTTTCATTAGATTTGATTGTATTAAATCTTAAATCACTGAATGATTTAAAATGGATAGTTATAGAAACTGATATTAATACAATTTACTGACAGTAACTAAGTTGAATATAACAGTTACCTTGTTTTACTATTTTTTACTCAATTTAGAATAAAATTCACCTAAATTCCTCTGTCTTTGCCCCATAGCTTGCTCAGTATGAACCACCTCAGGAGGAGAAGCGTGCTGAATAGGATTCTTCTCAGTTTGAAAGACAATGAAAAATGGTTTTGTATGACTTGAATAGTTTGTATAGTATATAATCTTTTCTGAACAGATGCTATAGAACTCTTTTAATATGTTTAATTCACCTATCACACTCTGTTAAAAACACATAGAATCATCAATAAAAACTCAATATAACTTTCTTTGGGTCTTAAAGCAGGAGAATCCAAAGTAAATCCTGAACAAAACCTAAACACAGCCATCTAACTCATTACCTTAAAAGACATTCTGTTTATTAGTCTGATTAGGAATGATGGCACTGGTTGTATTTTAGCCAAGACAGTTTAGCATGGAGCTATTCCTTGGTGCAGTTCAGGATATGAACACAGGTACAGTCATTCTTTGAAGGTGACACTGTTCTGTATATTCCCTATAGGCAGCTGGAGAGATCTGTGTGACACAAGATGCTTTTGTACGGGTTCCCATGAATCTTCTGCTCTTGTTTGTGTGACATGGAACAAATAACTTCTTTGCCACCACTTTGCCTTAGATAACTGTGTGTGTGTGTGCCAGTTTGAACTCTGACACCACATTTTCCTTCTATGCAATCATGCCTGTCTGATAATCTTGCATTGCTTTCCTCTGAGCTTTAGTGGGTCCTAGTTGCACACTGGCCTTTCTGTGCTGTTTTTCAATTTGCCTAATAATAGCAGTTACCCTGATTGTAATTTATGTAACTTTAAACAGGATCACACTGTACCCCCTGCCTGCCTTATTTGCTTACTGAGCACAGGACAGAGGCAATATACAACTCTGGGTTCACACACAAGCTGAGATGAGAAGAGGAATGAGCCATATATTGGGGAAAATCATAGTTTGTAGGTATAATTATATAGTGCTTTTCTCCCTCAAAGTATTTTTCTAGCCTTGAATTCATTTTATCTTCATTATCCCTGTGAAGTAGGTGGGACAAGTATAAGGGGAAGAGGGGTGCTGAATTTTTAGGCCAAAGACTGATATTAATACAAATCACTCACTAACTGTAGAGCCTTGGGCATTATCAGTGAACTACTCTGAGATTTACTGTCTTCATCTGTTTAATGAGTAGAATGTCCGTGATGCCTACCTCACAGGGTTGTTGTGAGGGTCAAATGAGAATGTATGTGAAAGATTTGTAAATGGTAAAGCACTATATTCTTGTTTGTTAGTCCTTTTTCCTTTCTTTGGGTAGACCTACAGTCAGATGTTTTGTTTTATGGATCACTTATTTTCCTTACTGGTAGACTGTCGTTTTATAGACATATTCCTATTTCATATATTCTCTCCCTGTTGTTAGAGAACCTATCTTTGTTTTTGGTCAAAACACACATAGAAAACAAAATGATCCAATGAAAACTGGTTTAACTAGCAAAAGCCTTGGCACCTGTTGGAGACTATGACCAAGCCAATAAAAAGGGCATTTAAATCAGCCCTGTTAGTAGGAATGTGGCTATGGCTGGTGCCTCTTCTAGTCACAAGTTTGTTTTTGGAGGGGGTCCAGAAGATCATTCCCTTGCATAGATTTCTCTTTTACCAATTTGAGTGCCTCCTACATGGGCAGCAGTGGACTAAGTGCTGGGTGTGATAAAGAGGAATGACTTAATTATGAGACTGTATATAATCAAATACAGTGTGGGTTAGGACCTGTGGCAGACCATTATAATAAAGCATGGCCCCGTGAGGGTTTTGAAAGAGAGAGAGACTTGGCTTCCTTAGTTGGTATGATAGTTTCTTGGTAGATACAGGTTGAAAATTTTTTGTGGCAGCCAATCCTCATGGGCTTTTTACTCATTTGATTAGTATTAATATTTATGTCAGTAAGCCAGGTGACTGTGACTGTCTTTGGTACCATCCTTTTTGAACAGAAAGGCAACATGTGGGTTGGATAATCACACTTTTAGGTGAAACTGACTTGCTTAAACTGTAACAGTCAGTGCTATTTAAGAATTCAGGATAAGCTTAGCCTCTAGAGGTCCTCTTCAACATTTCTGTCAAGGATTTGGATGAATACAACAAGATGCTCCATGGAAGAGAAAATGGATAAATGGATCCCACCAGTTAAGCTCCTATTATGCTTCAGCTGCTTTGTCTATAAAATATCGACTTCACATCTTGCCTATCTCACAAGTTGGTTGTAAGAATCAAATTAAATATAATGGATGTAAAAGTGCCTTGCAAACTGTAAAGGATTACATACAGACCAGATGGTGGTAGTGCCAAATCTGTAAGTGACACAAATTGGAAAGTCTGGTTGGAAGACTATATTGAAACAAGCTTTAAAATGATTAACCACGTGGAATACCCAAACTGCTGGGCCTAAACCAAAAAGTTGAAGTATCAAGTCTTACATTTAGGTTAAAAAATGCAGTTATACACATTTAGGCACTAGGATTGCTGACAAAGTATTAGTTACAGTGATTATCAATGTGACCCACCCTATGGATGCTTAAAAAAAATTACATTCTGGAAAGCAGGAATAGAAATACTGTCTAGGTGTTAAATGGTCATTCTGAAAGTTGTACTGTTTAGTATTGCTTTGTAGGAGTCAGATGTTTGATGGATATTGACAAGCTGGAATGCATATAAAGAGTGACCAATAGAGGATTTGAATATATAAGGCTGGGCTCTCCGATTTGGTACACACTAGCTGCAAGTGGCAGTTAAAAATTTAAGTTCCTGGTGGGGTGCCGTGGCTCACACCTGTAATCTCAGCATTTTGGGAGGCCATGGAGGGTGGATCTTGAGGTCAAGAGATAGAAACCATCCTGGCCAACATGGTGGAACCCCGTCTGTACTAAAAATAAAAAAATTAGCCGGGTGTGGTGGTGGGCACCTGTAGTCCCAGCTACTCAGGAGGCTGAGGCAGGAGAATCGCTTGAACCCGGGAGGTAGAGGTTGCAGTGAGCTGAGATCGCGCCACTGCACTCCAGCCTGGCGACAGAGCGAGACTCCATCTCAAAAAAAAAAAAAAAAAAAAAAAAAAAAATTCCTCAGTTACACTAGCAACAATTCAAGTGCTTATTCCTCATAGGACTAGCGGCTACATGTTTGACAGTGCAGATAAAGAACATGTCTATCATGTATATCAGTTGTATTGAACAGCACGATAGGAATGGTTGAAACTGAGGATGTTCAGCAAGGAACAGAGAAGACTTAGTGGGTAATGAATACTGCAATCTGGTATTTGAAGGGCTGTCATGAAAAAGGTGAAGACTATTCCTATTTTATTCTATTATAGGCTTCAGGGAGTGTGGTTTGGCTTTAAGACTTTTTTTTTTTTTTGAGACGGAGTCTCGCTCTGTCGCCAAGGCTGGAGTGCGGTGGCGCGATCTCGGCTCACTGCAAGCTCCGCCTCCTGGGTTCAAGCCATTCTCCTGCCTCAGCCTCCCGAGTAGCTGGGACTACAGGCGCCCGCCACCACGCCCGGCTAATTTTTTGTATTTTTTTAAGTAGAGATGGGGTTTCACCATGTTAGCCAGGATGGTCTCGATCTCCTGACCTCATGATCCGCCCGCCTCTGCCTCCCAAAGTGCTGGGATTACAAGCGTGAGCCACCGCGCGGCCGGCTTTAACAATTTTTAAACAAAGGTTTACCACAGTGGAGTTGGCTGCCTTTCGAGATGGTGAGCTCTTTTACCTTCGAACTATTTAAGTGCATTCTGCATGTCTATTAGACACTATAGAGTTGGTTCGTTTTAGGTGAGAGGTTGGGCTAGATGACCTCTAAGGGTGTATCCTACCTCTAACTTCTGGGTTCAGACAAAACCAAAGTCCCAGACCTGCCCGCATGTGCGAATTTTTCCTTCATAATCAAGAAGTCAGTCTCCTTGGAGGGCTGGGAGCACCCCCACTCCTGTACTTTAAAAAGTGTATAGGGCTGTGCTTTAAGAGGATCCTCTTCTCAAACTTCCAGTTCTAGAGCCTGATTATCAAAAATAAAAATTCCTCTAGATTTCTCGGACATATTTGGTGACAAGCATTTGCTTTTGTTTGCTTTCATTATTCAATACTTTGGTCTCTAATCTGAACGAGGTCATAGAAGAGGCAGTGTTCTATGGGGGATGGAATTCCTAGAGTAGACTTTGACAAGGCGGGAAGGAGGGCAAATTGAGTCCCGTTGGGTTTGAAGTGGCAGCAGTATCCACTATCGGCGACTTACTGAAGAAAGAAGATAAGATGTTCTAGCTTGGCTGCATCTGCTTTCCCATCAGGGTCCAGCTACCTGCTAGAACAAACTATCACGGTGACCCATGACTCTGCCTTGGTTGAGGTTTGCCCTCAGTGTGGCTGGCTCCCCCATACCTTTGCACATCCCAATCTATCCATCCACCTAGATCTGCTCAGACGCTTTCTCATTCAACTCCCGAGCATTATTTATCCGTGACCTTCCCACATAATATTTCGTAGCGAGGTTACTTACGCAGAGGTCCGATCTCTCTGTTCATCTTCAAGCAACCTGAAGGCAGGCAGGGTCTGCGTCGGATCCAGTTCTGTGCCCCTTGGTAGGCACCCAGGACACTGCAGGCATCAATAAATATCGGTTGGGCAAGTACAGTTGCAGGATGAGGACAATCAATTCTTCCTCAAATGCCGGGAGAGCATCTCCATAGCGGTGCTCTGGGAGCCCGGAAGAAGGCAGGGGAGCGGTGCAGACAGCGTTGTATGCGGGCCGGGGCGGAGGGCTGAGGGCCCGAGCCGGGGCTAGAGGCGCGGCCGGGCCGCCCTCCTCGTGACTCCTCCTCCCCCCTCCGCGGCTCTGAGTCAGGTGATTCCGGCACGTGACGGGGCACCACCTACCCTGCTGCTCTCGAGTAGCAGCTCGGGCGGCCAATAAGCGGCTGGGCTTCGGCTCGGGGCCTATGAGAGCCGGGCTCCGGGGGGCGGGCCGGACTGTGGCGGCTGCCGGGGGCGGTGGCGGTGGTGGCGGCGGCGGCGGAGGCGGACTGGGGAGGCGGCGGCCTGGCTCGGCCTGGCCTGGCCTGTCAGGGCGCGGGCGGCGGCGGCTCCAGCACCATGTCCCTGCAGTACGGGGCGGAGGAGACGCCCCTCGCCGGCAGTTACGGCGCGGCCGATTCGTTTCCAAAGGACTTCGGCTACGGCGTGGAGGAGGAGGAAGAGGAGGCGGCGGCGGCGGGCGGAGGGGTTGGGGCAGGGGCAGGCGGTGGCTGTGGTCCGGGGGGCGCTGACAGCTCCAAGCCGAGGATTCTGCTCATGGGACTCCGGCGCAGCGGCAAGTCCTCCATCCAGAAGGTGAGCAGGGCTGCGCCCAGTCCCCCGCCCCCTCCCCGGTTCTCAGGTGGCCGGTAGCGGGGACGCCCGGGAGGGCGGCGGCCGGGGCCCGCCTGCGCTCCGTCCCTCCGCACTTTCTCTTCCACTCTTGCGAGCGCACAGGCGCGGCCCGCGCGGGGACCCCGACCTCTGTGTCCACGCCCAAGTCAGCTGAAGCCAAGTGGAGCGCTGAAGGCGAAACTGGTTGCCGGGAGGCAGGTGCCCGGTGGCACCGCCCAAGACCTCCGCCCCCTGGGACCCAGCTCCTGTGTCATTTACGAAACTGAGACGTACTCTCCAGTTCTCACTTGGAGAACTTCGTGGACTCCCTCCCCTGGCCCGTTTTGATTTGTTCTCACTTCAGGTGACCTGAGTGTTTCGGGATTCCCAGCAGAGCCCCAGGGAGCAGCGTCAGGAAGAGTTGTGACTAAGACACTGGGCGTTGTAATTCTCGCTACTGATGTGAAGGAGACTTCGCTGTAGCATTACTGGGAATTGGGTAGTGAGATTGCACCCATTTCAGTAGTTGTGGCCTGGTGAATGTAATTACTGGTGCTGTTCCCCCTGTAGGGGTGTGTTTTTAAAAATCTGAGACTTTGAGAATATTTTGCAGACCTAGTCTGTTTGTTTTCACTTTTGGGCCTTCATGAACAAATGGAGGGCTGTACACGTTTGTTTGTTTATGTTTTTGAGACGGAGTCTCTCGCTCTGTCGCCCAGGCTGGAGAATGCAGTGGTGCAATCTCGGCTCACTGCAACCTCCACCTCCCTGGTTCAAGTAATTCTCCCGCCTCAGCCTCCCGAATAGCTGGGATTACAGGCGCGCGCCACCACGCCCGGCTAATTATTGTATTTTTAGTAGAGACGGGGTTTCACCATGTTGGCCAGGGTCATCTCGAACTGCTGACCTCAAGTGATCATCCGCCTTGGCCTCCCAAAGTGCTGGGATTACAGGTGTGAGTCACCACGCTGGCCTACACTGTTTAGTGAGGGTTAAATAGAGGCAAGGTTGACTTCCTCCATCAGCCAAACCCATTATACGCGGAGTGAGCTGGTAATAAAACTAGTATCAGCAGGCACCTGGTCTTTTCACCTCTCCACTCTGTTGCAAAGGCCTATCCAAAATAAATCTGTGATTTTTTTTTCTTTCTGAATCTGTGATATTTTGTAGATGGGATCTTTTTAAAAAGCAGCGTTCTTCCAGGTTTGCTGGAGTACTGTGTTTTATTTACCTTGATTTTCACCTCTACAGCAAAACTTGGGTACGTTGACTGTAGGTTTTTAGTAAACTAATTTCAGTTATTCACATTTGTTACTGAGAAAACCTTGAGAGTAATTGTTCACTTTTCTCTTCTAGACAGTAAGAGGCAAAGTAGTTTTATGTTAGAACTGTGTAGGTTGTGATTATTGTGATCCTTTTTTTTTTGTTTGTTTGTTATGGAGTCTTGCTCATCGCCCAGGCTGGAGGGCAGTGGTGTGATCTTCACTCACTGCAGCCTCCACCTCCTGGGTTCAAGTGATTCTCCTGCCTCAGCTTCCCAAGTAGCTGGGACTACAGGCGTGCACCACCACGCCCGACTAATTTTGGTATTTTTAGTGGGGATGGGGTTTCACCATATTGGTCAGGCTGGTCTCGAACTCCTGACCTCAAGTGATCCGCCCGCCTCGGCCGCCTAAAGTGCTGGGATTGAAGGCGTGAGCCACCGCACCCGGGCCGATTATTGTGACTCTTAACAATTGCCTTTACGTTTCTTTTCTCATGAGAGCTATCTTTTCCCTGTCAGTCCCCGTGGCCTCCCCCTGGACGTTTTCACTTTCTACTTGGTATAGTTACTGCCCTTCTTAGACTGCAAAGTCAGTGAGGGCAGAGTCCAGTCTGTTTCACTTTTTAAATTACTCCTCAGAGCCTGAGGTAGGCATTCAAGTAATTTTTGAATAAACCAGACTTCTTAAGCTTTAGCTGTAAGACTTTTATAATCTTAAAGCAGATTTTGGTAGAATTAATGTTAGCTTTCCCCCAGAAAAACTAATGGAGGTGATAGAGATTGCTACTATTAGTACTGAGTATGGTGCATAGAACATAGGAGAAAAGATTTAGCTCCAAAATAGATTTAATGGAAATTAATTTGGTGTCTTCTTTTGTCAAAAATAAAGGGATAGTGAATACCAATGGATTCACCATTCAGTTTCTACTTTTCAAAAAAAATTTTTTTTTGTGGGATCAAATGTTTAAATGTTAAACCAGGGTGGAATTTTAAATTTAAATTCTGAAGTTTAATAGTCATAAAATTGCCTGTTTTCTTTTAACAGGTGGTGTTTCATAAGATGTCACCCAACGAGACCCTCTTTTTGGAAAGTACCAACAAGATTTATAAGGATGACATTTCCAATAGCTCCTTTGTGAATTTCCAGATATGGGATTTTCCTGGGCAAATGGACTTTTTTGACCCAACCTTTGACTATGAGATGATCTTCAGGGGAACAGGAGCATTGATATACGTCATTGACGCACAGGTAGTCAGTAATGTGTTTACTCCTCTTTCCTGGTGGGAAAAAGATGTAGAAACAAAGGAAAGTTGTTTATCTTCTTTGTCATGTGGTTGCAGCTTATCTCTTTGGCAGTAGATTCCCTAACAGTGTAAGAGATGCAGTTGCAGAGTGCTTTGGGAGCAGACATGCATTGTGCAGGTACAGAATATCAGATGATTAGGAGATATGGTTTACATCCTTGAGTCCTAGTTGATGAGCAGCTAACATTGGCTTTCCACTTTTATTGGTTGCCATATTTTATAATAATTTTATAATAATAGTGATGTTATTCCCTGAAAATATCCCATCCCATAACATAAAGAGGAATATGAGAACTGAGTCAGTAGATATTAGAGTGAATAGTTTACTTAATTGTCAAAATTGAGTTTAGCTCAACAAACATTTATGGAGGGCCTAGCATGTGGCAGTCAGTGAGATGAATGGGGCAAGTCCCTATCCTTTAAGAAGCTTACTTTTTATAAGCTTAAGCATTAGTTAAGAATGCTTTCTGAGTGATAGGCTCTACAGAGGGTGCCTTCACGTACAGGACCTAATTAATTTAAGCTTCACAATATTGTTAGGTAGGTATTGTAATTCTGATCTTACAGATGAGAAAACTGAGATCAGAGTTTAAGCAGCTTGCTTAAAGTGACACACTGAATAAATGGCAGAGCTGGGATTACTTAAAAAAATTATGTTGGGAAAAAATGTTCATATCATTTTTTTCTTTCTTAAATTAATATTAAAAATTACAAGCATTAACTTGGTAATTGAATTTTTTTATCTTGAGACAATTGAAGAGTTATTTAGTAGTATAGTATATTTGAATGTTTGAATATTGATGATAATTAGGATAGTATTTTTCTGTGGTTGGGGAAAGAGGTGGTTTGAGGCTTTAACTCATTACTTGGCTTTTGTAAGATTTATTTTAAAAAATATTTTGTTCTGACTTACAGGATGACTACATGGAGGCTTTAACAAGACTTCACATTACTGTTTCTAAAGCCTACAAAGTTAACCCAGACATGAATTTTGAGGTTTTTATTCACAAAGTTGATGGTCTGTCTGATGATCACAAAATAGAAACACAGAGGGACATTCATCAAAGGGCCAATGATGACCTTGCAGATGCTGGGCTAGAAAAACTCCATCTTAGGTAACAACATGTGTGTTTGATATGAAAGCCCTGAACAAGGTGTAAATGTATTCCCATCTCTGTCATTACAAACACCATAGCTTTCTGCTACCTGTGTGCCCTTTGCCACATCTTTTATGTTTTTGATCTTGTTGTTGAATTCCAGGCTGTCTGGGGAGCCTGATATTGAGAAATTACCCACTTTTTGCGTTTTCCTGGAGATTGAAGTCATGTGAAGTGTTTCCACTGGTGCTTTTCCAAATTCATCTCAAGAGACTGGAGTCAGGCTGTTTCTTCATGGCATAAATCTGCTTTGGGACTCCTTCCTCTTGGTTTCATTACTTTTCCCCGCCTTGCATCAGTGAAGTGAATCTGTCACATTTGTTGTGGAAGTCTTTAGCTTGAGTCTTAGACAGTATCTTTCTCAGTAGGAACAGCCTTATACAGAGAGTGCACTTTCAAATCTGGACTGACTCTTTTTATTTTTCATTTTTATTTTTCCTGCTGGCTCCCTTCCACCTCCCCCCTGGACTGACTGTAATATATCTTAGCTTTTAAAACACTTTATACTTTTATGAAACTCTATAAAGTTTGGCTTAGGTGGGTTTATCTTATAAATGTGCATAAGGCTGCTATTAAATTTAGAGGACTATTGGTTTGTAACTACTGTTAAGAAATTATTATTAAATAATACCTACTTGATAGGATTGATTTGTGTATTTGCATTCTAAAAGTGTATGAGGAATATTTTTGTACATCTTATTTTATTTGGTGATATAGGTAGAAATGAGTATTAAAAAGTACCCAAGAAAATATTCTCTTGACGATAGAAGTAGCTTAAAGAGGGAGAAGGGGAGAGAGACAGCAAGTTATTTCTCTGTCCCCGTTCTATTGTTGTGACTTCTTTATGGGCTCAAGCTAACTGCTATCCCTCCCCCTAAAATTCTCTGGGTCTCAGGCTCCAAGATCTTTCAGTTATTCTTCTAGGAAACCATGTCGAAAAGTCTCATTGACCTCTAGTTTGCCTGGATTAAATTTCTAAATAATTTGAAAATAATTCATGTTAAAAAAATAAAAATTCAGCAATGTTTGTAGGAGAAAATGTAAGTGGCTCTCCACAAAAATTCAGTCTTATTTTTTTGGGAATCCACTGCTAATAGTTTTTTACCTGGATTTTGAGCCGTTCTTGTCCTGTGTTCCCCAGTGCTCCATGGGGATCCTTCTGATTCTCTTTACTCCGTGTCTGTGTTCCTTTCCAGGGCATCCCACCCTAGTGGTACATGCCATCCCTTTCCTCAGTACCATGTAGGGTCCTAGACCTTGTTAACTTCAGTAGAATGTTGCATCAAGCTTTTATTTAGGCCAGGCATAGTGGCTTATGCCTATAATCCCAGCACTTTGGGAGGCCGAGGCAGGCAGATCACTTGAGGCCAGGAGTTTGAGACCAGCCTGGCCAACATGGCGAAACTCCGTCTCTACTAAAAATACAAAAAATTAGCCGGGCATTGTGGTGTGTGCCTGTAGTCCCAGCTACTTGGGAGGCTGAGAGAGGAGAATCGCTTGAACCCAGGAGGTGGAGGTTGCAGTGAGCCAAGATCGTGCCACTGGACTCCAGCCTGGGTGACAGAGCAAGACTCCGTCTCAAAAAAAAAAAAAAAAAAAAGACTTTTATTTAGTACTAGCAGTCCTATGGATGAAGCTCCTTTTCATTTCCAGTTTCTAGAAACTCAGTTTACTAAAATGCCCTGTGACTTGCAGGTTCTCCCTGTCCCCATTTACCTCAAGCCTCAAAGGTGCGGGACATTCTTTCTTTGCTCACCTTTTGGCCTACAGGAAACACTAAAATATTCCTTTCTCCCTAGTATCTATGGGGTCATCTTGGCCTTACCTGTTCCAGTGCTCTTACATCTAGATTAGACCCCTGTCTTGCTAGATTAGGTTCTTAGGTCAGCTCCTTGAAAGTATTTTTTTTTTTTTTTTTGAGATGGAGTTTCACTCTTGTTGCCCAGGCTGGAGTGCAATGATGCCATCTCGGCTCACCGCAACCTCTGCCTCCCTGGTTCAAGCGATTCTCCTGCCTGAGCCTCCCAAGTAGCTGGGATTACAGGCATGCGCCACCACGCCTGGCTAATTTTTTGTATTTTTAGTAGACATGGGGTTTCTCCATGTTGGTCCGGCTGATCTCGAACTCCCGACCTCAAGTGGTCCACCTGCCTTGGCCTCCCAAAGTGCTGGGATTACAGGCGTGAGCCATCGCGCCCAGCTGAAAGTATCTTTAAATTACCTATAAAGTTCTGTGTCTCTGATGTTATATATACGTATAAATGTGTGGTGGATGCGACTATATAATGAAGATTGTACTCCCTGAGTTATAAAGCAGATAGAATTGTTGACAGTGTTTAAATTGTTAAAGGCTTCCCTCTCAAATACGTGTTTTATTGAATCTACATGTGTTACTTCTCCACCGTAAGTCCTTTTAGGCCTCCAGACTCCTGTAGATTCCTCCATTCTCTGTAGAGTCCCGACTCCCATCCTGTTTAATATGCTCTTTACATAAATTGTAAACACCAATTGTATTCATTTGTTTATTCAGCAGATACTTATGAGCACTGTTCAGGGAAGTGGGCTTGCTGCTAGGAGCGAGACTGACAAAGTCTCTTTCCCCTGGAACTTAACATTTTCAGTGACACAGCTCAGAAGCACCTAAATGAATGTATAGTATCGTTTTAAGTACTTACCAGTGGTGTGAAGAAAAACAAATTAGGGGAAAGGGGTTGAAAGCCTTGGGTACACGAGTGCTATTTTAGGTAGGCTGGTCTGGAAAGAACTTTTTGAGGTGACATTTTAGTAGAAACCTGAATTATGTTCTTATTTAATAAATGTCACATAACTCTTCTAGTTTTCTCGGTTTTAGTCTTATTTTTGGTCTCAGTTATGTGCTTAAAAAAAGCTTTTTGGATCAGATTGCAAAGACTTCGGTGAATATTGGAGTTTATGTACCTGAAAATCCTTTTCTCAGTACTACTTCAGTTGCCCCCTGTGTAAATGCAGTAAAGAGATGAAGCCAGGTGGGAAAGTGTATTTGTCATCTTGAGTGATGGGTATGGTAGACAAGATAAAGAGGCTTTATTGAACTCACTGAAATCAAATGTTAAGAAACTTAAAATTTTATGTATTATAATAGTTGTCATAGAACATAAGGTATTTTTCAAATTAATCAAGCTATGTTGTGTTTTTCAGCTTTTATCTGACTAGTATCTATGACCATTCAATATTTGAAGCCTTTAGTAAGGTGGTGCAGAAACTCATTCCACAACTGCCGACCTTGGAAAACCTATTAAATATCTTTATATCAGTAAGTGAGCAATTTATATTTAATTCACTGCAGCTTCTGATTCCATTTTTGGGAATATATTTGTGTTTTCAAATTTTCCAAAAAAGTCTTGAATTAATCTGTATCAAGTACAAAGACTAGTGACCCACTTAACATGTAAAATAAATGATAACATATTATTCAAGTTATTTTCTGAATTCTTAAATAGATGTTGATGTCAACGTGTAATTCTTTTATGGTTTGTAAATTGCCACATAACGCCTTTCTTGATAGCAAAGTAATTCAAATCAGAGATGGTTTATATTAATAAGAGGATTATTGAAAATGTAGCATTGCTTGATTTTTAGAGATTTTTGTTAAATTTTTTGTGATGTCTTAGAAAACAATTCATTTGAGTAAAGAGGAAGAAGAAGATTTGACTTAGGAAATTGTGTCAGTAAATCAGAGTAGAGAAATAATTCCTCTTTCATTCTTTGGATAATAGAAGAGTCTCTCAAGCAAGTGCTATTTGTTTTTTGGTATTGGGTTATATAATTAAAAATGACCTTGGATGTTATTCAGTAATTCTAGATCTTCGATAAGTTGTAAATTGTGATTCTTAAAAAATACTGAACAGTTTCCCATTTGTTTTTCCAAGAATTCAGGTATTGAAAAAGCTTTTCTCTTTGATGTTGTCAGCAAAATCTACATTGCAACAGACAGTTCCCCTGTGGATATGCAATCTTATGAACTTTGCTGTGACATGATCGATGTTGTAATTGATGTGTCTTGTATATATGGGTAAGTTATGTATATATTCCTGCAATATCTCAGACAGGCGGAAAACTATTAACTTGATTTGTTCAGAAGACTAATTTCTGAGGCCCCTGGCAAGTGGTACTACATGAACTGGGATTGTTCTGACCATAGTGCTTTAACTTGGAGCATGATTTCTCTGGAAGTTGGCTGCTGGGTCTTACTCCTTCGGAGAATGGCTAAGAAAAGTTGGAAAGCATGACTAGAACTGGACTTGTTTATCACTGCAAGTTTCTCCCACTGTTGTGGGGATGGGGGAGGGTTGCACTGTGTCTTCTCACTACTGGAACTTAGTTAGATTGAAAAACTAGATTAATTTAAAATGGTCTGAATAACAAAGTAAGTTCTGGTTCCTGATTTAACCTCAGGCTTTGTGGAATTAGGGATTCTTAATCTTTCAGAGAGCAAAGAAAGTAATTAGAATTTTGGATGTTGGAAGAACTTATAAAAATCTGACCCATATATACAAGTTTCCAAAATAAATCTCTAAAATTTGAGCTCCTCCTTTATGTAAATTTGCCAAACTCGCTATAGAAATTTATGAAAGCCAGCCAGCAAGTGATTTTGTAGAATAGGCCAGAGGACTGGTGAAAACTTTGGAGAATTACTGGCTTTTCAAAAGCTGATAATGGCCAGGTGTGGTGGCTTGTGCCCATAATCCCAGATGTTTGGAAGCCTGGGGTGAGAGGATCGCTTGGGGCCAGGAGTTGGAGACCAGTCTGGGCAACATAGACCTCAGCTTTACCAAAAAAAAACAACAAAAAAAGAGTTAATAACATTCTCTGTACCCTCTGACTTCCTAGATTCCCCTGGTATATTAACATCAGCACTCTCAAGTTGCTTTTCAGATGTTTTAGCATTATCTTTGCTTTCTACTACCTGTGTCTTCTCTCTGCTCCATCTAGTCTAAATATCTCTTTCACCTCTGACTCTGCCCTTCATTTTGGTCTTTTGCTTAATTTCTCCAGCTGCCTCTGAGTAGGAGAGTACATTTGTCTTACCTATTCTATATCTGTCTATTCCTTTAACTTTTATGATTATATGCTCTCTTTTGTTATTTATTTATTTATTTATTTATTTATTTATTAAACGGAGTCTTGCTCCGTCGCCCAGGCTGGAGTGTGGTGGCGCGATCTTGGCTCACTGCAAGCTCCACCTCCCAGGTTCACGCCACTTTCCTGCCTCAGCCTCCTGAGTAGCTGGGACTACAGGTGCCCGCCACAACGCCTGGCTAATTTTTTGTATTTTTAGTAGAGACGGGATTCCACCATGTTAACCAGGATGGTCTCGATCGATTTCCTGACCTTGTGATCCACCCGCCTCGGCCTCCCAAAGTGCTGGGATTACAGGTGTGAGCCACCGCACCTGGCCTTTTTTGTTTTGTTTTGTTTTTTGAAAAAGAGTCTCGCTCTGTTGCCCAGACTGGAGTGCAGTGGTGAGATCTCAGCTCACTGCAATCTCCGCCTCCTGGGTTCAAACGATTCTCCTGCGTCAGCCTCCCGAGTAGCTGGGATTATAGGTGCCTGCCACCATACCCGGCTAATTTTTTATATTTTTGGTAGAGATTGGGTTTCACCATGTTGGCCAGGCTGGTCTCGAACTCCTGACCTCGTGATCCACCCGCCGTGGCCTCCCAAAGCGCTGGGATTACAGGCATGAGCCACCATGCCTGGCTTGTTTTAATTCTTTACATAATCAAAATGAGACATTGTCAGTTTATTATATATTTTAGGATAGTTTCATATTTCCCACTTCTAATTTAAACAATGGATGAGTAGAACGTTTGCTTTTTCTTTAAAACAAATCAAAATTTCATAAACCAACTTTTTCATAATACAAAAATCAAATTTAACTGTAAAATTTATTTTCAATGTTAGATACATGTTATTTATTTTATTTATTTATTTTTTTGAGACAGAGTCTCACTCTTGTCGCCCAGGCTGGAGTGCAGTGGTGTGATCTGGGCTCACTGCAACCTCTGCCTCCCGGATTCAAGCAGTTCTCCTGCCTCAGCCTCCCGAGTAGCTGGGATTACAGGGGTGCACCACCACGCCTGGCTGATTTTGTATTTTTAGTAGAGACAGGGTTTTACCATGTTGGCCAGGCTGGTCTCGAACTCCTGGCCTCAGGTAATCCACCTGCCTTGGCCTCTCAAAGTGCTGGGATTACAGGCGTGAGCTACCACTCCCAGCCAATACATTTTAAAATACCTTATACATAATAAAGTACATTATATTAGCTGGATGTGGTAGTGTCCACCTGTAGTCCTAGCTAAATTTGGGGGATTAAGCAGAAGGATGAGGCAGGAGAATTACTTGATCCCAGGAGTTCCAGGCTGCAGTGAGCTATGATTGCATCACTGCACTCCAGCCACGGGTCACTGCAGCCTCAATCTCCTGGACTCAAGTGATCCTCCCACCTCAGCCTCCTGAGTAGCTGGGACTACAGCCGCACACCACACCATACCCAGCTAACCTTTTTTTTTTCTTTTTTTTTTTTGAGACATGGTCTGTCACTAAGGCTGAAGTGTAGTGGTACAATGACAGCTCATTGCAGCCTCTGCCTCCCAGGCTCAAGTGATGCTCCTGACTACAGGCGTGTGCCATCATGCCTGGCTGAGTTTTGATTTTTGTGGAGATGGGGTCTCACTATGTTGCCTAGGCTGGTCTTGAATTCCTGGACTCAAGTGATTCTCCTGTCTTGGTTTCCCAAAGTGCTGGGATTACAAGTGTGAACCATTGCAGCTGGCCTTTTTTGTTTTTTTAATTTTACTTTTTTGTAGAGACAGGGTCTCATAGTGTTACCCAGGCTGGTATCGAACTCCTGGCCTTAAGCAATATTCCCGTCTTAGTCTCCCAAAGTGCTGGGATTACAGGCATGAGCCACCACTCTTGGCCTGCCTTGGCATTATTTTGATTAAGATTAGCATATTTTCCTAATAGTCTTAAAAACTGTTAAAACAGATAAATGTAGAAAGCAGATCTTATGCTTTACAGATTCTGAGCAAGCATTTTAAGGTCATTAACATATTTTTATTCTTAATTTTATTAATCACAGCCAAATCAAGTCACTCTAATCTCCAGACTTTGAATAGAATGTGCCTTTCTTATTTCTTTCTCATGTTAGTGTGTGATTCAAGATCATATGCTGGCTTGACATTAGGAGCTTTATAGTTTTTTACAGTTGCTGGCTGTGGGTACTGGTTTAGGGAATCATCTTTAGGGTTGTCTATGTTGGAACCTGTTGTCAGAGTTAGTTCTTGTTCTCACTTTCCATGTGGCACAGAAAAAGATCTACATGGGGCATCTTAACTATAAGCTGAGAACATGTAGCACTTATAACTTCCTCTTCTCCAATTAGAAGGAAGTAGTTTTCTTCTATACTCTTAAAAGCAAATGACACCAACTTCCCCTCCACTCTGCCGTCCCAAATTAACTTTATATTAGTTAAGGTACTGGAAACTGCATGGAATTGAGTTAAAAACCCTAAGTTTGAGTCCTGACTTTGCCAGGAGATTACTTCATTTTTAATGAACTTCAGTTCCTACCTTTTTTTTTTTTTTTTTTGAGATAGGGTCTCTGTTGCCCAAGCTGGAGTGCAGTAGTGAACACAGCTCACTGCAGCCTCGACCTCCTGGGCTCAAGCTGTCCTCCTTCAGCCTCCTGTGTAGCCAGGAGCACAGGCGTGTGCCACTGCACCTGGCTAACTTTTGGATATTTTTGTAGAGATGGAGTCTCACTTTGTTGCCCAGACTGGTTTTGAACTCCAGGGCTAAAGTGATCCTCCTTGGCCTCCCAAAGTGTTGGGATTACAGGTGTATGCCATGTGCCTGGCCTCTGTATCTTTTCAATGGGCATAGTCCTCTTGTATTTATGTAGTTTACTTTCGCTTGTTGCAGAAAGGACATAATGTGGTTAAATAGGGCTATAGTAATAATTCGTGTCCTCAGGGTTGTTGTGAGGATCAAAGAAATGTATGAGAAGGTAAACTGCAAGGTTCAGAATAGTAAAAATAAGCCCCCACTTCATGAAAAAAAAAATACACGGAAAATATAGAGAAATGAAAATAGGAGTAAAGAGCCACTACTCAAGTCAACCACTAACAACTGTTTTAGTGTTATTTCTGTCACCTTAAAATTGTGTGTGTGTGTGTGTGTGTGTGTGTGTGTTCTTGTGTTGCCTAGGCTGGTCTTGAATTCCAAAGCTCAAGCATTCCTCCCACCTCAGCCTTCCAAAGTGCTGGGATTACAGGCATGGGCCACCATGCCAGACCCCAAATTTTTTTTGACATTATGCTTATGCTACCATATGAGAACACAAATTGTAAGGCTTGGAATAGTTTAAAAAGTAAACCTCACCCCTATTCATTAAAAACTGCATGGAAAATATAGAAAAGTGAAAATAGGAGAAAAAAGATACATTGTTTTACTGCCAAAGAAAATTACCAGTTACTCCTGACATTTTCTTTTCCTTTTTTTCTTTTTTTTCCCTGAGACAGAGTCTTGCTCTGTCACTCAGGCTGGAGTGCAGTGGCACAGTCTCAGTTCACTGCAACCTCTGCCTCTTGGGTTCAAGCGATTCTCCTGCCTTAGCCTCCCGAGTAGCTGGGACTACAGGTGTGAGCCACCATGCCCGGCTACTTTTTATTTTTTATTTTTTAGTAGAGATGGGGCTTCACCATGTCGGCCAGGCTGGTCTCGAACTCCTGACCTCAAGACAGGTGGCCCGCCTCAACCTCCCAAAGTGCTGGGATTACAAGTGTGAGCCATTGCACCCAGCCGACATTTTCTTTTTAGTATATTTCCCTCACCTTTTCTGTTTTTGAAGGCAAATACTTTTAAAAAAGCATTTTTAATAACTCTTAATTCGTAACAATAGCTAGATAACCTTTAGATTTTTATAGGCAAGTACATCAGAAAAGACTCTTGAGTCCGTATCTCTTTTTAAAAGTTGTTGATTTCAACATAGTCCCTGCTAGTCTCTAGCTGAGACTGTTCTTGTTTAGTCTAAGTATTTTCTTGCTTTTGTGAGGAAGCAAAAAATATGTTTTCTGTGAAAATGTGATTGACCTGGCAAATAGAATATGCCTCGAAGGAGCTCATCTAAGTGAGGCGGCAGGTCCCAGAGGTCCCTGTTACCTTAGGGCAGTAAAGAGAGGAGACACCTCAGCTGGGTTTACAGAACACAGTCTAGGGGGTGAGTAGCCCCACCTGGTGAGATGTTGGTAACGTTGTCATTTCCCTGGTTAAGATATACATATGTTTGCACCTTTTTCTCCAAATGTCTGATTATCTATATTAAAGGATGTGTATGGAGTTGTTGTTTTTAATAGGTATCCCTGAAATTCTGTGTTTAGGAACACTATACCTTAACAACACTCTCTCCCAATATGTTTAAGCCAGTATTCTTTCCCAGAGACATTTGGGAAACTGGGTGGATGTCATTGTGCAGATTAAATGTGGCAGATGCCTAGATGGGAAACCTGTAATGAATAGTACTTTCTTTTAAAATAGGTTAAAGGAAGATGGAAGTGGAAGTGCTTATGACAAAGAATCTATGGCAATTATCAAGCTGAATAATACAACTGTCCTTTATTTAAAGGAGGTGACTAAATTTTTGGCACTGGTCTGCATTCTAAGGGAAGAAAGCTTTGAAAGAAAAGGTAATAGCATTTTAAAAAGCTGTTTTTATGTTAATTTCTTTGCCATAACTTCTCAGGTTCTTGAAAACAAGTGAAAATAATAATTGCAGTGTTAGACAAATAGCTATCAGAAAAAAAAAGCTCAAACTGCTTTTGTCCCTTTCCTTCCATGTATAGTCCAGACTTTCTCTTTTCTTTTTTTGATCTTTCATTTTAAATCAAGATTTTAATTCTAGCTTTTCTGCGTTCAAATGCTTTCATTACCTGTTTAACTGAATGCAGTTTGGCTTCCATCTGAACAAGTCTACTGAAACTAGACTTTTATTTATTTATTGTTTATACTTTAAGTTCTGGGATACATGTGCACAACGCACGGGTTTGCTACATAGGTATATATGTGCCATGGTGGTTTGCTGCACTCATCAACCCGTCATCTACATTAGGTATTTCTCCTAATGTTATCCCTCCCCCAGCCACCCACCCCTGACAGGCCCTGGTGTGTGATGTCCCCCTTCCTGTGTCCATGTGTTCTCATTGTTCAGCTCCCTACTTATGAGTGAGAACATGCAGTATTTGGTTTTTTGTTCCAGTGTTAGTTTGCTGAGAATGATGGTTTCCAGCTTCATCCATGTCCCTGCAAAGGACATGAACTCATCCTTTTTTATGGCTGCATAATATTCCATGATGTATATGTGCCACATTTTCTTTATCCAGTCTGTCATTGATGGGCATTTGGGTTGGTTCCGAGTCTTTGCTATTGTGAAGAGTGCTGCAATAAGCATACGTGTGCGTGTGTCTTTATAGTAGAATGGTTTATAATCCCTTGGGTATATACCCAGTAACAGGATTGCTGAGTCAAATGGTATTTCTGGTTCTAGATCTTTGAGGAATCACCACACTGTCTTCCACAATGGTTGAAATAATTTACACTGCTACCAACAGTGTAAAAGTGTTCCTATTTCTCCACATCCTCTCCAGCATCTGTTGTTTCCTGACTTTTTAATAATCGCCATCCTAACTGGCATGAGCTGGTATCTCACTGTGGTTTTGATTTGGATTTCTCTAATGACCAGTGGTGATGAGCTTTTTTTCATATATTCGTTGGCTGCATAAATGTCTTCTTTTGAGAAGTGGCTGTTCATATCCTTTGCCCACTTTTTAATGGGGTTGTATTTTTCTTGTACATTTGTTTAAGTTCCTCGTAGATTCTGGATATTAGCCGTTTGTCAGATGGGTAGATTGTAAAAATATTCTCCCATTCTGTAGGTTGCCTGTTCACTCTGATGATAGAAACTAGACTTTTGGAAGTTACCAGGTTACCTCCTTCCTGCATTCAGTGGCCTTTTCTTACTCTGCAGGCTTTTCAATCTTCTAAGCATGTGATCTTGTCAGTCCCTCCTTTCTGAAAACTTTCTTCTCTCTTTGCTTCTCTGAAGCTGAATTCTTGGGATATTTTGTGTGTTTGTTTTCCCGACCACCTCTCCTGTTTCTTCTGTTTTTTTTTTTTTTTTCCTCAGTCCTGTTTGTCAGAGCCAAGTCTTTCTGCTTGCGTATTTTCTAGGTCAGCTCATCAAATACATGGCTTCAGTTAATCTTCTCTATGTGATTGAAAAATTCACATCTCCAGCTATGACTTGGGATCATGCTCTCGTCCCATGTTTGGAGCTATTAGTAAGACGTTCTCTCTTAAATATTGTGAATGTTACCTTCAACGTCATGTCAATCATTGGTTGATGAGTATTTCCCCTGTTTTGTGACTCTCGTGGCTGTCATACTTCTGTCACTAGTTACGCGAGTTTCTCCTGTCCAAGTGTAGATACCTTGTAGTTAGGTAATTGTGTGGTGTGATTGCTGAAGGGGCCCTTGCAGATTGGTTCACAGAGGAGATTTCGTGATCTCCTTTTTCTATTCTTCTATGTTGTTTATATTGAATTTTCACCAAATCTGATCATTTGTTTCTTGTAACTGTTACTTGGGTTTCCTTTCCATTTTCACTGTCAGTGATTCCACTCCAGGTTCTCATTGCTTCAGGCCAGTGGTGCTGCAGTAGTCTCTTACTTGATAATATTCATGTAGTTGACATATATGTGGAGGGTGTAGTATGTGTCATCTTTTATCCCAAAGGCAGATTAGTTTTCAGAAAATTTATTTTATATTATTTAACTACTCAAGGATCTACAGTAGCTCTGTTATTTACTGCAACAAGTCCTTCCTCTTCTACCTGAGTTTTTTTTTTTTTTTTGAGACAGTCTCGCTCTGTTGCCTAGGCTGGAGTGCAGTGGCGCAATCTCGGCTCACTGCAAGCTCCGCCTCCCGGGTTCACATCATTCTCCTGCCTCACCCTCCCGAGTAGCTGGGACTACACATGCCTGCCACCACGCCCGGCTACTTTTTTGTATTTTTAGTAGAGGCGGGGTTTCACTGCGTTAGCCAGGATGGTCTCAATCTCCTGACCTCGTGATCTGCCTGCCTCGGCCTCCCAAAGTGCTGGGATTGCAGGAGTGAGCCACTGCGCCCGGCCTGAATTTTTAATGGAATAGTTCAGATATACACAAATTTTTGGGTAAATCAAAACATGTATCTTCACCTTTCAGCTTAAGAACTAAAATGACAAATACAGTTAAAATCTTTTTTTTTTTTTAAGAGACAGAATCTTACTCCATTGCCCCAACATGATCATAATTCACTGTAGCCTCAAACTCGTGGGCTCAAGAGATCCTCCCACCTCAGCCTCCTGAGTAGCTGGGATTATAGGCTCATGCTACAGGATACTGGCTAATTTTAAAATATTTTGTAGAGATAGGATCTCTCTCTCTTGCCCAGACTGGTCTTGAACTCGTTGCCTCAAGCAGTCCTCTTCCTTCAGCCTTCCAAAGTGCCGGGATTATAGATGAGAGCCAACTGCCTGGCCAGCTGAAGTCTTCTGTGTGTTTTTCTCAATTGAAATCCCTTCCTTTGAGCTATGTGTATTTTATTTTTCTTATTTTTTCACTTCATGTCTATCCTTAAACAATAGAGTATTGTATAAATGATATAAAAATATAAGTAGTCTTCTGCAACTTGCTTGATTCTTTTCCTTCAGGTGGTTTTTGAGATTTATTCAGATTGATGACACGTAGTTCTAGTTCATTCCTTTTCGCTGCCATATAGTATTCTACAGGTTGACTATACCACATTTTATTTTCTTGTTGCTGGACATTTGGATTATTTTAAAAATTTCAAATCTGTAACAAATGCTCATGAACAAGTTTAAGTTTGCCTTTGCACGTGTGGAGAATTTCTCTAGGGTATGCCTTTAGGAGTGGAATTTATAGAGTACCTATATCTTTTGACTAATAAAGAGATTGCCAAACAGCTCTCCAAAGTGACTTTACTATTTTCATCCCTGGCTGGCACCGGTCTGTGGAAGTTCTTATCACTTCTTGTCCTTAATAATGCTTGGTATTGTTAGACTGTTTAATTATTGTCAATCTGGTAGGTGTGAAAGGGTATCTTATTTGATTCTCATTTTTACTTTTTAAATTACTGGTTAGAGCAAGTGTCTTTTCATGGCAAGTACCTTTTCATGGCTATTCAGGTTTCTTCTTTCACATTTTACCTGTTCCATATATATTTATCTTTTTTTGCACTGATTCTTAGCAGTTCCTTATTTTTCTCTATGTTAGTTTATTTGTTTATTTATTTTTTTGAGATAGAGTCTCGCTCTGTCACCCAGGCTGGAGTGCAGTGGTGCGATCTCGGCTCACTGCAAGCTCCGCCTCCCGGGTTCATGCCATTCTCCTGCCTCAGCCTCCCAAGTAGCTGGGACTACAGGCGCCCGCCTGCACGCCTGGCTAATTTTTTGTATTTTTAGTACAGAAGGGGTTTCACTGTGTTAGCCAGGATGGTCTCGATCTCCTGACCTCGTGATCCACCTGCCTCAGCCTCCTGAAGTGCTGGAATTACAGGCACCCGCCACCACGCCCCCAGCTAATTTTTTGTATTTTTAGTAGAGATGGGGTTTCACTGTGTTAGCCAGGATGGTCTTGATCTCCTGACCTTGTGATCTGCCTGCCTCGGCCTCCCAAAGCGCTGGGATTATAGGCGTGAGCCACCGCGCCCAGCCTATGTTAGTTTATTTTTTTATTTGTGTTTTTATTTTGAGATGGGAATCTTGCTGTGTTGCTCAGGGTGGTCTTGAACTCCTGAGCTCAAGCAGTCTTCACACCTCAGCCTCTCACATAGCTGGGATTACAGGTGTGCATCACTTGTGCCTGGCTCCTAACCATTTTAATCTTAAAAAAATTTTTTTTTTTAGAGTGGGTGTGGTGGCTCACACCTGTAATCTCAGTGCTTTGGAAGGCTGAGGTGGGAGGACGCTTGAGCTCAGGAGTTCAAGACCAGCTTGGGCAAGATAGCAAGACACTGTCTCTACCAAAAAATTAAAAAGTTAGTTGGGTGTGGTGGCTTGCACCTATAGTCCTCTCTACTCAGGAGGCTGAGGCGGGATTGCTTGAGCACAGGAGTTTGAGGTTACAGTGAGCTATGATTGTACCACTGCACTCTAGCCTGGGTGTCAGAGTGAGACCCTGTCTATAAAAAAAAAAAAAAATTTTTGTTTATGGAAATTTTCAGGTGTATACAAAGGTGGAGCAGCACGAGGAGTCCCTATGCATTCAGCTCCTGGGTTCAGCCCTCATTCCCACACACTTCAATCATGTTTCCTGGAGAGCTTCTCAGTTATTATAGATTATTAAGCTTTTTTATTTTATTGTGGAAACTGTCAAATATATAAAAAAGTAGAGAAAACAGTATAATAAAAGCTTTTTAATCCATTGCCCAGATTCAGTAGTTATCAAAATTATAGCCAATTATGTTTCATATTTATACCACTTTCCCTACTGGATTATTTTGAAGCAAAGGCCTGACATGAAATCATTTTGTCTCTGCAGATTTCAGTAGGTATCTCTAAAAGGTAGTGGTTTTTAAAACAATAAACAACAAAATTAACAGTGACTTAATGATATCAAATATCTGGCCAGTGTTCAAATTTCCTTGATTGTCTTTTATTTTACATTTGGCACAGAAATAAATTTTAATGTAGTTGAATTGATCAAAACTTGTCTTTTATAGTTTGTTTCTTTTCTGAGTCTGAAGGTCCACCTTAATTTGGCTGTAACCTACTTATTCAGACCTGATTCTTAGTATTTCCTACCAAGAGTTCTCTGATGTCCCACTCTCCAGTCAGACCATTTTTTTTTCCTGTCTTCCACCTGTGCTGTATTCTCATGGCCAGGTCCCTGCAGTTTTCTTGTGATTTTGTTCCCCTTTTCTGCCTAATTAAATCGTGTCTGTATTCCCCAAGTTCTTTCTTGTCCCTGAAGTTTTCAGTTGATTACTTTGCCCTGCACTTGGCTTTTTCTTTGGATTTCCTTCACAGTTGTAGTCAATTTGACACCAGATTGTTTTGGTTTGTTTCTTGTATTTTGGCTTTATGCCTCAGCTAGCATATCCTGTCTGGAAGTCATGGACCATATCTGCTGTTTCCTTTGACATATTGTACCCTCTATCGTGCTGTGTAATAAGTATTTACTGACTTTCATCAAATCAAATATAAACTATTGAAAGATCACACTATGTTCAAGCAGGCCACACAGTGTATTTGAATATTTTACTTTTCTTGAATGTGAATTGAGTGATTTGAAACTTGGATGCCAGAGGTATTAATTTGGCCAAGGTGATGGTCTAATTGCAATCGCATTTGTTTTCTAGCAGAACGTTATGATGGTGGATATATATGATGACCAGCTGTTCTTTTTTTTTTTTTTTTTTTGAGTTGGAGTCTCGCTCTGTCACCCAGGCTGGAATGCAATGGTGCAATCTTGGCTCACTGCAAGCTTTGCCTCCCAGGTTCACGCCATTCTCTTGCCTCAGCCTCCTGAGTAGCTGGTACTACAGGTGCCCGCCACCATGCCCGGCTAATTTTTTTTGTATTTTTAGTAGAGACGGGGTTTCACCGTGTTAGCCAGGATGGTCTTGATCTCCTGACCTTGTGATCTGCCCGCCTCGGCCTCCCAAAGTGCTGGGGTTACAGGCGTGAGCCACTGCACCTGACCGATGACCAGCTGTTCTTACGATTGAAGAAGTTGCTATCTAGTTTGGAGGCTTAAGAATTTCCAACCAGTGTTTATCCGAGTTATTTTTGGCTGCAAACCCAAATATAAAATTTCACAATTGACAATTCAGGAGGCATTCTTTTCTTTTTCCTTCCTGCAGGTTTAATAGACTACAACTTCCACTGTTTCCGAAAAGCTATTCATGAGGTTTTTGAGGTGGGTGTGACTTCTCACAGGAGCTGTGGTCACCAGACTAGTGCCTCCAGTCTGAAAGCGCTGACACACAATGGCACGCCACGAAACGCCATCTAGTCTGAATCCCAGCGTCGGGGCTCTGTGCCAGCTTACTCTTCACTCCAGGGTCGGATGCCACGTGCTACAGGACATGGGAGCTGCTGCTTGTGGGAATCTGGTGCCTGTTCCACTAGAGACAAGGGGTAGAGTTTCTCATTTGGATGAAAACCCCTTCAACTGGTGGTGTACAACTGAAGCTACTATATCTTTTTTGAAAATGGCAAAAAAAAAAAAAAAAAATTCTGGAGACCACAGAACTCAAGTGTGTGTTTCTCCTCTTTTGGGTCCCCTTTAAGTAGTTGGGATATTTTGGACCTGGAGATAACACCAGTTACCCATCCTTACCAGGGAATGTTGCCATCAATTCCAGTTGAAAATAATAGAAAAGACTGAATTTTTATATGCTTCACTTAGGCTTTCATTTGAGTAGACTCTAAAAATTCTGCCTTGCTTAAGTTCTAACACTGCCTCTCAGATTTCAGTTTTGGACATTGCACAACTAAGACCTTTTAAATGCATTTGCTTGCTAACTCGGAAGACACATAGTCTGCAGCAAGACATTCCTATATTGAAGAAATGAGAGAAAATTTTATGCTGCATCAGGTGGAGAGCAAGGCTCAACGGTGGTTGCATTAGTTCCCTCGGAAGTATTGAAAAAACTTTGAAATGGAAGAAAATTTTTGCACCTATGTTCTGAGTACCAGATGTCTGGGTTCTTTCTTCTGCATTAGATAAATGATCATGCTCAGTGTAACAAAGGGAATTAAAAGTTTTCCCACAGTCCCCTTCTAGGGGAGAAACTCATTGTGTCACTGAAATGTTTAGCTTACTTTAATCTTGATATCAGCCTCTACAGACCTTTTATTCTAAGCTATCGAGCTTCTTGATTGCATTTGGTTGACCACGAGTGACCCTAAGGCATTGGGGGACTGTCCACTGGGAGTTGGAGTGAGCACGTGGTGCTGCAACAGGCATTGTTTTACATACTTTGTCTCTAGTATTCTGACACCAAGTGTCAACTGTGGTACTTTCTTTGCCTAGGATATGAATTCATAATTGTTGCTTTTGTTGATGGTTGATACCCTTTCCATTGATTTAAACCTAACACATTATTTCTATTCCACATGCCCAGTAGACATATATTCCAAAGCCACTGGACCACTTGAGTACATAAGTGCCACTGTTTAATGCAATATGTATATTCAGGTCTGTAAAGCTAACAGTGTGACTTGGAGTGCTTCCTGCAGGTGATTCTGACTTGAGTATTTACATGGACCATGGTGATATCCAAAAGAAAAATGCTTTTTATATTTATAGATTATTTCATTGAACTATATATGAAATGGGTATCAATAAATGTATTTACTCCAAAATCAGCGTTTCTCCTTGCCTGAGGTATGGAGGGTGGTGGCGGAACGTTGGGTTGTCCCACTTTGCCGTTTTCTCATCCATTTCTTTTTCTTTTGCTGCTTCCTGTGGTTAATGTTTCTTATGTGTCAGAGCTTCAGGTTCTATCCCGATGTGGGAATTTCATGGCCTTGTGTCTAGGTATCTCCCCTGGCCCATTTCTGCTCTAGGGTAGTAAATCTAAGCTCAGGTGAAAATGTTTTTGGTTGGGTGTTTCATATACACAAATCTCACACATGGTGGGGAGTATCCTGGTCCTGGCATCATTAATGTGTTAATCCAACCTAAGAAGGAGTGAGGAGATGAGTGAAGTAAAACACACTTAAACAATTGTACCGATTCCAGCTTGTTTTCTGTTTCCTCCAGTTGCTGACATACTCATTGACTCACTCTTAAATGTCAGTTAAATAATTGTTTGTCTATACAAACAGGTTGGGTCTAAACTAATCAGAGAAAAATAGACATTAGTTTATCAGTGGGAGGAAGACAGATTGAAAGATCTTTAAATTTTGTAATTGGACTACTTTAGAAGCTGTTTTAATTCTGAAATGGAAATCACAGAAACAGCTTGAAAAAACTCTTGTGAAACTATCTAATCCTGTCTTCTTTTTCAGATTTTGGAAACAGGTGCAGAGGGATAAGGAGCCTTGTTGAGGCTGTAGCTAGGAAGACTGTATAACTTAAATTCCAGATACTGTTGAGAGTGGAAGGGATGCCATTAGTAAGGATGCCTGAGCAGCAGGTGTGAACTGGCACTGTTGAGGGTACACTAAGGGTGGCCAGCCTCATCATAGATCTAATTAGTGGCAAAACAGGGCTTGTCCTCCAGGCCTGGCAGCCCAGCGTGGCATGCCTTTACTTGCAGCCTCCGGCCTTAGGCTCCCATTGGTTAAATGGAGAGAATATTTCAAGATGCATGTGGTACATAGATGCCCAATAAATGTTATGTTTTCCTGTTACTGAAAATTATAAATTCAGTCAGTGATTAAGGAGAAGTCTTTAATTGTGAAATAGAAAGTAAATGTGAAAGGAGACAACTCAGGATGAAGAAAACGGAGAATAAAATGATCAGGGTTTTGCTTGAAATGTTTTGCATCCCAGTGGATGTTGATCTCTACCAGTCTACTTCAAAGAGAACTAGGACAGATGGTTAAAAAATACCTTAAAGTCTTAAGCAGCAAGGTATTTTAGCTATTTCACATACCACCACCTCTCCCATTCACATTCATATATACACACACATACATATATGCATGTATATAATATCTCAATATAGAATGCTGGAGGTATTTGGGAGTTAATTTACCTTCTACATCTTGAGTTCTGTGTGGAGAAATGATTTAAAAGATAAAATCAAGCATTGTTGGAGAAAGCACTGTGTGTGAATTTTGGACTTTGGTAAGGATCTCTATCCTTTGTTTTGCAAATGCTGAAAGCCCTTCCAGTTATTCAAAAGAGATTATTAGTACCACTGTTTTCCATCTAAGCTAGTAAGTAAGCTAGTTAGTTTAAATGCTCCCCCTGTCCCTCTTGGGGGTCCCAAAGGAACATAGTCTGTAAGGGGAATGTGGACAGCAGCTGGGCATAACTGGAGAGGTTTTTTTTTTTTTTTTTTTTTTGAGACAAAATTTCGCTCTTGTCACCCAGGCGGCTGGAGTGCAATGGCGCAATCTTGGCTCACCGCAACATCCACCTCCCGGATTCAAGCGATTCTCCTGCCTCAGGCTCCTGAGTAGCTGGGATTACAGGCATGCGCCACCACACCCGGCTAATTTTGTATTTTTTCGGTAGAGATGGGGTTTCTCCATTTTGGCCAGGCTGGTCTTGAACTCCCGACCTCAGGTGATCCACCTGCCTCGGCCTCCCAAAGTGCTGGGATTACAGGCATGAGCCACCGTGCCAGGTGAGTGTTATTTGTTAATAGTAACTTCCCGGAACGGTACATTAGGATACTTTGGATACAAATAACATCCAAGAAGGACTTGAAGGGAAAGCCAACCACCACTAATTATTTTAGGTGGTTTACGTGTATTACCTTGTAATCTTCACAACTCCTTGGGAAGTAGGTGTTATATTCCTATGTTACAGAAGGGGAAATAGATACAGAACGGCTCAATTGTAAAGTGGTAGAGTTAGAATGGGAACCCATGCAGTTTGATTCCATAACCTGCAGCCGCAAACTACCACTCGACCTTCCTTTCCTAGTAGGGAGGGCGAGTTTGCTCACTGGTGTGTTTTGAAAGAAAGAAAACAACAACAACAACAAAAGGATTCTATAGTTAAGTTTTGGAAACTTGCAATCTGTAGTCTCTCTTTGGAGATTTTCTACATACAGTCAAATATGAAAGGTTCTGAGAAGACCTGCAATAAGGAAGCCTGTTTACCTTGGTTTATATCCCATGTTCCTAGGTTTATTTGACACATTAAAGAAATGCATATTCATTCAATCAGTGTGTAATAAATTCACAGTTTTGAAATGTTTTCATGAGATTGGAAGTATGATTTTTACACTGTTTTCCAAGTATCTTAATACAACCATCACCAAACTGGTTTCTTGGATGGCTAGTTCAACACCTGTCTTTGTAGGTAGTGAGCAGGAAGCATATTTAACTACTCTGTAACATTTCCTCAGTATCTTTACTCATTTAAGCCAGATGTGCTGCGAAGCACAGGCAGCTTGTCTACCTTTTCAGCCTGTTTGGTGATGGTGTCCAAGTCCTTAGTGTATGGCCTCTAGGTGGCAGTGTTGTATTATCTAAACACAGCTTCTTGCTTTCTGGCTTCTGCATGTGTGCTCTGTCCTGAAAGTTTGTATTGCCCGTATCACCTAAGTGCACACCTAACTTAGAGATCCAAAAAATTCCTGAAGTATTTTCCCTAGGATAACATTCAGGACTGATTTGAGACATCTTATTGGAAGTGGAGCAGTTGATGATTTCCACTTTTTAGTGAGGGGTTGGGTAAAACGAAGGTCATTAACATCATTTGCTTTATGTATTACTAGTTACAAAAGGGCCTTAAGACAGCTGTAGCCACATTCCTATAGCAGGCAGAACTTCTTGCTTCCTCTTCTAATCCATCTGTTGTAAATGTGTGTGGTCTTCAAGACTCCATGGAAAGAAATGCCACATATTTGAATTAAAATATCTGTTTTCACCACTTTTCTTTGTGTCAAATGAGGTTTGTTGAAATTATTTCACACTTATGCTTGAGAGATAAAATATGGCAAAGGAAAAGGCTGCAGAACCTTATCCTTCCATGGGTACTTATTTTTCCTTTTTTTTTTTTTTTTGAGACAAGGTCTTGCTCTGTCATACAGGCTGGAGTGCAGTGGCACGATCATAGCTCCCTGCGACCTCAACCTCCCAGGCTCAAGCGATCCTCCTGCCTCAGCCTCCCGAATAGCTGGGACTACAGGCATGCACCACCATGCCTGGCTAATTTTCTTTTTAATGTAGAGATGAGGGTCTCTCCATGTTGCCCAGGCTGGTCTCAGACTCCTGGGATCAGGCAATCCTCCACTGCCTCAGCTTCCCAAAGTGCTGGGATTACAGGTGTGAGTCATTGCTCCCAGCTTGTTTTTCTTTCTTCTAGAGCCATGTAATTGCTTCACAATCCCCAGCTGTGACTTTGCTCTGCAAAGACAAATTTTAGTGTAAAAAGAACTAGATACACCAGTGCATCTTCAGACCTGTTTAAAATATAATTGAGAAAATTGCAAAGGACTGTTATAATGAGGAACTGAATGGCAGGAAACTAGTTGTTCCTCCCCACACTTGAAAATGCCAGTTACTACCAACGTGTTGCCCGCAAAGTGCTGCAACTTCCACTTTAAGATTCTTACACTTTAAAATGCATCTTTTGAACTGATCAAATATATATATTTGTTATTGTGTGTTTTGTTTTGAGATGGAGTCTCACTCTGTTGCCCAGGCTGGAGTGCAGTGGCGTGATCTCGGCTCACTGCAACCTCCACCTCCTGGATTCAAGTAGTTCTCCTGCCTCAGCCTTCTGAGTAGCTGGGATTACAGGCGTGCACCACCAGGCCTGGCTAATGTTTTGTGCTTTTAGTAGAGATGGGGTTTCACCATGTTGGCCAGGCTGGTCTCGAACTCTTAACTTCAAGTGATCTGCTCGCCTCGGCCTCCCAGAGTGCTGGGATTACAGGCGTGAGCCACCACACCCAGCCTGGACTGATAAAATATTAGAAGGCATGTGGGAGACAATTAATTTGGTTTATTACAAAGTAACCTGCCGAACAGACAGGAACTTGACTTAGAGAAATGGAATATTAATTTTCTACAATATTCTTTTTGCTTTTCTTTAAAAAAGAGGTGCTGGCACACACATTTTAGCAAATTGTGAATATTCCTTCCTTTCTTTCCATGGCCTCTCTCTTATCTCCATGCAAATTGGCATGCAAACTTTGTGTTCCAGGTAATGAGGCTCCAGACAGGGCCTATCTTTCTCTGAAAAGCAGTGCTGGCATGTTCTGTACTGAGGCTTTTTCCCAGAAAATGTACTGCCTCTACAGCTTTGGAAGATGAACTGAGAAATAACGCTTATAACCCTACCAAACATTTCTCGAATATCTGTCTTGACTTTGGAAAGGGAGCTATTGGCCATTTCCATGCTTGGAGGATTCTTTTCTTCTACTGCACTGTAGTTCTTCCTGGCTAGATGTCTAGCACGGAGGCTCCTTGGACTAGTTCCTCACATGACCCCTGTGGCAGTCTATTGATGGGAACGGGACAATTGAGAAAGGCAGGCAGGCTGTCTGGCAAAAAGAAACTCATTAGGGTCAGGGGCCACAGGATCTCCATGGAGATGTTCTCTGGACTACTAGAGTGTTGAGGCTGGATGAAGGGGAAGAGGGCTGAGCTAGAGATCGAATTGGCATACTGAGTGGGAGCAGGGTGGGGTGGGAGGCAGAACTGGGCCTTAGGGAGGGCCTTGGTCAGTCAATGGAAGGAAGACAGCTGGAACAGAAGTTAGAATGATTCATGCAGTGAGAAGGAAACCAGGTAGAAAGGGAGGAATGCTCACCACTGAAATGTCTCTTATTTGTTGAAATGAAATTAAGGTCTCTAATTTGTTCTTATCCTTCAGGTTTCTGTGCCTGGAATCTGGAAAAGGAGACAGATTCTCCTAGATTTTGCCTAGGAATGTTAGTGACCTTGAGAGGCCTTCCAAATGGAGATCTGGGCCACACAGTGGAGATCTCGACCTGCCTCTGTAGGTCCTTGACTCTCCTCTTCCAATGTATCAAGTCCTTCATTTATTCTTGATTTCTTTCAGATCCAAAATAATGGTCAAAAAAGTGCTGTTTAGCTGGTATTATTTTCATGTTATCCCTTACCACAGTTTATCTCAATTCTCACAGGAGCCTCAATGCTTATCTCTTAGATCCTTTTCTTCTTTTAAAAAATTTGGGCTAGCCTATACTAATAATTGTACTAGTTTAATTAAAATTATGATTAGCAGTAGCATGCGTATCTTAATATTTGAGAGCTTACAGCTTGCCAGCCGTTGTGCTAAGAGCCTTACTTGTGCCTTCTCCTCTAATCCATCCAGTGTAATGAGGTTGGAGCTATTGTTGTGGTCCATTTTACAGATGAGAAAACTGAGGCACAGAGAACCTGCAGGAACATATTGCTAGTTTTATTGGCATAGCTTGGAATTGAAGTCCCATCTGTCTGATGCCAGAGCAAAGATCTGCCTTCCTGATAGTAACAGAGCTTCTTAGAGGCTGCCAGGAAGGAAGGAAGAAGGAACGAGGGAAAATGCTACATTGGGACTCCGAGCAGCTTATCCCGGGACTTTCTGAGAGCAGCTGTACACACCCGTTGTGGCAGAGGCAGAATAAGCTTTCTTCTCCTTTTGCATAGAGATAATATTTCCAGCCACTCTTGCAATTAGGGATGGCTATGTGAGTTCTACCAATGGAATGTGAGTGGAGGTGACATATTCCATTTCTAGGCGTAGCCCATGTAATCATCTCAGGCATGATCCTCCATGTTCTTTTCCCTTCTACTAGATCACTGCAGATGAGCACAGAAACACTGTTGAAAATGCAGAGCCTTGACACGGAAGGAATCTGGATTCCTGGATCACACAGTGGAAGGCTCATCTGCTGACCAGAAACACTTGCATTGGACTGATGAGCAGTACATAGATGTCTCTGCTGTTAAGCTTTTGAGATTATGGGCTTTATCTATTATAACAGCTAGTGTTACCCTAACTTACACACTAACATACTGTATGGGTCATGATTCTTGGCTATGAGCTCAGGCAGATAGTGGGTGAATGAACCAGAAAGATCCAGTTTTTGTGACCAGTTACAAAATGCCAGAAAGAAATAATGTTTCTTAGGCAAAAGAGATTATAGTGATTACTAGAATTTGAAGTCGGGTTTATTGGATACTCATCAGAGTGAACTTCTCATGCGAGGAGATCACCGAACTATCTTAGGAGTCCGTGGATGGGTTACAGAGGCTTTAGGAGCCCCTGAATTTGTGTGCAAAATTATATGTACCAACTGGACAGAGAGAACCTGGCCTTTTCAGTCTCCAAAAAGGTGAGGAACCAGTTGTGAATCTGAGCATAAGCCACTTAGGAGGCTTATTTAGAACAGAAATGCAAAATTGGACTTGGCTGCATGTTCTGGATTTCACATTTTTTTCCCTAGGATTTCCAATTCTGCCCCTTATATATGTAAAAACTATAAAAGGAGAGCTTTTCTTGAAACTGATACATTGGCATATGGTACAAGTGTCAATGAGCAAGTAAAATAGTCTGGGTGAGGGAAATCATGAATATAAAACGTAATTGTCTTGTGGTCAAGTAGAACATGAAGCCAATCATTTTGGGAGGAAAAATAAGCCTAGCTCATTAGTTCCCCCCTTCTGGCCTGCCAGCTTCCTCTTCTCTGTGTGTCCGAGGGTCACTGCCCTTCGTGTCCCCTGACGGGTCCCTTCTGTAACGAGGCTTCCTCGATTCGGCATCTCCCTTCTTGATGGCATTCCTCAGTGGAGGGGAGGAAGAGTTTCCTCAACCCACTGAGGGTTCCTGGCCAGGTCTAGTAAAACAGACAAAGACAGGTTAACAGGATCAGCACCATAAGACAAGGCAAGAAAAGAAAGAAAAAAAAGACAGGTTAACAGGAGAAAAGCATAATAGATTTATTTAAAGTTTTACATGACATGGGCCGGGCGTGGTGGCTCACGCCTGTAATCCCAACACTTTGGGAGGCTGAAGGGGGTAGATCACCTGAGGTCAGGAGTTCAAGACCAGCCTGCCAACGTGGTGAAACCCCATTTCTACTAAAAATACAAAAAAATTAGCCGGGCATGATGGCGGGCGCCTGTAATCCCAGCAACTCGGGAGGCTGAGGCAGGAGAATCGCTTGAAGCCAGGAGGCAGAGGTTGCAGTGAGCCAAGATTGCACCATTGCACTCAAGCCTGGGCAACAAGAACGAAACTTCATCTCAAAAAAAGAAAAAAGGAAAGAAAATGAAATAATGTTTTACATGACACGGGAGCCTTTAGAAACGAAAACCAGAGACACAGGGAAAACTGTCCATTTTTATGCTTCAATTAGATGAAGAACGGACAGCCGTGTAGAAATGGGATTGGACACAGAGGGTAAGACCTCGTGGTAACAGACTGAAGGGGGACACCCTGCAAGGTCTGTCCAGATTCTTCTTGGCCTTTCTATGCAACATTCCTTCCTCCAGGGTATAGGGCAGGACACCTCCTGGAATGAGGGTCTTAAGACCTACTATCAGACAAGGTAGGTCAGAGAATTTCCTTATGGTTAGCTCTTACACAGAAAGGTGGGAAAATGTTAGAGTAACATTATAGATTTTATGGCTGGCTTTGGGAGAGAGGGGTTCTAGTTGCTATGACCTACCTTGGGGAAGAGGGATTCTAGTTTTTTGTTTCTTGGCTTTTTTTTTTTTTTTTTAAGACAGAGACTCGCTCTGTCACCCAGGCTGGTGTGCAGTGGCGCGATCTCAGCTCATTGCAACCTCTGCCTCCCGTGCTCAAGGGAGCCTCCCACCTCAGCCTCCTGAGTAGCTGGAACTATAGGTAGTGCCACTACGCCCAGCTAATTTTCTTTTGTATTTTTAGTAGAGACAGGGTTTTCCCATGTTGCCCAGGCTGGTCTCAAACTCCTGGGATCAAAATGCTAGGATTATGGATGTGAGCTACCATGCCCAGCCAGAATTTCAGTTTTATGGCCTGCCTTTAGGTAAAAATGGGAGCAGGAGAAAGAAGAGCAGGAGAAGATCAGAAAGAGACTTCTGAGCCCCTTTCCTTCAGTTCAAAGTATTCAGCACGTCCAGGCATCACACTTTAGGGTACTGTGTTCTGAGCCCCAACATTTTGAAGATTCCTGGCCCACATTTTGGCCCATCTAATTTCTTTTTCAATTATCCTGTATATTTAATGAAATTCTGCAAGGGCAATCACTAGGCTGAAGGGCAGAGTCTGTGTATTTGCCAGTCCTCTTTTTTATGCAGTAGGGGTGCCTGGCACAGGGCTGGCTTCATAGTATACACTCAGTACAGGCTTCACTGTGCTGGGTAAGAATGGGAAAAATGTAAACAACATGACTGGGAGACACAACTTGTGATCCGTTTAAGGCTGCTCAGGGGCAGTGGTTGCTGGGCTTGCTGTGGGTGACAGTGAGGCTGGGGTCCAAGCCAGATGCTTATTCATTCATTCAACAAATCCTTAGTGAGTGCTTGCTGGATGCAAGGCTGTGTTCTAGGTTCCCAGGATCTATCAGTGAACAAGAGAGCAAAGTCCTTGCCATTATAGTGCTGACTGAATTTCAACCTGACAAAAGTTAGGATGCAGATGGGGGAGAACGGAGTCTCAGAGAAGTGAAGTGGCTTGCCCTAAATCACGCAGCTGGTAAGCCAATGAGTGCTGACCTTCTGACTCCAAGCCCTACACATATCAACACATCAAGAGAATAAGGAGGATAAACATTAGAGGTGATTTAACAACAAATTCTGGTGTGTGTGTGACTTTACACACCTAGAATGAACAGATTGTTTATGTCAAAACGTACTATTAAATTAAACAAGAGAAACTAGGAAATATGCTTATTATGTATAATAGAGAAAGTTAATTTTTTTTTTTTGAGATGGAGTTTCACTCTCATTGCCCAGGCTAGAGTGCAATGGCACGATCTCAGCTCACTGCAACCTCCACCTCCCGGGTTCAAGTGATTTTTTTGCCTCAGCCTCCCAAGTAGCTGGGATTACAGGCACCCGCCACCATGCCTGGCTAATTTTTTGTATTTTTAGTAGAGACGGGGTTTCACCATGCTGGCCAGGCTGGTCTCAAACTCCTGACCTCATGATCCACCCACCTTGGCCTCCCAAAGTGCTGGGATTACAGGCATGAGCCACTGCGCCCAGCCTGAAAGTTAATATTTTTTATACAATTTTACAAATCAGTAAAAAATACATTCTAAAACAAAATGAGGGAAAGATATTAGTGTGTGACACGAAGTAGAAGAGGCCAAAACCATGAAAACCCATAAAACCTCACTAATAATAGAAGAAATGAACACTAAAATAATAAGCTTCCCTTTCTCTTTATCAAATGGGTATTTTTTTCAAAGGATGATATTCAATGTTGATAAGAATACAAGAACGGGATCTTTCATACATGTTTTAGCCATCAATTTTAGGATGTTCTTAAATAGATTGATTCTTGTACTTTAAAATAATATAGATTCGAAACATCTCATTACTTTTTTAAAACCATATTAACAGTGTTTTCCAATTTTTCTACAGTGAATGAATATGTATCCTTTTTATAATTAACAATATACATATATGCATTTTTAAAAATCCTTTAAAAATTGAAGGGGATAGGAGGAGGAGGTGTTTATTGGTTTTAATATGTCGTAGAAAATGGTCTTAGACTGAGAGCAGGGACCCGAGTTTATTGACTGCAGTCTGCAAAGTATCCAAGTGCCATCTTGTGCACTCTCACCTGGCCTGGCTGCAGCTCTCCGTCAGAGCCTGATCAGCTCTTCCAGTCCTCTGAGCGTGGTCTGTGCAGTTTCTGTTGTTGTTTTATTACGTGTCTATAGTGGTTCTTAACCATAGTTGCACACTAGAACCACTTGGGGTGAGTATAAAAAAAAATAGTGATACCAGGCCCATCCCAAACTATAGCCATGTGCCGCTTAGTGACAGGGATACATTCGGAGAAATGTGATGTTAGGCAATTTCAGCACTGTGTGAACATCACAGGATGTGCTTGCACAAACCGAAATGGTACAGCTTCCTACATACCTAGGCTATAGGGGGTAGCCTATTGCTCCTAGGCTACAAACCTGTACAGCATGTTACTTACTGAATACTGTAGGCAATTACAACACAATGGTTAAGTATTTGCGTATCTAAACATAGAAAAGGTACAGTAAAAATAAAATCATATGGTACCACTGTAGTATGTGTGGTCCATGGTTGAGCAAATTGTCATTATGTGGTGCATGATTATAAGTAAATAAGGCTGTTCCCATGTGGCTTAATGTCAGTTAGTGTTGAGAACCACCAGCTTCTAGGCTGGATCAAACTACCTCTAGCTACTCTGTGTGCCTACGCCTAGGTCATGTGACATATTGCAG
The DNA here is from genome assembly GCF_000001405.40 of Homo sapiens. Taxonomy (NCBI): domain Eukaryota; kingdom Metazoa; phylum Chordata; class Mammalia; order Primates; family Hominidae; genus Homo; species Homo sapiens. The sequence continues at coordinate 38,827,506 of NC_000001.11, read as the reverse complement.
GCTTGTTCAATTGACTTAAATAGGTTTGGTTTCTCAGCTCCTCAAGCACGAAGAATTATTTTTGCTGCTGCTTTTTGTGTGTGTGTGTGCTAACCCAAAGTGTCAAAGAGAGACACACAAGAGGTGAAGAGGTGGCAGATGTATAGCTGTTTGTCAGTACATTGTTCTTCTTTCTTCTAAATTCCTGGGTTGTGACAGCTCAAAGTATCTGTGGTTAGTACAAATTTAAATTTAGTTATTGTTAAAATTTCAAAGCCAAATGAATTTTGATTCATTGGTTAAACAGAGAAATATGTTGCATTACACTATCTGACAGAAGCAATAATTAGTCACCATAGGTTATAGTATTTAACCATCCCTGGCACTCTGTAGGTACCCAATAAATAGAGGAATGAATGAATGAATGAATGAATGACAAAATGGAAATTGGGACAGGACAGCATCTCTCACTTTATACTTGCCTCTTATAGGGGTCTCTAGCTACTTCAACTACTTTCCATTCTACCTTTCACCACTAAAATTTTATTTGAGACTTAGATTGAATATCACTGTTTTGGTGATGCTCTATTCAAAACAACTTCCAAGTATGAAATAATCTTCAAAGTAAACCAGTTTATGGGCTGGGACAATGTTCAACCACTGTCACTGCAGAAATTGGGCACCTGTAGATGGTCTGTCACTTCCTCACAGTGGCTTAATGCGAGCATTTACTCTCATATAAAGTCCCCTCTTTCTTTCTCCTCTGACTGCAGACCCTAAAACACAGGTATGAGCCTAACCTCACTTCTCCTGTTGCATCTGCTCTGGAGGCAGGCATGGTTCTGTGAAAGCAAATGTCACTGCAGCAGCCATAATTTAAGAAGTCCTTTTAAAAAATTCCAATTTCATCATTTCACAGAAGAATAGATCAATATTTCTACAGTTAAGAGTTTAGTTAAAAACCCTGCTGTGCAATGAAATAATGCATCTGCTATTGGCGTAGAGCGACTGGGATGTTAATTCCCTGGTTTTGTGTCAGTTAAGGGCAAATTAGCCTTCCAGCACCAGTCATGACTCATTATGTCATTATGTAGAAGGCACTTACTGTACCTCCACTACTATGCAATTTAGATCCAATAAAAATTGTGACAGCGTTTTTATCCACTTCATTAAGCTACTAATTTCTTGTAAAAAATGTACATTAATCTTTTTATAGCTTCATGCAGAGTGGCATATTTTTAGACTCTAACATTGATTAGGTCCTGGTTAAGAATAATTTTCACAGTACTTTTAAGAAATGTAAATAAAGTTACAATAATTTAATTTTTCAACATAGTTATGACAGTATTGATCTTAAAATGAACATGTTGGCTGAATTAAATGTGTAGCCCAAATGAAATACAGACTGAATATTTAAACATGCAACAAATTACAAAGCACGGCTTAACAATACCCTGCAAACAGAATGAAGAAAGGGAGCATGAACCTTCATGGAAAATATCAATTGCTCATATTTTAAAAGAGGTAAATGGGGATTTTTTTGACATCTGACTTTCCCTACCCAAATGTTTAAAAAATACAGCAAAAAATAGTTTTCCCCTTTTGATTTTTCATTGCTTGTGAAGTATTAATGACTCTTCCGCCTGAATGACTTAGGAAAAAGTAGAAAAGAAGAAAGTTCCCTCTGCCAGCTAATTGTGATATTAGTGGGTCGGAGTCAGAGAAGACAGTGCCCAGGGTTTTCAGAGGGCACCGTGGGCGGTTGAGGGCAGAGTGTTGGCACCTGTGTACTCAGTGACAGAAGCTGCCCCCTTCACTCTAACCCTTCATCAACCCAGAGCTTTTGGAACAGGGCTGAGGAAGCCATGAGTCACGTCCTCATTGGCCGTAAAGGTGAGCTCTAGATGCTGGCTGGCATTTCACGCAATTACTCAGGCTTCCCATTAGATCTTGACCTGCCTCGCTGGACCTTGTCTCCTTGCTCTGGACTCTTTGAGTTGTGCTCTGACTTTGATCCCCTCTGGCAGTTGGTGTCTTTTGCTTTCCCAGGTGAACGAACCCTAGCTCTGTCTTGGCCTCCAAACCTACCCGGTTCTAGCCCCTCCACAAGTATCTACCGCATCAGCCCCAACGGGCATGCAGGGAGCTAGAGACCATGAATGATTAGGCTTTATCATAGGAGACACACAGAGTGTGAACAGAACCATGTTGGAGTCAAAGACTTAGATTCTTCCAGACAATATCTATGTCCCCTCTCCAAGCCTGTCTCTATCTCCCATTAGAAGGCTTTGTGCTGGATGATTGAAAAAAGTTCTAGGATACGAAGACCCCCTTCTCACTGCAGGAATTCCTCCCTGGAACAACCCAACAGGCTGTGCGTGGATCCTCATTTCCTTGTATTTTTTGAATGTATGGAGCCCTGTATCTTTCCAGAAGGGATTAAAGTGGAGGTAGAGAAGAGTTTCCTGCCTTATAGCATCTTCACTTCCACAGAGTCAGTGCAAGTCAGAGCTGTTCAAAGTGCTGTGAGCAGCCAGCTATGTCTCAGTACAAAAGATTCTGCAGCTGATGTTAAGAGTAATAATGATCTCCTTATCAATGTCCAGGTCCCTGACTCTAGAAGTGTGGTTGTCCACCAGCAGGATTATATGGGACCAAAGGCCTATTCTTAGCCCATAGCCCAAGCAGCATCTCTCCAGTCCCTGGGTGCTCCCTAAAGAGCCCATAGCAGCTGGAAACACCCTCTCTGCTTTGTAGCTGTCCCAGAGCGTGGGCTCAAATACAGCCTGCTTCCCTGGCATTTCTCAAAAGCCATTCCTTTTTGCAGTTGCTGCTGCTGCTTCCCAGATGTTAACTGCTGTGCCATCCTGTTCCTGATAGTAAAGCTCATTTTGATTGCCTTTTCCATTTGTACAGTTTCATTTACTCATTAGGAAGAGCAGTCTCAGCCTTTACCTCTGAGAGCGTCACCACCACTCTGTGAGGCAGGCAGATGACCCAGAGAGGCAAAGTGACAAACTCAAGGTCACACAACTGCTCTGCAGCGAGCAGTAGAGCCAGAAGTTAACATCCCGTGTTCAGTATATCAGAGATTCCAAAATGCCTTTGGTCATGGAACAGAATCATGGTTAAGAGCTTGGGCACTGGAGTTAAGGTAGATTTGGACTCAAACTCCAGCTCTTCCACTTACTAAATTCCTTAGCTCGAGTGCATTACCCAGTTTCTCTGACCCTCTGCTTCATCTTATCATCTTTACCAATGGGGAAAAATGCTTTTTAACCTCGCATGTTTATGCTGAGGAATTTTCTTTTTTTTTTTTTTTTGTTTTTTTTGAGATGGAGTCTTGCTCTGTAGCCCAGGCTGGAGTGCAGTGGCACCATCTCGGCTCATTGTGACCTCCGCCTCCCAGGTCCCAGTTCAAGCAATTCTCCTGTCTTAGCCTCCTGAGTAGCTGGGATTACAGGCACACGCCACCATGCCCAGCTAATTTTTTTTTTTTTTTTTTTTTTTTTAGTAGAGATGGGGTTTCACCATGTTGGCCAGGCTGGTCTTGAACTCCTGACCTCGTGATCCACCTGCCTCGGCCTCCCAAAGTGCTGGGATTACAGGCGTGAGCCACCGCACCCGGCCTGATTTTTTTTTTTTTTTTTTTTTTTTTAAGCAGAGTCTCACTGTCACCCAGGCTGGAGTGCAATGGCACAATCTCGGCTCACTGCGACCTCCGCCTCCTAGGTTCAAGCTATTCTCCTGGCTCAGCCTCCCAAGTAGCTGGGATTACAGGTGCCCGCCACCATGCCTGGCTAATTTTTGTATTTTTAATAGAGACGGGGTTTCACCATGGTGGCCAGGCTGATCTCCAACTCGAGACCTCAAGTGATCCACCCACCTAGGCCCCCCAAAGTGCTAGGATTACAGGTGAGAAGCCACCACGCCTGTCCAGTGGTGAGGATTAAATGAGATAAAATGTGAGTCACCCAGCTTCATACCTGGTACATATCAAACCCAATAAATGGTAGCTATTATTATTTTTATTATTATTACCATGAATTCATTTGACTCTCACAGTAACCCCATGTGGCAGGTACTCACTTATTCACATGTGGACACTTATAATCATAATAGTTAAAATTGACAGAAGGGAAGGATGAGGCTTGGCATGGTTTGTTAGGATCTCCCTGAAACCTGCTCCTGTATTTCTTTCTGCCTTTGCCCAGCACCACTTTGTCAAGCTCCAGACCCATGAGGCTCCTGCCTTTTTCTTTTATTGCACATGCCCAGGCTCAGCAATGCTGGGCCTCATGCCTGGGTGACCTCCGGCTCTCAGGCCACATGCCTGACACTGATGCAGTGGCCCGAAAGCAGGATCCAGCCCAGAGGAGGAGCTGAGCTGTGCCCCAAGCGCCCAGCCTCTCTCTCTCCAGGAAGAACTAGTGTTCTGGGGTCACATAATTACTCCCCACAGAAAGCTCTTTCAACTTAAGTATAGGGTTCTGCATGTGACGCTGTCTGCAAGGCAACCCTGGGTACTGGCAGGAGGTTAAGTTCTGTTTCTCTTCAAAACAATGATTCCTCTGAGGTTTATACAAATACTCAATCAGTTTCCTATTATGACATTGTGAAGGAGAAGTTGGTTGCATCTTTGTAATTAGGACTTGAAGAGAAGTCAATGACAGTGAATAAATTAGACTTAGATGCTTTTCACCCGCCCTGTCCTTTTTTTCCCTTATCCCTTAGCATTCTCTCAGGGTGGGCCTGCTGCTCTGAATTCGCAGGCAGGCCTGGCCCCCTCATGCCATTAGGTGAAGAAGGAGGAGGCTGTGGGCTGCCCCCTCCCACCAGGCTGGGAAGCCCCAGAGCTTGGGTTTGCAGGCTCCTTTGCCAGATGGTATTTGATACGAATATTGATGTTAATGGCGTTTGGATAATGACACTGTCTGTGGCAGGGGCTTTATTACTGTTATGAACGGCATGGTCCTGGAGGGAACCATTCTGTTTAGTTACCTTTGTGTGTATGTTGCAAATGTTTAACAGATAATTATCAAGAGGCAGTGTTCTAGGGGATTTGGGTTATTCCTGGATTCCCAGGCAGGTCCTGAAATCAGTGCATGTCACAGAGCGGTGGTGCGTGCCTTGTTGGAGTCAGTGGAACTGCCTGAGATGATTCCCTTCCCTGCCTGCAGAGCGTGGTTACCCCAACCTTTCCTGCCTGTCCTTCCACAAGACATTCCCATTCTCGGAGGGTCTGCTTTGTTGCAACCTCTCCATAACCAGATACATCAAAACCTACCTTTTACACTTCCTGGGGGAGTTTGAGCTTCTTCCTATGAAAAATGAATAATAAAATCCTCCGCTTTCATCCTAATGGGGTTAGTAGGAGGTGTTCAGCTTTTTATAGCTACCTAGATGATCGAAAGAGGCAGATGAAGCCATCACAAAATTAAGGAAGAGGTCATCATTAGAAGACCAGAGACCAGAGTCTTTTAAAAGCATTTCTGGTCTTAATTCAAAGTGCCTCTCTGGAGAGCTTTAGCAAGCTGAGCCCTTGGGTTTTCTCTGTTGGAACCAAAGCTTTGGTAAGGTGAGGGCTATAGCAGGCTTCTCTGCAAGGCCTGTGGAAGGACCAGTCCCTTCAGAGCAAATATGACATTTTCAAGATGGATTATCTGGTAGATACTTAGGCCTGTTTCCCTACGTCAGGCAAAAGCCTTCTGCCCTTGTGAGAAATGAATAAATGAATGAATGGGACCTCAGGTGTTTTCGTAGCCCTGCAAAATGGCTTCAGAGGTTGGGCTGGCAATTGCTGCGGACCAAATGCTCCTGGGATCTCAGCGATCAGGCAAAGTGGGAAAGCAGGAGGCCTAGCTGAACTCCTGGAAACAGCATACAAATGGATTGTTGTGTGTGCTCCTGGCTTGGACAGCGCAGCTCTAAATCTGAATACAAAACAGAGAAGATGCTCTTTTGCTCCTTTCAGACTAATGATTTTGTCCTTTTTCCCTCTCCTCCTCATTTTATTTCTTCATCTATAACATCTGCAAGAGGGCAGCCAGACTAATAAAACTGCGCTAAGCTCCTCTAATGCCAGCCATTGATCCAAGGGTGGGACCCGATTAATCAATGGGATTTTAGCGGTGTTCACATCCCCGAGGGACATCAGGCCCAAAGACATTTCTTGTCTCCGCAGAGGGGAGGAATCTGAGAACTGATGGAGTGATTCTCTAGCTGTAGATTCTGGAGGTGGTGAAAGGCAGGGTGCCAGCCCCCAGAAACAGTCTGTGGCAGTATCAGAGGGCCACCTTGGGTGTTTGATGGCTTTGCTTTGGGGATGTTCACTTGTTCTGGCAGTGACATCACTGCAAGATGTGTGGGATCCGAGGCACCTGTCACATGACCACAGACCTGAGAAGTCATCTCCTGTAACCCCTGCCATTGTGCAGTAGAGGAAACTGAGGCCCAGAGAGGGAAGGTCATACAATGAATTAGTAATACTGTAGAACTAGAGTGCAAGTCTCCTGGGCTCAGCTTTTTGCCTTCCCAGTGTCTGTAAGGCTGAGTCAGGATCAGAACCTGTTGCAACCATCAAATGGTTGATACAAGCAGTGATAGAGAATTCAGGCAAGATACAGACACCCAAACTGAAGAATTCAGTTTGAGAAAATTATAATGCATTTTAAAAATAGGCTGGATGTTCTTTTTCTTCCTTTATCTTTTTATTAACATTTTTAAAATTTGGGGCTATTACATATGTAAAAGTGCATAAAACATAGATACAATCTGACAAATAATTTATAAGCAAATACCTTTGTAACCACCACCCAGGTCAAAAATGGAGTATTGCCAGCCTCACAGAAACCCACCATATGAGCTAAGAGTCCTTTATCTCAACACTCTCTCTCCTAGAAGTGATCATGATCTTAATTTTTGTGATGATCATTTCCTTGCCTTTCTTCATAATTTTACACCCAAATAGCATATTACTGCCTGCTTTAAACTTTATGTAAATAGAGTCATACTGTGTGTGCTCTTTTGTGTCTTATTTCTTTGATCCAACATTGTGAGATTCCAACACTGTGAATTATTTTAAAGAAATCTACTAGAACACTGCCCTGTGAAGTAAAGTGTGATCCTTAACATAGCTCAGCCTAGGGTATGGGTATTGCAACAAGGGTACCCCAAAGAGGTTGTTTTTGGACTTTGTTCCTGGTTGCTCTGACCAAATATCACTTTTTTTTTTTTTAAGCTTCAGGGACCTGATTGTTTCATGAATTCCCTCAAAATATACACTAATTTAAGGGACATATAATTGTGTGTGTGGAGGTGGTGGGAGGTCCAAGGGGCAAGGGGTGGCAATCCCAGAATTCCTTACTTTGCAAAGGAGGCACCTGACTCAGGTTGTGAGCCCACTGGGAGCAGGAGTTGTTTTATCTGTCTTAAATCCCCAAGGCCCAGGATGGAGTCAGTCTATAGGCGGAGATCAATAAACATTTGTCCAGTGAACACAAGAATAAAGGTCACTCAGCTTAGGCCTCCGCGGGACGCCTGAATTTCCTCCACAGTACAATCTATGACTGTTTCCTTGGTGGTCTGATGGAGGCCCACCAAATGCAAAAAATCAGCTTGCTGGTAGAGGTAGGAACCTTGATCATCCTTGATACATTTGTGTCTTACATTCAAAAAGACCTTAGGAAGGTCAGTATTAACCAGACGTGCTATTTCTCTAGAAACTATATAAAGGGAGTGTGGGAAAGAGAAGCTTTTATTGAAAACAAACAAAGCCTGCAATGTGCTTTTGCAGGGAGTTGTGGGAGAGCTGGGTAGGGCCACTCCAGGTCTCCTGGCCCTGAGGTGGAGGCCCTGTGACCACGGAAGCTTCTCTAGGTAGCTCTGAGCCCACTTCTGGGGTCTCTTGCATGCCTCCTGTCAACTCAGGAGAGGCAGCTGAAAACTGAGCCATCTCTGCTGCTCTGGTCAGCTGGACAGGCTGCATAGTTTGAAGGAAAGTCCTTGTTTTCTACCTCCTCCTGCCTAAGATCAGTGACCCGCCCCCCCCGGGCTCCCACCTTCCCCAGCCAGGTCAGGCATCAGAGAGCTACCATGGCAGCCACAGATGCAAATGCATATTGCTTGAATTATTTATTTTATTATTTTTTTAAAGCTCACCCTTTAATGAAATACCTTAAATATGTAGGGTAGTCAAGACTCACAAGAGAAGGCTAGACTCGATCCCTTCAGCGCCCCTTCAGCGCCCCTTCAGGCTCTCAGAACTTTGATGGAAAACATCCCGGAAGCTAAAAAACTGTATTTACCTTCCCCAGCCCCACCCCTACCCCTATCCCGGACACTGTAATTTAGAAGCACGCGTTTATTTGTAGGATTATTCATCGAGTCAATCTTCCCCACCAGATGTGATTCTCACGATTGTTTTTTGACTGCCAATGGTCAGCTAAGGGTTTAGTAGGTATTTGGCGATGGGGAAGCATTGGTTGCATGCATGATGGGTGAATGCTGAGGGGTCTGACTCGGCTGTGGATGGAAGGAAAAAGACCTCCTCCACCACCACCCGGGTCTCAGTGAAGGACGGGTTGGGAGCGCTCCAACAAGAACCACTGCCTGTCCCCCAGCCCGGACCCGCGGCCAGGGAGGAGGCCCCGGGGAGCCCTGGAAGGCGCCGCGGGGAGGCCTGCCTTCCTGGAAAGCCACGCTTGGAGCTGTCTTCAAAAGCGGCGACGCAGCCCCCGGCGTTTGAGCACGAATAAATCATTAGCATTTTATTTACAATTCTGGGTTTACAATTCCTGGAAAAGGATCCTGCTGTTCAGTGCGGATTCCTGCTTTGCAGGATTTCCCCAGCGCCTCCTTCCACCTCTCGTCTAGGGGGACTGGGTTCCTTAAGACTTCCCTGGACGGGAGTGCGGTGCGGAGTGGATGGGGCGGGTGGTCTCGGGAAGGAGGGGGCGCCGTCCCTCGGTCCTGCGTTTCCCGACGACCCCGAGCAGAGGAGTTGTATCCTCTCGGTTTTACCGAGAAAGGACGGTTGATCAAAGAGGGCTGGGCGTGCCCAGGGTCACACAGCTCGCTCTGAAGCTTGCGCCTAAGTCCCGGGTCTGGGAACCCCGCCGCGCAGCCGCGGACCCGGGAGCCCCCAGCGCTCGGCCCGGCTCCGGTCCCCGACGGCGCCCCGCGTGGCCGCTAGATGGCAGCCTTGGTCTCCGAGGCGGGCGGGCGGCCGCCCACCCAGGGTCCGGAGGGGCCAGCGCGCCGCTCCGCGGAAGGCGCTGTCGCTGGCACCCTAGCCCACGCTTCCGGGGCCCCAGTGACCAAAGCAAGGAAAGAGTTCCAGAAAGCAGCCCAGGCTCCCCTGTCCGGAACGGAGCGGGGGCTTGCTCCGGGCTTACCCGGAGCGGGGTCCGAGGCGTGGCGCTCTGGGCTCCGTGTTGGGGTAGGCTCCGCCGGGCGGGGGCGCCTTCAGCCCCTCTTGGGCAATGCCGGCCGCGCGCACAGGGCCCGGGGACGGTCGGGGCGAGACCGCGTGGGGTGAAATCCGCGGCAGGAGGCCGCCTGACTGTGTCCTGATCCGGTCCCTTTAGACGTGACCCATGGTCAAGCCTTCTACCTATCTCCCCTCTCCTGCTCCAGACCTAGGCATGTGGAGTCTCTCCCTAGCTGGGAGAGGCCGCGGGCCGGTCCCTGCCTGCCTCAGCCCCAGCGACCTCCACCCAGAACCCACAATGGCAGGTGGAGGCACCCGCCCATCCCCGCGGCGGCACCTGTGGGCGAGCAGAGATTGGCATGTCTCGGAGGTTGGCACACGGATGATTTGGGCCTCATCGGAGAGAGACATCTGTGTGGGCAGAGGAGGTGGTGGTGCTGGGCAAACCGTGCCTTCCCTACATCAGAGGGGAGGTGGGACTCAGGGGACTGGGATCAGTCCTGTTGTCTCTGGAGTGTGCACCGATATGAATTCATAGGTTCGTTTCATTGGCCCCTTTCTTTGGGCCTCAGAGTGGTAGGTTCTCTGCCTTTAAGGTCTGACATTACAGTGCTGGGATCTGCCTGACGTGCAGGGGAGGTCTACAAAGGACCCTCTCACCTCCCTTCTCTATTCATGCTTCTTCTCTGGATGTGGCTTCTTTCTTTTCTAGGAGGAAGGGGCTCAATTTTGTGAATTTGACCTGGCCTACAGGTCATCTTTGTGCACTGGGCAGCAACAGACCTGAACTGTGCTTCAGATTCTGAGAAATTGGACTTTGTCTTGGCCCTTGGAGGTGGGGACACTGAGGCCTAGAGGGGGAAGGCCTTTGCCAAGGTCACTTGGGGCATCCAGCTTTCCCAGTCCAGGACTCTTGTTGCTGCCAGGCCTTCTCAAAAGACATCCTCTAGATCCCAAAGTCCTTGCAAAGTTCTATACTTTGCATTGCTTTTGAAAATCATCTGAAGCTTTGTCCGAGTGCATGGGCCATTAGGTCCTAGGAGTAGAGTTGGGCACTGAAGGGTGTTGTTCCTCAGGATGGCTCTCCAGGCCTTGTCTTCCCCGGTCTGGGCCGTACAGGTCAGGTCAGATGAAGGCAGTTGGGGACTGGTGGTGTGAACATCCCTTGATCCCATCAGTAGCCCCCTGGGAAAGCCACGTAGTACAAGGATGTGAGTGGAATTGGTATCTGCCACATGTCCCTCTGTTAAGATCACAATTTCCATGACAGAGTCGCTCTCTAATGGAGCCTGTCAACTCGGCTTAGGCCCCAGTGGCTCAGAGCACACTTCCACGAGAGAGGCGGTGTGGGATCTGAGGCATTAACTGTGCCTTGTACTGGGAGGAGGCATAGGGCGGCAGAATACCTTTTCGAAGTCCCCTTGGAAACCAGTACCCGGCACCTATCATGCCTGCCATCTAATTACCCGGTAATTATTCCACACAGCCATGCAATTGGCCAGGGTCGCAGGGAGCCCACCAACAGCCCAAGGGGGAAGGTGGCTCTCTCTAGGGGCCTGCAGCTCCAGCTCTGGGCGAACAAGCCGCCTCTGAAGCCGCTGGAGAAGTACCCCTTTGACAGCACGCAAGGGCCTAGAGCAGCCGTCTTTATTGGCAGCCGGAGAGGCTGTTTGGGGAAATGGAAAAACTTGTGTCGGCGGCGTCAGTCTTGTAAAGGGGTAGCCAAGCAGTTTGCAGCGTGTTCTGTTCCTCGCGCTGCTGCCACCGCCTCGGCTCCTCAGAGCCTGCCGGGGAGGAGCGAGGGGGAGGAGGTGACCGAGTTCACGTCCCCACCGCTGCCTCTCCTGGAGTGATGGATGGCTGTCTGCTCAGGCGGGGGAGCGCCTGCACAGCTCTGCAGGGTGCGCGCTCAGACTCCCACACCTGGCGCAGAGGCTTCAGCAAACTCCCATGTCCCCCAGTGCTCGGAGAGTATGAGCTCTGGGTCAGTTAGCCTGGCTGGTTATTTCGGGTTAATGAGACCGTCCTTTTCAGTTTCACCCCGATCTGTGACAATCTCGCACAAACATCTGTCGCCTCCTCTGGGCTCCGCTCCGCCCTTTTACCGCAAACCCAAGCGTGTCTCCCTGAGGCTTAGGAGGTACCAGGATTCACCCGAGTCTTCTGAGGGTGGCACTTGGGTTAGGGAACAATTTACTCATGACGAAGACAGAGATCAGAGGGTAGGTATTGGGTCATTTCTTCTTTAAAAGATGTTACATTTTAGAATTCCATTAATTGAGGGCTGTAGTTAATCCGTTAAGTACGGGAATAAGGTTCTATTTTGTCTTTCTTTTCTTTCTACTCCAAAATGTTCTCAGTAAGTGTTCCGTAGCTGGGAATTCTGCAATCAAAACCTGGGTGTGGGGAGTGAGGGTTGGGGAGGAGAACCCCCCTGCCCCCACCAGAAGGGGCCTTGATTTTGCAGTTTGCCTCATGTCAGGGGATCATTGAGTTTAGTTCTTGATGAAAACCAAGTCTCAGCTGTGACTTCAGTGCAGGACTTGTGGATGCTTCTGCTTCTGGGGGCCAAGGTGCTTAAAAATGACCTCACCAACAATAACGATGATGAAAATAATAATGTGCAGCAGTTTACATTTTTCTTGGGCACCTAGTATGTGTCAGATACTGTGTACTTTATCTCTATTATTTCGTTTAATCTTCAGATCAGTCTTGTAAAATAGGTGTTACTGTTATTCCCATTTTACAGTGGAAGAAACTGAGGGTCAGAGAGATTAATTAACTTGCTGAAGTGACACAGCTGGAAAGAGACAGAGGCAGAACTCAGCCCAAGTCCTTTTGATTCAAAGCCTTGCACTTAATTGGTCTGCTCTATTGCTACAGAAACCTACAGTTATCTTGTTGAAAAGCATATTTGTAGTTTGGGGAAACACCCTTTAAAACTCTGTTACAGTTTTACAATGAGTTGATGTTTGGTTTGGTTTTGCTGCTTCTTTCTCTCTCTCTCTCTTTTTTTTCTAAAACAGAGAAAAACAAAAACAAAACCCCCAAATCTTTTGCTATCCAATGGGTCAGTTAGCTTACATCAGCCAGATCAGAGGAGGAAGAAACTGCTGAGTTTTCATTGCTGACTCACGTGAAAAAGAAGTTGCGTTGGAATTATTTGCCTTAAAAATTATTCATTAATTTAACCAATATTTGATACACTTGCTGTGAAGCCATCTTGAGTATCTTCCTTATGTTTCTGTGCCTTGTTTCTGGTGTGCCCCGGAGTCCAGATGGACCTGGAGAAGTCTGGAGTCCTCCCTTGGTACTCAACCACACTTGCTTGTCAGCTTCCATAAGGATGGAAAGAGGGGTACCTGATGAGAAACCCTTACACAGGCTGTTCAGCCGAGTCGGCTGCGAGTTGGCTCAGAGCCAGAGAGTGTGAGAAACTTTCAAATTTCAAAACTGCCCTGGGCCAATTTAATAAACTTCTGCCACCTCCATCCTCTCCACATTTTTGAATTCTCAAATATTCACTCCCATCTAAGACACGTACAAGAGTGGAAGGATTTTGGAATGTTAATAATGCAGAATTTTACAGTACAGCAAGGTGAATTCTCAAGGGGTGATGGTTAACATCTGCTTTCTCTTTTCCCAAGATAACAATAGGGAAACCTGTGTGCATATGCACACACCAAGCCAGGATTGTGAGGGCTGAGTCTGTCTCTCTGTCTTTCTCTCTCACTCTCTCAGCAAAGAGATACATTGTTCGCAGATCTGGCACTAGGCACAATCACCAGAAAACTTGGATGAAGCAGGCGTGACAGTGATAGGGAAAAAAAACCAAAGCCAGTCTCTCGGGGGCACTTTCTGCACTGTGAACAAGACCTTTTCTTCCGGGGAGCCTGAAAGATGGCACGAAGCACTCTCCTTCCTCCCAGTCGGGCACATTCTTAGCAATCAGCAACAGAGCTGTGGTTCTGACATGTCCCCTGGCAAGCGGCAGGAGGCTTTCTATCAGAAGGAGGCAAACGGAAGGGGCTGTCTCAGGTTCTAGGTGCAGGCTCTGGAGCACCCAGGGAGTCTCAGGCTTGTCCTCTTTGGGGGTGTCTGTGTTTCCACCATCGTAGCTGCTCTCCAGGGTAAAGGGTAGTGGCTCCCAGTGAGCTCCAGAAGCAGAGGAACCTGGGTCCCAGTCCCAGATCTGCTGGAGGGAACCCCGGTAAATTACCTCTCCCATCCTTAGTCTTCTCGTATATAAAATGGAGAGAATAATACTGGCCTTGTGGGTTGCTTAGCACAGAGTCTGACTCAATACACGATAACACTTTCAAAAAACCACACATAAATGGCTATAGTCCACACTTGTTTTCTAAGGCCTGTTTCATGCCCTTCAAGCTGCGCATCTTAGGGAATAAATTATTCTGTGACTTGGAACCAGGTGACCCGGAATCTAATTTTTGACCTAGCCCAGCCCTGTAGATTCACTTAAATAGGCCTATGGAAAATGATCCAGATTCAAATCTCAGAGCAGCAAAGACATCCTTTTAAGGGAATCTCTTGGTTAGTTCTCCGGTAAAAAATGACCCAGAAGTTATTTTTAAAAGTGAAAGGTGCCAACCTTATGTTTGCAGCCACCCAGAGATTTTTATCATGGGTTTTTTTTTTTGCTGAAACAAATGCTCCTCTGTGTTGCAGCAATGTCTTCAGTGCAGAGAAATGTGAGGAAATGGCCAGGCCTCACTGTATATATAGATGCCGTCCTAGCTGAATATTGGAAGCCCTGAACCAGTGCACTGGCTTCTCTCTTTCGTGTGCATAATGCAATTTAAATCCCTTGTTAATTTCCAGGTCGAGTTTCATTCATGAGGATAATCTTTAATTGATGTTAAATATAGGGATCAAGTTAAGTGCATTATTTCTTTTTTACAAAGTGCTAATTGTTCATGTTCTCATAAATTATTTTCTCTTCTCATGTAGCAGATTTTATGAAAGAACTTTTCAGCCAGTGCTTTTAACCTCATTGTATGAATATTATCCTGTAATCAGCAGGTCGTTCAGATCCTTCCTGTGCTGATGATCTCCATGTCACCCTTCAGAGCAGTAAGGAGAAGAAAAATGAGCTCGCTTGCTTTGAGTGTATGTATATAGGGGTAGTCTCACAGTTGTTAAAAACAATATTTATTCCTGGCCAACATGGTGAAACCCGTCTCTACTAAAAACACAAACATTAGCTGGGCGTGGTGGCATGTGCCTGTAATCCTAGCTACTCGGGAGGCTGAGGCAGGAGAATCGCTTGAACCTGGGAGGTGGAGAGTGCAGTGAGCCGAGATCACGCTACTGCACTCCAGCCTGGCCACAGAACGAGACTCTGTCTCAAAAACAAACAAACAAACAAACAAACGAAAACAAACAAACAATATTTATATCCAAATATTTTAAAACCTTAAGCATATTTTTTCTCAGCTGCTTCTGTTCCTGCTAAGACCCTTGAGGGGTTCAGCCTGAAACTAGTTTTTTGTAAAGGTTCATTAGTGTTAAGTATATTTGCATTGTTGTGCAACTCTCACCACCAACCATCTCCAGGACTCTTCATCTTGCAAAACTGAAGCTCTGCACCCATTCGACAGCTCCCCATTTCTACCTCCCCACAAGCCCTGGCAACCACCATTCTACTTTCTATGAATTTGACTACTAATTTGGTACTTCATATAAGTGGAATCACACAGTACTTGTCTGTTCATGACTGACATTTCAAGGTCACACATGGGCTTGTAGGATGAATGTGGGGTTTTATCGAGTGGTGGAGGTGGCTCTCAGTGGGATGGATGGGGAGCCAGAAGTGGGGATGGAGTGGGAAGATGATCTTCCCCTGGACCCTGGCCATCCAGCGGCCGAACTCCTCCCTGACCACCTTCAGTCAAACTCCTCTCAGCATGTCCTCAAGTTTCACCCATGTTGTGGCATGTGTCAGAATTGCTTTCCTTTTAAAAGATGAATAATATTCCCTTGTATGTATAGACCACACTTTGTTTATCCATTCGTCTGTGGATGGGCAGTTGGGTTGCTTCCATCTTTTGCCTATTATGAATAATGCTGCTGTGAACATTTGTGTACGGTCTGAAATCAAAAGGGGGAGTTCCCTGACTCCCCTTGCAGGACATGCGACAGGGGTGTGGCTCACCTGTTTGGTCACCAGTGGCTGCTCAAACCCCTGAGGGGAGGGGGAGCACGCAGACAGACAGGTGCAGGAGCCCAAGTGGGCATGTGTTACAGTGTGCCCTTTTAGCCCTGCCATGGATGGCTTGAGTGTTAACCAGCTCAGTGGACCGTCTGCCTTTTTGCAAGGGCAGAGGGCTGTGTGACAGCTTTCTGTATCCCAAGCTCTTGCCCAGAGGACCCAGAAGAATTAGGTCACACATGGGCTTGTAGGATGAATGTGGGGTTTTATTGAGTGGTGGAGGTGGCTCTCAGTGGGATGGATGGGGAGCCAGAAGTGGGGATGGAGTGGGAAGATGATCTTCCCCTGGACCCTGGCCATCCAGCGGCCGAACTCCTCCCTGACCACCTTCAGTCAAACTCCTCTCAGCATTCAGGCATTCCTTCTCTTCTCTCTTTCCCTGCTGTATCGTTCCACCATTCATCTGCTTGTCTCCTCGTATTTTTGTCTGCCCGTCTGCTTCTGGAGCAGGTGGGATAAACCTTGAACTGGATTTAACCTCGAACAGGTATGGGATAGGGTGTGTGGTGGGCCAAAAGGCAACTTTTTGGGTACAAAAACAGGACTGCCTGTCCCCATTTAGGGATGAGGGTCTCCAGGGTTAAGGGTGGGGCCTTTCCTGGGGAACCACCCTCTTCTACCCTGTGTTTTCCTGTCTCCTGTCTGTATCAAAATGACTTTTGATTATTTATTCTAAAATGCTTAGCCATGCTGAGAACAGACCCTGTGCTGAGCTTCTGTAAGGAGATGAGAAGGAAGCTTTTTCTGCCCTCTGGGAGCTTGCATAAAAAGAAAGATAACAGAGGGCCAGGCACAGAGGCTCACATCTGTAGTCCCAGCTACTCAGGAGGCAGAGGTGTGAGGATCGCTTGAGCCCAGGAGCTGGGGGCTGCAATGAGCCATGATTGTGCCACTGGACTCCAACCTGGGTGACAGAGCAAGACCCTGTCACACACACACAAAAGAAAAATTTTAAATGCATCGTTCTATTTAATCTTTTCTAAAACCTCTGAAGGAGACGCTGTGTTATTCCCATTTACACCTGAGTAAAGTGAAGTTCAGAACTGTTAAGTCACTTGCCCCAGATTATCACAGTCAGGGCAACTTGGATTTGAACCTCAGTCTACTTGATTCAAAACCTGTACCCTTAACCCAAACAATACAATACAGTGCCTCTTGCAAGGACACAAAACCCCATAAAAACAATGGTAGGGAGCTGTGTCCCCTGGGAGAGTCACAGGTATTGTGCTAGGAGGGTTCAGAGGAGGATGAGATGGCTTTCTTCTTGGGATCAGAGATGACTTCTTGGGGGAACTGATGTTTGGGCTGGAGCTGGGAGAATGAATAAGTAGGATTTGGGTGGGCAGAGATGAGGGTGGGGGAGGCAGAAGATTGTGCAGGAACGGATATCACGAACAAACGCCCAGGGAGAAAAGGTATGAGAGGAGTCCAGGGTAAGGCAAGCAGTTTGGGCGGAGTTTGAAAGCCCGTGCTAGGAGCTAAAGCTCTAGAGATATTCATGAAGTCAAACCCTCTGAGCTGGAAGCAATGAGAGGTGCAGACTCTATTTTACAGAAGAAGAAGTCAAGCAGTAGGGAGGCTGAGCCACCTGCCGAGGTCCCAGGAAAACAAGGCTCAGCTCTCCAGACTCCAGTCCAGGGCTTGCTCCATAGCAGGTCGGAAGAGGCTGAGGATCTGGTTGTGTGGATGATGAGAAAGCCCTGAAGATGTTGCAGCAGAGGGATGGTGCAGTTTGGATCCTGTATTCTAAGCCTCGGACCCACAGGGCAGTCCTAGAAGTGAAGGTGGTGGTTGGGCACGGTCACATAGAAACAAGGGCTGCTACGACTCAGGAGCCCTGCTGGTTCTGGCCATGGGCCTGTGCTGAGTAGACAGGATAGCCCCTCCCCACAAACTCCTGCTAGAAGCCAGGAATTGTATCCCTACAAAGCTACTGGGTTTGCTTCTTCCATAGTGGGTGAATTTCCAGATTTTTTTTTTTTTCTGAGAAAGAGTCTTGCTCTGCTGCCCAGGCTGAAGTGCAGTGATGCGAACTCAGCTCACTGCAACCTCTGCCTCCCAGGTTCAAGCAATTCTCTGCCTCAGCCTTCTGAGTAGCTGGGACTATAGGCATGCACCACCATGCCCAGCTAATTTTTGTATTTTTTGTAGAGAGGGGTTTCTCCATGTTGGCTAGGCTGGTCTTGAACTCCTGGCCTCAAGTGATCCACCTGCTTTGGCCTACTGGGATTACAGGCATGAGCCACTGCACCTAGCCCAGACTTTTTTTTTTATTTTTTTTAAATAAAACAAAAATGAATGGCCAGGTGTGGTGGCTTACAGTGTAATCCCAGGACGTTGGGAAGCCGAAGTGGTAGGCTCACTTAAGCCCAGGAGTTTGAGATGGGCCTAGGCAACATAGTAAGACCTTGTCTCTACAAAAAATAAAAAAAGTAGCCAGGTATGGGTGGTGCACACCTGTAGCCTCAGCTACTCAGGAGGCAGAGGCAGGAGGATCGATTGAGCCCACGAGGTTGAGGCTGCAGTGAGCCGTGATTGCACCACTGCACTCCAGCCTGGGTGACAGAGCAAGACTCTGTCTTAGGGAAAAAAAAAAAAAAGAGCTCGTTTTGAGTGTTTGTATGTATGAGTAGGCATATTGGAGGCAGTGTATACCAGGATGGTTAGGAACACATGCTCTGGAGTCAGATGATGTAGGCTGGAACCCACCTCTATACTATAGTTTTCTTGGTGTAAAAAGAGAAATGTAATAGGGCTCTCGTGCAGATTAATTGAAATATTGCATTGAAGACAGGAGGGTGCCTGGCATTGGAAAACACCAATGTTCAATGTTAGTGGTCATTTTCCATGTGGTTATTTCCAAGATGGCTTGGGAAGATATTTTGTCCTGAGGAACAGCCCAGGGCAGTCACACAGCACTGGCTCTTAGGCTGCAGAGCCTGCCCTGGGTTGAGAGCAACAGAGAAATCAGAGGGCCCAAAGGCTAATGCCAGGTATCAAGCCTTTGATGTGTGGATTTTGATGGCCATGGTTAAGTCTGAAAAGCTTGCTGCTTGGGACTGAAGTCAGACCTTTCTGTTCTTTCATCCATTCCACAAATTATTATTAATGGCTTGCCATGGCCAGGCATTGTCCAGATGATGTTGTCTGCACGTGGAAGTAACTGAACCTCTGCACAGGCTGGACTTGGCATTGTGTAACTCCTGCCCAAGGCATGGCCCTTCACGATCTATGGAAGCGTTGTGGTGCATGCCTGTGGCAGGATCTGTTTTTGACAAATGAATGAATTTTGCTTTGTTTCTATTCCTCAATCCCTGTGCTCCAAGCCAATAGCCTGGCCCTTCCACTTCCTCTGCCTCAGGGATTCTTACAGGAGGCAAAGCAGGAGTTGATTGACGAGCTAAGTCTCTTCTGTAAAAGTCAAAGCCCCTTGCATAAATGATGCTGAGTGTCTTAGAGAGTGGGAAGCACCTTGGAAAACATTGAGAGAGAGAAGATAGAGCCTCATGGTCCCTCCAAGGGAGTCACAGGGATCTATGTCCAGGAGAGATGACATGACCTCAGAGGGCAGGCTGAGTCTTGTGGAAGTAGCAGAGCCAACTGGCTGGCTAGCACTATAAGGCTGGGATCCCCAGGCATCTCTGCAGGAACAAGTAGGGCAGATGACTGATGGGTGACCAGAAGCCCTCTCTGGGGCTTGATGTGGCAGAAGACTCCAGGATCCTAGAGCAACCCCAAGGCAGAGAAGACCCCTATTAATGACAGATTAAATTTCCCCTGGTTTAGAGGGCTGGGTCCTCAGAGCTGGACTTAAGCTTAACAAACATAAAAGTATTCCTTGGACACTTGAGTTTGAAGATTACAACTTAATACCTGCTGCACTGACTCTCCATTTTAGCCACACAATCCCAAGAGGGAAGTAGGGCAGGCACTGATAACCACCTGACAGGTGAATAAGCGTGCTCAGAGGAGAAGTGCAAGCCAGAGATGTGTTCCAGAGACCCAGGAGGAATGTGGATGGCATTGTTGCGAAGGGCTGGCAGGTCAGGACGCAGGCCAGGGCTGTAGCCGAAACACCTGTGAGGAGCCAGCCTTTCTGAGGACAGCTGGGGCGGAGGCTGGGGAGTGCAGTCGCTCATTCAACACAGATATGATGCATGGGGACAGTGCTGGGTCCTCAACACGGAGCACTGTAGCTCTCCTCTGCCGCCCTCCATGAGCACCCTCCCCCACATCGATGGGGTTGCTCTGGGGGCTCTGGAAGCCCAGAGGCGGGGAAAGAGTGAAATTCTCCTAGGCTGGAGGTTGGTGGGAGCTGGAGATGGGAGGTTGGAGGGGTGGTTTCCAGAGGCTGTGATATCTGAGCTGCAGCTTGGAGGACAGGTAAGTGTTAGCCAGGTGGATGAAGGATGATGGGGGCTCCAGGCAGGAGGAAAAGTGTAGAGGTAAGACAGGGTAGGTTGAGGGATCCCAAGAGACTGGGTGAGGGCAGCCTTGTAGGTGGAAGACAGCAGGACGGGACAAGGCATGGCAGGCTGTGAATCCGGATCTGTGCAGGTGTGCAGGTGTGTGTGTGTCAGGGAGAAGGACGATGTGGCTGACCATTGTCTTGGGAAAAATTTCCAATTCATGACCATGGCCCACAAGACCCTTCCTGATCTGGCCCTGTAATCTGCCCTCTGACCCCATCGCATGACCCTGTCCCCTCACACTCTATTTTCCAGCCTTCTGACCTTCTCCAGTTCCCCCATAACACCTCTTCTCTTGTCAGATCTTTGAGTCACACATGCTGTTCCCTCTGCCTGGAATTCAATTCTTCCTTGCCCCTAACCTGCCTAACTTTTTTTTTTTTTTTTTTTTTTGAGACGGAGTCTCGCTCTGTCACCCAGGCTGGAGAGCAGTGGCACGATCTTGGCTCACTGCAAGCTCCGCCTCCCGGGTTCATGCCGTTCTCCTGCCTCAGCCTCCCGAGTAGCTGGGACTACAGGTACCCGTCACCACGCCTGGCTAATTTTTTTTTTTTTTGTATTTTTAGTAGAGACGGGGTTTCACCTTGTTAGACAGGATGGTCTCGATCTCCTGACCTCATGATCCACCTGCCTCAGCCTCCCAAAGTGCTGGGATTACAGGTGTGAGCCACCGCTCCTGGCCTAACTTTTAAAATAATTTTCACTTGCACAAGTAATGCATGATCTCATTCTCTTTTTTTAGAAAATTTTATATACATATCATTTACATACCATACAATTCACCTGTTAACAGTGCACAATGCAATCAATGGTTTTTAGTATACTTACAAAGTTGTACAACTATTACCACTACCTAATTTCAGAACAATTTCATCATCTCCAAACAAAGCTGTGTATCTGTGAGCAGTACCTCCCCATTCCCCTCAGCCCCTGACAACCACACATCTACTTTTCATCTCTATGGATTTGCCTATTCTGGACATTTTATATAAATAGAGTTGTATAATTTGTGGCCTTTTATGACTGGCTTCTTTCATTTAGTGTAATGTTTTCAAGGTTCATCATGTTGTAGCATGTATCAGTACTTCATTCCTCTTTATGGCTGAGTAATATTCCATTGTATATTCCATATTTTACTTATCCATTCATCACTGATGGACATTTGGGTTTCTACATTTTGGCTATTATGAAT
This sequence comes from Homo sapiens, assembly GCF_000001405.40. NCBI lineage: Eukaryota > Metazoa > Chordata > Mammalia > Primates > Hominidae > Homo > Homo sapiens. The sequence goes on along the minus strand of NC_000001.11, from coordinate 38,806,207 downwards.
AATGCTGCTATGAAACTCATGTACAAGTTTTTGCGTGAATATGTTTTCATTCCACACCTGGGAGTGGAATTGCTGGGTCAGATGATAACACTGTTTAACTTTCTAAGGAACTGCCAACCTGTTTCCCAATGGCTGCATCATTTTGCATCCCCACCAGCAATGTACAAGGGCTCCAGTTTTTCCACATCCTGTCTCTTTGGTTGTAGCCCTCCTAATGATTACAAAGTGGTTTTGATTTGCATTTCCCTGACGGTTAATGATGTTGAGCATCTTTTCATGTGTTTATGGGCCATTTATGGTATCTTTCAGAGAAATATCTATTTAAAATTTTCCCCATGTAAAAATTTAGTTATTTGTCTTATTATTGAGTTGTAAGAATTCTTTATATATTCTGGATATAAGCCTCTTACTAGATATATGATTTGCAAGTTTTTTTTTTCACCATTTTGGAGGTGATCTTTTCACTTAAACTTTTTTGCAGCACACAAATTTTAAATTTTGATGTAGTTTTTCTTGTCTTCTTTTTGTGTGTGCGTGTGCTTTTGCTGTCACATCTAAGAAACCACTGCCTAACCAAAGGTCACAAAGATTTACTCTCGTGTTTTTTTCCAAGAGATCTATAGTTCTAGCTCTTACATTTAGGTCCTTGATCCATTTTGAGTTAATTGTTGTATAGGATGATGTGGCTGTCCTGTTGTCGCAGCACCGTTTGTTTAAAAGAGTAGTCTTTCCCCATTGAATTATTTTGGCAACTTTGTCAAAATTAATTGACCATACACGTTAAGGATTTACTTCTGGACTCTCAAATCTCTTCCACTGATCTATGTGTCTGTCCTTATGCTAGTGCCACACTGTCTGACCATTGCAGCTTTGCAGTAGGTTTTTGCAGGTGCTTGGCGCATGAATGACGGGTGTGAGGGTTTGTGGAGGAGTTTGTGGGGCGGAAAGAGGCAGCGGCTCCCTTTGGCTGATGCTGGGGAAGCAAGTTTGTGCACACACATGGGAATCTCAGGGCTTCTAAGCTCCTTAACAGGTGCCTCCCCAGGTACAGGCGTCTTCTCCAGCCTCCTCCTTTGAATCCATTTGTCCCTGAGATCCTTCCAGGGCCAGGAAACTGTACTCATATACAAAGTGCATTCCTTAGTCTACGGTAGAGATGAAGACCGCTGCTCTTGGCTGCTCCCTCCAGCAGTGCAATAGCTTCCTGGCTGTCAAGGTCTCTGCCAAGTCACTTCACCCCCTGAACACCATTTACTTTGACAGTATTAATACCCACCTCTCAGGGTTGGTGAAGAATAAATTAGATAATGTGTCAAGCACTAAGATATGTGCTTTACAAGCGTTTACTCCTGAGATATGTAGCCTCAGCCTCATTTATAAAGGCGGGGAAACTGAGGCACACATAGATGAGGTTGTAGATAGGGCCTCACATCATTCCGTGGCAGAGCCAGCATTCAAGGCCACCTCTTTCTGGCTCCGCGGAGGGCCTGTGCGCTCGGGCCAGAGTTGCAGGGACGGAAGGGGCCTCTCTGGGTTCTAGAAGATCCTGCTCTGTGCAAAATTTGGGGCGAAGCCTGCCCTGTCGCCTTCCCTTCCCAGGCTCTTCTTTCTTCCTGGCATGCCCTCCCCGCCCCTCCGTCGCCCCCCACCCCACCCCGCCCCACCCCACCCCAACAACCCCCGAGAGATCTGGCTGGGCCGTGCGGGAGGCAGAGGTCTCGGGGACAGCCGGGCCCGCAGCCCGCAGCTCTTTCTAAAACCAGGGCAGCTACGTTCGGCCGCGGTGGCTCCTGCGGCTCCGTCCGCGGTCCGGGATGTGCCGAGCATTCGGGCTGGAAAATGAGCACAAAAGAACACACAGGAAGGCTTCGGAGATGCTAATGCGGCGCCCGCGCTGCTGCCGGCGGCGCAGCCGAGGGCCGCGGTCATGGCGCTGTGCCTCATTATTACCGCCGGTGGCCCGCGGCCGCGAGCAGCGGGGCGCGGGACAGCACGCGGCGCGGCTGATGGCTGCGCTGATGGCGCGGCGGAGAGGTTCGCGGGCTCAGCGGGCGCCGAAGCGCACCGGGCTGCGCGCGCTCGGGCCGGCGCCAGCGGCCACAGCGGGAGGGTGGGGCGTGGGCGCCTCGCCCCCAGCCCGGACGCCGCCGAGGCCTGCCCCTGACTCCGCATTTCTATTAACTTTCGAATTAAAAAGTATTTCTTTTAAGATCAAAAAGCGATCAATGCTAGTCGGAAAAAGTTCAAACAATACCACCACCCTTCCTTCTCCAAATCTCTCTAGAGGAAACCACTGTTTACAGATTGGTATGTAGCCTTCCAGACTTTTACCTACTGATAGCGATTTGATTTTTTAAAAAATTCAAAATCGAAACAATACAGTTTTGTTTTTGTTTTTCACTCCTAAATGGAATTCTGGTATACATTGTGGCCTCTTACTCGCTTTTTTCATGTAAGAATGCCTGGAGATCTTTCCACGTTAGCAGGCATAGACCTACCCAATTCTTTCCAAAAGCCATATTTGAGAGTACTAGGGGACAGTGATGACTTTAACCTTTTTCCTTTTTCCAGCGACTACGAATTGAACACTTGCTGCATGCTAGGACTTTAAGCACCTTACCTGTATCATGTCTTTTTTTTTTTTTTTTTTTTGACAGAGTCTTTCTCTGTCGCCCAGGCTGGAGTGCAGTGGCGTGATTCCGGCTCACTGCAAGCTCCGCCTCCCGAGTTCAAGCAATTCTCTTGTCAGCCTCCCAAGTAGCTGGGACTACAGGCGCGCGCCCGACTAATTTTTGTATTTTTAGTAGAGATGGGGTTTCGCCATGTTGGCCAGTCAGGCGTCGAACTCCTGACCTCAGGTGATCTGTCCGCCTGGGCCTCCCAAAGTGTTGGGATTACAGCCATGAGCCACCGCGCCCGGCCTGTATCATGTCATTTAATCATCATCACAGTTCCAGAAGGCAAGTGTAATAATTCCCCTTTTAAGGAATGGAAAAACAGGCACAGAGAGGTGAAGGAACTTGTCTGAGGTCACATAGCTAGTAAACTGTAAAGGTGGGATTTAAGAACCAGGTGGACTTTGAATCTTGCTCTTTTCTCAAAGCTCAGTGCCCAGCTAAATGTGTCATGCAGTTCACTGAATATTAGCAGGCAGGCACTTTCCCTACCCTGCAAGCTCCTTATCCCCACCCTGCAAGCTCTATCCCTCAGAGGAGCCCCACAACTGTGTTTCTATGGGATTCCGTGGGAGTCTGCTGATTTCATCCTGCTGATTCTAGCCCAATGATATTGATCTAGGGATTAAATAATTGAAATTGTACTGTATTTACTTGGTAGAAAACAAGTATTAAGGGGTATAAAATGAGAAATAATTATTTCATTCTGGATTTCCAGTTTCCTTTCCAGAGGAAACCCTCATGATCAGTTTCTTATGGATCTGTTGAGATATTTTCAATGCACATGCTTTTCCATATAAGTGGTAGCATTCACACCTTGCTTTTTCCAATTAACAATGTATCTAAAGATCATTCTCTCAGCACATATAGCTCAATCCCATTCTTTTTCTTCTTATTTTTAAGTTCAGTTTTGGTTTTGGGATAGGTCATACGGGCATACTGTTACAGGATCCTTGGGGTGTCACTTTTCTGGCTGGAAACCTCTGTGGCTGGTGGCACCTTTGCCTGAGTTTTGCTCAGGCCCACTGGGCTCTTTCTGCCCACTTGGCCTGGCAGGCTGCACTGACCTCAGGTGATCTGCCTGCCACCTCATGCTACTGGCCTGGATCCCACACTTGCCAAGGGTGGGTCAGTGTGGAGTGGTGAGGGGTTTGTGAGTGAGCATGGGGTCTGGCCACTGTGCAGTCAGGCATGCCAGCTGCTGCAGTGGGGTGGGCAGCTCCAGGTGCCAGCATGGGCACCAGCTCTCTGTGAGGCTATGGCTGGACGAGGCACACTGCAAGCAGCTTCCATGGCTGGCACCAGGGAAGGCGGTGGTACCTGGAAGCTTGGAGATGCCAGGAACCACCGGTCTCCAAAGAGGGAGTCACAGCCCTGGCTTAGGGAGCTCCCAGGTCTGGGCTCCCCAAAGGGCCACAGCTCCTCTGTACTTCTCTTTGTCCGCAATGTGGTGAGCAAGGGGCGTGTTTCAGCCCTGTTGGTGTTACAGCTCTTTTAGCCTTGCCATTCGATGGGTCCCGAGTTCTTGTCCTGTGACCAGGAAGAATGAGGTATGCAGGCAAGTAGAGAGTGAGTAAGATGAAGAGGAGCTTTATTGAGTGATAGAACAGCTCAGAGGAGACCCTCAGTGGGTAGCTCTTTTCCACAGCCAGGGTGTCCCAACGAGTATTCAGCTCCTATCAGAGAGGAGACCCTAGAGTGGGAAGCTCCTCTCTGCAGGCAGGTCGTCCTGTCATCTCTGCAGCTCTCAGCAGAAAGGGGGCCCTAGAGTGGGTTGCTCCTCTCTGTAGGCAGATACTCCCATTGTCTCCCCAGCTCCCAGCAGAGAGGAGGCCCTGGTGTGGGTTGCTCCTCTCTGCAACTGGTAGTCCCGATGTCTGCCCAGCTGTCAGCAGAGAGGAGGCTGTGGAATGGGTAGCTCCTCTCTGCAGCTGGTGGTCAGGAAGTCTGCTCAGCTCTGGCTGAGCCTAGGGCTTCGATGGGCCTCAGAGGGAAGGAAATGCATGCCGATTGGTCCATGGGTCACCATGGGCAGGCCCAGAAAAGGCACCGCAAGTTTCCAGTCTGTTTCCCTGGTCCCCGGGACTGGTAGCCCAGCTCCCAGCCTTCAGGCCTTCCCTGGCCTGAAGGTGGGGCCTCACTGGGGATCCACCCCTTCCACCCAGGAACCTATCTGCCTCTCTGCCATTCATGGCATCCAGACTATAGGTGCCAAGGGTCACCTACAGGCCAGCATCAAGCTGCCCTCAGGACCCCCTTGGCTTCCTTCCTGTGCTCATCAATACCCAGACTGGAGCGGGCTGAGGCGGCAGGGGGGCTGGCATGTCAGCATTGCCCTGAATGTGTGCACACCTGGCCAGGCTGCGACAGCGCCCTAGCTCGACCCCGACTTTGCTCAGAGATTGGGGCGGGCACTGACAGCAGGGAGAAGCCAAGCAGTGGGAACAGGCACTTCCAAGCCTGTGAGAGCAGAGGGGTCCTTCCTGGGCTCCTAAGAGTGCAGAGACGCCGGGGTCTGCAGTCTCCATTTGGGCAGCTACAGCTGCGCTTGGGAAGGTGGGGCTCCTGCTTGCTCCCAGCCCCAACAAGAGCACAGGGAGGCCTGGGTCCATAGCCACTACTTGGGCAGCTGCAGCTGTGCCCAGGAGGGCAGGGATCCCGCCTGTTCCCAAGCCCTGAGAACACAGGGATGCCTGGGTTCTGCAGCTGTGGCTTGCATGGCTGTAGCTGCACCTGGGGAGCTCCTGCCCCAGCTTTTATTGCACTTTGCTTTATTGCACTTTCACAGAAAATGCATTTTTTTTTTTTTTAACAAATTGAAGGTTTGTGGCAACCCTGTGTTGAGCAAGTCTATCAGCACCATTTTTCCAACATGTGCTCACTTTGTGTCTCTGTGTCACATTTTGGTAATTCTTACAACGTTTCAAAATTTTCATGATTATTATATCTGTTATGGCAATCTGTAACCAGTGATCTTTGATGTTACTATTATAATTGTTTTGGGGTACTATGAACTGTGAACCTAATCCAATAATGTGTGTGTTCTGATTCCTCCACCAACCAGCTATCCCCTGGTCTCTCTCTCTCTCTCTCCTTGGGCCTTCTTACCCCCTGAGATATGAAAATATAGAAATTAGGCCAATTAATAACCCTACAATGGCCTGTAAATGTTCAAGTGAAAGGAAGAGTCTCACATTTCTCACTTTAAATTAAAAGCTAGAAATGATTAAGCTTAGTGAGGAAGGCAGGTCAAAGGGCAAAACAGGTCAAAAGCTAGGCCTCTTGTCTAAACAGTTGACAAAGTTGCAAGTGCAAAGGAAAAGTTCTTGGAGGAAATTAAAAGTGCTACTCCATGAATGATAAATCAGCCTTATTGCTGACACACAGAAAGTTGGCGTGGTTTGGGTAGAAGATCAAACCAGCCACAACATTTTCTTAAGCCAAAGCCTAATCCAGAGCAAGGCCCTAATCCTCTTCAATTCAGTGAAGGCTGAGAGAGGTGAGGAAGCTGCAGAAAAAAAGTTAGAAGCTAGCAGAAGTTGGTTCATGAGGTTTAAGGGAAGGAGTTCTCTCCATAACGTTAAAGTGCAAGGTGAAGCAAGTGCTGATGTTAGAAGCTGCAGTAAGTTATCCAGAAGATGCAGCTAAGATAATTGATGAAGATAGCTATGCTAAGCAACAGATTTTCAATGTAGACAAAACAGCATTCTATTGGAAGAGGCTGTCATATAGGACTTTCAAAACTAGAGAGAAGTCAATGCGTGGGATCAAAGCTTCCGAGTACAGACTGTCTTGTTACAAGGGGCTAATGCAGTTGGCGACTTTAAGTGGAAGCCAATGCTCATTTACCTTTCCAAAGATCCAAAGACCCTTAAAAGTTACTAAATGTACTCTGCCTGTGCTCTAGAAATAGCAAAACAAATGTTTTCTATTTATGACAGCACATCTGTTTATAGCATGTGGTTTACTGACTATTTTAAGCCCATCATTGAGACCTACTGCTCAGAAAAAGATTCCTTTCAAATTATTATGCCAACCAGCAATGCACCTAGATACTCAAGAGCTCTGATGGAAATATACAAGGAGATGAATGCTGCCATAGATAGTGATTTCCCCAGTATATTTGGGCAAAGTAAATTGAAAACCTTCTGGAAAGGATTCACCATTCTAGATGCTGTTAAGAACATTTGTGTGTGACTCATGGGAGGAGATCAAAATATTAACATCAATGTGAGTTTGGAAGAAGTTGATTCCAACACTCATGGATGACTTTGAGGATTTCAAGACTTCAGTGGAGGAAGTAACTGCAGGTGTGGTGGAAACAGCAGGAGAACTAGAATTAGAAACAGAGCCTGAAGATGTAGCTGCATTGTTGCAATTTCACGATAAAATTTTAATGAATGGTGAGTTGCTTCTTATGGATGAACAAATAAAGTGGTTTCTTTTCTAAAAATTTTATTTTTAACTGCTGTGGATACATAGTAGGTATATATATTTATGAGGTATATGAGATATTTTGATACAGGTATACAATGTGTAATAATCACATAAGGGTAAATGTATCTATCACCTCAAGCATTTATAATTTCTTGGTTTCTTGAGATGGAATTTACTGCTGGTGAAGTTGCTGTGAACATTGTTGAAATGATGACAAAAGATTTAGAATATCAGATAAACTTAGTTGATAAAGCAGCAGCAGGGTTTGAGAGGACTAAGTCCAATTTTGAAAGAAGTTCGTCTGTAGGCAAAATGCTATCAAATGGCATCACATGCTACAGTGAAGTCTTTCATGAAAGGAAGAGTCAATAGATGCAGCAAACTTCATTGTTGTCTTATTTTAAGAAACTACCAAAGCTACCCAACCTTCAGCAACCACCACCCTAATCAGTCAGCAGCCATCAGCATGGAGGCAAGACCCTCCACCAGCAAAAAGATGACGACTCGCTGAAGGCTCAGGTGATCACGAGCATTTTTTAGCAACAAACCATTTTAAAATTAAGGTTTAGACATTGGTTTTATAGACATAATCCTATTGCACTTAATAGACTACAGGATAGTGTAAACATAGCTTTGATATGCACCGAGAAACCAAAAAATTGGTGCAACTTGTTTTATTGCAGTATTTGCTTTATTGTAATATTTGCTTTATTGTGGTGGTCTGGAACCAAACCTGCAATATCTCTGAGATATGCATGTACATTCAAAAATTCAAAGATCAAAGTAGTAGAAACATGAATGCATTGAGAAGTCTTGCTTCCACCGCTGGCTTCCCTGTCGGGGGTTCCTCATGCATTTGCTTTTATATGTGTGTCTTGCCAGGGTCTTTTATACAATATTCATTATACCTCTTATGTATTTAATTATCTTATTGATGAATGTTTAGGTTTTTCAGGTTTTCCTTCTTTTCATTTTTCTGGTGATCACATAAAAAAGCTGCATCAAACATCCTTGTACATACTTTTTGCACATGTATGTGATCATATCTGTAGGAAATATTCTTATCAGTAAAATTGCTGTGTTGAAGGACACGTAAGTTGGAAAAGGTGAAACTTACTGCCAATTTGTCCTTCAAAGAAGCTGCAGCAGGCTGGGTGCAGTGGCTCATGCCTGTAATCCCAGCACTTTGAGAGGCCAAGGCAGGTGGATCACCTGAGGTCAGGAGTGTAAGACCAGCCTGGCCAGCATGGCAAAACCCCATCTCTACTAAAAATACAAAAAATTAACTGGGCGTGGTGGCGCATGCCTGTAACCCCAGCTACTCGGGAGGCTGAGGCAAGAGAGTAGCTTGAACCTGGGAGGCGGAGGTTGCAGTGAGCCAAGATCGTGCCACTGCACTCCAGCCTGGGCAACAAGAGCGAAACTCCATCTCAAAACAAACACAAACACAAAAACTAACAAACAAACAAAAAAGAAGTTGCACCAATTTTTACTCCTGTTGATGGCACATGAGTGTGCCAGTGTCTCCATACCTTCACCTACACTGGGTGTTAGTACATTTTTACATCTTTGCCAATCAAATGGATGAAAAATAACAATCCCTTATTTTAATTATAACTGCTGATGAACACTTTTTTGAATGTTTAAAAGTCACTTGTTTTTTCTTTTTTGTCTCTTACCATTTTTTCTACTGGGTTGTTGGACTTTTTCTTGATTTTGGAAACTTCTTACATAACATTATGGATGCTGGTCTTTTCCTAGTTTGCAGTCGTCTTGATTTTGTTTTTGTTTTGTCTGGCAGATATCTCTAATTTTTTGTGTAATGAGATTTGTTAGTTTAAACATAATTCCTGGGATATATGTCTTACTTAGAAAGACCTTCAAAAGCCTTGTTTTGGTGTCAGCACATGACCTGTCTGATATGAAAAAAAAATTTCAAAATTTCAAAAAATATTTTTCATGTTTTCTTTTGTATTTTTATAATTGTATTTTTCAATGCTTATATCTTTTATCTATCCAGAATATATTTTAGTATAATAAGTGAGGTAGGAGTTTAGCTCCCCCCACCAAAATGACTAAGCCAATTGTCCCAACATGTTTATTAAATAATAAAATTTCCTCTGTTTTGAAATGCCGTTTCTATTTTATACCAAATTTGTATACATGTTTGTATCTCTTTCTAGACCTTCTATTTTTTCCCTTGATTGGTCTGTCATTTCATGTTTCAGGACCAAATTGTTTTAATTATTGATGCTTTGTAATGTGTTTTAAAAGGTGGTAGGGCTAGTCTCTATGCCCAACTCTTCTCTTTTCCAGAATGTTTCTGGCTATACTTATGTTTATTTTTGCATGTGAACTTAAGATTTACTCATTTTGTTCCAAGGAATATTCTATTGGTACTTTATTGGGATCACATTAAATTTATAGCATAGTTTAGGGAAAATTGGTATCTTTATTGAGTTTTTTTTTTTTTTTTTTAATTCGGAGCTTGGCTCTGTTGCCCAGGCTGGAGTGCAGTGGTGGAATCTCGGCTCACTGCAAGCTCCGCCTCCTGGGTTCACACCATTCTCCTGCCTCAGCCTCTTGAGTAGCTGGGACTACAGGCGCCCACCACCATGCCCGGCTAATTTTGTTTTTGTAATTTAAGTAGAGACGGCGTTTCACCGTATTAGCCAGGGTGGTCTCGATCTCCTGACCTCATGATCTGCCCGCCTTGGCCTCCTAAAGTGCTGGGATTACAGGCGTGAGCCACCGCACCGGCCTTTATTGAGTCTTAATCAAGATTACAACATGACTTTGATTGCCTCTGAGACAGAGGCAGTAAATGCTCACCAAATATTTTATTTGTTCCCCTACATTTTGCAGTTTTTTGCAGTTAGGCAGGTCCGCATAACTAGTTCTGGCCAGTAAAATGTGGGCAAAAGTGACACGTGACACTTTGTGATAGAAGCAATGACAAGCCCAAGGGTTATTCTTTACGTTTTCTTGCCATATTGTGGTAATCATGGAAGCACAAAGTCAAAGCAAGACAAGACTATTGCTGAGACACATGCTGAGGCTGGCTGCCCTGAGGAATGATCCAGATATACAGTTGACTTCAGGTGAGAATAAATAATCATTTATTGCATTAAGCCACTGAGATTTTGGTGCTAGTTATTTCTGCAACATCATTTAGCCTATACTGCCTGATACACCCTCAGTAACATTTAAAAGTTGTACTCATATGGTTCCTGCACATCCTTAATAGGTTTTTTCTTTTTTATGCTATTATAAATGGGATTTAAAAACTGCCTATACATTTTCTAATGGCTTATAATTTATATATAAGAAACCTATTAATTTTTATATATTAAATGTATAATCAGTCATCTTACTGAAACGGTTAGATTTTCTAATAGAATTTCAGTTGATTATCTTGAGTTTAACCTTTCTTTTTTTCCTTGTTCTTCTTATCTATTTGCTAGTATGGAGACTGAAAATGAATTGCTCTTGGGCCAGGTGTATTTTCAGTATTTTCAAAACAATTAAAAATCTTTTTTAAAAAATTGATTTCAGCAGAAAAGTAGGAAAGAAAAGAATTGAGTTTTAACACATATACTAAAGCTGAAATCCTAGCGTATCTTGCAATTTTAGCTGATTTGACAATGCTGGAGTAGTATTCCTGCAGGAGAGAATACACTGGAGCTCATGAGCTCTAGACTGTAGAGTTTAACCAGTCCTTATTTTTTAAAACCCAAATTTCTTTACTTTTTTTTTTTTTTTTTTTTTTTTTTTTTACCTTACTGCATAGTCCCTAAAGGCATTTGAGTTTGAAATCTTGCTGGTATTTTCAGAATGACATTAAATGATATTGGTGATGGTAGGTATCTCTGACTTATTTCGATTTTAATGGAAATGCTTCTAGTATTTTACTGTTAAGAATGAAGCAGGCTCTTCCCCCTAACATTTTATTATGAAAAATTTCAAACATACAGATGAGTTGAAAAAATTGTACAGTGAATACCCCTATACTCAGTACCTAGTTGCTATAATTAACATTTTACTATCCTTGTTTTTATTATTTTCCAACCATCTGTCCTTCTCTTCATTCATCCCTCAATTCATCTTATTTTTTTGATGCATTTCAAAGTGAATTGAAGACAACAGTATACTTTATCTCTAAAAAAGTTTAGTGCGCCTATTATTAACCATAATTCAATGTTTGTTTAAAGTTCTTTTTTCTTTTGAGGTTAAAATGTACACACAATTCAATGCCCAGATCTCAAGTATACTAGTCTATGAGTTTTGACAAATTAATATACTTGTGTAACCCAAACTCCTATCAGGACATAAACTATTACTATGATTCCAGAAAGTTCTGTTGTGCTTCTTCCCAGTTCAATTTCCATTCCTCCACCCCCAGCAACCAGACTTCTGATTTTTTCCCCTGCCACAGATTAGTTTGACCTATTCTAGAACTTTCTATAAAAGGAATCATACTCTGTTAATCCACATTGCTGCAGAATCCTTTTTATGGCTGAGTAGCGTTTCATTGTTATGGCCTGCATGTTTGTGTCTCTCCCAAATTAATATGTTGGAGCCCTAACCCCCAGTGTGATGATATTTGGAAATGGGGCCTTTGGGAGGTAATTAGAGTTAAATAAGGTCATGAGGGTGGAGCCCTGGTCAAATGGGATTAGTGCTTCTATAAGAACACCATAGATCTTGCTCTCTTTCCTTGCCATGTGAGTATATAGCAAGAAGGTGGCCTTTAGCAGCAGCCCAAAGAGAGAGCTCTCATCAGAACCTGACCATGCTGGCACTTTGATATTGGGTTTCTCAGTCTCCAGAATGGTAAGAAAATAAATTTTAGTTGTTTAAGCCATCTAATTGATGGCATTTTGTTATGGCAGCCTGAGCAGATGAAAACATTCATTGTGTGAATACACTGTGTTTAACCATTATTCTGTTGCTGGATACATGAATTCTTTCCAGTTTTTGGCTAATGTGAATAAGGGTGTTATGAACTTTTGTGTATGAGTCTTTTTAGGAACATATTTCTTCATTTCTCTTGGGAGAATAGCTAGGAGTACAATTGCGAGTTGCAGGGTAGGTATATGTTTAGTTTTATAAGAAAGTACAAGAACTTTTCCCAAAGTGCTTGCCATGTTCACAACAATGTATGAGAGCTCTGGTAGCTCTATATCCTTACCAGCACTCAGTGTTGTCTGGCTTTTATTTTTTTTAATTTTAAATTTTAATTTTTAAAAATATATTTATACATAAATAGGGACAAGTTCTCACTAAGTTGCCCAGGCTTGTTTTGAACTCCTGAGCCCAAGAGATTCTCCTGCCTTGGCCTCCCAAAGTGCTAGGATTACAGGCATGAGCCACCACACTTGGCCCTGGCTTTTGTTTTGATGCTAAATATGTATAATCATGTTAAGAAAGTACCAATCTATTCTGATTTTATTAATCATTTTTGTTTCTGTTTTTAAAATCTGGAATTAATGTTAAAATTTATGAATTATTTTCCAGCATCTGTATGATGATCATATGGTCCCCATGCTTTGATTTGTTATTTCAATGACTGATGGTAATAGATACCCTAAAATTGAACCATCCTTGCATTCCAAGGAGGAGCTCTATTTTATCATGGTATGTTAGTTTTTTAACATGTAGCAAGATTCTGGTTGCTAATAGTCTACTTATATTATTATTTGCTATTCATAAATAAGTCAAACCAATTTCATTTGAATTATTTCTTTGTAAGGTTTTGGTATTAGTGTTATACTGGCTTTGAAAAATCAGAACTTTTGGAAGCTTTTTAGCTTCTGCTCTGACCCAGTGATTTTGGACATGTGGTTTCTGTATGACTTTTTCAGCTTGTTGATTAGATGATTTTTGTCCTCCTAATACAGTTATTGGCAGATCCATGCTACCTGTTGCTGTTTGAGGACCATGTCTATAGCCACAGCATACTGAGGAAGTATAGCTAGTGGTTAAGGGGACAGGCTCTGAAACCCAGTGGGGTCAAATTCTGGCCTTGCCACTTTCTAGCAGCATGGAGCAACTGAGACTCAAAGAGGCAAATGTCTGGGTCAGAATATAGAGGTAAAAATGAGGCTTCCAAATCCTCATCTATAAAACAGGGACAATAATAGTGTCTGCCTTCCAGAGTAGTTGAGAGATGCAGTGATAGGTAAAGATACTTAGCACAGACCCTGGCGCACAATAGGCATGCAGGAGGCCTTACAGCAAAGCTGGTTCCAACCCTTCAGTCAAGTCGAACCAGTCAAACTGTCACAGCCGTCTGCCAATTCACAAAATTGGTATCCTTTTCCTGGTGACAACATTTATTTCCAAGAGAGTATAAGGATGTGAGAAATGTCACCCCAAGTTTCCCTGGGAGTTCAGCTAGACTGGTGATAGAAGCCACATCCTATGTAGGTCCAGCCCAACCCACTGGGACCCACAGAGATTGGTCACCAGGAGTGATGTTGCCTCTATCCCTCATTCCCTTCACCTGCTCCTGTTTTTGTTAAATAAGTGAAATAGATGAGTGATGGGAGCAGACTAGGTTCCTGGCTGTTGCTGCATTTTTTTTTCTCTTTTTCTTCTTTTGAATAATTTTTTCTAATTTTCATTTTTTAAAGAAGCTAGCTCTAAGGCTAAACTCTTATCTAAGTTTATCTTATCTTATCTTATCTAAGCTCTTATCATCCTACCTCAGTGGGAGTGGAAGTTTCCCCGGATCTCTCCAGTGGAGAGGTAAGAAAGGGTAGGGGCACTGATGGGAGACAGAAGCTGCTTAAGTGGGGAATAAGTCCCCTGTTCCTGTAGGTGTTTGAGCAGAGACAGGATGGTCACTAGGTATAGATGCTGCAGCAGGGATTCAGGCATTAGATGGTGGAGGTGGGCATGGGAGACCAGGCTGGGTGAGTCTGGACTATGAATAACTATTGGGAAGAGCTTTAAAGGTAGACAGACCCGAGTATGAATCCTACCTCTGCAAATCCCCAGCAGTGTGAGCTCTAGCAAGTTACTGCTTTTCAGAGCCTTAGTTTTCCCATCTATGAAATGGCACAATAATATGTGCCCCTAAGAGGTTGTGAAGAGCAACTGGGATAATGGGGATAAAATGCTGTTTCTTGTTATCTGGAGATTCTGTGAAACAGAGGATTTTCCCTAATGTTTAGTAAGTTGTTTTTAGCATCTGCCCCTTTGCTCAGCCTAACCCCATCCTTTCCACAAGCACAGATTGTGCCTCAGTTTAGAGGTTTCCACATTAGAGGGTTTATATTTCATGGAGACTGCATCTACAGGGTCAGGGACAGATGTCAATATGAGTAGATACTGCTGTGTACTTGGATGGTTCCTGTTATATTTGGTCTCATTGGCTACTTTCCCCAAATTTTGTAAATTAGATATGTTGGCATCATTTGGATGTCCATTTTGGCAAAATGACTTTCCTTGGACTAGATTTGTGGCTGCCTTGTGGCCTCCCATGGACCTGTGGAAGGTCAGGCTTGATTGTGAATTCCATTGTGCTGAGAGGGTGGGTGGGGAGAGGGACAATATAGGTGAATGCCAGTGCAAACCATTACATTTTTGAGTGTTTGGCTAACAATTTATGATGCAGAAATTTCCAAGACAGGAAAGATTTGGAGTTTAAAGCACAAGCCTGTCTTGAGGTTTGATGGTTAAACATTATATTCTAGAACTACAAGATGTAACAATAAAAAAATTTGGGAAAATTTCCCTATAATGGCAGATGGAGATTAAAATGCATTTGGGGAAATTTCCAACATACATGAACATAATGGATGAAAGCAAGTCCTAAATGAACTAACCTGTGGGAACTGAGCTCTGCCTTCACATCTCCAACTAAAGGGGGGATTCAAGAGACTGATGGCTGCCTCTAGGGTCTCTGGATGATCAGATTGTAAGGGGAGGGGCAAGAGTTAAACAGCTACAGCAGCAGGTTAGTGAGATAAAGCAAATCTGGAACAGGAAGGTAGTTTGGGTTTGGAGTTTCAGATTATAAAACATGCCAGGACCAGTGAAGATCTAATCAGTGCATTAGGGACATAGAATGATGCCCATTCTGCAGTGACAGCAAACTGAGGCTTGGAAACACAAGATTTCTAGAGGCTACCAAACAAGTCAAGTATACTTGAGACAATAATGCACATCTTCTTCTTGGTCTTCTATATGGATTTCTCCATCTAGGTACCAGACATACCCTAGTGTTTTGTCTGTGTTGGCATGAACACTACCAGAATTACAGACTCACCTTCTGCAAGTGCTAATGAGCAATGTGGAGGAGAGAATCCATCAAATCCTAGCCAAAGGCTATATCCCATGAATTGCATGCGAGAGAGGTCATCTGTCCTGATGCCTGCAGCTGGCCCTCTTAGGAGGCTGACTCTAGATGACTCAGGGTGCTCCGTCCTCCCTCATTGCAGAAACAATTCAAAGACAAAGTCGCCTGGTAGGGGAAATGTCTCTGGGGTGGTGGAACGCCCATTGCTACTTATCAGCTGTGGGATCCTCAGTAAGCTGGGGCTGAGGGACAAGTTGGTGGCGTGCTTTATACTGTTTGATGTGGCCTGTCTCCTCTCCCCTGCCTCTACCAAATGTTCCTAAGTTCTATTGGAACTCACCAAACCCTCGGTGTGAATGGATTTCCAGTGGAAGCTGGTTCAAGAGGCTGAGCTCTGCACTTGGGGGATGTGGGGGCAGGACAGAGACATTGAGGGGAGCAGAAGAGCAGAATCTAGATCACAGGTGTGAGGCTGGGGTCTCAACCCACATCCTGGGAAGGCTTGAACAGCCCCTATTTCTGTCTCCCAGGCTGCGATTACATCTGGATCACATTATCAATACCTCCAATTTACAGTGGAGGAATCTGAGCCCCGTTCTTTCCCCATCTGGAGCTTTAGATTCTGACAGCCACACTCTAGGCTGCTTCTCCTGAAAACCCTCATGCCCAGGGAGAGAAGTGGTTTGCTGTTGGGAGCTAAGTGGTGGCCTGTGGAGAGATAAGCTGTAAAGACATGGACAAGGCAGGCAGGAAGCGGGACTTTGCTATGCTCAAGGCCACTCAATCCAAAATCTATGTGGGTTTTGGAGGCTGTTTTCTAGACCTCTTTGTTCCTACTTGGCCAAAGGCCAGACCACTCCCTGCAGCAGTTCTTGGCTCCTTTCCAGTGCCTTGTGCCCCAGGCCCTGGAGGACCGACAGCTTCCCATCCCAGCATCCTCACTGGCATTAAATGCATGCATTTCAGCACCAACAACAAAAGCACTAGAGAAAAGGAAGCTCTTTTCTCTAGAGCATTTATTATAAGGGGCCAATGGTACCCGGGGAAAAAAACACTGACTTCCAAATTCTGCTCTGGAAACCAAACCTAATTTAGGGAAGTACGATATGCTGAAGAAAGATTGCCTCTTAATTTTAGATTCATGCGGAATGCAGGCAGGAAGGCAGAATTCCTTAACATAACACAGTGTTTTTGGTGGTGTAACAGAATAATAAATCCTTAAGGAATTCCCCAAGCAAGGTAAAGTAGGATAATATACATTTCTTAATATTGCAGAAGTTTTCTTAATCTTATTGTTTAAACTTTTCAATAAACTGTAATGTTTATTAGTAGTTTTTCATTTCCAACTGTCAGATAATTCCTTTTGCTAAGTTGGGATAAACAGGGTCCCCTCAGTGCCTCTGGTTTCAGTTTTGTGTGATATATATCTGACCAGACACTTGATGTAATAGAGAAGTATTGTGTTTTCCACTGTGTTGAACTTAGAGGTTCAAACGTGTTAATGCAATTGAATTGATTGTAATATTTTATAAAAGTTTCTCCAACGGAAATATTGTTAGCGACTCGAGTTGTCAGGGTTATGAGAGGACACATAGAGGCTTGCTGGCAGCTTCTGGCCACATATGTTCCTCCAGGGGCAGGCAAGGGGGCGTGGTGTGGAGGAGTTCATTTCTCCACTTGCTAGGAGAAATCAGAAGGAAGCACAGCTAGGTTTTCCCCAGAAAGGTCTGCAGAAGAGACAAAATGCATTTGTGTTTTGTAAAGGGTATGCATTCATCCTCCGTGAGTGTGTGACCCAGCTGGTTCCACACAGGACCTCCTTTGCCAAGCACCCCAAATTTTGAGTTGATAGGGAAGTAGGGAAAGCCACACAAAGCTGGGGATCGAATGGAATTCCAAGCTCCTTTTGCAGGAAAGAGATGGGAGATGGTAACGTTAATCACCACTGAGAGAGAACTTTTTCTTTATCAAATGCCCTAGAACTACTGTTATTCTGTGCAGTATTCCCGCAGGGGAAAATCCCATCTTAAATGATCAGCACAAGTGATAAAGAAATTCATTTTTATCTTCTCCCAGACTCTCTTTTTAATTGATTTTTTCCCTCTTGGAAATGGCAAATAATTTAACATTGTTACAAAATTCCTTCCTCTCAATAGCAGAGGGGGGAAATTAACAATCACAATAAGGAAAAGGGTAAAATCCCACTCGGCTAATGAGGTATGTAACTGAGCCATTAGTTCTGCTTGAAGCCCCTGTCAGCCCCAGATTAAGTTGATGGCCGTTCCCGGTGTTTTCAGCTTTCTTCAGGAGCATACTCTGCATACACTTTTACCACCTGCAGCGTGGCTTCATTGCTGGTCTTTCAGAATTAAAAGAAAAAAATCGGCCCAGGATGTTTTCTGCTCTCTACGAGGTGCCAGGCTGATGGAGAGGATGCTCAGGGCACAAGCCTGGTGGTTTTCTGATGCTGGATCCCAGCTTCCTGGCATTCTAATATTTAGCGAGAAGAGTCGTCTGAATATAATTTTCAGAAAAGACTGGATTGAATGGAGCAATCAGTAGACAAGGGTTCTGAACTCACCTTTTGTAATTTCTTCTTTCTTCTTTAAATGATGCTGTAAGCTGGTCAGGACCCATGGGGGTTGGAGGCACAGAAGCAAGCCTGTCTTCCATAGGGTTGTCCTTGAACGAAGTTTCTTTTTTGCCTTAGGATTTAGAACTGCTCTTAGGCCTGAGAATGGAATCTGTGCTCTCCCATACGGTAGCCACTAGCCACACATATCTATTTAAATTTAAGGAATTAAATAAAACTATAATTAAAAAAATTTTTTTTGGAGACAGAGTCTTGCTCTGTGCAAGTCTCACTCTTTTTTTTGAGACAGGGTCTCGCTCTGTCAACCAGGCTGGAGTGCAGTGGTGTGATCTCGGCTCACTGCAACCTCCGCCTCCTGGGTTCAACCGATTCTCGTGCCTCAGCCTCCCGAGTAGCTGGGATTACAGGCATGCGCCACCACACCTGGCTAATTTTTGCATTTTTAGTAGAGACGGGGTTTCGCGATGTTGTCCAGGCTGGTCTCCAACTCCTGGCCTTAAGTGATCCATCCGCCCTGGCCTTCCAAGGTGCTAGGGTTACAGGTGTGCGCCACCGCGCCCAGCTGGAATTACACTCTTGATTATCACATTTATCATGTTTTTTATTTTCTGTATTTTATGCTGCTTTGCCATCTTGGGGGCGTTGTGAATCCTAGAGAAGACTGCCCCTTCCAGGGCTAGCTAATTCCTAGTGGTAGCAAAAACTTGCCTGAGAGTACATCTTTCATATGCAAACCAAGCAATCCAAATCTTATGTCCCCAACCACCTCCTCTATCTAACTATCACACATGAAGCCAGTATTTCCCTTGCTGGAAATCCCCCCAAGGCCAGGGACTAGACAATTAAGAGACCACCCCTGTAGTCCAAAGCCCACCCAAATTATTCAAACTATCCAGTCCCAAATTTGCTCCACCTGGCCTGCCTTCCCTTGCCCGTTCCTTCTTGTGGAAACCACAGTGAAGGCCCTGGGACTGCTCTACTCTGGCTTCCCCTGCCTCCTGACTCAGGCTGGTGCCTCACTGGGTGGCCGTGTGTGGTGTGGTGAGCCCTCTTCCTCAGGAGCTATAAGTAATAAATCCTTCTTTCAAGGCAGCTGTCTCTACGTTTGTTATCTTGCCATATCTGGTTATAACAAAATTTTGGATACATTATAAAACAATTATTATTATTATTATTATTATTATTATTTGAGATGGAGTCTCGCTCTGTCACCCAGGCTGGAGTGCAGTGGCACGATCTCGGCTCACTGCAACCTCGGCCTCCTGGGTTCACGCCATTCTCCTGCCTCAGGCTCCCGAGTAGCTGGGACTACAGGCGCCCGCCGTCATGCCCTGCTAATTTTTTGTATTTTTTAGTAGAGGCAGGGTTTCACCTGACCTCGTGATCTGCCCGCCTTGGCCTCCCAAAGTGCTGGGATTACAGGCATGAGTCACCGTGCCCGGCCATAAAACAATTATTTAATGACAATTGTGGGAGGTGCTACAAGAGAGAAATACAGGATGCTAGGAGAGTGCATAGCTGGGGATATGACCTAAACTCGGGGGGGACTATAGTCAGGAAAGGATTCCCTAAAGAAGTGGTAATGAGTTTGAGACCTCAGGAATACGGGGAAGGGGACAGAGGATATTCCCAGCAAAGGGAATGAAATATGCTCATGTCTCCAGGTAGGAAGGAGAATAGTATATTCCAGGAACTGGAAACCATCTGTCATCCTAAGGAATTGGCAGGGTAAATGCCAGGCAAAAGCATTGGCTGTGATTGCACCCACTGAGTGTGGAGGTCGAGCGTGATGTTAATGTAGCACCCTCCAGAATTCCTTCAACTCAGGGCTTCAGAGGGTCTGTTCTACATGTGACCTTCAAGAGAGGCCCCAGGTTTCTCACCCTCTCCTGGAGCTGGAGCCACAAGCCTTTCCTGGAAATGATGTCAGTTTGGCTTCCAGTTTCCAGGGGAGTGTCTGGGTAGGGTGTGGCAGATTGTAATTTCCGAAGATGGCCGCACTGTTATAAATCCGACTCATGCTCTTCTTGCTATGTGAGGTTGACCCTCTCCTTGAACCTGGGCACACCTCTCTAATGGCTTCAGCCGAGAGAATATGGAGGAAGTGAGGCTGCATGACTTTGGAAGTTAGGACATAAAATATGAGAGGTGGCATGTCTTTCCCCACTCCTCGCCTCCCTTCCCTTTCCTCTCCATTCCCATTGGGATCCCTGGGCTGCTGTGTGAGAAGTCTGACCACCTGGAAGCTGACATGCTGGAGAGATCATGTGAAGAGCTTGTGTAGAGCAAGAGGGAGATGGCTGAGGAGCCCCAGCTGGTTCCAGCTTCTAGCAGAGGCCCCAGAGATCATGGAACAGAGATAAGCCACCCCTGCTGTGTGCCCTGTCCCAGTTCCCATGAGCATAATAAGTGAATGTTTTATGCCACTAAGTTTTGAGATAATTTGTTACACAGACGTCATCACTGAAACAGTGAGTCTGGTGGGATCCTTGGAGCTTGGGGAAAGTAACAGCTTTTCATCTTGGGTGGCCCAGAGCATCCCTGGCATGTGCTGGAAGCAGAGGGGTGCTTTTTCAAATGCAGTCAGACCTTGCAATCTTAGAATTTGGATTTGGTTTAGTTTCTAATCAGGCTTGGGCTAGAACTCCCCAGAGCACTTTCCATCAAGAAGGGATTTTTGAAAGCAAATAGGAATGGCAACTTGAGTGAGGGGGGAGGGCTTTAGTTACCTAAGAGGAGGACTGATGTTGAAGAGACCCAGCCAAGTGTGCGTCACTATTTACACATAAACGATTGATATGCTTACCACAAATCCTTGTCTATTCACCAAAGCAGGCCCCTAAGGACCTAGTTATGGAAACTACAACTAGGTTTGTTAGACTTAGAGCTTGGCTAATGTCAATCTTGTCACTTGTACTTTAAAAAGTAGTAATTGATGAGTATTCTCCAGTGGCTCTTAAAATCCAATTTTTACTTTTTGAGATGAGACCAGCCAGCCCTTGTGCTGGTCTCATGTGGACAGTCATTTCTACTTCTTTTTTTGTTTGTTTGTTTTTTTAAGAGATGGGGACTCACCCTGTCACCCAGGCTGGAATGCAGTGGCACAATCATAGCTTACTGCAGGCTTGAGCTCCTGGGCTCAAGCACTCCTCCTGCCTCAGCCTCCCGAGTAGCTGAGACTACAGGTGTGCACCACCATACCCAGCTAATTTTTTAATTTTTCGTAGACATGGGGCTTCACTATGTTGCTCAGGCTGGTCTTGAACTCCTGAGCTCAAGTGATTCTGTCGCTTCTGCCTCCCATAGTGGTTGGATTATAGGTGTGAGTCACCATGCCTGACCAATTTCTATTATTTATTGAGAGCTTCAAATGTGCCAGGCAAGTGCTGTGCTAGATGTTTGTACCTGGAACATTCTCATGTAACCTTTGAGGGAGATTCTGTAATTATCCTTGTTTTGCAGATGAGATCATGGGTCAGAGGCGTAAAGTGACTTGTTCAAAGTCACCCAGCAGTGTGACTCCAGTGCCTGAGTGGGAGTGGGTCATCATGATGATTCAGCCTCTCCAAGGGAACCAATCTTTCCAAACCGTCTGGTGGAGAACAGATGGCACAGCACCCAGGAGTCCCCGAGCTGCCCAGCCTCAAAGATGCTCCATGTATGTACATGGGTGGGAGGCCTTGAGGTGCCAGAGCAGTGGGGTGTGTGACCTTGGATAAGTCATGTCTATCTCTTTGGGTGGTTGGGTTTGAAGCTCTGTAAACCCTCTTCCCAGTCTTGTCACAGAGAGGCTCTCAGAGTCTGTGGTAGCAAATATCCCTTTAGGTTGCGGCTCCTGTTTGCAAAGCATGTTACAGATGCCTTAATTAATTATTCAGGCTGACATCTCCACCTCCAAAATCAGAGGGTTGAGAAAAGATCATAGGAATACAATGAATGTGAACTTGGCTGATAATGGCTGGTCCCAGGGTGGTGAGAAGAGAAGAAAACCCTCCAAATTGGTCTTCCCTTACACTTTGGCCCCGCTTCCGCCAACGGCCAAGATAAAACTGTCCTCCTTCAATAATTAATGAGCAGGATCCTGCGCTCCTGGCCTGGATCCCCCGAAGGAGACCCCTTGCGGTGGCTGCGCTTCCGGAAGCTTGCGCGCGTGTGCACACTCACGTGTGCCAGCCCGGTCGGGGGCGCGAACACTGAGTCACGGCGGCTGACCCAGCAAAGTGCTGGGAGTGTGACCGGAATGAAGGGTTGCTCTGTCTGTCTCCGAGGTGGCATGGCAGATCAAATCACAGCGGATCAGGCGCCGAGATGTTGCCTTGCTCTGAGTGACAGAAGTTAATAATTAGTGACAATGATTGACAGATACACTCCATCTGCTGCTCTG
This sequence comes from Homo sapiens, assembly GCF_000001405.40. Taxonomy (NCBI): domain Eukaryota; kingdom Metazoa; phylum Chordata; class Mammalia; order Primates; family Hominidae; genus Homo; species Homo sapiens. The sequence continues at coordinate 38,783,813 of NC_000001.11, read as the reverse complement.
ACGCCTAGGAGCAGTTATTCCACAACTGTCTGCGGGCACAATGAACTCCCCCGGGAGCGCGGGCTGGCCCGTGATTGACAGCTGCCTCCAAGAGAGACAGGCCACTGACGGGAAAGCCGCTGTCAGCAGAAGCGCTCCGTTCCCCCCCCCAACCCCCCTCCTGTGTTCCCGAGGAGGCTCACTCGCTGTATACATTTATTCTGTTTCATTTATCATGTCAGCCGTGGCTTTAAATAGATTACTAGCTAGCCTGTTTTTTAACTGGAGAGTTTTCTATCGGTAAATTAGAAATATCTACCTATGTCGGACTACTTCCTGGGATGCAAGCCTTCCTCTTGTTTGTTCTCTAGATAGATCCAGGAGAGGACGAGGAGCTTGCTTGGGGTTTCAGGTTTAACTGATCTTTCCATTAAAATCAAAATGGAATCTTTAACCAGAAGCCCTGTAAAAGGGATTGAGTGTTACTTGGTAAACTTGGGCTCAAAAGTCCAGAGTGAACTATGAACTATTTATTCCCTAAGAAAATAACATATCTCTGAGGGTGCCTTTGGATGACATAAGATATTCGTGTTTTTAGACAATAAGAAGGATTCCTGGACAATTCAGAACCCCAGCGTTCTCAGGATGAACTGTTTATTCTCTTGTGGGTTCATAGTCAAAATCTGGTACTAACTAGCTGGAAACTCTTAAGTGTGGGTTACAGTTCTATCTAGACCAAAGTCCTTGCCCCCATTTCTTTCCTGAATATTTTTATTCTAAATTAAGGCTTAGCTTCAAACCAGTAGCAGGAGGACTCTGATACCTTCTAGCTCCATTATAAATAGGAAAACAGAAACATATATATTTCTACTAGAGGAATTGTCGTCACCTAATTGTTCCTACTTATAATTTGTTTGGCTTTCTGGAAAAATGCATTTTAATTTTGCTTCATTTAGGATCCCACAGATATGCTTTCCGGGCCGTCACTTACTCCCCTCTCTCCTTTCGTCCCCTGATGCCTCAGCGTAATTTAGAGGACTGTCCATCTCTGTTATGAATAAAAGCCTACTTAAATCCTGCTATTTAAAATACAATGAACCCTGTTTATATTGATCTCATTCAGAATGTTTTCCCGCATATGATGTCCATCTTTTAAAGTATGGGTCATGTTTCCTCTTAAGATGTTTTCTTATCTTATTCCCCTAAAATGATATAAACAGTTTCAGGATTCTTGATAATTAGGTATGCGGGTAAAGAAAAGACATCCTGTTCTTTTTCAAGTTTTTTAATGATCAGGATACCAGAAAATGAAGTCATAGGGACCACAAATGTTTGTTTCTCATCCAGGGACCTGCTTTCCCTCTTGTTTCTATAGCAAGGAAATTTACAAGGACATACGATGTTAGTGGCAACTTAGCCCACCCCTCCAGGGGTGAGTCAGCCTCAGTGTTACCCCAGAATGTTAAAATTGTCCTGTCTCCCATTGTTAAATGTGCATCTCTGTGTCCTGCAATAAACAAGAGGGCATGAAACACATGTACAAGTGTGTGTGGCTGTTTTCGCTCATATCTTTTCTAGAGAGACTTTGAAGAAGGTGTGTGGATGCAGCTCATTTGTTTGTTTTTTGGACCATCAGGTAGAATGTCACCACCCTCCATTTCCTTACTTAGGACCTGCCCCAGTTAGGGTTACAATGACCAAAATAGCCAGCCAGGCACTGTGCCAGTCCCACTGACACAATGGGAAACAGAGACCCTCAATAGTGTACCATCTATTGAGAAATTGAATCAGTAAACAGGAAGTATACCGTCTCATGACTAATGCTGATTTGGGGGAAGAATGTGGCTGAGGGAGCCTGCAGGAGAGGCACTCAGCTGGTCCAGAAATCTTTCTAAGAGGAAACCTGATGAAAGGGACTGGGGTGCAGGGAACAGCAAGGGTGTTTCAAGCATCAGAAATGGCTGGTCGGAAGGACCTAGCCAAAGTTCAAGTGGCTGCTGTGGAAGGCTGAAGAAGAAGCTGAAGTCACATCACTGAGGCCTTTTCTGCCATGCCAAGGAGCCTGGACTTAAGAATCTGTACTTTAGGAGGATCACTCTGGCTACAGTGTGGAAAATGGTTTGGAGTGGATGTGAGACAGGAGGCAGTGTGTGATTAGAAGGCTGTTACAGGTATGACCTGGGTTCAGGGAGCAAAAGACGTCAAGGAGAGGCACAGGCTTTAGTAATCGCAACCGAGTGAGGTCCTGCTGTCTAACTTGAGTAACTGGATGGATGGGGAGGCTGTGCTTTAAGATGAGGAACTTATGAGGAGGAGCATGTTGGGGTGGGAGGAAGATGAAAATTTCAGACATGTTGAGTGTGAAGTGCCTGCAGTCCAGGCCAGCTTCATGGGTGTGTGACCCGGGTGGTCGCCCTGTGCTCAGGAGGGCTCTGAGTGTGTTTGTATGCTCTTCTATCACCATCTTGAAATTCTTAATACATTTTTTTTTATCAGGGGCCTTGTGTTCTCATTTTCTTCTGGGTTTGTGTGCAGTTCAGCCAAGTGGAAAAGTCAGGCAAGCAGCTTGGGATCTGGTTCTGGCAGTCAAGGCTGGAGAAAGAAGCCCGGGATGCTTCAGCATAAGGAGAGGTACTTAAAACCCTGGGAGAGGATGGGCTCACTGCGGGACAGCATGAGGAATGAGAAGAGAAAAGAGTCACGGGTAAGATCCTGAGATCCCCAGCACTTTAGGATCAGCCTCTAAGAGGGTGGGACCTCCAAATGCAAAGACCCAGTTACCTGTTGCCATGTTTTGCCTTTTGAGATGAGGCAGTGAAGGTTAGCCACTGTCTTAGGTCTGAGGAGCGTCTGGATTGGTCTCAGGTTATCAGCTAAATGGCAAATCCAAACAGCACATGAAAAAAAATTATGAGAAAGTATCTATAGCTATTATTAAAGACATTTGCAGCACTCTCCAGATTTCAAAGTATCTTCATCCATTCATTCAACAGATATTTATTGAGGCTGGGCATGGTGGCTCACACCTGTAATCCCAGCACTTTGGGAGGCTGCGGCAGGAGGATTGCTTGAGCCCAGGAGTTCAAGACCAGCTTGGGCAACATAGCGAGACCCAGTCTCTAAAAAAATAACAAAAACAAAAACAAATAAAAACAGATATTTATTGAGTATCTACTATGTGTCAGGCACTGTGTTGGCTGCTAGGGATGTATCAGTGAACAAAAGGGACAAAAACCTCTACTCTCATGAAGCTTCCATTGTAGTGAAGAGAGATAGACAGTGAGCAATAAACATAATACATTCATAAATTTATTATGAATTTATATTAGAAGGTGATAACTGCGTTGGAAAAAATAAAATCTCACTTAACTTTTCTTTGTGAAGAAAAAAAAGCGTTTTGTCTCAGGTGATATGAGACGTCATGTATGAGCCCTGGGGCTCCATCATTGTCCTCAGGTTTGGTTTCATTCTCTGCTTCCTCTGTGCTGATTCTATTATCAGGCAGATCCTACCCTCGTGGGTGGTCAGAGATGCTGAGCAAACACCCAGGTGCATATCTAGTAGAGCAGAGTGAGTGTCTGCTCCCACCTTGCTGGCAAAAGCCCTGAGAGACACTCCAAGTGGACTGGCTTAGGTCCTTTGCCCTCCTCTGAGCTAGTCTTCTCCCCTGTAATCTTTGCAATCACTCAGTGGGGAAGCTGCCATTTCCATTTCCCAGGAGGGGAAGACTGAGGCCAGGAGAGGAAGACTGAGCTTCCCAGGGCTGTACACTTAGAAAGTGGCAGACCTGGGACCTAGGCCCAGGCTGTCTGTCCCTAAGCTTGTGTTGTGTCCACAAGAAGTTCCAAGGCAGAGTATAAATAAATTTAAATACATCATTTCTCCCCAAACCTACTTTAAGGTTTAAAGGTGGCTAATTAAAATAACCATGAAAGACTTAATTAGGGACATGGTTAGGCAACAATTGCTTACAAATTCATGGGAATCCTAAAAGTATAGGGATTTAGACATTTAAAGACTCTCCAGTCTAATCCTTGCCTCTGATAGGCGAGGAAATTGACGTCTAGAGAAGGGAAGGAACTTGAATGGTCACTCAGCAAGTGGAGAAAGGGCAGGGCTGGGAGGGAGGCTAGGATTCTGTTAATCTGGACCAGCGTGAGTGGATCAAACCTCTCCGTGGTGTGTCTGAGCCATTCAGCAGCCACTTAGATTGTCTATGCTGGGCTAACATCTACCAACTGGATAAACACTAGATTGTCTAATGAATATTCACGGCCTCTTAACAGCTTGTTTGCCAATTTAACTCCCCACTAGTTTTCCTTGGTGATAATAATAATAAAATAATAATCATACCACACCCTTATCGAGCAGTTACTGGATGCTAGATACTGTACCAAGAGCTTTACCTGTATCAACATACTTAATTGCAGCAGCAGCCCCAAGAGATAGGAGGTATTTCTAATCCCCATTTTACAAAGGAGACAACTGAGCTTTAGAGGATGAAAAACTCACCCTTGGTCTTGGATAGTGAGCGCTGGAGAGCCCAGATGTAAATCCAAGTCTGTTTGATTCTCTAGCCCAGGATTTTAATCACTGGAAGAGCAATAGTTCTTTTTTCTTTTAAAAAAGAAACTTCAGCCGGTTGCGGTGGCTCACACCTGTAATCCCAGCACTTTGGGAGGCTGAGGTGGGTGGATCATGAGGTCAGGAGATCGAGACCATCTGGCTAACATGGTGAAACCCCGTCTTTACCAAAAATACAAAAAATTAGCCAGGCGTGGTGGTGGGTGCCTGTAGTCCCAGCTACTCGGGAGGCTGAGCCAGGAGAATGGTGTGAACCCGGGAGGCAGAGCTTGCAGTGAGCCGAGATTGTGCCATACGCTCCAGCCTGGGCGACAGAGTGAGACTCCGTCTCAAAAAAAAAAAAAAAAGAAACTTAAAAATTAGGATTGGATACAAAGTACAGCTTGTCACTTTCCCAAACACTACCTACCAGCACATTTCTTTCTTTCTGAGGTTAAGTCAGCCCCTGCTGGGGATAGAAATCATCAGTTAAGTAACAAAGTGCACTTAACACCACTGAGGTTTAGAGCTAAAGGCCTTGATAAGGTGCTTGACTGGTTCAAAGAGATTTTGAAGCAGAATGAAGCAGAACACCATCAAGCCCTGGGACAGAAGCCTTCACCATCCTCTGCATGGTGACATGCCTGTTTGGAAGGATTTATGCATCTCTGTCAAATGTATGGTCTGCGTGGGCTTTCCCCAGGTGTCACTGCCATCAACAATGTCAAGAGAATTATCAAATCAAAATAAGCACAACAGCTACCACTTCTTGAGTGCTCCTGTGCTGAACCCATTAAGAGCTTTGTGTAATTACCTCGTTTAATCCTCAGAAGAGCTGGTGGGAGAACAGAGGTAGGTAGGTCCTGTGAAGTAAGTACAATTAGAATCTCCAATTCACATAAAATAAACTCTAGTCTTGCTTAGAGGGGGTTAAAGGACTTGCAGAGGGTAATAGTTTCTAAGTAGCAGAGCTGGAACTTGAACTCAGGTCTTTGGGGTCTAAAGGCTGCCATTCAGCCACCATGCTATACAACCTGCCACAGAGGCTCAGAGGCACTTCAGAGGTGACTGAGGCGGAGGTTAGAACAGGGCAGGTCCCAAAGCAAGCTGCTGGAAGGTCCAGGACAAGAATCCAAGTGTCCTCACTCCTAGCCTAGCACCCTTTCGAACACACTTAAGAGCTATTGAGCAGCTTATTCTTCAGTGATTCCTAAAACTGTCCCAGAAGAAAAATTGATGAAAGTTTTTTTTTTTTTCCTAAAACACTTCCCCAACTCAATATGCAATTAGCCATTAATACTCGGAGAGTTTGGCTTCAGTCCTGCCCATTGCCCTGCATTTTTCAGTGGCTGTCGATGACCTCATCTCTGTCTTCATCTTTATTGAGGGACAGTAGCGTGCTCAGCCAATGAACCTTCCACCCTTAGCGCATCATGCCATTCCCAACAGCGAGCCTCTCTGAGCTCCAGAGACTAAGCCTGGAGATAGGGTTATAAAATAGGTCGCCACTTCTGTGCAGTTTTGTCACTGCAAATGTGTACACTGATAAGAGGAGCCAACGTTTACTGGAGGGTTTATTGTGTGCTTGGCTTTCTGTATAACTTGTCTCATTTAATCTTTACAATCACTCTCTGGAGGAAGTATTGCTTTTAACCCCATTTTACAGATGAAGAAAATAAGGTCCAGGGAGATGATGAGATGTGCTCAGGAACATGGGCAGGAAGTGGCAGAGCAAGAACTTAAGCCTCTAGAGTTTGTATGACTCAAGATTCTGTGCTTCCCTCATGACTCTTTTTTTTTTTTTTTTTTTTTGTGACAGGGTCTCACTCTGTCACTCAGGCTGGAGTGCATTGGTGTGATCACAGCTCACTGCAACCTCTGCCTCCCAGGCTCACGCGATCCTCCCACCTCAGTCTCCCAAGTAGCTGGTACTACAGGCATATACCACTACACCCAGCTAATTTTTGTATTTTTTGTAGAGACAGAGCTTCACCATGTTGCCTAGGCTGGTCTCGAACTCCTGGGCTCAAGGGATCCACCCGCCTCAGCCTTCCAAAGTCCTGGGATTACAGACGTGGGCCATCACACCGTGACTCTTGACTGCATCTTTTGGAGGATTATCCCAGCTTGTGGGGAAAACCTAAGGAGACATTTTCCCTGCATGTAGCTCATGTGGCTCTTGGGGCATGGTGGCCAAGGCTCCCCCAGGTCTCTGAACAAGGACTAGCTGATGTGCCTGAGAATTGTCCACCTCAAGACCTAAAGATTATCTAATTGAACTGCCAAGCCCTTGCTACAATGCCTTAGTTATATGATCTTTTGTCTTCTGCTTGAACATCTAGCAGATATTTTTTAAGCCCCTTATATGTGTTGGGTACTGCACCAGTTATAGGGATGCCATGGTGACAAGACAGGTGTTTCCTGCCTTTTCTCAGCTCATGCTCTAGTGTGGAAGACAGACAATGAAACAAGTAATTACAGTATTGTGGAGAGTATACAACAATGGGGGCAAGTACAGACTACTCAGGGACACACAGCAAAGCATTGAAACTAGCCTGGATGGGGGCCATCAGGGAAGGCTTCCTGGAGGAGGTGAGGTTGGAGATGATTTCTAAAGAAAGAATAGGTGTGTGTTAGGCAAAGAAGGGGTAGAGGACTGTTCTAGGCAAAACCTGAAGTGAGAGACAATGGAGAGCTCCTTTCAAGACAGCCCATTCTATCTTTGCATACACTTGACTTGCCTAAGGTCATACACCTAGGAAGTAAGGTGGTCTGGTTCCATAGATGATGCTCCTAGCTTCCACTCTGTTCCCTTTCTTCTCTTGGACATTATGGCTGGATGTGATGCTTGGAACTGCTGCCACTGTCTTGGCACCATGAGAACAGCCAGCCTGAGGGCAGAGCTAATTTCCTGAGGATGCAGAGTGGAGAGACAGAAAGAGTCTGAGTTCTTGATGACATTGTGCAGCTTCTGAATCAGCCAGCCCTAGAGTCAAGTGCACCTCTACTTCTTTTTTTTTTGAGACGGAGTCTCACTCTGTCGCCCAGGCTGGAGTGCAGTGGTGCAATCTCGGCTCACTGCAAATTCTGCTTCCTGGGTTCATGCCATTCTCCTGCCTCAGCCTCCTGAGTAGCTGGGACTACAGGCGCCCACCACCACGCCTGGCTAATTTTTTGTATTTTTTAGTAGAGACGGGGTTTCACCATGTTAACCAGGATGGTCTCGATCTCCTGACCTCGTGATCCACCCGCCTCAGTTTTCCAAAGTGCTGGGATTACAGGCGTGAGCCACCACACCCGGCCACCTCTACTGCTCTTAAGTGTTACAATATAGTGTTTGAAGATGTAGGGTTGAATCCTGCCTCTGCCATAAAATGCTCGTGTGACTTTAGGCATGGTAACCCGTCTGAGTTTCAGCTTCCTCATCTATAAAATAGGAATAATAAGAATTGTTAATTGTCGTTATTTACCCAGTGAGTAAGTTTTTGAGGATGACATGTGTTGATGCACGTTGAGAGCTTACGATAATGCCTGGCCTTAGGAAGTGCCGACAGATGGAAGCTATTAGTATTGCCAACACACATTGCCTTGATCGGCTTATACTCCCAGCCCTCTGAAACTCTCAATTAATAATGGAGAGACTCAGGCTAGTCACAGTGCAGGTTGATCCGTGCTGTGATAGAGCCTTGAGCAGGAAGCAGTCAGCTTTTGTGGAGGGAGCAGCTGAAGGTTCCATAGAAGCAATGACTTTGAGCAAGGGCTCTGAATGTGAGTGGAAGTTTTAGGGTAAAGAAGAGGAGGAAGGTCATTTCCAGCAGTGAGAGCAGCCAGTTAAGTGTCTTAAGTGCCTTGTGAAGGGCAAGTAGCTGGTGTGCTTAGAACTTCAGGTGTGGGTGCATGTGTGTGGGATGAGGGAGAGCCTGGAAATATGGGCCAGGACTAGGCAGGGAAGGCCTTGCATGCTAGACTAAGGGGCTTGCTGTGAGTCCCAGTGGTGTTCCGTAAAACTATAGACCTGAGGGTTGCTCCCTGAAGCAGAGGTTCAGTGGCGGTCAAATCAGGGATGGAAACGCTGCACAGATATTCCAGGCCCCCAAATGGCTAATGAACCTTAGCACAGCAAGGGCCCTGCCAAGTCCTATAGGAACAAAACCTGTTTGACTTGGCCTAACCCAGTGTTTTATAAACGTATTCAACCACAAGACACCCGTTATTCCCCTAACAACTATTATTGCCGGTTACAGTTTGGGAGCTACTGTTACAGGTGTTAGGGAGCTGTCAAAAGGTTGGAAGTGAGGGGTCAATTCTGTGTTTTGCAAAGATTCCCTCTAATTATTTAAACAATAAGGGACCAAATTCAATCACAAGTAAGCGGTTGTAAGGGTCTAGCTTGTTCAGCCAAGGCTGTTTTATTCGAAATGGGTGACTTCTCTTGGCTATGCCCCTCTCTGAAAGTCTACCTTTCAAGTGTCTGAAGGAGAGAAGCTTCCCGCAACACACTGCGGTTGTCCTGCTGACCTTTTTAATGTGGCTCTTTAAAGCCGAAGGTTAGATAATTCAGGCTCAGCTCTTAGATTGACACTTGAAAGCTACAATGGGGCTTTTTGGAGGGTTAAAAGTTATAGTCACTGGAGCCGCAGTTTGACTTGAAAAATTTTTTGAAGTCTTTTTCTTTCATTCCTTTCTCTTCCTTTCCTTCTCTTCCGCCTCCTCCTTCTTCTCTTTCTCTTAACAGAAGGGCCAGTCGAAAATGATGCTTTCCAACTTGCAAATCCTGCTGAAGATAACACATGTGGTAAGCATGACCCTGTGAAAGATTCTGGCAAAGGCTGGGATTTCTCATCCCCTGGAAGTTGGGGTGTGGGGAGGGTGGAGTTTATTAAATATATAGATTTTGGCCAGGCATAGTGGCTCACGCCTGTAATCCCAGCTCTTTGGTAGGCCAAGGCAGGCGGATCACTTGCGGTCAGGAGTTCGAGACCAGCCTGACCAACATGGCGAAAGCCTGTCTCTACCAAAAATACAAAAATTGGCTGGGCGTGGTGGCACACACCTTTAGTCCCAGCTACTTGGGAGGCCTGAGGCAGGAGAATCGCTTGAACCCAGGAGGCGGAGGTTGTAGTGAGCCGAGATCATGCCATTGCACTCCAGTCTGGGTGACAGAGCAAGACTCCATCTCAAAAATAAATCAATAAATGAATAAAAATAAAAAATAAAATAAAAATAAAAATACAGACAAAAATCTGCTTCTTGGGTGATTTGAACTCACATAAAGTTGGAAAACTATGGGCCTAGGTACCTTCAGCTTTACACACCAACTCGTCAAACCTCCATAAGTAGGAACATCTCCTCCATACCTACCTCCTTCACTGCTACCCATCCCTGCCCAGCCCCCACCTTAGGGTGCTGCCCCCAGGGTTTGGAGGAGGCCCTATCCCGGCCTGCACAGACTCTGGCCCAGCACCTGGATCTCCACTCCCTTTTCCTGCTCTTGCTCCCCTGCTACAGCCAGGGTTCTTGCTTCTGGGGTGGTGAGGAATGTGGCCCACGTGCAGGAGCAAGGACTTGTGGGTAGCAGGGGGTGGTGGTGAGTGTTCTCAGGGACTAAAGTCATCAGTGCTGGCTGGGCCCACAGTGCTATTACTGGTCTCTACTTTGTGGTTATCTGATTCCCATTTGGCTCTTGCCTACCAATGCAGTTGCTCTGGCAGGGGTTTTGGGGGCTCCTCTTTCTTTTGGCTGTGCCCATCTTTCCTTCCTGTTTTTTTTTTTTAAACTGCTTCATTTGTTTATTAAGCAATAATAGTAGCTAATATTTACACAATGCTTACTCTGTGCCAGGTGCTTTTCTAAGTGATTTAGATACACTACTTCATTTAATTCTGATAATAACTCTATGAGGGATGTGCAATTATGATCTTCACCCCATTTATAGAGGAGGAAATTGAGGCACAGAGAAGTTTAGCAACTTGTTCAAGGCCATTCAGCAAATGGGTAGTGGACCCAAAATTTAAAACCAGATTGGTTGTGTTTTTAAATTATGGCATCGTGTGTAATTGTTAGGCACTGTGCTAAGCACTCGGTATACTTTTGTTATATTATCCTATCTCTACAGATAAGGAGCTGAGCTACAGAGAGATGATGTCATTCACCCAAACTCACTTAGTTTGCAAGTAAGGAGTCAGGTTTGAACGCAGATTTGAACCCAGGTGATGTCAGCACCTGTGCTATTAACCACTGTACTGTCTCTCAATATTTATATATATTTATTTATGGTCAAGATGTAACAGCCAAACAATTGAGAAGAACACAGGGTAAAAAGAGACAGTTTTCCTTCTCCTTTTCCTTCTGTCCATTCTCATTCACTGTCAGACTTTTGGTGGGAGCCTGGCCAGGCAGGCTGGCATTGCCACCTCAGCCTGGCAGAGCTGGGGTTAGGGCTTAGGCTGGAGGCTGGGGTCAGAGTGGACCTGATTGGTCCTGGAAGGACTCTCCGCTGGTGGCTGCCCACAGTGGGAGGGGGCCTCATCTGTGTGATTGGAGCATTAGGGGACCAGCCAGGGCATGCAGGTGGCAGCATGCCGCACAAAAACACTGTGATCCCAGGTAGTGGGTGGCCTAGACCCAAATGCTGGGGTTTTGAATGGACCTCACTGTGTTCTGCAGGTGCTCTGAGCTCAGCGGTCCCAGGACATGAGCAGGTCAGGTGAGGCTGTAGAGGGGTGTCCAGGGAGACTAGCAAAGGTTGCCATGTCTCTTGCTCAGCAGACATCTGGGACAAGAGTCACGGCTTTTGACCCTGCCTCATGAAGATTTCTACAAGTACCCCAGGACAGGACGGATTTTTACGTGGAAGTTTGTACACATAAGCTAGATTTGCCTCTAGAAACACAAAGTGACCCCCTAGACTTCTAGGGGAAGGGAGAGAAGGGAGTCAGGCACAGTCCCTCCCCACCCATGGCTGCTTAAAGTCTGGTGTCTAAGCCAGGGTCACCCAGCGGAGGGTCCCTTAGCATGGGATCAGTGGAGAGGGTGTGAAATGCATTTGAATGGCTTAGCACAAGGGCTCTGCAGCCCAGACAGCCAGGGTTGAAACCTGGTTCTGCCACTTCCTGGCTGTATAATGCTGGGGAGGCTAATTTACCTCCTGAGCCTCGGTTTTCTTCTCTGTAAAACAGAGACACTGACGATAGTACCTTCTCATAGGGCTGTGGTGCAGAATAAGAAGTGAGATAATGAAGCTATGTTGCCCAGGCTGGATTTGAACTGCTGGGCTCAAGCGATCCTCCTGCATCAGCCTCCCAAGCAGCTGGGAATACAGGCACATGCCACCGTGCCTGGCTATTATTTATTGATGTTTCAGGTCACTGTCTGTTTTTCAGCAGGTTCCGTGTTTTGCATTCCCTTCTTGATTCTTTGCAGTGTGGCTTTTGGCTCCTCTGTGACCCCAGAACTGCTCTGTCTCTGGAGACACCACTCACCTGCTAATGGCCACATCCAACAGCCACTCTTCTGCTTTCATCTTTGCTTCTCATCTCTACTGCCTGGGACACTGGAAGCGACTCCCCTCACCTTGAACATTCCCGTGGTGTCCATGACTCTGCAGCCCCTTGGTTTTCCTCCAGCATCTCTGGGTGCTGCTTTGTGGTTTCCTCCATGGGTTCTGATCTCCTTCCCCTCAGGGCTCTGTGGTGGCCGCCTCCCTTCTCTACACATTCCCAACTCTCCCAGTCCACATTTCTGTCTTTTCTTTTTTAACTTCCAAAAAGACAGTGTCTCTGTCTGTCATTCAGGCTGAAGTTCAGTGATGCAATCACAACTCACTTGTATACCCAGGCTCAGGCGATCCTCTGGCCTCAGCCTCCTGAGTAACTGGGACTACATCCACTCACCACCATGCCCAGCTCCAGCCCACATTTCTTTTTTTTTTAATTATACTTTAAGTTTTAGTGTACATGTGCACAACGTGCAGGTTAGTTACATATGTATACATGTGCCATGTTGGTGTGCTGCACCCATTAACTCGTCATTTGACATTAGGTATATCTCCTAATGCTATCCCTCCTCCCTCCCCCCACCCCACAACAGGCCCCGGTGTGTGATGTTCCCCTTCCTGTGTCCATGTGTTCTCATTGTTCAATTCCTACCTATGAGTGAGAACATGCGGTGTTTGGTTTTTTGTCCTTGCGATAGTTTGCTGAGATTGATGGTTTCCAGCTTCATCCATGTCACTACAAAGGACCTGAACCCATCATTTTTTATGGCTGCATAGTATTCCATGGTGTATATGTGCCACATTTTCTTAATCCAATCTATCATTGTTGGACATTTGGCTTGCTTCCAAGTCTTTCTATTGTGAATAGTGCCTCAGTAAACATATGTGTGCATGTGTCTTTATAGCAGCATGATTTATAATCCTTTGGGTATATACCCAGTAATGGGATTGCTGGGTCAAATGGTATTTCTAGTTCTAGATCCCTGAGGAATCGCCACACTGACTTCCACAAGGGTTGAACTAGTTTGCAGTCCCACCAACAGTGTAAAAGTGTTCCTATTTCCCCACATCCTCTCCAGCACCTGTTGTTTCCTGACTTTTTAATGATCGCCATTCTAACTGGTGTGAGATGGTATCTCATTGTGGTTTTGATTTGCGTTTCTCTGATGGCCAGTGATGATGAGCATTTTTTCATGTGTCTTTTGGCTGCATAAATGTCTTCTTTTGAGAAGTGTCTGTTCATATCCTTTGCCCACTTTTTGATGGGGTTGTTTGTTTTTTTCTTGTAAATTTGTTTGAGTTCATTGTAGATTCTGGATATTAGCCCTTTATCAGATGAGTAGATTGCAAACATTTTCTCCCATTCTGTAGGTTGCCTGTTCACTCTGATGGTAGTTACTTTTGCTGTGCAGAAGCTCTTTAGTTTAATTAGATCCCATTTGTCAATTTTGGCTTTTGTTGCCATTGCTTTTGGTGTTTTAGCCATGAAGTCCTTGCCCATGCCTATGTCCTGAATGGTATTGCCTAGGTGTTCTTCTAGGGTTTTTATGGTTTCAGGTCTAACATTTAAGTCTTTCATCCATCTTGAATTAATTTTTGTATAAGGTGTAAGGAAGGGATCCAGTTTCAGCTTTCTACATGTGGCTAGCTAGCTTTCCCAGCACCATTTATTAAATAGGGAATCGTTTCCCCATTTCTTGTTTTTGTCAGGTTTGTCAAAGATCAGATGGTTGTAGATATGCGGCATTATTTCTGAGGCCTCTGTTCTGTTCCATTGGTCTATGTATCTGTTTTGGTACCAGTACCATGCTGTCTTGGTTACTGTAGCCTTGTAGTATAGTTTGAAGTCAGGTAGCGTGATGCCTCCAGCTTTGTTCTTTTGGCTTAGGATTGACTTGGCAATGCGGGCTCTTTTTTGGTTCCATATGAACTATAAAGTAGTTTTTTCCAATTCTGTGAAGAAAGTCATTGGTAACTTGATGGGAATGGCATTGAATCTATAAATTACCTTGGGCAGTATGGCCATTTTCACGATATTGATTCTTCCTACCCATGAGCATGGAATGTTCTTCCATTTGTTTGTATCCTCTTTTATTTCATTGAGCAGTGGTTTGTAGTTCTCCTTGAAGAGGTCCTTCACGTCCCTTGTAAGTTGGATTCCTAGGTATTTTATTCTCTTTGTAGCAATTGTGAATGGGAGTTCACTCATGATTTGGCTCTCTGTTTATCTATTATTGTTGTATAAGAATGCTTGTGATTTTTGCACATTGATTTTGTATCCTGAGACTTTGCTGAAGTTGCCTATCAGCTTAAGGAGATTTTGGGCTGAGAAGATGGGGTTTTCTAGATATACGATCATGTCATCTGCAAACAGGGACAAGTTGACTTCCTCTTTTCCTAATTGAATACCCTTTATTTCCTTCTCCTGCCTGATTGCCCTGGCCAGAACTTCCAACACTATGTTGAATAGGAGTGGTGAGAGAGGGCATCCCTCTCTTGTGCCAGTTTTCAAAGGGAATGCTTCCAGTTTTTGCCCATTCAGTATGATATTGGCTGTGGGTTTGTCATAGATAGCTCTTATTATTTTGAGATACGTCCCATTAATACCTAATTTATTGAGGGTTTTTAGCATGAAAGGTTGTTGAATTTTGTCAAAGGCCTTTTCTGCATCTATTGAGATAATCGTATGGTTTTTGTTGTTGGTTCTGTTTATATGCTGGATTACATTTATTGATTTTCCTATGTTGAACCAGCCTTGCATCCCAGGGACGAAGCCCACTTGATCATGGTGGATAAGCTTTTTGATGTGCTGCTGGATTCGGTTTGCCAGTGTTTTATTGAGGATTTTTGCATCGATGTTCATCAGGGATATTGGTCTAAAATTCTCTTTTTTTGTTGTGTCTCTGCCAGGCTTTGGTATCAGGATGATGCTGGCCTCATAAAATGAGTTAGGGAGGATTCCCTCTTTTTCTATTGATTGGAATAGTTTCAGAAGGAATGGTACCAGCTCCTCCTTGTACCTCTGGTAGAATTCAGCTGTGAATCCATCTGGTCCTGGACTTTTTTTGGTTGGTAAGCTATTAATTATTGCCTCAATTTCAGAGCCTGTTATTGGTCTATTCAGAGATTCAACTTCTTCCTGGTTTAGTCTTGGGAGGGTGTATGTGTTGAGGAATTTATCCATTTCTTCTAGATTTTCTAGTTTATTTGTATAGAGGTGTTTAGAGTATTCTCTGATGGTAGTTTGTATTTCTGTGGGATCGGTGGTGATATCCCCTTTATCATTTTTTATTGTGTCTATTTGATTCTTCTCTCTTTTCTTCTTTATTAGTCTTGCTAGCGGTCTATCAATTTTGTTGTCCAGCCCACATTTCTAAGCACCCTGTAAGTGTGGTGCTCTCCAGTCTCTGCGACCATTCCTGAAGGCTCCCCTGATCTCTAGACTTGAATATCCACCTTGGGTGGCCTGCAGGACGCATCCAAAATTGGACCCCTCCTTTCTGCCCTCAGTGCTGGTTAATGGAGGCAGCATTGGTGGCAGCCCAGGCTGGAAACCATGAAGCCCTCCTGCGCGTCTCCCTTCCTTTCAGCTTACCCAGTCTTATAAACAGCCAAGTTCTGTCAGTGTGCTCCTGTGGTAGGCTGAGTAATGGCTCCCAAAGATATGTCCAAATCCCTGGAGCCAGTGGATGTTACTTTATATAGCAAAAAGGGACTTTGCAGAGGTGATTGGAATAAGGATCTTAAAATGGAGAGATTATCCTGGATTATCTGAGTGGGTTCTAAATGTAACTACAAGTGTCTAAATGTAACTACAAGGGAGGCAGAGGGAAGCTGGGCACGGTGGTTCACACCTATAATCCCAGCACTTTGGGAGGCCAAGGCGGGCGGATCACCCGAGGTCAGGAGTTCGACACCAGCCTTGCCAATCTGGTGAAACTCCGTTTCTACTAGAAATACAAAAATTAGCTGGGCGTGGTGGCGGGAGCCTGTGCTCCCAGCTCCTCCGGAGGCTGAGGCAGAAGAATCGCTTGAACCTGTGAGGCGGAGGTTGCAGTGAGCTGAGATCCCACCACTGAACTCCAGCCTGGGCAACAAGAGTGAAACTTGGTATCAAAACAATAAAAATAAAAAAAAAAAAAAAAGGAGGCAGAGGGAGATTTGACTACAGAAGAGGAAGTCGGGCAAATGAGGATTGAAGAAAGAGGTTGGAGTGATTTGAGGAAGGAGTCATGAGCCAAGGAATGCAGGCAACCTCCAGGAACTAGAAAAGACAAGGAAATGGATTCTCCTTGTGAGCTTTCAGAAGGAGCTTGCCCTATTCACACCTTGACGTTAGCTCAGTGAAATGGACTTTGGATTTCTGGCCTCCAGAACTGTGAGAGAATAAATCTGCATGGTTCTAAATCACCAGAGTTTGTGGTAATTTGTTACAGCAGCTGTAGAAAATGAATACACCCTCCCTTTCGATGTTGCTCCAATCTGTCCTTTTGTCTCCCCATCCCTGCTGCCCCTCCTTGTTTCTTGCTTGAAACAGCTTCCTAAATCTAGCTGCATCTCATAATGATTTCATTTTTATTTTTTATTTTTTGAGACAGGGTCTCGCTGTTGCCCAGGCTGGAGTGCAGTGGTGCCATCAAGACTCATTGCAGCCTTGACCTCCCTCAATTGCTCATGCAATTCACCTGCCTCAGCCTCCTGAGTAGCTGGGACTACAGGTGCCGGCCACCATGCCTGGCTAATTTTTTTATTTTCTGTAGAGATGGGGGTCTCACTATGTTGTCCAGGCTGGTCTCAAACTCCTGGGCTCAAGTGATCCTCCCACTTTGGCCTCCCAAAGTGCTGGGATTGCAGGCATGAGCCACCACACCTGGCCTTCACGATGATTTTGTAACACTTATCAACAACCATCACACTCTGAACTAAGCTCAAGGCCGGGTGAGGCCTTGGTGGAGGCTGAGGTGGAAGGATCACTTGAGCCCAGGAGTTCAAGACCAGCCTGGGCAACATGGTGAAACCTTGTCTCTACGAAAATACAAAAATTAGCCCAGCATGGTGGCATGTGCCGATAGTCCCAGCTACTCAGGAGGCTGAGATGGGAGGATCCCTTGAGCCCTGGAGGCGGAGGTTGCAGTGAGCTGAGATTGCACCACTGCACTCCAGCCTGGGTGACAGAGTGAGACCCTGTCTCAAGAAAAAAAAAAATAGAACTAAGCTCAAGTTTGATGTGACACCCAAGGGTGGCTATAGCTGCACCTCTGCCTGTAGTTTCAGCTGCATCTCCTTGCCTCTTCCTGCCCTGCTCTTTGTGCTTTAATACAGTGATTTGTAACTTGAGGTCCATGTACCGATTTGTTTCCTCCTCCCCAGATTTTTATAGTCAGGTTTCAGAAGGCCCGAGAACCTCTTGAAATTCAGGGCAAAACTTGTTGTACATGCGTATGCAACAGGTGTGTTCTTGGGGACAAGAGCCACGGGAGACCCTGAGCAGGCTCCTTGCCCCTGTGAAGGTTACACATGAATGACTGCTATTCATTCCCCATGAGCATCATGCTGTTCACACCAGCGTGCCTTCCTCCTGCTGTTCCAGCAGCCTGGGATGCCCGTCCCCAGAGTTCCCTCATTTCATTTGTGTGTCTACTCCGGTGTCATGTCCTCAGAGAGCACACTGAGGGAGGCAGTACCTGGATGACCTCACCTGGTCTCTCTGGGAACAAAGATGAGAACCCAGCTTTCCTACCAGAGTCAGTAAACCCCAAGAGTGGGAATTGGGGACTGGAGTTTAAGGTATTTTCCCAAAGGACATTTTCCTCCCTAAGAGAAATTCTGTGTCAGCTGTTAGATAATAATTTTCCCACCTCATTACCTAAATCAGGAACCTGGAAGAGGCAAATGTTGCAATGCTGGGATTAGAACTGTGCTTTGGAATCGAAGGGAATTGGGTGATTAATTCCAACTTGGAGGATTATGGCAACTCCACAGCAGAAACGTCATGTGAGCTGTTTCTCATTGAAGAATGAGGGCGATCTTGATAAGGAGAAAAGGAAGCAAGAAATGGGCAAAGGAAGTCATGGAGTCAGGAGGGTGCTTGGAGTGGGAGTTGTCTTTTACTGTTTGATCCCTAGGGTTTTTGGAGGAAGCCTTGGTCCAAAAGGAAAATTTGAGGCCTCATCGTGGATAGCCCTAACTAGTGTCCTAAGGAGAATGGACTCTATTCTGTAGGCAGCAGAGAGCTAGCTAAGGCTTTTGAACATGAGAATGATACAATCAGATCTTGTTTGTTTTCAAATTCTCAGCATCAAAGTGTGTGGTACATAATAGGTGCTCAAAAGGTGCTTTTGTACCAAGGAATGAATGTGTCTTAGGAGGATGGTCCTGGCGGAGTGAATTGAGTTGGGAAGAGGCTCAAGAGGCACTTTTCCAATAGTTCAGATTGGAAATGAGGAGGCTGGCTGGGTGGGGTACTGAGGTGGCCTGCAAGGAGCATTTAGAGAGTAATTTAGGAAGGAGGATTGACAGGGATTCTTGATCTTTGAGGTTGGGGGGTGAGGTGGAGAATAAGAAAGAGTGGGGATTTGGGGAAGACTGAATTTTGTGGCTTATGAAGGGTTAGATGGCAGTGTCATCGCCAAGATATGGACCTCAGGAGGAGGAGAAAGTGGGGGTATGGAAGGATGGAGATAAGAGGGAGTCTATAGACAGCCTGGTTTTGTACAAGCTGAGACTGAGATCTCTCAGGTGCCAGATTCATCAGCATGTGGGGGGGATGTAAATTTCACAAGTGATCCAGATTATACCCCCCACCCCCTGGTCTCTCCTCAGAGAGAAATGCACAGTGCTTCCCCTAAGGGCCAGAACTTCATTTGTTCTCTCTCAGAACAAACCAACATTGAAGCCCAGCACGAAGCAGCCATTTTTCATTCCTGTCCTCAGCCTCCAGCTCCTCCCAGGAGCCCTCACCTGTTATCTCTCCACTTGGCATGGCCATCAGTTTGGACTGGGACAAGGGACTGTATCTCATGGAGATTTCCCTGATACGCTATCAGCAATGGGCTTTCACTTTGAGTTACAGCATTTCTAAATGTCCATGAGAGGGCCAGGCCAGCCTGATGGAATGTTTATTATTTGATGAACTTAAGGATGCTCCTAGTACATAGTCAAACAGTAGGGTGCCCCTGATTCCTTAGCCTGAAGTTGCCCCCAGAGCCCTGGAGGAGGCATTGCACAGGGCTATTTTGGGGCATAGACAAGATATCTTGGGGGCCCCGTGAGGTCTTGGGACTAGGGCTCCAAATATTCCCTGGAGTAAGTGTGGACATGTGGTGGTGATTTGATTCTACTTCCTTCCACCCACCCACCAGCCAGCTCACAAGTTGCCATACCAGGCCTATGCCAGGTCCTAGGAATATAAAGGTGAACAAAACAGATTTGGATATTTTGTTGCTCAGACAGACACTAACAAGGCAATTACATACTGAGTGTGGACCTGGTATAAGACCAAGAGGCGGATCACGAGGTTAGGAGATCGAGACCATCCTGGCTAACACGGTGAAACCCCATCTCTACTAAAAATACAAACAATTAGCTGGGCGTAGTGGCGGGCGCCTGTAGTCCCAGCTACTCGGGAGGCTGAGGCAGGAGAATGGTGTGAACCCAGGAGGCAGAGCTTGCAGTGAGCCAAGATCACGCCACTGCACTCCAGCCTGGGCGACAGAGTAAGACTCCGTCTCAAAAAAAAAAAAAAAAAAAAAAAAAAAAGGACTAAGAGGCAGTGGGTATAAAAGGTAAAGAGTAAAGGATGTTCTAGAAAGAGGCTGCAGCAGGTACAAAGGCCTGGTGGGTGTTGGGGAGTATGTAGCAGAAGAAAGCATGGTGAGTTCGGGAAGCAATTCAGTTATGGGTACATGCGTGTGTGTGTGTGTGTGTGTGTGTGTCGGGTTAGGGGACTAGAAAGAGATGACACTGGATAATGTGGTCAGGGGAGATAATCATAGACTCTCTTCAGAGAGCTCAGTGCTTAAGAAATAAAGGCAGAAGCCAGAAAAGAAGCATTTGGAAGGCAACCTCTACCCCCTTTCTGGATTTCTTGTCCTCAAACACACCTTCCCCCAAAACAGGGAGCACTGAAGGGCCTGACACTTTCATGGCACCAGCCAGAGGGGAGAGCAAAGGAAGAAGGACTGTAAATTAATGACTCAATACGTTTTCCTACCCCCCACCCCCATTAATGCAAGAGGAAAGGGTCAAAGTATTTCCAGTTCCCAATATCTGCCTTCCTCAGAGGTCTCACAAAGACTACATCAGGAGCAAAGTTGTCAAGTCTCAGCCCCAGGACGCTTCTCCCCCAAAAGAGAGTGACGTTTGCTAAATGAGAATTTTTTAGGCCAGTGGCTGGACAACCTGGTCACGCTTTTGGGCAAAGAAACACATGCAGACAAAGCTCCTGCCCTGCCCCAAGCGTGGCTCCCAGCACATACAGGTTAATCATTCATGTTGAACATTTCCTCTACCAGGAGACTGGCTTCTTAATGAGGGGAGCAGAGCAGGAGCTTCTCCAGCTCAAACCAGCGGATTGGCAGTGGCTAATCCTGGCTACCCATGAAGGCTTGACAGGGCGGGGGGCCCTCATGTCCTGAGAGTTGAACCTTAGGGTCTGCACCCAACATGATGCCCACCCTCCTAAGGTGCCACCAGGTCTGGCCTTTACTCAGTAGCCTTTCCTGGAACATGTCCTGGGGGCCCACTTTATGCCAGGCCCTGTGTAAGGCCAGTGCTGCCTCGCTCTATGTCACTGTCCTTGAGGAAGGCGGTGGGAAGAGACGTGTAAACAAGTAACATCTAGTGTGACCAATGCCATAGCAGAGGAATGATGAGGCCCAGTGCTATGGAGGCTCAGTGACAATAACCACCACCACCACCAGCACCACCACCACAACAACAATAATATCTAATATTTATTGAACACTCACTTGCAGTCGGTACAGGTTGGATGTGGGGAACACAACAGTTTATATTTATTGAGTGCTGGATGTAGGGTTCAAGCTGTTTACATGCATTATTTCTTTTTTCTTTTCTTTTTTTTGAGATGGAGTCTCACTCTGTTGCCCAGACTGGAGAGCAGTGGCGTGATCTTGGCTCACTGCAACCTCTGTCTCCTGGGTTCAAGCAATTCTCCAGCCTCAGCCTCCCAAGTAGCTGGGATTACAGGCATGCACCACCATGCCCAGCTAATTTTTCTACTTTTGTAGAGATGGTTTTTGCCATGTTGGCCAGGCTGGTCTTGAACTCCTGACCTCAAATGATCCACCTGCTTCGGCCTCCAAAGTGCTGGGATTACAGGTGTGAGCCACTGTGCCTAGCCCATGCATGATTTCATCTCAACCTTAGAAACAATCCCACGAGGTAGGTGTAGTAGGCAGAATAGCTCCCCCAAAGATGTCTGTGTTCTAACCCCTGGAACCTGTGACTACTTTGCTTTAGAAGGCAATAGGGACTTTACGGGTGTGATTAATTTAAGGATCTTGCGATGGAGTGATATTCTGAATTATCTGGGTAGGCTCAATGGAATCATAGAGGTCCTTATAAGAGAAAGAGGGAGGCAGGAGGGTCAAAGCCAGAGTGAGACCCTGGGCCATGTGAGAAAGACTTAGGCAGTCATTGTTGGCCACTGTAGAGGAAGGGGCCATGAGGCAAGGAATGTGGGTGGCCTCAAGAAGCTGGAAAAGGCAAGAAAACAGATCCCCCCCGGAGCCTCTAGAGGGAATGCAACCCTGCCAACTCCTTGGTTTTAGCCCAGTGAGATCCCATGTTGAATTTCTGACGTTCAGAACTGTAACATCATACACTTTTAAGCCACTAAGTTTGTGGTGATCTATTACAGTAGACATAGCAAATGAACACAGCAGGTATTATTATTATTGTTATTATCCTAATTTACCAGTGTTAAGGGAAAAACTAAACCGACACTTGTTAAAATGGCAAGGAAGACTTTATTCAAGACTATTGCAATAGGGGTATTGCAATAGAGGAGAGTGGTCGGTCTCAATTCCAAGTACAACAAGGAACCAGTCTCACAGTAGATGGAAAAACAGTCAAGCTAGTGTAAGAAGATAGAGGTATGGTACTCTCTGTCTCAGTCTTGGCTTAGGCTCTAAACCAACTGAGAAATTCTTTTTTCTTTTCTTTCCTTTTCTTCTTCCTTTTTTTTTTTTTTTTTCAGAGTCTAGCTCTGCACCAGGCTGGAGTGCAGTGGCATGATCTCAGCTCACTGCAACCTCTGCCTCCCAGGTTCAAGCAATTCTCCTGCCTCAGCCTCCCGAGTAGCCAGGATTCCAGGTGTGTGCCAGCACGCCCAGCTAATTTTTGTATTTTTAGCAGAGATGGGGTTTCACCGTGTTGGCCAGGATGATCTCTATCTCTTGACCTCATGATCTGCCCGCTTCGGCCTCCCAAAGTGCTGGGATTACGGGTGTGAGCCACAGTGCCTGGCTAAGAGATTTATTTTTAAGG
The DNA here is from genome assembly GCF_000001405.40 of Homo sapiens. Classification (NCBI taxonomy): domain Eukaryota; kingdom Metazoa; phylum Chordata; class Mammalia; order Primates; family Hominidae; genus Homo; species Homo sapiens. Next base: position 38,761,267 of record NC_000001.11, on the reverse strand, counting down.
AATTGGTTCACACCATTAAAGAGGCTGGCAAGTCCAAAATCTGCAAGTGGGCTGGTGGGCTGGAGATGCAGGAAGAGCTGAGGAGGCAGCTTTTCCTGGAAAAGTTGTTGAAGTGCTGTGGCATTTCTCTCCCGGGACCCATCCATGCAGTGGGATAGGGGTCTTATCCTAAGCCTAATGAGAGAGCCTTACATTGCTGCTGGAATGTGAGATACACAATGGGGTGGCGTCCAGGATGGGTTCAAGCACAGTTTACAGTTGAGAGGTTGCTGAAAGTGGCTATGGCCACATTGAACTTCTACAGGCCAGAGGGTGTGGACAGGGTCATTTAACACAGATACTGCCTGTGTTGGTTAATTAATGTGTCAACTTGGCTGGGCCACGTGGTGCCCAGATAATTCATCAAACATGACCTTGGATGTTTTGGCGAGGGTGTTTTTGGATGAGATTAACATTTACATTGGTAGGCTTTGAGTAAAGCAGATTGCCCTTTATCATGTGGGTGGGCCTCATCCAAACAGTTGAAGGATTAAATAGAACAAAAGACTGACCTCCCCTGGGCAAGAGGACCTCCTCTGCAGTAGATGGCCTTTGGATTTGAACTGCCACCTCAGCTCTTCCTTCATCTCCAGCCCACCAGCCCACTTGCAGATTTTGGACTTGCCAGCCTCTTTAATGGTGTGAACCAATTCATTAAAAATAAATCTCTTGGCCAGGTGTGGTGGCCCACGCCTGTAATTCCAGCACTTTGGGAGGCCGAGGCAGGTGGATCACCTGAGGTCAGGAGTTTGAGACCAGCCTGGCCAACATGGTGAAATCCTGTCTCTGCTAAAAATTCAAAAAATTAGCCAGGCGTGGTGGCATGGGCCTGTAATCCCAGCTACTCGGGAGGCTGAGGCAGAAGAATCGTTTGAACCCAGGAGGCGGAGGTTGCAGTGAGCCAAGATTGTGCCATTGCACTCCAGCCTGGGTGACAGAGCAAGACTCTGTCTTGAAAAAACAAACAAATGAACAAACAAACAAAAAAACCTCTTTCTCTCTCTGTACATATCCTGTTGGTTTTGTTTCTCTGGAGAACCCTGACTAATACATCCCAAAGGGCTTCCTTCCTGGGGTGAGGCAGCCTTAGCAGAAAGAGGCTGGAGGGGTCCTGCTGGATGTGGATTTGGGGGGCAGTCATATGGGCCATCCATATGGCATCTACTGGGGGGCCAGTTGGATGGCAGGCATTGCCTGCATCAAGAGGGTTGCTGATGTGTGTTTCCAGTGGGGGTATTTCCAAGGAACCCACGTGAGCTGGTCACTCATAGTGGTTTTTGTGAAAGAAATAGCTCATCAGGATGTAGGAATATCTCACAGTCCGCAAGAACATTAAGTACAGCGAGGCATCTCAAGAGAGAGGCAGGAACTGGGAATGGGAGAGCTGGCAGCAATGCAGGCCCATCCTCTCTCCATCTCCATCCTGTGGTCTCTTGTGTTGTCCTCTCTGTGGGGTGACTCTCTTTGCTTGCTCATCATTGTGTATTGCCTCAAATGTCTTCTCCATTCATGGGCTCAAGACTACTACCCATTACCATTTGTATCTTTAGTTCAAAATTTCAAGAGAAATCTGATTGGCTTGTGGCTAGGAATCTGATTGACTGCCTCCCTTGGGTCAGTTGCTCCTCTCTCAACAATGAGCTGGGGCTTGGAGGAGTAGGTACCTTGGTAATACGTAGTATTTTGGACTGCTCCCTCCTAGGGCTGTAAGAGGTGCAGACTGAGCTAGGTGCAAGTTAAGTGTGGCAGGAAGGTAACCAGTGGTAATCAAAGGGCCAGTGAGGCTGCAGCCTGGAAAACATGGAGCGTTGTACCAAAAGATGAGGTTGTGAAGGGCATTGGAAGCTAGATTGTGGAGGATTTTGAATGCCACGTCATGGAGTTTGAACCTTAACTCCTGTGTCCAGGACCTGGGAAATAATATTAATTAACAGCTCCATACCTTCAGGTCACTGCCACAAGGCTCACTTACCTGGCTGAGTGGTACGATGTGAAGGCAGCAGCCAGCTGGGGATTGTGCTGAGGATGTGCCTTTTTTGATGGACACTTGAAGGGATGCTCAGGCTTTGGAATGATCCACTTCAAGGACTCTTGGCTTTTGTGTTTCAACTCTCGATTGCAACACTATACTAATGTGGTTTTTTGCATTGAATTAAAATTAATCTAATACTTGACAACTCTGGCTGGATGCCTGCCAAATATGGAGACTAGAGATGCTTCCTGTAAATTCTGCCACAGAGGATTCTTACGATTCAGGGAACGTCTCATTTATCTCACTGCGATGCACTCCTGACCTAGATTCTCAAGGGATTCCTTCCGTAAGATCCTCTTGCATAAATGTGAACATGCTCCATGGCAGTTACTTTTTCAAATCTGTATAATCTCTGGGGATCAGGATGATCTGGGGTGCAAGGAAAGGGTCATTTAGATGAACCAGCTCTGCTCAAAGTCAGTCTTGGATTTTTTCCAGTAATAATCTCTTTTGTCATTAATGGCCTGCTGGGTGAATCTTATTATATCTCTTTAAAATAATTTAGATGCTAATATCTCCCAGTGACCATCATATGGAGAATGCAGGCTGGAGGTAGTGATGAGGAGGACTGAAAGCTGTCTTAATTCTATGTTCCTTTACACAGCTGGAGACCCTCATTCGATGGACTTGAAAAAGATGCCCTAGCAACTAGGATTTTCACATCTTTACACTCAAAATGCCTTTGACTGGTGTTCCAAAAGTTCTACTTTCTAAGATGAGGAGCCAGGATTCTGGCAACCCAAGGGGATTCTGGGTGAAAATTTCAAGAGAATTCTGAGTAAATGATGGAAGGGCAATTGTGGGTTTTTTTTTTTTTTTTTTTTTGGACACAGTTTTACTCTGTCACCCAGGCTGGAGTACAATGGCACGGTCTCAGCCAACTGCAACCTCTGCCTCCTGGGTTCGAGTGATTCTCCTGCCTCAGCCTCCCAAGTAGCTGGGATTACAGGCGTGTGCCACCATGCCCGGCTAATTTTTGTATTTTTAGTGGAGACAGGGTTTTGCCATGTTGGCCAGGCTGGTCTGGGACTCCTGACCTCAGGTGATCTGCCCAGCTTGGCCTCCCAATGTGCTGGGATTACAGATGTGAGCCAACATACCCAGCCGGGCAATTGTATTTTTAATCAGCCGTTAGCTGGAGGGTGGGATTGGGGAGGCAAAAAGGAAGAGGTAAGATTCCAGTGGACTGGCAGTCAGGAGGTTTGACTTCCAGTTCTAGGTTCATTACAGCTAGCTGAATTCATTTATTCCTTCCTTCCTTCATTTATTCAGCAGCTACTGATGCCCACTCTGTGTTGGGTCCTTTGCTGGTTCTGAGAACACAGAGATAAACAAGCCATCATTCTTGCTTCAAGGAGTTCATAGCTTGTTGTGACTTTCTCCTTCCTGTACGGCCCTTTCCATATGGAGCAGAGGTTGGTGTAGAAGTTCTTGGAGTGGTTTTCCAGAGTTAGTGCCTGGGACCATAAAAGCCTCAATATCTGGGACCATTTCTTTTATCTCATTCACTAAACTCCACCCAAGCACTGCCTTGTGGGCCATGGATGAGTCTGTTAGGATCTTGCTGTTAAGGAGCTCAGAATCAGTTGGAGCAGAAATACACGTGACCTAGTGGTAAATGGCCAATCAATGGATATTTGTTCAGAGTGCTATGGGAAAGCAGAGGAGGGAACAAACAGCTTTGCTTAGAGATGGTGATCATAAAGCTGAAGAAGTCCCATACTTCATGGTTTCCAACCTCTTAGAATCCCCAGAGAATCCCAGCCTGATGCCAGCCTCCCCTTAGCTCCTTTCATTGGACAAGGGCTGTATGGCTCTCTTGTAACTCGTTAGAACTTGGTTTCTGATTCAGCCCCTTGATTCCCTGGGGCTGAATAGTAAAATAGGCTGAGCCTGCACTGAGGTTCTCAATTTTGAGCACCAAGGAATATGCCACCACTTAAACACAAAGTGATAATGTTGTTGACATTTTAACAGAAATATTTCTTGTTGCATGCTAGAGAGCACGCCAATGTTGTTTTCTTAGCACAGGAGGGAGTGTGGGGTGTGAGTATCAAGCTTGATTGTGAAGCATATGGGCCTCACCAGTGGTGAGGAGGGGGTCAACCTGAGGGAGCTCCAGCTCCAGCTGATTCATCCAAGTAGATCCTGAGAGTTCATGGCTGGCTTGCTTTAGGTTCTTTCAGAAGCAGAATCTGAGTCTGAGTCAAGGGATATCAATGAGGATTCAATCAGAGAAGTGCAACCACCACTCAGAAGCAGCAAAGCTACCATAGGATTCTCCTACTGGGGGTTTGCCTGAACCCTGATGGCTATACTTTGTCTCTGATGTTTCTCCTGGGAGAATGTATATCCACATATGAGGGATTTATTACCAGGATTTGACTTTACACCTTGTGGAGTCTCTGTAAGGCTGTGGTCATTGTGCCATCATGCCTGATATTGGAGTTGAGATCCGGAAGGCAGAAGATTGTGAAGGAAAGATGGATGGAAAGTGAGGGAGAGCAAGGACAAGCTGGAACCCAGAGGCATGAGCTGGGACCCCATAAAAACCCTCTGAAACTTGTGTCTGTTATTGTTTCCTCTGATAGTATGGGGTGTTCTGCAGAAGCCGAGGCCCTTGGCCACAGAGCTAAACACATATGCTTGAAGTGGAAGTCAGAGAAACTGAAGAGAGGTCCACGAGAAAGTAGAGCAGTCTTGGACCTCAGCCGCAAGGTGTGCAAGCTACAAAATGACTGCTGCCTCCCTTCTGCCCTCCACATCTCCCACAGTAAGTCCTTTGGGGCCAACCTTAACCAGAAAAATACAGGAAATGGAATTCTGGGAAATGTAGTTTAACCTAGCCAAGTTGACGCATCACAAAGTCATCAAAGAAGGATTCAAGTCCAAGGACTTTATTTGCGAGCTGATCCCAGGAAACACTGGTAGGCAAGTAGGGAAGTAGGACAGGGATGGAAAAGAGGCCAAGGGTGGGGCATGGTGGCTCATGCCTGTAATCCCAGCACTTTGGGAGGCTGGGGTGGATCATTTGAGGCCAGGAGTTTGAGACCAGCCTGGCCAACATGGTGAAACCCTGTCTCTACCAAAAATGCAAAAATTAGCTGGCGCGGTGGCACACTCAAGAGGCTGAGGCAGGAGAATCATTTGAACCCGGGAGGTGGAGATTGCAATAAGCTGAGATTGCACCACTGCGCTCCAGCCTGGGTGACAGAGTGAGACTCTGTCTCAAAAGAAAAAAGAGGCTGGGCACTGTGGCTCACACCTGTAATCCCAGCACTTTGGGAGGCCGAGGCAGGAGGATCACCTGAAGTCAGGAGTTCGAGACCAGCCTGGCCAACATGGCAGAAGCCTGTCTCTACTGAAAATACAAAAATTAGTTGGGCGTAGTGGTGCATGCCTGTGATCCCAGCTACTTGGGAGGCTGAGGCAGGGGAATCGCTTGAACCTGGGAAGCGGAGGTTGCTGTGAGCCGAGATTGCACCACTACACTCCAGCCTGGGCGACAGAGTGAGACTCTGTCTAAAAAAAAAAAAAAAAGCCAGGGAAGGGAGGGCACCAGCCAGGTCCACTGTGATCACCTGGAGCTTGATCCTCTGGGGAACTTTGGGGGGACATTCTGATGGAGTCTCAGAGTTACTCGTCCAAGATGGGGTATTGTTTCTTCACCAATTTTCTGTCTGTCATTGGTTGAGGGTTGTTTCCAGCTAGGGAGAGGCTTTTGGGCAGGAAGTCACAGGTGTTCATGATATGCAGCCTTTGGGGGCAGAAGGGAAGGCCATGGGGCAGTGTTCAAAAGATTCTTTCTATTCTGGGGCACCACTCATATGTAGTGTCCTGCCATTCCCTTCTGCTTGTGCTATGGCCACGGTAGTGACAGCGCCTCCTGTTTCCCCTGCCACAAGGAATGGGGAGAGTTCCTTCCATACCCACGCCTGCCGCTCTTCCTTATGTGGTCCTCAGAGTGGGGTGGATCTGGTTTCACTCTCAGGCCTCCTAGAGATTTTAGGGAAAGGGTTGTCTATGCATTCACTTTTCTTTGTCTGGCTTTTCCTTGGATGTAGCTGACTGTGAGAACTAAGCCCGGCATTGCCTGCTGGCTGACACAAGTGTTTGCAGAACCAAATCTCTTTTCTGAGCCAGACCTACTGCCTGTGGGTTGGGGGTGTTCTCTGCTGGGTGGGCTCCAGCCTCTCTCCACACAGGTCCAGCAGGACCACATCTCGGCCTCGCCTTGAGTTCTCAGAGCCCCCAAGAATCTCAGCATATCAGAGCTGGAAGGGACCTGCCAAATCACCCCACCCAACACACTTACTTCACGGTTGAAGTTGAAGCCTGTCTAGAAAGGAAGATTTTTCTGGGGTTGTTTGACCATTTAATGGGATCTGAGATGGTCTGAATCCAAGGTCAATTGATTTCGCATTATGCCATGCTCCGTACCAGGACAAAATGTCTGAGTGGCTGTTCCATTAATATGGATCTAATCACAAGCAGTTTTGGAGAACTTTATGGCTGCCTTTGAGCCTGTTTCAAATCTTTGCAATATGACCAGACCTTTCTTTCCCTCTCCCAGGCAGGTTCATAGATACACCCTTCAAGGCTGTCCCTCCAAATGAGAAGAGCATGAACTATGTGGTTGTACAGCTTGGGTGTGAATTCCAGCTTGGCCACTATGTGACTTTGGAAAAATTACTTAACTTTGTGTGCCTAATTTCCTCATCGGAAAAACAAAGATAATAAAACATACCTCTTGGGGTTGTTGTACGGATTAAATGTGCCTGTGTATACAGAACCCCTAACACAGTCTCTCAGATGTTGTAACTGTTTAACAAGTAGTGATGTGATTATTGTTGATAATGTTGATGGTAAGGCCACTTACCCCACCATGGGTTCAATTTTAGGAAGCTCATCGTTGCTGCATGGCTGAGCCCTGTCTGCAATACCGCTAGTATCAGTAATAAAATGGATACTTTGATCTCTACCTGTCTTGCTCTTTTGTATTTTCTTCAGTTAGTTCAGAGCCTGGATTGGGGAAAAGAAGGTGTATTAGTCTGTTTCATGTTGGTATAAAGAAATACCTGAGACTGGGTAATTTATAAAGAAAAGAGGTTTATTTGACTCATGGTTCTGCAGTCTTTACAAGCATGGCACCAGCATCTTCTCAGCTTCTGGTGAGGCCTCAGGAAGCTTTTACTTGCAGTGGAAGGTGAAGGGGGTGCAGGTGGGTCACATGGCAAGGGAGGGAATGAGAGAGAGAGAGAGAGGAGGAGGTGCCAGGCTCTTTTAAACAACTAGCTCTTGTGTGAATTAATAGAGTGAGAACCCATTCATCACCAATGAGGGATCCGCCCCCATGATCCAAAAGACCCCTACTAGGCTCCACCTCCAACACTGGGGATCACATTTCAACATAAAATTTGGGAGGGACAACTATCCAAACCGTATCAGAAGTATATTTATTGGGTCTGCTCAAATCCCAACAGCGTTCTGTGAGATCATTTTTTGAAAATTTAGAGAGGCAAAAAGAAGAAAATAAAAATTACCTAGTGTTGTGCCACCCAGAAATAACCTTCTTAAGCTGTTTCTGTGTGTCTATATATTTTAAAGCAAAGTTGTATTATGTTGTATGTTTTATTGCTACCCTTTCTTTGAAAGAAGCAATTCATGTCATTAAATATTTTTTCTTAGCATGATTTTTAATGGCAGAATGTTATTCAATTGTATGAGGATCTTATGGTCTATTTGCCCAGTCTCCTGCTGGGGATGTACCAGATCTTTACTGTTTGCCCCTCAAATATACTGTTCACCCTTTTCTACCCTTTCTCGATGTCCAGGGACCCATCAGCTGGCTCCTGTGCCTAACCTAGAGCACTGTGGGTCCCTGGTATGGCAGACAGCAAAGCAGAATGTGTGTTCCCTGTGCTGGCAGATGCTGATGAGGAAGAGAGGGAGAGACGGGGATGCGTGCAGCAGTTCTTCTCCTAAACTCACCTGTCAGGGTGAGGAGGGAAAAAAGCCAGGCAAGAAGACAGGAATATTTAGACAAACTTCCTCATTGTAGATCCAAGAGGAGTGGGAAAGAAAAAAAATATCAGGTAAAAAAGTCAAAATACTGTCATATACCTTATCTTGTTTAATTCTCACAACCAGCCTGTGAGGTAGGTAATGCCATCAATTCCTACTTTACAGGTAAGATCGAAGCTCAGACATGTTACATGATCTACCCATAGTCACACAGCCAGTGGGCGACAACCCCTGGGCTAGAAACTGTGGCTCCTGGCCCCCAGTTCCCCTCTCTGTATCAGTTAGAAAGGCTTTCTAATAACTGAAGTAGGTTGGCAGGGTGTGGTGGGCCGGGCTCTTGGCATTTCTAATACCAGGCTACCTTAGAACCCCAGGTGAGAGGGAAAAGTAATGGTGGTGAGCAGAGCTGCAAATCATGTTCAGAATCTGTGAAGGTGCCCCCAGGTCCACCCAGATTCAAGGGGAGGGAAAATAGTCTTCACCTCTTGAAGTGAAGAGCAGCTCATGTGTAGAGATATGGGAGGAACTGTGGATGGTGTTAGCTAGAGACTATCTACCCTCACCTCTGCCTCAGGTCCAGCTTTATTATGTAACAACCTCCTAACAGTTCTGCTGCTTCCTGTGTCTTCTCTTCAGCCAGAGGCATCATTTAGGGATGCAAATCTGACCATGTAACTATCTTGTTATCCTTCTGTGGCTCCTATTGCCCATAGATAAGTCTAAGATCCTCAGCCTAACATATGTATCTCCTGAAGCACCCTTCAAGCCACATATTTTGTTAATTTCCTCCTGCTTAAGCCTCAGTAAAGTATTGACTATTGCCAAATGTGCCCTGATTGTTCATTCTTCCACGTGAGGGACAGGCTCTTCTCTCAACCTAGAACACGATCTTCTGATTTTATGGTGCATTCCTCTTTATGCGTCAGGGTCCTGCTCAAAGGTCACCTGTACTGCAAAGCTGCAGAAGTCAATTCTTCCTATAGCTTCTAGTACTGTGCAATTCTAGTTAGCCCAGACCACACTAAAGTGCAATGACCAAACTACTGTATTTCGCCACTTCTAAGATTTTTTGCCTGTTCATTTCTCTGAAATTGGGGTGCACTTTTACAAAGTGTGCCATTACCATAATTACTGTTGGATAGGTAACAGGTGACCACAGCCTATGCATGCTGGAAGTGGATTGTTATTTCTGGTGCCTTGACCAGACAACTGCAGCCCCTCAGTGTTTCAGTCGCAAACCAGTTAAGGGCCATTCAAGGAAGGAAGATGAGCCTGGGTTTTTGTCTGAAAGTTTTCTGTTGGTACCCTCTGATGTCAACAGAAGAGCAGGAAAGTCTAGAATCAAAACTTGCAAATGCATGTCAGCAGCTTGGAGGAAAACCCCAAGAGATGGTAATGAAGCCCTTTTTGAAGAAATGTAGCATCACCATGCTCTTGTCACAGAGGACAATGTTAGGTAAAAAAAAAATCCAGCCATAAACCTCTCCGAATATAAAAGTTAATCTGAAGACTTGGATTCAGAATGTGAAGGAGTTTTAGAGCCCTTAAGACATTAATTTTGCTTATCATTTTTTAATGTGAATGCCCAAGAATGATGTGATAAATAAAAAGCCCATGTTTAATTGTGTCAAATAGAGCTTTTTGGATAAGAATAAAATAAAAAACCCATGATAAAAAGCATTGTATCTTAGTTTCATTTGTGGCTTTTTTTTTTTTTTTTTTGAGGCAGGGTCTCACTCTGTTGCCTGGGCTAGAGTACAGTGGCATGATCATGGCTCACTGCAGGCTCCCAGTGAGGCTGGAACTCCCAGGCTCAGGTGATCCTCCTGCCTCAGCCTCCTGAGTAGCTAGGAACACAGGCACATGCCTGTGGAGACAGGGTTTTACCATGTTGCCCAGCCTGGTCTTGAACTCCTGGACTCAAGCGATTTACCTGCCTTGGCCTCCCAAAGTGTTGAGGTTACAGGCGTGAGCCACTTTACCTGGCACATTTTTTATTCAGTAGTACAAAAAATAATAATGTAGCTATTAAATAATAATCAATGCCATCATATTCTAAAGGAAATATAATTATCTGTGCAAGCATCAGAATTCTCTCACCAAACTGAGCTCCCACCCCAGGGAAGGAATCATGCCATTCATCTTTATTGCTTTCAAATTATTCTTATCCAAAAATATTTGTCATGTAAATGAGTTTAATTCCACTTCCAGATAGCAAAAGATGAAAAAGGCAAGGCCCAGAGAGGTGATGCTTCTTGCCTAAGATCACACTGCAGAACTGGAATTTAAACTTGTATCTGTTTGAACTCCAAGATCAGTGCTTTTTCCACAGTACATATCAATTAGGGTGCTTTTGGGTATGAGAAACAGAAGACCCAACTCAAAGAAGTTTAGACAAAATGACAATTTAATGCTCACATAATAAGAAACCTGGAGTTAGGACAATTCCAGGGTCAGTTATTTTCACGATCCAGTGAGCTCATCAGGGACTCAGGTTGTTTCCACTTTTCCTCTCTAACATCCTCTGTATGTCAACTGTTTCCCTCATGGTCACAAGATGGCTGCAGCAGCTCCAGACAGCTCTCTTTAAGATCAAAGATCAAAGATCTTAAAAGATTCCAAAAGTTTCCTAGCAGACTCCCCCTTGGCTCATTGGCTAGAATCACATCCTATGCCCATTCCTAAACAATCATTGGCCAGAGGGGTAGAATGACCTCAATTGGCTTAGACCAATCAAAATACAGTTGTATGAGCTTGTGACCTGCTGATACTGGAACAAAATCGGGAATCTGTAAGTCAAGGAGAAGGGAAATGACATCAGGTAATTAACCCATAGAGAATGCCCAGACTTGTTATGTACCCTAAGAGAGCTTGCATCTTTGAGAAAGAACAGAAAATATCCCCACAGTTAGAGCCCATTACTTACTTCTACACTTTCCTTCTGTGTTCAGGGATCCCTGGTTTGGCCTGGCCAAGGGGACCGAGCTGCCACTCCTTCGTGCGTGCCTCCTGGGTGTGGAGAGAGGAAGCACTTCCCTCTCTGAGGCCCAAACATTTTAGAGTGAAATTTTCATTCTCCCCTTACTCTTCTTGGCAGTCTTGAAAGTCACACTTGTCTCTTACCTTCCTTATCTTCCCAGTTTACACACTTGTCAAGGGAAGATTTTACTTTCCTTCAGTGGCTCAGATATCAGGTGATATGTGAGGCTCAGCTTCTTTAAGAGTGACTGATTGGGGCTTTATGAAAATATATTTTAAAGGTTTCAAGATTAAACTTTTCCTCCTCCATATAATTCTCTTTGGAGATGCAACTTCATGCTTATTTTATTTCACAGCAAACTTGATCTTGCACATGGAAGATCCTTACGGCCAATATATGACCATTTTAGATCTTCCCAGGAAGCACTGTACTGTATTGGTTAAAAGTCCAGCCTCTGAACTCAGACCGGAATGCAAATCCCGTCATTGTCACTTACTAGCTGTGTGAAGATGGACATATTACTTCAGCCCTCTGACTCTCAGATTCCTCAAATGGGGCTAAAGGTGGGCTCTACCTGACAACGTAGTTGTGAGGATTGAATGAGTTGCTGGAAAGTGCCTGGCATGTGGACTGCTCTGTAAATGCCATTCCTCCTTAGGGTTACTGAAGGCAGTTTTCACATTGGCTCAGTAGGGAAAGGGTTGACAGCTCTTACAGGACAAAGACCTCCCCCTTCACTCCTCCTCTCCTTCTTTTCCTTCTTTCTTCGTCAAGTATTTACTGACCTCTCTTGTGAATGAGACATTCATAAGTGTCTTAATTAGGCTTATTTTAAAATAAAATATTCTTAATTCCTAAGTCTTTTAGGCTTCTTTAAAATAAAATATTCCTGATTCTTTGGAGTTAGGAATACAATACAGGGAAGAACAAGACAGACATGGGCTCCGGCCTCTTGGGGTTTACAGTCTAGCAAGGATGATGGATAGATCTACAGATCCATATATAAAGGTCAACAACAAGGGTAATACGGGTTCCACGAGGGAAATGTAGGTGCTGTGCCATGATGAGGTAAAACAGGGAGCTCATCTGGGACCCAGGGAGGGTGGGTGATGGTAAGGGAAGATCTCTTAGGGGTAGTGATGTTTAAGCTGAGTCCTAAAGGATTACCTAAGTTATTCGAGTTGGGAAGGGTGTTCTGGGAAGAAGGAACAGCATGTGCAAAGTTCCAGAGATGAAAGAGTGGGACATGCTTAGACCAACTGGAAGAAATCCAATATGGCAGCATGAGAGAGGCGGGAGACTCAATCATGGAGGACGTTGGGTCATATGAAGGAGTTCAATTATATTTTTAAATGATGAGGAACGTTAAAGGGTTTTAAGCAGGCAGATGAGCAGATATGTATTCATTCAACACAACTTATTCTGGTTGCCTCATGGAGAATAGATGAAGCGAGTGGTGATAGGAGGAAGGGAGAGAAGCTAGATGGCTGTTGCAGTGGTTCCAGTGAGAAATGATAGGCATGTGGCCTAGGATTGGGGCAGCTGAAATGCCACCTGAGTTCAGGTGGATTATGGTGAGACTGGTCTGCTAACTGTGGAACTGGAATTAGAGATCACTTTTGAAGCATTCTCTCCTTGGCCTGCAGTTTGCAGGTCCGGCTGAATTGTTGGGCCTAGAAACCCTCATTGGATTCTGGGACCCATTCACTGCATTAGGGTCCCCCAGGTCTTCCTGTAGAGTGAAGGGTTAATGTGACTTCTCAGAGGCCATATTTACCATTAAGGTTGAACTAAGTGGACATGGTGCCAATTGGTAATTCCAGAGTGTGTTTCTTTGTAAGTGTTCTGCTGACTGTGTGCAGAGACAGCTCAGCCACCTTGAGCCTTATTTCCCTCATCTGGAAAGTGGGAGTCATAACACTTCCATGACATAGGCGTACCATGAGAATGGCATGAGGTAGTGCCTGCAATGGACTGGCCCAGTGCTTGGTACCCAGCAGGGGCTATGATAATTTTTGCTGTTACAATGGTGGATGCTGTAGCCCAATATGTGTGTGTCTGTACTGGGGGGACTAGAATGACACCCCTTCCTTTAATAACTATATTGTAAACAAATTGTGTTCTGGGAGCCTGTGATGGTCAAAGGATAGACTCCAACCCATAGCACCTAGGGGATATGGAGCTGGTTAGTGGGAGTCCATCGACCAGGAGTTGGAGTCCTGGGTTCCAGTCTCAGATCTGCCCCCACACCATCATGTGACGTAGAGTAAAGCCTTTCCCTGTCTGGCTTCAGTTCTCCCATCTGAATCGTGGCACTGATAACTGCGGCTCAAGCAGAGGGGAGGTGGAAGCAGAAATGGAAGGCTGCTTTCTTCCGCAGAGGCTGGGAAAGCCAGGAAGCCTCAGGCTGTTCCATGGCACCTCCACCTCAGTCCTTGTGGTGGCTGCTATGTTTTCTGGGTCATCTTGGGGAGGGGTCTCGTCTGCTCCCACCTTCTGCCCCTCCCATCCTGAAGTCTTCACCTAAGAGAAAACTGCATTCTTGTCAATGACTGGGGAAAACAGCGCAGATTATTTTGGGGGTGTTTGGTCTAACTCTGCCCATGGATCATAAACAATTTTTCCTAATTTAGTCAGATGATTTCCTCAAGAAAGTTTGTGTTTATACAAATGAATACGTTCGCATAATCTATTCCATTGTGGTCTCCCCAGCCTCTCTGCACCTGCCCCACCCGCACCCACCCCTCTCCACCTCCGAGAAGCCAGACAGCTTCCGGGCTAATTTGATCAAGATGAGTAAAAGCAAAACCATCCGTTTTTCTTCGACAGCTGAGTCCAGAATCATTGTTGTAAAAGACCTGTCTTCCAGGTGAGCCGGTGATATTAGGGAGTTGTCGCTCTTTGCTGAGATGAAAGGGCTCAGCCTGCTACAGAATGCCTCCGCGCCAGCATCAAGCTTCCAGTGAATCACATCAAAGGCCTCTCTGCCACGGCCAGCCCCTTCCAGCTGGGGGAAAATGGGCTCATTAGAAGCAGGAAGAGTACATTGTTTACATTAGGTGGTGCTGATTTACAAGCTTGGAGCTGCCATTTTTCCCTCACCTTGAGCTCCGGGCTCTGGAGAGCCCTCCACTTGCGGGGAATGGCTCCTTTGAAGGTGCACGGCAGCCTCCTGAAAAGGAGCCACACGATGCCCCCACCCTCCCTGCTCTCCTTCCTCTAATTAGGCTCTTACCAACTGAGCAATATCTGGGGTTGGGTAGAGACTAGCAGGGGGACTATCGGCAAAGGCCTCTTGCATAATTGCATTGATTAAGAGGTACAAGGCTGGAAATGTTGTTTTCCTTCAAGATCAAGTCCCTGCGCTTGTGGGAGCCTTGATTTTCTGGGCCACTTTGTTTGCGTTGGCCTAATTGCTCAGGAAGCATTTTTCAGAGTTTTCAGCCTAGATGGTTTGGTGTAATTCTGCAGCCCAATCCCCAGGGCTCCCAGACAGGGGGCAGGAGGAGGCCCGAGGTCTGGTTGTCTATCCTGGGGTGTTTCAGTGTGGGACAACTTTGGTGCCCAGCTGGGGTTTGTCTGGAGGGCTCTGTCAGGCAGGACAGCTTTAGGGCGGGATGAAGAAAATGGTTCTTATTCTCCTGGGTTCTGGGCTTCCCTCCAAAAGCCATGGCTCTTTGGGGCCCTAGAGAAAACTCAGAGAAAGTAAGAACTCTGGCTCAAATAATATTTAGAGATTTAAAAAAAATATCATTCGACTTATGGCAGTTGATACTCACCCAGTATCTACACACACTCTTATGTTTCCCAGTATCTCTTGTGGTTGGGTTGGGGTAACATTACTAGTTCAGGCCAATAGACTTTGAGAGGAGCCAAATATTCAAGACAGAGGGGGCCAGCCTGACTCACATCTGACTTTTTCTAAGAAGTAAACCTTTATTGTGTTAAGCCTCTGAGATTTCATGGTTTAGTTTTTCCTGCAGCCTAGTGTAGCCTGTCCTGACTAATTCATGGCCCCAGTGAATGTCATCAGCACTAGGAAAATGACTATGTTAGATTTGCACTCAGAGACACTCTGGGCAAAGCTAATGTCAGACAGAGAAACTTTCTTCCTCAACTTACTGTTTTCATCTGCACCTTGGAGATATCAGTTCTGGATCAACACGTGGTTGTGTCTGGAGCCATTGGGACAGTCTGCCAGCTTGGGTCATGTGCCCATGCCTTGGCCAATCACTCTGAGTCCAGTACCATTGGGGTATTTTGATTGGCCAACTTGGGCTGGGGAGGTAGGGCCATATGATCGACAGTCCCCACCAGTGGGGATGGATTTGCTTTGGAAAAGAAAAGGTTCTAAGAAGCTGAAAATGCCTATTACAACTGCTGTTCCTTGGGCCAATGTGAGCCAGCAGGCTAGAATGGCTCAGATACCTCGAGAAGACCTTACTGCCAAGTCCCAGGAAGGCTGTCTGTCTGGCCAGGTAAGAAAGTGTGTGTATGCAGTGGGGAGGATCATGACCTAAGTGACTCACCCTATCTGCTTGTGACTAGAGGTGTGGGAGGAATGTTTGCTTTAATGGTTGCACGGTTTGGAAGTGAGAGGCAGCGACCCTGGAATTGAAGGCATGTCCACAGTGGTCATGGGTGCTGGGAACCGGAAAGGGTACGAGGCATTGCCTGTCGCTTTTGAATACAGTTGTCCTGACAAGCGTCACCCCAGGAGAGGGGCCTCACGACCTCCCATCTACTCAGGACTTCTTCATTCTCCTCTTTCTCTCTTGCCTGACTTCTGTTCACATTGTGATCCTTTGAAAAATGGTGGGAGGGCTGTGCATGGTGGCTCACACCTGTAATCCCAGAACTGTAGGAGGCCAAGGCAGGTGGATCACCTGAGGTCATGAGTTCAAGACCAGCCTGGCCAACATGGTGAAACCCTATCTCTACTAAAAATATAAAAAACTAGCTGGGCGTGGTGGCGGCCGCCTGTAATCCCAGCTACCTGAGAGGCTGAGGCAGGAGAATCTCTTGGACTCAGGAGGCAGACGTTGCAGTGAGCCGAGATTGCGCCACTGGACTCCAGCCTGGGCAACAAGAGTGAAACTCCGTCTAAAAACAAGAAAAAAAAATGGTGGGAGCATCAGCCCCACCATTTGAGTGTCCTGACCTCATAGCTCCATGCCCCAGGGTGAACCACCACAGGCTCATGTCAAGATCACAGGAGAAGATAATCTCATTGGCCCAGCTGGGGTCAGGTGTCCAACAGTGGCCAGTCAGCTATGGATGTGGTGCAGGACACATGGCCCTTCTGGGCTATGAGTGTGGCCATTTCTTGAAAAGGGGGCTCTGGGGGAAGGAGCCATTTATTGCCATCACTTGTATGGACCCAAATATAGGCCTCTGGGCTCTGTCTTAGTCAGTTTGGGCTGCTATAACAAAATACCACAGACAGATAATTTACAAACCACAGGAATTTATTCCTCACAGTTCAGGAGGCTGGGAAGTCCAAGATAAAGGTGCTGGTAGATTTGGTGTCCGGGGGAGGGCTGGCTCTTTCTGCTTCCAAGATGGCGCCTTGTTACTGAATCCTCTGGAGTGGAGAGACACTATGTCCACACATGGCCTGAGGGTGGAAGATGGAAGGGTGGAAGGGCCTAGTTCCCTCCAGCCCTTTTGGAAGAGCATTATTTCCATTCACCTCTGCCCTCATGACCTCGAAAGTCAGCACATTCTAAAGGCCCCACCTCCGGAGAACATGTTCAGGCCATAGTGGACTTCAAATCCTGGGCTTCAAAAATGGAGTGAGAGAGGAAAGACCTGGGTTCGGAAAGCTGGAGAGCAAGAGTGGCAGGCTTCCAGATCCAGCCGGGCCCCACGACAGGACACGCGGCAGCTTTTCGGAGTCCACTGCAGCCTTTGTGACCCTCTCGTGGGTCACCGCTGGACTTTCAGTGCAGGAGCGTTCCTGAAGTAATGTCCTGTGTTAGTCTATTCTTGTGCTGCTAGAGTGAAATACCTGAGACTGGGTAATTTATAAAGAAGAGAGGTTTAATTGGCTTATGGTTCTGCAGGCTGTACAGAAAGCACAGTGGCATCTGCTTCCGATGATTGTAAGCCTCAAGGAACTTCCAGTCATGATGGAAGGTGAAGGGGAGCAGGCAGGTCACATGGCAAGAGCAGGCACAAGAAAGAGACAGGGGAGGCTCCGGGCTTTTTAAGCAACCAGCTAACAGAGAGAGAGAACTCACTTATTACCATGGGGAGGGCACCAAGCCCTTCATGAGGGATCTAGCCCTGTGATCCAAACCTCCCACCAGGCTCCACCTCCAACCTTGGGGATTCCATTTCAACATGAGATATGGACGGGAAGCAGAAACTGTGTCATGTCCCTCTCGTCCCAGGGTATTACCGAGCAGCCAGAGTTGAACACTTTTCTTAACTCAGCATAGCGTTGGACAACAGTTACTCTGTCCAAAGTCTCAGGATAATCCTCCAGAGACTGGGGGTCGCTGTCGTTGGCCGCATATTCTTTCCTTACCTTGCAAGCGTTGTAGTAATTGATGGGGAAGATGAAGCCCTAAGCTAGTGAGCCTGGAAACCCCTAGGCATTGCCTCTAGTTCACTGTGTGACCTCAACAAGCCCAGTTCTCTCTCTGAGCCTCAGTTTTCTCAGCTATACAAAAATGGGTCAAATGGCATCATCTCTGGGGTGATGTCTGGTGTCTCTGATGATGGGAGGGCAGTGTGGTGTAGTGGTCAAGCATGCTCATTTGAAGTCAGACAGCTCTGGGATTACTGAATCTCATCTTCCCACTTATTAGCTGTGTGATCTTGAGAAAGTTACTTGACATCTCTGAGTTGCAGATTCCTCATCCATAAAATGAGAATAATAGAGGATAACAGTGATGTCTACTTCAGAGATTTAAAAAAAAATTCACTGAAATGATGCGTGTAAACCATTTAAGCTGTAGCTGATGAATAGCAAATGCTCCACAAATTTAGCTACCAAAAAATGCCTATCATTTTAAAGGCTTTTTCCCAGGAGTCTATTCTACATTTTGGGATTATGTTTT
Source organism: Homo sapiens (assembly GCF_000001405.40). Taxonomy (NCBI): domain Eukaryota; kingdom Metazoa; phylum Chordata; class Mammalia; order Primates; family Hominidae; genus Homo; species Homo sapiens. The sequence continues at coordinate 38,743,125 of NC_000001.11, read as the reverse complement.
AACAGTGATGTACTTTGGAGGGTGAGACTTAGATTTGCGTAGAGAGCTGGGAGAATGGGAGGATGGCAGTGGAGAAATCCATTGTGTTCTTCTAACTCAACTGGGCTCAAGGATGACTTGTGGGGATTGCACGTGGGCAAAGGCATAGCTAGTGATGAGGCAACTAGGGCCAGGCTGAGTACCTAGGGTGGACCCAAAGCCCTGGGTCCAAAGTGTGGCACGTTTGACAGGACACTGGCCCTTGTGGTCCTGAAAGGGCCCAGTGGATTGGCTGGCAGGCAGGCAGGTGATGGGGGCCCTTGGGACTCCCATAGGTGACTGTTGGTCTTGGAAGTTCTATCTAAATGTGACTGTGCTGAGGCCCATGGGCAAGACTGCCTCTCCTAGGCAGGAGGCAAGCAGGAATGATTTAAGCCGGGGACAGGCCCAGGCCCACAGGATGTAATCACAGTGCCAGGGGCAGGAAACTCTAGAGTCCCCGGTCAGGGAAGAGTCAGGTTTGTGAGGCCTGAGAGCCGGGCCAGCCTGGCTGGGCTCCATGGGTCCCGGGGCCTGCTCCTGGAACTCTTAGTGGCAGTGGAGCCCAGTGATGATAGCTGAGACCAGGGCTGGGGGCTTCAGCTTCATTCCAGCTCCTAGAGGGGTTGGGGCTGCCCTGAAACACCCATCCCAGCCAGGACTGCCACAGTGCCTGGGAGCAAGATGGGGATGATGTGGAAGTGGGAGCCCCAGTGGGCCCATCTGTGAGGCAGAGGGAGAGGAAATGAACGGGACCCTGACAGCTGCAGAAGAACTTAAAGTGACAGTTTCCATCAAAGACAGGGCTTGTGTGAGGGCTGTCAGAGTTAGCAATGAAAAGTTACACCAGGGCAGGGGCACCGGGGGAAGAATGGTCAAGCCACATCATTGTGGCCCCTCCCAGACCACCAGGTGCTCTCAACAACACTAACTTTCAACCATTTAACATTTACTATGAGCCTTTATTATGCCAAGAAAGTACTTTGTGTGTGTGTGTGTGATACCACTTAACCCTGGCATTGACTCTGTAACAGAGGGAGAGGATTACTATCCCTTCTTTTTTTTTTTTTTTTTGAGACAGAGTCTCATTCTGTAGCCCAGGCTGGAGTGCAGTGGTGGGATCTTGGCTCACTGCATTCTCTGCCTCCAGGGTTCCAGCAATTCTCCTGCCTCGGCCTCCTGAGTAGCTGAGGATACAGGTGCCTGCCACCATGCCCGGCTAATTTTTGTATTTTTAGTAGAGACAGGGTTTCACCATGTTGGCCAGGCTGGTCTTGAACTCATGACCTCAGGTGATCCACCCGCCTCCGCCTCCCAAAGTGCTGGGATTACAGGCATGGGCCTCTGCGCCCGGCCTACTATTTCTTCTTTTGTGTGTTTGAAGAGATAGGCTCTGAGAGGTCAAGTCACTCACCGAAGATCAGACAGTAAGTGGTGGAGCCAGGATTTGAAACCAAGTCTGGTCGCTCCAAAGCACAGGCCCTTGCCGCCTGCTGTCTGTGCAGCCTCCCTGGCCCCGCCTGCGTGGCTCTTGCCCTTGCTCACAGCTCTGCAATCATGCTGCTTTCCTTTCCACTCCCTGATTGTCTGCAGGGCTTTTCCAGCCCAGGGCCTAGACGCATGCCATTCCTTAGGCTTGCAACACTCGATTCTTCCCCATTCCGCAGGCTCTGGCCTAATGTCACTTCCCAGAGTCTTGCAGACTCCTAATCTGAATGGGGCCTGCTGGCTGTGACTTCTCAGAACATCCTCTCTTTCCCTCGGAGCTGTTATCACATATGTTTGTTAGCGGTGATTTGCATCGAGTCAGTCTCCCCCCTGGCATTCTGTGAGGTCTGGGAGGGCAGGGACAGAGGGGTTTTATTCATAGCTGTATTCAGTGCTTAGGACAGGAGGCACCACATGTGTTTACCCATTTGTCCCTGGCACCTGTGGTTCTGTCCTTGCTGGCTCTGGGGTCCTCTTTGTGGCCTTTGTGTCTTAGCTTCTTGCCCACAGCTTGGGCTCTGGAGGTTGGTCTTGTGCTGACAGGTAGATCGGGTAGTCGCCCTACATCCCCAGGCCTCTTTGTCTCTGCCAGAGGAGGGTAGGGCAGGCCCCTGACTTGCTCAGACAGCTGGCCTTTTCCCTGGACCCCCTCACGGGGGGCCTGGAGGGGAGACCTGGGGCTTGACACATGTTTAGGAGGTTCGCCATCTCCTTTGGCCAGCAAAGACCTCTTGTGAGATTTGGGGACAAAGATGCCTTGGCCAGGTGTGAGAAATGGTGTGTTGACATTTTGCACCACGAAGGTCTCTGCCGGGCTCAGGCAGGAGATGCTAATGTTATTAAGTCAGTTTCTAAACTGGACAACATTCTTGACATTTCAGCCGAGATGCCTGAGCATGCAAAGCTTCTCCTCTCCTGTTGTGCGTCTCCAAACAGTAACTCTAGCAATATGACTTGACTTAAAAGCCCCGGGCAGTTTGCTCATAATTCTAATAACCATCCAGAATTAGATCACTTCACATTCACCTTATTTCTTCCCTCATTCATCTTCTGGTCAGGTCATTAGAAACTCCCCGATGCTTCCCCCAACCTCAGCATTCTATTATTTATATATTATACACATTTCTCTACAGAGTCCCTGGAAAATGGTGAAGTGGCCACAGAGGATGGGCTTTCTCCCCTGATGACAGCTTGGGAAATGTTCTTTTCTTTATCCACTGATCCATTTAATCCATTGGGGTTTTAAAACTTCCAACTCTAAATATTTGCCAAAAGGCATGTTCTTGGGGTCCCAGTGAATTTGGGATGGGTCGGTGGGATGGGCCAGTGGCTACAGCTTGGAGGGAGGGTGGGAAGAGGCAGAATGTTTGTTACTCAGCTCCTTTGGGGGCCCTAAGCAGGATTTTTGAATGCTGCCATGTTGATGTGGCCATTTTTGTGGCAAGAGATGTTTTAATGTGGCCATATCAGTGTGATATGGATTAGAAAACCATCATTTAAAGATGTCATTTATCTTCGTTTTTCCTGAAGACAAAATAAATATTTGCTTATTGAAAAAAATTCAAACCTTACAAAAATTATACATTTTGTAGAATGTCCTTTATTATCCTATTACTCCTAGAGATGACAATACTGTAGGTTATAGCCTAGATTTTTTTCTACACAGATATACATATGAGTAAGAATATATAATTATATACAGTTATTTTGTTATAAAATAATGCGAACCACAGACATCTAGGATCCACACTTTATTTCTGACCACTCAGTTTCACTAAACTCAAGGGATGACCACTCAGTTTCACTAAACTCACTAAACTCAAGGGAACTGGGCAGGATGTTCTCCCACTTATAAATGGGAGCTGAAGGATGAGAACACATGGACACATGTGGGGGAACAACACATGCTAGGGCCTGTCAGGGGGGAGGGGGACGGAGAGCATCAGGAAGAATAGCTAATGGATGTTGGGCTTAATACCTAGGTGATGGGTTGATCTGTGTGGCAAATCACAATGGCACATGTTTACCCATATAGCAAACCTGCACATATACTTCACAACTTAAAATAAAAGTTGATGAAAAAAAAAAAAGAATTGGGCAGGGATGCCCACCACCCACTGTGCTGATAATAAAAATGATGACATATTAATGGCTTGGGTTTTAGTCCATGTCAAAATATCCTTTTGTCCAGAGGCCAAGTCAGGAATGTCCCCCTCACCCCGTCTTGCCTCCTACGGGCTCCCTCTGTCTCCTGTGGGCACCAACCTTACTACATGCTTTTTTCTCCATATAGCCTCATGTGACTTTCCATCTCAAGGCCCATCTGTCTCAAATGTCACCTCTTCCAGAGCGGTCCCCTGGATCTCCCCACCCTAGACTCTTCCCATTCGGCTTCCAAAGCTCAGAAAAAGACAAAGCAGAAAGAGGCAAGGTGCCTCTGAGATTTAGCAAAATTGTGAAATTTCACCAGGTCCAACTTTTTTCTTTGAAATTTAGTCCTCCAGACGATGCAACATACACCTTTGTTTCCATGAACTTCAAAGTTGCCCTTTCAGACAGTCTCCTAATATGCAAGGTTAAGATAAATGATATTCGGTCTTGGCTGCAAGGACTAGATTTTTCACCTCTAAGTTTTAGTCCACGCATTGAGGTGTTAATTTAATACATTGAATGGCAGAACAGATGAGCTCACCGCTCAGAGTCTTTTCTCTGGGGGCGAAAAGTATTAACAGCAACAAAAATAAGACAAATGATGCGCAGATCAGTAAGTTTATGAAGTACAGTATCCAACGATTGTGATAGCTGATCCTCTTCCAATAACTCATTGCTTAAATGAGAGACATTTGTTGTCAAGAATTCACAGGATTAGACCATGAACAGTTCTTCTGAGAGGCAGAAAGGGCTCATGTCTACCTCTTTTCCCCGACATTGGTTTGGGCAGTCAGTTACTCTCACTGAGCCTCAACTTCCTCATGGGTAAGACGGGGAATAACTGCTGCTCTGCTACCATCCTAGGGTTCTTGTGAAAGTTGAATGAAGTAATAGAGGCCAAACAGGTGCACAGCAGATATTTGTCTCCCGGGATTGCCTAGTATCCAAATACTCTTTTTATGTGGGGAGTAGGTAGGAGTGAAAGCTCTGCCTCTCATACAGAAATGGAATGGGGTCAGGTACTCGTATGCATGGACATGTGGTGATGCTCAGCCAATCAGCTGCTCTTACCCTGTGCAGTGGCTCTTGGCTGAGTGACACGCAGAGTAGGGGGCGTATTAGAATTCCTCCCAGTGGCTGTGGAGCCAGCAGCTGGAGGTGGTATCCTACCCAGACCCCTCCTGACTTCCCGAGTTTCTACCTGCTTTGGAGCTGGGTTCTCCCCTCGGTGCTGTGAGCTGAAGGATCATCTTGCCTTTGCTGCTTATGCCAGCTACAATTAGCTTCAGCTGTTTGCAATGAGGCGCTCTGGTCCACAGATTCCTTTGTAGGCTGTGCACCTGTGAGGGGGTATTTCTGTGTGTGGGATGTGACACAGTGTTTCCTTCCCTGGAGAGCTTCAGATACAAATACCTGGGCCCTAATACCGTCCTGAGATTCTGAAGCTGCCAATCATGGGGAATTTTGGCCTGTGTGGTTCTTCAAGCTGGAAGGCACTCAGAAGTCATAGTCTTGGTTCTGCCTTGTAATCTGTGCAGGGCACAAAAGCAATGTCTTCTTTTAGGAAATGTACACAGAGGTGTGCATCATCCCTCTCAATTGCGCATCCCAGAGTTCCTCCGAGCTGGTTAACTTGATACATAGAAACCACTCTATGCACAGGGGATATTCCTTACAGCACTGTGTATAATGTAACAATATGGAGACAGGTCTGATTGCCCAAAATGAGGCTAATGGTTAAGTAAGCCACAGCTCAGCTACTTGAAGGAATATTATGCAACTGCTAAAAGTGTGTTTGGGCAGAGGTTTTTAGTAACATGAGAAAATATTTATAAGTTAAACATGCATAACCAAAAAGATATAAGAAAACCTACCAAGATAGGTTTTGGTACAGGTTTTTTTGCAGTGTAGTTTTTTTTTTTTTTTTTTTTTTGAGACGGAGTCTTGCGCTCTGTCACCCAGGCTGGAGTGCAGTGGTGCAATCTCGGCTCACTGCAAGCTCTGCCTCCCAGGTTCACGCCATTTTCCCACCTCAGCGTCCCGAGTAGCTGGGACTACAGGTGCCTGCCACCACGCCCGGCTATTTTTTTGTTTTTGTATTTTTAGTAGAGACGGGGTTTCACCGTGTTAGCCAGGATGGTCTCGATCTCCAGACCTCGTGATCCGCCCACCTCGGCCTCCCAAAGTGCTGGGATTACAGGCATGAGCCACTGCGCCCGGCCTGCAGTGTAGTTTTGTTTTTTACAAAATTCAGCATTCACCTTTTTTCCTTCTTCTTCGTAATGCGTGATTCAGTAAAACTGGTTTGTGTGTACAGAAAATTTCCATCGAGGTAATTATGGGGAAATGTTGACTGATAGGACAGCGACAATTTTAAGGCCAACCAAAATACTTGAAATCATCGTGGGCTAATTACGCCCCCATGGTTTTTTTGCCTCCCGTTGGGTAGCTGCCACTGGTGAATGTGCAGGTGAAATTGTTGTTTGCTGTGAGAGTTGAAAGGCCAGGCTTGCCCTGTGTGGGAGACCATCAGGCTATACAACACACTCCGGTTACTTTATGATTTCTGTATAGAACCTTTTCTTGAAATGAAACAAATGTTTGAATCAAACTCTGTTTTCAAGATAATAATAGAGGCCCCTAGGTAAAACGTAATATCTCTATTTATTAAAAATTATGTATTTCCAGTCAGCTCTTTTTTTAAAAAAATCATAAATAGGTAGAAAACATTTGCTTATTAGTTTGTTCATGCGCTTGTTCATTCATTCACCATGTTACTGAGAACAGAGCTAGGAACACCCTTAATTCACTTGCATCATTTCCTAAGGTCAGAAGCTTCTGGTATTTGTTCAGGCTCAGTCTCAGCTCTTTGAAGCTTTTGGACTCTGGTCTTTGCCAAGGGGTTCCAGTGTTTTTGGTCCATTGAAGGGGATTTATCCTCTCTTCTGCTAGTGCTTGCCTATGAGGGGCAGCTCAGTTAGGTTAGGTTATCTTCACAGAAGCCCTGGCAGAGGATCCCTGCCACACCTACAATGGGGAAGGTCTACCAGTCTCTCCTCTCACTTTGGGTCTACATATTAGGTTCTTTCTAAAGAATAGGAGACCCCTTCTATTTCCATTTCAGTCTGCTCCAGTCTAGCTCATTAAACAGGGATGTATGGCTGACATTTTACCCTGAGTCCAGGCCTGTGTTGGGGGTTGAGGGGACTGTAAAAGAAGTTTAGCACCTCTAAGCATTTTATGGAGGCAAGATAAACATACAAGCAGCAAACTTCTATGAAACCCTCAAAGGACACTGTGTGGCCCCCCATCCTGGCAGCTGTCCCCACTTTGGTTGGTGGTAGTGATTCAATCATTCATTAGTTTATTTTCTCAACAAACTTGCTGTGTGTTGGGTGGGCACTGCATAACAGCCGTGGTATCACAGGAATGAGGAAGACTGAGTCAGAAGCTCACAGTCTTGCATGGGCGATAAGACGTACATAAATAACTAGGTCATCAAATGACAAAATTGTATTCCCTGAATTTCTGCTGATCCTACTTCCTTACTAACTTTTAAAATCTTTTCCTCCCCATCCTCACTACCATTGCTTTTTTCTCTTGGATGATTACATAAGCTTTCGAGCTCATCTTCCTGCCTCCAGTCCAGCTCCCACATTCCCATCAGATGGATTAGTCTACAATCTAGACACGTCATTCCTAGCTCTGAGCCCTCCAGTCTCTATGCAAGATGAGGTGACCTCCACCTCTACTTCCTGGCCAGCTCTCTTGCCGCAAGCTGCCTCACCATTTCTGTGGTATTTGCACTATGTGCCTTTGGGCCCTCTGTCATTCCCTCTGCCAGGGATGCTCTCCCAGCTTGTTCTCCTAAAAGACTCTGTTTGTCCTTTGAGACTCAACTCATGTACCAAATCATCTGGCAAAACTTCCTTGGACTCCTCCACTCCATTCATTTTATTCACTCTTTGATGAGTATTCAGTATGTGTCAGGCATGGTGCCAGGAAGATGAAGGGAAGTGATATGGTTTGAATCTATGTCCCTGCCCAAAACTCATATTGAACTGTAATCCCCAGTATTGGAGTTGGGGCCTGGTGGGAGGTGATTGGATCATGGGGGTAGTTTTTCATGAATGGTTTGGCACCATTCCCCTTGGTACTGTCCTTGTGATAGTAAGTTCTTGTGAGATCTGGTCATTTAAAAATGTGTAGCACCTCCCTGCTCTCTTTCTTATTCCTTCTTTCACCATGTAATGTGCCTACGTGCCTCCTCTCCCTTCACCTTATGCAATGATCATAAGTTTCCTGAGGCCTCCCCAGAAGCCGAGAAGATGCCAGCATCATGCTTCCTGTACAGCCTGCAGAACTATGAGCCAATTAAACCTCTTTTCTTTATAAATTACCCAGTCCCAGATATTTCTTTATAGCAATGCAAAAATGGACTAGGACAGGAAGTAAAACCAATATGGTACCTGACCTTGTTTGTAGAGCTTCAAACTGAGTGATGGAGAGAGATGCTCATTAAACAAGTTTAAAATAAATGTAGGATTACAAACTGTCATAAGCAGGATGAAGAAGAATACAGGGTGCTCTCAGAGAGTATAGCTGTGGCTCCTCTCCCAGAGCATTGTGAAGCAGCTGCAGGTTATTCGTTTCTACTGGGTACTGGCCTCTTGCCCTATGGAGAAGGTCTGACCAAAGGTACAATGGGAATCATTTGGCTTGACCCCGGCTCTGTGTGTTAGGCTAGTTCAGTTGGCTCTGGTTGTGATAATGTAGTCCTTTATTAGATACTTTCTGGAAGATTCTGCCTACCTCATGGTAATCTTCCTGAATTTCCCTCCTCATCCTTGTGCACCAACCCTTATAGTCATGTCTGCATTGTGTTACAGTCCACTTGGTCATGGTTGAAGGTATAGTATGGTATACCTGATCCAAATTTGACAATTCAGTTTCTTTCTCCTCAAAATTTGAGACTCAAAAATTCTAGGACTGGCTGGGATGGTCTGTAGAAAAGAATAGATGGGGACTTGGGAGTAGGGGGTGGCCATTTCTTTCTGTTGTGAACTGAGAAGCAAATGGATGAAAGGAACAGAAAAGAGACCTGCAGCAAGTTCTTTCTTGAGGTCTGGTGCCATTTGTGCCCTTGAGTTCCAAGAAACAGTCTTATATCCTTTTAATGAATTCCCCTTTGCTGCCTCAGCTTAGCTTACGTTGGTTTCTATTTCTTGCAGCTTAAGAATTCTAGCCATACAGATCCCAAACAGCCAATCATCCATGTGAGCAGGTTGAAGAAAAATCCTTCACCCCCGCAAAGGCTTGGATGGAGCTGCTCAAGGCACATCAATCAATGCAGTCAGAGAGACAAGACTGGCAGCTTCTTGGCTGACCTTGAAATGTTTCAGGGGTAGTTTTGGCATCTTGTGTGCCCCAAGTCTACTCCAAAGTGAAATTGCCCAACTGGTTGTTAACAGGCTATTAGTAATTGGTCTGTCTAGTTCTAATGATTGGTTGGTACCTGTGTGTACATGTCCCGCGTTTACTTAGGTGGAACCTCTGGTGTTTTGGGAGTAGTGATTAACCCTGCAGAGTGTATGGTCTTGTTCTAATCTTTGCAGGAGTATTGATGTTAAGTAGACGCATTGTTTGCCAGGTCAAATTTGTCTTTTTCTGTTGCATTTCTTTTTAAAAGCCAAGTTTTTTTTTCTCCTATATCACAAAGAGAATTTTATTTTTCTGATAGGATTTTTTACAGACCTTTAGGATTAAAATTAGCTGCCTTTCACTTCTGGGCTTTACTCTCTTCTTGGGTTAATTTTAGCTAATCAGTGGCAAAATAAGTTGCCTTAAAATCACACTTCCTTCCACAGTCTTAGAAAAATAAATGAAAAAAAGAGACCCTACTTAAGTGGCCTTGTTATTTCTCCTACTTGATTTGCACAGCTTTAGCCTTCCTTCTTTTGTCCATACAAACTGTAACGCAAAGGTCACAAAAATTCCTTGACTTACTGAAATGTGGCTGATAGCATCGTTGAAGCAAACATCGGTCTAACCCACATGTTTCATAGTTCGGAGATTTTCAACTAATAAGAGGAATCAAACACTGTATTTGGGGAAAGATTAAGGTCACTGGCCCTCATTTGAGTTGATTGGTCTCTTGAAATGAGATGTTAATTGTGAAATTGATAGGCAGATTTCCATAAGATTTTACCCCCAATAGTTTGTGTTTATAATTAAAATAATAAAAATGGAAACTGTCCAGTTCAATCAGCATAATCTCCCATCTATTCTCAAGCAACACAACTGGCGTGAGATGCATCTGTGTGTGTGAGTCACATATTCCTTTTACTTTACTTCTGGAGGGAAGGGGAAAAATAAATTGCCTAGAGTCTACATATGTTGACATCTCCACAGAAATTAGAGAACAACCACTACAATGTTGGAATAAAAATGAAAAGAGATAGAGCCACTTTTCTATAAATAATAGAAGATTTTGGATGTTTGCAATTAAGGTTATCACTTGATTCATTCATGCAAGCAATATTTACTGAGTACCTACTTTGTGCTGGCACCGTTGTACTGTAGGTACTAGGGATACGAGGTGAAGATGAGAGTTGGGTTCCAAATCTTACAGAACTTGCATTCTGATAGAAAAGGGTTTTAAGCAGGGGAGTGGTGTGATCTGATGCTGTTTCCAATGGCTGATTACTCTGGCTGCCTTGTGGAACAGGTGCTGGAAGGGGCATGAATAGTTGCAGGAAGACTAATTAGGACACTTGCAGGGGTCCAGGTGAGAGACGATAGTGATTTAGAACTGCTGGTGACAGTGGTGAAGGCAAGAAGTGGTGGATTTAGCACTTCTATTGGAGGTTGAGTGGAAAGAACTTACTGATAGATAAGATGTGGGGGACGAGGAATACAGAGGATTAGATTCCTCCCTCCCCCAGCTGAATTGATGGTGGTACCATGCTGCAGGTGGGAAGACTTGGGGAGGAATTAGGAGTTCCATCTTGAGTACCTTGTCTGTGAGATGCATCCAAATTGATTGACAGGTTGCTAGTTACCTGATTTCCAGAGGGGACTATGGAGCTCAGTACCTGACTAAAGGACGCAGAGTCGTCCTATTTGTGGGGAGCACTAGCAAAATGATTTGCATGCATGACAATATAGAATGGGGAAAAATCTTGGCCAGCTGGTAAATTTGGCAGCACCTGAAAAAAGGAATTCAATAAAGATGAATGAAAGTTTTTAAAACCAAAGATAGAATAGGGATGGGAAGGTGGGGAGGAACATGGGGTTTAGCAGAAGTACTTTGCATTATAAAAGGAGAGGTTTAGGGACAAGTAATATGAAGAGGATGACAAAATGTGTGTGTGTCCTTGAACTGCCTCCATAATAGAGAGAGTCCTGACTTGGGGGTCAGTCAGATCTGGGTTCTAAGTCAGACACCATCGCTTACAAGCTGTATGTCTTCTGGCCAGTTACTGAACCTCTGCACACAAACTCAAAGATTTTTTCTCCCCAAAACATTGAAGTCATTAAGTAAAAACTAATTTGTTTCCCATCTTTTGTTGAGCAAAGATATATCAAGCTGCAGCTTGAAATGTCAGGTCAGCTTGAGAGAGTGTGACCACATGAATTGAAATAATTGCAGCCAAAAGCAAAGGCATTTTTCTTGAGGCACAGGTCTTATCTTGCATGAATGGGTCATTTCAGCTGTGATTTTTAAAACCTTAAGACAAGCTTCTGTACCCTTGAGGCTGTCTTTTCAGTTCCCAGGTTAGGGGCCAATGTGCCATTTCCCAAGAGCATCCCAGGTGAAAATATCTGGGACACTCACTAACCTTGACCACTTCTGTAATTGAGAGGGGATCCAGGGAAACAGAGGTGCACTCTTTCTAAGAATTTAAAGACCTCTACATTTTAGGAAGAGGTATGCAATACTTTCCATGTCTACATTTTAGGAATGGCTGTAGGAAAGGGTATTGGTCATCCCTTCATCTCCATCCATTTTTACATCTCCCTAGGAATGGGAAGAAACTTTCCATTGTGGGAACTAGCTTGGATTATTTCTATGTGATGTTACAGCATCTCGACTTAATTCCAAATCTAGTTGTTTGGTCCACGTAATGCCAAATAATGCTTGATACTTTTGTCCCTGCTTGATTTTACGGGTTGATGGCTAGTACACGGACACAGTCCATGATGAATCAGCCATGTTTCCCAATATGTTTACTACAGGCCAGTGCTTCTCAAATTTCAATGTGAACCACCTGCACATCTTCTTAAAGTGCAGGCTCTGATTCAGCAGGTCTGGGTGGGGCCTGAGAGTCTGCATTTCTGACTAACTGCCAGGCAATGCTGCATCCTGCTTGTCTGGGAATCACACTTTTAGTAGTGAAGTTGCAGAAGCCTAATCTGTTAGTAGAACACAGGTTGCTCAAGAAAAAAGAAGGAGGAAAGGGTCCATGGATAAAGGTCAGGAGTAAATGGCATACCTTACTGGCATCTTAAAGGCCCTGAGAAGTCCTGCAGGTACAAAGAAACTGTTTACTTGTTTTACTTAGGGTCAAATTCATTTGATGATGAAACATTTTTGTTGTTGTTCCCAAGGAAAACCTATTAATGTTCAGTGGAATTAGTTTTCTGTGTATCAGAATTTGAAAACAATTTAGCACGAGAGACACAGATTGTCCTACAACTATGTTGATTGTAAATGGGCCAGTATTCGACTAAGGCAGCCACCTGGGAAAGTGCCAGTGTGTGATGAGTAAAAGCTTGGGATCTGAAGCTGAGTCAAAACCTGAGGTTGAGTCTTGGCTCTCCATTTGGGGTCAGTCAACTTCTCTGAGCCTTGATTTTCTACTGTATAAAATGGGCATAATAAAAGACCCTGTACATGGACACTGTTACTATAGTTGCCTGGATTAGCAAAACAGATGATATTGAGCATCTTGGCTAGAGTGAAAAGTACTCAGGCCAGAAGAAACCCAGGAGAATAGTAATATATGAAGAACAGAAGTTTGAGCAGGAATGATCCCTGGAGACTGATGCAGAACCCTTAATTATAGATTAACTTCACTGCACAGTGGGAAGAATTCACCCAAGACCAAGGACCAATTCACCCAAGCAGCAGAGAGCAGACCAGGACCCAGAACCCTGGTCTGAGCCCACTGCCCTCCAATCCACCTTGCCAGAGCCTCACCAAGTCACCCAAAGAACCCCCTCAGGTTTCCTGTAAGGAGCTACCTTTGTTCCAAACACAGCTTTTTGGGATGAAAACAATCTTCATGCATGAAGTCCAGAATTCACGTGGTTCTTCTGTCAGCACTGTGTTTGAAGCTGTGGGACATAGCAGGAAAAGGAGCAAAGGTTTTGTGCATCAGCACCTTTCCCCTGGAGGAGCCAGGCACGGCATCCCCATCACAGCCTGGTTAGAATCCTTGGGATTACCAGGGCTTCTGTGGAAGCGGTGGTGACCCTCCTACAGAGACAGTGCCTGTGGCATCTGCAGGATGTGGTGCAGCCCGAAGAGATCCTGCAGAGTCAGGGCCAATCTTGCAGAGACTAGGGAGTGCCCCCAGCCCACCAGGGCACTTTTCCTGTGGCAAAGCCTGCTGGGTTTGGGAGCAGGAAGCTGCTGCCAGGTGAGAGGTGGGAGGGGACTGGCTGCCGGAACCCCAGCCTGGTCCTTACCCCCTCTGAATGCAGGCTAAAAGGATGAGAAGCAAATGAATGCCCCGCACTTCTCTAGCCCGTTTTCTTTTTTTCTTTCTTTCTTTCTTTCTTTCTTTCTTTCTTTCTTTCTTTCTTTCTTTCTCTTTCTTTCTTTCTTTTTTCTTTCTTTCTTTCTTTTTCTTTCTTTCTTCCTTCCTTCCTCCCTCCCTCCCTCCCTCTCTCTCTCTCTCTGTCTTTCTTTTTTTTCTTGAGACGGAGTCTCACTCTGTTGCCCAGACTGGAATGCAGTGGCGTGATCTCAGCTCACTGCAACTTCTGCCTCCTGGGTTCAAGCGATTCTCCTGCCTTGGCCTCCCATGTAGCCGGGATTACATGCGTGTGCCACCATGCCCGGCTAATTTTTGTATTTTTAGTAGAGACGGGGTTTTGCCATGTTCTGGTCTCTAACTCCTGACCTCAGGTGACCTGCCCGCCTCGGCCTCCCAAAGTGCTGGGATTACAGATAGGAGCCACTGCGCCCAGCTGTTCTGGCCTGTTTTCTATGTTGAGCCTTAGAATAGCCATGAAAGGCACCTCAAATTATCAACATTCCTATCTGAGGGGGGAAAAGAGGCTCCAAGAGCAGGATGACCTGTCCAGGGTGCTACGGGCTCGGACTTGACGCCCAGGTCCCTTTGTACTCCACCTCTTAAGCCCCAGCCTTGTCTTCACACAGTCATCTTCAGACAACCCAAGTGGGTGCATTTGCCGTGATAGCTGAGAGCTGTTACCTCCTAGCTAATTTCCTAAACACTATCTATTCCTCACCCTCTCACTCTGGGTGGGAAGGCAGAGTCCAGGGAGCATAGATGAGGTGCTAGGGTGGACAGAAGGAAACCTGGGGTCTTGGGACAAAAGGACAATCCAGGAAAAAAAACCTCAGCAATGTCCTAATCACATGATGCTAACATGGGAGGGAGCTTACAAAGTTCTTTCACATCCATTCCTCGGTTCTTATAACAGCCTCATGAGTGGGCAGGGCAGGGTTTATAATTCTCTTTTTACAAGTGAAGGAACTCAGGCTCAGAGCTGGCAGGACTTGTCTCCAAGTTCTCAGGGGAGTCTGGATTAGAACCCAGGGCTCTGGATTGGCCCAAGCCACCCCAGGAACTAGACTAGAGGCTACCACTGTTTGGCCCACACCCCTTTACCACTGCCACACCCAGGAAAAACAAGGTCCCGTAGAACAGCCGTGTAGCACCATTCAGAACTGCCCTCTGCCCCGTGCCAAGCAGAAAAAGTGTGAGGTCTGCGAGTCATCCTGCTACAGCCGGAGACTCAGCCTGAACCAGTCAGCGTGAATGTGGTATGTGTGTGTGTAGGGGTGGGAGTGGGGGCTGGAGGGGAGGCAGAAAGAACCGCGGGCTCCATGCCCAGTCTCCACGATTTCCCAGGAGGGAAGCAGGCCTCCAGGCAGAAAGCCAGGAGTGTCCCTCATTGCTCCAGCAAATGGGTCCTGGAGGAGTCATCCCACGTCCCTGCTGCTGATGGGTAGCGTGGGGGTGAGGAGAAAGGGCATGGCTGTGCCCCCCAAGGACTCCAGCTGAATCCGGGAGGAAGTCCGCTTATTTATCTTATTTCCTGTACACCATTTTGATTTATTTTCCTGGTCTGGAGAAAGAGCTGTAGCATAAACTAAGGCTCCATTCTAGGGGGCCTGTTGGCTCCTTGGAGTCTGTAATTGGGACATTGAAAGGAAAAAAAAAAAAGAAAAGAAAAGAAAAGAAAAAAAAACAAGCCCGCAGAGGAGTGGATGATCTTTTATACTTAAAGTTCCCCCCTCTATAAAAGCGACATATTACAAACCTCTTTCTCCTCTCGAACATTTCTTGCTAAGTGCATTCTGATGCCACATTGAAACGCAAAATAGCTGGAATCAAGCAGGCACCGAAGGCTATTTATATGCTAATCTTTATTTCCCAAGCTGAAGCAGGAACCTCGAGCTTGGTGCTGCTTCTAATGATGGCTCGGCTTTAACCTCTCTGGAAGAAAGAAAAGTATTTTCCTTAAGAAAACAACTCAGTTTCTTTAAGATGAAATGTAATTATCTATTATCAGATGTCCCTTAAAATGCAAGGCCTATTAAAGCTGCTAAAAATATTGAAGCCCTAATTTCACCATAATAGCATTTTAATTTCAGCAAATCACGCTTCTATTGTTACAGGACATTTTGCGGTAGGAATGTGGTAAGAGGTCCATCTTAGCTTTTTTCTTAACATTTTCCTTTCTTTGAGAAGTACAATTAAATCATTGCAATCATCTAACCTTGCTCGACACAAAATTTTACTTATCAAATGTGAAAACAATGGTCATTAGCATTTAAAAGAATTTGTTTTAAAAGTAGCTAAAGTTTAATTGCTTTAAATATTCTTGTCGGAATATGCAGCCGGCTGTTGGTTCAACGTTCTTATTAAAGAGGGACGGTGTTTAATTAATCGCTGAATTTCATTGAAAAATATTTACTTTATTTCTGGGTGAAGTATAAAAGAGACGTCTTGCTGGACCCTCAAGGAGGAACAGATTTGAGGGAGGTGAATGCTTTGTAGGGAGTTGCTGGCAGAGTGACCCAGGTACAGTGCTCACCTCTGGATTGGATGCATTTTGGGGAACTTTTCCCATGAAAGTTTCTGAAGCAAACCTCACCAATCCCCTTTTTAATAGGCATCAATGGGAAGCATCTGTGGCTCCCTGCAAAATGCTAGAATGTGTATTTTTGTTTTTCAGAGACCCTGCGAACATGGAGGCCGGTAAAGAGGGGGAATTTCATGCGGAGAAGAGCAGCCTGTTCACTTCTAAGTGGGTTCACCTTTTAACATGGGTTAAAGTGTAACTGTGACCCTGGTAATCAGTACTGCTTGTTGAGCACTCGCTGTACACCAGGCACTATGTTGAGTTTTTTAAATGCATAATTTCCCTTAATCTTCACAACAGTCTTATGGTGGGGGGATATTGCCTCCATTTTCCAAATTTGGAAACTGACACCCACAGCGGTTAATTTGTCCAAGCTTATGTGGCCAGCAGGAGGCAGAACCCCAATTAATCTGAGATCTATCTGGCTATAACCTCCGTGCTATGCTGCCTCCTACCCATTTCTGCTTCCAGAGACCACCTTAACTCTGGCCTCCAGTCCAAATCCGGTTCCAGACAGCTCCCCTGGCTCCATGCTACTTCCTTGCTGCCACCTTTGCCTTGGGGCCCTCTGGACCCATGTACACATGGAATTTGAAAAGTCTCACCATTCTTTCCCTCTTTGGGACTCAGTTTCCTACCCATAAAATTAGGAACTTGGATGACCCAGTCTTCAAGAGCTTTTCTAGGTCCAAGGTCCTCTGGATTCAGTTCAAGTCTACAGAATGGCACTGAGCACTGTGTGGGCCTTGGGCGTGCAGAGATGGTGAAATGGGTCCCTGTCTTCTAGATGAACGCCAGCACTGCCAGCTCAATATTGCCAGCTGTCCTTCTGTATGTGTGGTCAGGCTGGACAATTGTGATGGCACCCTGCACAGCAAGGGTAGAGTCCTTTAGGGCTGCAGGACAATCTGAGATTTCACTTGATTTTCCCTTTGTTTGCTGGACAAACTCCTACTTCTTTTTAAATAAGCAGCTCAAGAGTTACTTCTTCTGGGGAGATGTTTTGGCTCCTTTTCAAGCCCAGATTCCCATGACCCTTCTAGTCTTTCTCTTATAGCATCTACTCCTGCAATAGAGAAATAAGTATATAGCCTTGTTTAGATTCCTGGCCCCACTGCTTACCAGTGTATGATCTCAGGGCCTGTTTCCTTGTCCATGCAGTACAGTGATAATGGTGTCTATCTTTCTCTCTGGTTGTGTAAGTCCTAAATGAGAGTTGTATAAAGCTCCTAGAACTGTGCTTACAAAGCATTACTTATGTTTGAAATGCTTGTTCCCCGGTGCCCTAAAGAAATGGCACTTGAACATAAATTTAATGTTACTCAGCAAGGCCATTTTTGCTTCCTGCAGAAAGGATACACTCGCCAGCAGTTTTGCCATGAGAGTACCCCTAACAAAGGAGACAGGGTAATTTATAACCTGACGCGTCCACCCTACTGCTGTGTCCAGTTTCCATTGGCTGGAACAGGACCTCACATTCTGTGTTTGTCCCGATTGGCTAGCAACTTGAACTTTTTAAGAGAGGCAAAGGCAGAGGAGAACAAAGGAAGGAGGAAGTAACTTGTGCAATGCTGGGAAAGGTAAAAAAAAAACACCTTCAAATAAGGAAGAGGAACAGGCTACGACCTAATGTTTGCTTGGACCAGTATAAGCATGCCAGGGCAAATATTTAGGCTAAATTGTGGGAGCTAAGAACGTAAAGTACATTGATTTCTTTATCACGGCTGGCAGATATTTAAGACTGTTAGCACAGGTCTTTGAATACATTTTGCTTCTAAAAGAAGTTACTATTTATTCCTCATTAAATGGGGAGGAAAGTCTTTGAAGAGGAACCTCTACTTTACTTTTTACACTTATTATTAATATAGTAAAGGTTCTTATTGATAGGTGTGCGTTCCAGCCAGGCTGTGTGCTCTGCCAGGTCTGGTACCACAGGAGTGTCACCTTTATATCCCTGTGTCTAGCACAGCAACTGCTGCATAGCAGAAAGCACTCTATAGTGGCCAAGAACACTTGGCCATTTTATGCCACCTACTGGCTGTGTGACCTTGGGTAGGTTCCATGACCTCTCTGGCCTTCTGTTTCTTCATTTGTAAATGGGCATAATTACAGTTCCCTGACTGTGCAATTATTGGGAGAGTGAAATGAGGCCAAGCTGGTAAAGTGAAGTCTTGCTCAGAGCACCTGTAAGAGTTCAACCCATCATGTCTATCAGGTTACCAGACTCTCATTAATAACTGACATCTGTATTCCACTCTCACATTCTTATCTCATTTAATCCTCACAACAGCTCTGGGAGGGGCCTCCGTTATCGTCTCTGTTTCTCCAAGATTTTACAGCTGGTAAGAGGTAGGTCGCCTGACCTCACATCCCAGCCTGCATTTCTTACCCCATGACATCTGCTCATATCGTGAAGGTAGACAGATGAGGGAATGACGCTCAAGTAGTCCAAATAGTCTTCCATAAAAGTTAGGTGAGGCTTGGGCTCCTGGCTTGTTAGGAATTCCAGCTAAATTGATTTCATAATGGTGGGTCCTGAAGTGACACCTCCAACAGGAAGCTGCCCTTGGCTTTTTATACTCTTCAGGGGCTGTTATAAATTTGATTATATCTGAAATAGCAGATTTCAAGTTGAAGTCCCCTTTGTCCACTCTGGAATTCAGATTTATTTCTGAGAGACCAGTGCAATTTTCTTATCTTTGTTACAAATTACTACAGTCTGGGTTAATCTCACGCAGCAATAAAGCTGTTTGCCTAGGAAGCTTCCTGCAGTGTCAGAGCTGATGAATGGCTCCCTCTGGCTATAATAATTCAGTCTAGAACATTGAAAAAAGTACCAACTTGGTTCTTCTGCAGGAAACTCCACCGCATGCTTGGCTGCTTAGATTGTTGGGGATCAGAGACTCTCACCTGGGTTAAGGCATTGGCACCTTAAACCCATGAGATCTGAGGGGCCCCATGATGAAATGGCAGGCAGCATCGCCCCTCTACTTTGTAAAGAAGGCAGACCTGTCTGGAGTTTTCTGAGTATGGCTGTAGATCTACAGTAGAAGCCAGAGCAGGCAGAGGGGACAGACTGAATGATTTCAGGACAAGGAAGTGAGTGGGCTGGCCTCAGAAGCAGAGAAGAATGCACTGTGGGTGAAGGGGCAGAGGACTTGTATTTCATTCATTCAACAATGACTGTAGTTTTAAAAATCTAACATGCACACTGATTAGACAATACACTGTTGATTTAATATGAAAACTTACTGGGGGGCAGGAGGAATGAAACACAACCACTTTCAATGTGCACATTGATTTTAAGACCCAATGTTGTGGTCCTAGGAGGCATTCTAGGGAGATTGAGATCTGAAGGATGGGAAGAGATGGTCAGGGTGTGTGTGTGAGAGAGATATCTAAGTAGCTGGGAGGAAGAGTATTCAGGCAGAGAGACTAGCATGCCCGAAGATATTGAGACAAGAAGACTTGCTCAAAAAACTGAAAGAAGGCCAGTGTGACTTTGGGGGTAAGGGGTGTGGAGAGATAAAGCTGGGGGTCAGCAGGGTACATCACATGAAGGACCTTACAGCCTGGCTAAAGAGTTTAGATTTATTCTGAGGACAATAAATTCCTCAGAAAGGTTTTAAACAGTAGATCAATATATTCTGTATTTAGGGTACATAGGAGGTGTGATGGTTAATATCAAGTGTCAACTTGATTGGATTGAAGGATGCAAAGTATTGTTCCTGGGTTTGTCTGTGCGGGTGTTGCCACAGGAGATTAACATTCGGATCAGTGAACTGGGAGACGCAGACCCACCCTCAATCTGGGTGGGCACCATCTAATCAGCTGCCAGCGTGGTTAGGATAAAAGCGGGCAGAGGAATGTGGAAGGACTAGGCTGGCTGAGTCTTTTGGCCTCCATCTTTCTCCTGTGCTGGATGCTTCCTGCCTTCGAACATCAAACTCCAAGCTTTGAACATCAGACTCTTCAGCTTTTGAACTCTTGTACTTACACCAGTGGTTTGCCAGGGGCTCCTGGGTCTTCAGTCACAGAATGAAGGCTGTGCTGTTGGCTTCCCTACTTTTGAGGTTTTGGGACTTGGACTGGCTTCTTTGCTCCTCAGCTTGCAGACGGCCTATTGTGGGACTTCACCTTGTGAGTCAATACTCCTTAATAACCTCCCATTCATATATACATCTATCCTATTAGTCCTGTCCCTCTAGAGAACCCTGACTAATACAGGAGGCAAAGCAATATGAGACTGAAAAGACAGCTGTGTCACGGGGAATGCTGGTGGGAAAAGGTGACTTACACAACCTGTGCCCATCCGGGGACAAGCATTGGCTTACTGGGCTTTAGGAGGTACTTCAACAAGAGGCGCTTAGATGACAACGCTAGAGTTAAGAGATAGCACATGTCTTTTTGATTCTGTAAGTCCGAATTCACCTCTTCTGAGTGTCCATCTTTCTAAGCTGGCAAGATCAAGTCTTCAAATGGGTTTCTGTTCCTTGCCTTCCCTCCACTACTGAGTACTAGAAACATTCTGGAGGGTCTTACCCAGTCCGCTCTGGTCTGAGTCCATGCCGGTCACCGTGTTTAGAAGGTGGGGAACCCCTCAGCCCTTGTGCTACGCTTGGCCACAGGGGTCTTTTCATGTAGATCTGAAGGCGGCAGATAGTAGTATTTAATTACCTTCTCCCCCTGCCCCATCACAGCAAGTCCTCATCATGGGTACCATGTGCCATTTGGTCTCTGTCCCACTTGGAAACTTCCAAGAACCCTATCCTTCCACTTCCTCTTCTCCCTAATGGCTTGGTCATTTTGATTCATTCCATTCTAAGCATTCGCTTCCATCCTTTCTGAGATAATTTAGTGAATAAAAGGAGGAGTGGGTTATCTTTTCCTGCCTAGGAATTTCAGCTTTCATCCCTTCAACACCAAAACCTTCAAGCCATTGAGATAAGAGAGCCCAAAGCCCTGGCCTTCCTCTCCCTTCTTCTCTTTTGACTTCAAGGATACTCTAGAGTTGTTTTTTAGCTGATAGAGTACTTTGCTGTGAAATGAGCTGAGCAACAAGGAGATGGCATTAAATTTCCATTCATCTATCCACCCACCCATCCACCCACCACTTTGAGCAGAAGCAAAGGGCTTTTAAGGATAGTGTTTCTTTGACAACTGCCCACTTCTGAGAATGGGCTACCACGGCCCTGTTTCCCCACTAGGCTGTCTATTGTCTGAAAAAAAACAATGTCCCAAACCAACATACTATAATGTTAAAAACCTGGGCTCTGTGCCGGGCGTGGTGGCTTACGCCTGTAATCCCAGCACTTTGGGAGGCCTAGACGGGTGGATCACGAGGTTAGGAGATCGAGACCATCTTGGCCAACATGGTGAAACCCCGTCTCTACTAAAATACAAAGAGTTCACCAGGCATGGTGGTGCGTACCTGTAGTCCCAGCTGCTTGGGAGGCTGAGGCAGGGGAATTGCTTGAACCCGGAGGTGGAGGTTGCAGTGAGCCTGAGCCAAGATCACGCCATTGCATTCCAGCCTGGCGACAGAGCAAGACTCCGTCTCAAAAAAACTAACAAACACACACACAAAAACAACAAAAAACAACAAAACCAAAAAACCTGGGCTGTGGAGTCAGACTCCCTGGGTTCAATGTCCTGGCTTCATCACTTACCAGCTGTGTCAATTTAGCCACACAAATCCGAGTTTTGTTATGGTGTTTACCTTATCTGTAAAATGAGGCTGTTAGCAGCACCTACCTCAAAGGCTGGTAAGGATTAAAATGAGTTAATACACGTAAGCTTTTAGAGCTTGTACTTAGGAAGGGCTCCACAAATGTTTGCTATTGTAAATACCCATGGACCCAAGTGGACATCTGACACCAGCTGGGTCAATTCGATTCTCTCTCTTCTCCCTGAAATTTGGAATCAAGACTGGAGTGAGGCTGGGTCACTCAAAACTGCAGACTTGAATAGATCTTGTAGGGAGGTTGTTCCAGGCTCAAAGATGTTGTTCTGCAGAGGAGAAAGAAAAATGAATGTCTAGATGGGAGATAGAAGTGGGCAGGGGTATGAGGAAGGGAGAGAGGGGATAGGGAGGCAAAGAGAGAAAAGGAGGAAGAGGAAAAGGAGGAGAGGAAAGAGGAGAGGAGAGAGGCTTAAGGATGCTTAAGTGCTTGGGTTCCTGATCTTGGTCCTGCTCATAGTGGTCAGGGCTCACCTGCATCCAGGTAAATCCCCATTTGCTTAATTGCTTTTTGCTTCATGTACTTTGGAGTGGATTTCTGAGCAGGAGTGAAGGAAACAAAGGTAAGGCAAGCAGATCATATGCCTGCCCTCAAGGAATTTGCCATCTAGCAAGTGAGTATGGGAGATAAGACAAGTTTGCAGCTGACCAGAAAATGAGTGTGGATGGGGCTGTGAGAGAATGAAGGACTATGGCAATCAGGGAAGTCATCTATTAGGGCTGGATGGCAGACGGCTTGTCAGAGGAGCGAATCATGGCATTAGGTCTTGGAGGATGAATTTTGTCTAAACTCCCCTCATGGAGCTAAGCCATGACTATGGCTTCCAGCCACAACACCCTATTGGGGCTTTGGATGGGAAACAGCTAGACCCTGAGAAAGATTCTCAAAGTAAGATTTCCTGGCGAGGCACAGCATCCCCTGCCCCACAGTGTGTTAGGGCTCTTCAATCTGACAAGGCACTGATTAGCATTCTGGGGTTCTGGATGGAGGTGGTCTTATTTTTATTAGCATCTTTTTTTTTTTTTTAATCTCAAAGAGTGTTAAGAGTATGCTCTAAGAGGGAAACTTTATAATTTAAACACTCTCTCCACCTACCCTGACATTTTGAGTATTAAGTTTAATGAGAAGGCCTGGGGAGCCAGCAGAGAGTTCCGTGAAGCAAGCTCATCCTGCAGTCAGATCAGCCACCCGGTGTGGCCAGACTGACAGTTCATGAACCCAGTGGGACAAGTTGCTGTTTCCCGTATCCATTCTGAGTGAAACTTCCCACTTCCGGACGTTTGCCTGTGCTGTTCCCGCTACCCTGTCCTCCTCCCCCATATGTCTACCACCAGAACACAACCCGTTCTTCAATGCCCATGGTGAATGGGCCTCCTCCATAATGTGCATTTTCCATAATGGTTTTTTTTTGCTCTCCTGATTCCCAGATGTGGTTTGGCTCTGCCCTGAGCTCCCTCAGTTTGGACCTCTTGGGCAGCATTACCTCATTCTGAGTTTTTGTTTGTTTGTTTGTTTTTTTGTTTTTTGTTTTTTTTTTTTTTTGAGAAGGAGTCTCCCTCTGTCGCCCAGGCTGGAGTGCAGTGGCGCAATCTCGGCTCACTGCAAGCTCCGCCTCCTCGGTTCACGCCATTCTCCCGCCTCAGCCTCCCGAGTAGCTGGGACTACAGGAGCCCGCCATCATGCCCGGCTAATTTTTTGTATTTTAAGTAGAGGCGGGGTTTCACCGTGTTAGCCAGGATGGTCTCGATCTCCTGACGTCGTGATCCGCCCGCCTCAGCCTCCCAAAGTGCTGGGATTACAGGCGTGAGCCACCGCGCCCGGCCTCAGTCTGGGTTTTACTGTAACACTAAGCACTTGTTTTATTCTTACTTATTTATCCCCTCCCAGACTGGGACCTCTTCAAGGACAAGACCCATGGTTTATTCTTTCTTGCATCCCCAGAACCTCCATAAATGTTTATTGACTGTGTAATAACACTTCTTAATGCTTTAAAGTTATTGATAAACTACAACCAGAAACATGTGGTGCTAATCATTTGCCAGGAATTGGACTAAGATAAATGATTTCATGGAATTCTAATGCCAGTCCTGTAGGTAGGTGGTATTATCCCCACTTTACAGATGAGAAGACTGGATGGGGCTAGAGAGAATTAAGTAAGGCACCATAGCTCATGGAATAGCAGAATTTTATTTTCAACTCCAGCCTAAATCCAAAGCTTTTAACTCTTAAAAATGATGATACTGACTCCCTTCTCTAAGAACCCACAAAAAAGCAAATTAGAACAACAAAGAGGTCTTTTTAAAATTAGGCTATGAAATGAGGATAAAAAGAGATCATCAATGTTGACAGTGTTGCATTGAACCGGATACTCTCCTATGCTTGCGGCATTGATGCTTAGTCAAAAAAACCAGTCACTCCCTTTGACCCAAATATGGCATATATGTTGAAAATTTACCTTAAGGAAAAATCCCAAATATTGGGGAAGAAAACAGTAAATACAAAGATGTTCATTGCAGCATTACTTATGATAGTGAAATACTCGTTAATAGAACACCTAAGTAAATTATGGCCAAAATCCATGGAATATTAGGCAGGATTAAAATCATAGTTATTTAGGTTGTGTATGATGCCAAAAAAAGTTTAGGATATAATATTAGGCCACAAAAAATTGGATATACAATTGTGAGTGTGCCATGGTTACAATGAGGTGAAAGCTAGAGCTTCGGGGAGAAGAAACACACCAAGAATGCTAATAGCAATTGTGTCAGGATGAATGAATTATGGCTTGTTTTTGTTTCTTTTTTCCCCTATTTTTCAAATTTTCTGTAACATAGTTATATATTTTTATTATGAAAATGATGTATTTTTTTTAAAAAAAGCTGATGAATAATTCTACAGCTGAACTTTATTAGCAGCCAAAGGCGACCTTGTCTAAAGAAGATGTCCTCCAGGCCTTAGATCAATGCCAGGGGCGCAGGGCAGCATGTGGCTCACACCCTGGGGTTGTGGAGACGGTGGACACCTGCATATGTGTCCTGTTACGCTGGAGAACTGCTAACATGGGGCTGACCTAGGGTCCTGAAGATGCTGCCTACCAGGGGGCTAACCTAGCTTTCCGGGTAACATAAGCACTCAGACCTCCTTTTCCGCTGGAGGCATCCCTGCTCCACGCATTGCTGTGTCTCCCACGCTTCGATTGTTGTAGCCAAGAGCTGAGGAGCAAGTTCAGAAGCTCAGGGATGCAAAAAGCTGGATAAAGCATCTTCAGGTAGTAAAACCCCCTCTTTTTGATTACAAACAAAAACAACAGGTGAGAGATGACACTAAGGATGTGATGGATGGTTTGGAACATTTTTTAATCTGCCCAGTTAGTTGATGCTTGCTCTGTGGGTTTTGACTGCCTTCCAGGCTAGTTTGGGCTGTGTTGTTTCTCGCTTTCAGCTGTTCTCAGTTCTTCCTCAGCGTGCAAGCTCCTTGAATAGTTAAGAACAAGGTGAAGGAAATGGGTTTATGAAAACTGCCTCTGATTGCCATCAGGTGTGAGGTTGTTGACCATTCCTCACTGAGTGGGGCTGGGACCTATGCTCCTCTCTGGTTTGAATCCTGTTGTAGCTACTTACTAATTGTGGCTAAATTATTTGGGCAGATTCTTTCATCTTTTTTGAGCCTCAGTTTCCTTATCTGTAAAGTGGATGAGAAGGATAATTCCTGCTTCAGAGGTTTGTGGTGAAGTTAAATGAATTGAGATGTATCAAACACATAGTGCAGAGTTGGCTTGAGTGTGCTTCTTAGTGCTTGATAATGCTAGCCCTTGTTATTATTGTTTCATGATCATTCCTTCCCTTGGGTTCCCAGCTGAGACAGATGGGCTTTTCCTTTACTAAGAACTTTACCGACTGTAATCCTAGCACTTTGGGAGGCTGAGGTGGGTGGATCACCTGAGGTCAGGAGTTTGAGAACAGCCTGGCCAACATGGTGAAACCCTGTCTCTACTAAAAATACAAAAATTAGCTGGGCATGGTGGCGCATGCCTGTAGTCCCAGCTACTCAGGAAGCTGAGGCAGGAGAATCGCTTGAATCCAGGAGGTGGAGGTTGCAATGAGCTGAGATAAAAAACAAAAACAAAAACAAAAAAAACCAAAACTTTACTAAGGGAGAAAGAAAAGGAAATGGTAGCAGAAGATACAAAATGATCCAAAGACTTCCTATGCCCTTTATGTTTCTGAGCCTCAGACCTTGTCCCTGAAGAAATTCTCTTTCCCCAAATCACTAGGTTTTTCCAGAACTTTGATCTGGCTTCTGTTGCTACCCTCCTGGACTGTCTTCATATTAAAGATACTTTCTTATTTCCCACCCAGAATAGTTGATCCCTGGCATTGCCCCCTTCCTGCCAAGGTCTCAAGACCAAAATGTATTACACACAAGTCACTCTAAGTGCAATACATACCATTTCTAATTGAATTCTCACAGTCTTTGAGGTAGTATTATTATTTTTATTTCAAAGAAAGGGAGGCTCAGAGTAGATAAAGAACTTTCCCAAAGTCACATTGCTAGTAAGAGGCAGAGCAAAGATTCTTATCTAGGCCCAGATGATCATGATCCCATGTTCTTAATCATCACAGCTGTGAGATATTAAAATTAATACCTACTGCCCAGGAGGTTGTAGTAGGGATTATTAATGAATATGAAAAAGTACATTGTAACTTCTAATGTGCTAGGCAAATACAATGGTGTAATAATGTATAACAACATAAACAAGAAGTGCAACTTGTGGTTATAAGCTTGTGTTCAAATCTACTCTGTCACTTATTAACCCTTAATCATTGAGTGACCTTTGGTAAAACACTGAGTGTTTCTAAGATTCAGTTTATTTTTTTTTCTATAAAACAGGATGGGGTTATGATGACAGTTAAATTTGGTAAGCCCTTAAAACAATGTCTGGCACATAATCGACAATAAGTAAACTCTAGAATGTGAACTCCACACTGGCAGAGAGTACTGGCTGCTTTGTTAATTATTTGTGACCAGCACCTGGCACGTACTATGTGCTCAGTCAGTCTCTGCTGCATGAATGCATGGTGAAGGTCCTAGTTTTTGTAGCCATAATGTCTCCAGTGTGGCCATTCTCTTTCCAGGGACATCAGCTGTGTTGGATTTTTATGGATGACAAGCCTGGCTCTGTCAGTGGCAAATAATTTGATGAATGGATCTGGACAGCAACTAGATACCATGACTTGAGTGGCCTGATCCAGAGGCAAGACCTAAGAACAGTCATATTGGCACCCCTTGAGTTGCTTCTACCTGAGATTTCATCATTTTTCCTGTGAGGAAAGTCCGTCCAGGCCTAATTGGAGTTGCTTGTCAAATTTATTGGCTAGAGTCAAAGGGAAGACCCTTATTAAATTAGGATTCTACAGGGCTGGAGAGACCACTGGGGCTTGGACCATCCTGTGGCCCTACATGGGGCCTCCTATCCCACCCCTTCCTAATAAGAGGCCAGGAGTAGTTAGAATTCAATTACACCCTGGTGAAGAGAGTCTTCCAGGCAGAGCTGGGGCAGGCCCGTGTCTGGGCTGAACAGAACAACCGATTTAAGCTAAATCAACGCCTACTTAAGTGAGCCGTAATAAGCATTCTGGGGGCAACGCCAGCCTGGGGGCATCATTTATCACTGGGTAATAGAAAACTGTAATGAATAATAACTTGGGCCCAGCAGCCGGAGCGTGCATATATTATGGGGTTCGAGCTGCCGCTGTCCACCAAGCTGGGAGGGTGGGTCTGAAGCCAGGGTGGCGGGGTTTGCATATTGAATTCTGCTGCTGTGCAGGAAGGCCTTTGTTGTACAGAAAAGCCATTAATCTCATACCTGCTTTGCCAGTCTGCAGTTGGTGTGGTGAACACATGGCCTATTTTCTTGTATTGCACCAAGAGGGAACAAGATACCCCCAGGAGAAAACCTGCTCTAGAGAGATGGTTTTGGCCTCTGCCTTGGTCAATGTATGAGAACATAGACCTCAAGTCAGCTCCCCTCTGAGGCCTGATCCCAGGGTGTGTTCGTTTTCTCATCAGGCCTTGTCAAGCAGCACAGTTTGAGTACCAGCAGTGCCCAGAGTTCTGTGCTAGCTAATGGTGGGGTCTGGGGATAGCATAAGGTGGGCCTGTGAAGCTCCTGTCGTGGCACTATTGCATTTGATATCCACTTCTGGTTTTGAAATGGGTGTTAACATTTGTGCCCTGTTTTACATATCAGAAAACTGAGAATCAGAGGGGTTAAATGGCTTGCACACAGAAATAGGAAGAGGGGGTCCTGGATTCAAATTCCAGGCTTCTGATATGAATTCTGAACTCTTTGCCTTTTATCACCTTCCCTCCCAGACAAAAAGGCTTGAACATGTCTTCATCTGTTCTCTTGATCCCATTCCCTTTGGGCTCTGGATCCTAGAGAGTTAGTTATTGCCCCGGCGTATGGTGGGCCAGCAGGCTACTCCCTCCTTTGGAAAGCTCTCCTTGTGTCTTCCATGATATGCCTTCTGCCATTCACCTTGGCCTCCTTAATGGGATAATCACTACTTCTCACTACTGTTGTGAGGATAATTTGTCAACCTGTGCTAATCCAAGATTCTTCTAGTCCCATCAGCTTAGGCGTAAGGGAAAGCTGCAGGAATAATAATAATAATAATAATAATAATAATAATAATAATAATAAAAACAGTGTCTTCCTGTCTCAGACTCCACTGTAGGCTTATTCTCAATCCTTCCCCTTGTGATCTTTGAGGATTGCTGGGGTGCTTATCTTGCTGGCACCTTCTGTTGCTTCCAGGCAGCCTCCATGACTCCTTCAGTCTAGCTCCTGGACCCATTGGGTGGCTCCCAGTTTAGTGTTGGCCTTTTCTCCTCCTCTGACACTGGTTTCTTGGTGCTGGGTCTCTGGAGGTTGTCCTTAGTTCCTCTTGACTGGGAGTGACTTCTCTTTTGTTCCCCTAAGGTCCCCAGTGAAATGGGGGAGGGTGGGGTAGGTTGCCATTTTTCACATTCACTTGTTAATCCAACAAAACTTATGTGTACCTTCTAGTGGCTGGATATTCAAAGAGGATTTAGACCATGTCCTACATCAGAATGATGTTTTCCTCAAGACTGAACCCCTCCTTGCTCACCTCCATATTTCAGTTTCAGAGCTGCATAGTCTTGTTTCTTTGTTTCCTGAGGAATCTGCTGCTAATGCTTGTTTTACTTGACTGGCTCTTGACCATACACTTAGCTCCTTAGGATCCATAATGAGTTCACGGAAGCCTGAAGCCAAGCATGAGTGCCATGAGCTATGCTGAGTACAGTTCTCCCTCTCCTCTGCCCCCAGCCACTGTCCTCAGACTGAAATGGGGCCTGGGCCTGAGTTTTCATTGATCAAGGCTGAATTGATTTAGACTGGCATCTTAAGACTGAACAATTCACTTCAGGAAAATACCTCTGCAGCATTCCTCATAAACCACTGTAAATAAAGTCAACTCACTTTAATCAGCTATAAATTGATAAAACCAAACACCACAGAAAAGAAAACAAAGAGAAGTGTCCTAATTCTTATTTGAGTTGTAAGAGCTTTGTTCTGACCTGGTCTCTCCTAGTTTATTCTCAAATATTTCAGACTCGTAATCCTTTTGACTCTTTAATCCCTTTGTTATCCATTTAACAAACCTTATGAGGACAAAGCCTTTTTTTTATAATGAAATCGTCAATGTGATGTTGGCCATGGAGATGGGTCACACAGCTTTCCTTTCATTATTATTATTATTTTTAGAGACAAGGTCTCACTCTGTTGCCCAGGCTGGAGTGCAGGGGCACCAACGAGTTTCACTGCAGGCTTAGGTGATCCTCCCACCTCAACCCCCTGAGTAGCTGGGACTACAGGCACACACCACCATGCCTGGTTAACTTTTGTATTTTTTATAAAGATGGGGTTTTGCCATGTTGCCCAGCTTGGTCTTGAACTTCTGAGCTTGGGCAATCCACCTGCTTTGGCCTCTCAAAGTGCTGGGATTATAGTCGCGAGCCTCTGCGCCTGGCCCAGCTTTCCTTTCAAAAGGACCAGGGAGTGGCTGACAGCCTCCAGGTGCTGTACTTTTGGATCTCTGAGATGTTCAGCTGAGGCTCATTCTCCCTAGGCTGTGCCTGGCCAACCACCAAGCACTGTGGGGGTAATGGAACTGGACCACTTTCTGCTTGATGCAGGACTCCTCTAATGGGCAATCAGTGCTCTGGGGCTCCTCAGAGCCGCACTGCAGTTTGAGGGTCTTCCTGTCCAATCCTCTTTCCTTCCCCCTCCCCTTTCACAGCTATCAGGTTGGTATTGCAGATTGCAGATTCTCCCTGCCCTTTAACTCTCACAAACATTTCCTGCAATTCATACCTTGCGCTTCTGATTCTGTTCCGGCATCTGCTTCTAGGAGGGCCTAACCTGACACACATGCTCAGAGAGAAGCAAACAACAATATATTCATACATCATATATACATTTAAGATGGCTTCAAGGAACCAGGATAGGGACTCTGTGAAGGACGGAGTGCTAAGCAGTACCTTGGTATTCTTTGTAGTGTCCAGCATGGGCCCAGCTTTTGGCTGGGGCTCAGTGAGTAAGGGACACCAGGACTCTTCTAGCCTGACTGCACATAGTGTGAGTCTGTTGTGTCCAGGGGCAGAATTGAGAAGCCAGAAGGTGTTGCTTTGGGCTGCCTTGCTCAGCTTCCTTTCCTGTGTTGTTATCACCAAGGACTGTGCCAATCATTGATATTAAAGTGGTTGCCTGCATGCTGTTTAGGGACCACTGGACCTCAAGAGGGATCCTCAAGAATAATCTGCCAGTCTCAGTTTTAGCTTCCTGACCCCTGTGGCCTGAGAACCTGCCAATCTTCATACCCTGAGAATATGCTAATCGCGTGTCCTGCACCCCCATCATCAAATTTTAGGAAAGTCTGTGGTTCTAATTTGGAGGTAGGCACTGATCAATATCTGCCACAGCCTTAGGGTAGGCTGTGACCTGAATGATGGTTGTGGTAGACAGGAGCTGAGTGAAGTGGCCAACTGGCTGAAATTGGTAAGCAGGGGTATGTGGCCTGAGAGGTTTTGAAGGAACCACAGGAATGTCCAGGTGGCAGAGAGGTCCTGAGTCTGGAAGGTAGGAACACTGGAGCTCCATGTTGCTGAATTCAAATAACCTCTCTATCCTCGTGTAACCCCTGTCAGCAGAATTCCACACAGCTAGCAAGTCCCTTGCTTGTTAAAGATGTTTGTATCTAATGTTCATGAGAGGGATTGGTCAGTGGGGTCTTTTTCCTCTTAATTTATTTATCTGGTTTTGGTATCAAGGTAATGCTAATTTCATAAAATGAGTTGGGAAATGTTCCTTCTATTTTCTGGAAGAGTTTGTGCAGAATAGTTATTATCTCTTCATTTAATGTTCATTAGAATTTAGCAGTGAAGCCATTTGGGACTGGAGTTTGTGGAAGGTTTTTAGTTATGAGTTCATTTCTTTAATAGATATAGGACTATTCAGGTTATCTGTTTCTTCTTGAGTGAGCTTTGGTAGCCTGTGGGTTTCAAGACGTGTCCATTTTATCTAGCTTATATAACTTATTAGAATAAAATTATTCATACCATATCATTCCCTTGCTGTCCTTTTAGAATCTGCAGGATCTATAGTGATGTACCCACTTTAATTCTTGGTATTGGTAATTGGTATTTTATCTTTTGTTTCTTTCCGTTTGACTAAAGGTTTATCGATTTTATGGATCTTTTCAAAGAGTCAGCTTTTGGTTTCATTGATTTACTCCACTATTTTTGTTTTCTATTTTATTGATTTATGTTCTTATTTACCTTTTCTGCTTATTTTGGGTTTAACTTGTTCTTCCTTTTTAAATTACTTAAGGTGAACACTAGAGAATTGATTTCAGAATTTTATGATTTTCTAATATAAACATTTAATGCTATAAATTTCTAAGCATTGATTTAGCTACACTTCACACATTTTGATGTGTTGTGGTTTAGTTTTCATTTGGTTCAAAATATTTATAATTTCTGTCATGGTTTTTTTAGATCTATATGTTATTTAGAAGTGTGTTGTTGTTTAATTTTCTTTTCTTTTCTTTTCTTTTTGTAAATAACAAACATTTATTGGTGTCACTTATGGTAGAAAAAACTTCCTACACCAGATGCACATGACCCAATTGTTAAATAGAACATTTTGAAGGTGAATACACACCCTAACCCAGGCTTTTTACCCACTTTTTAAGATGGCCAATTCTTCTTCTCCTGACCCGTCCAAAGACATGTGAGCAACTGCTAATGAAAAGCAGTAAACAGCCGCTTGGGCTATAGCATTTTCAACTCCACTCTGAGGTGAAGATTCCAATTACATTTGAGACTTAAGTTCTCTCTATTTTTTCCTAACGAAAGTTCCTGAGTCCAGTATTTACAATATTACAGCACTAGCAGATCAGTGTCTACAACTCATCTTTTTCTGCTGTATCCTCTTCCCCAGTTGGGGGAGGGCCTGCGCTTCCATAGAGTTTGCTGATAATTGGTTGAACAATTTCTTCCAGTTCCTTCTTCTTAGCTTTGAAGTCTTCAGTGTCAGCATCTTGGTGGCTTTCCAGCCATTCAGTCTTTTCTTCTACAGTTTTTTCCATGGTCTCCTTATCTTCAGAGGAAAGTTTACCTCCCAGCTTTTCTTTATCTCCAATCTGATTCTTTAGAGAATAGGCATAGCTTTCCAACTCATTTCTAGTATCAGTGCACTCCTTGAGCTTTTTGTCTTCCTCAGCAAACTTCTCAGCATCATTAACCATCCTTTCAATATCTTCAGGTGTCAGGTGATTCTGGTCGTTGGTAATTGTGATCTTATTTTTGTACCTTGTACCCTTGTCTTTAGCTGTCACTTGAAGAATATCACTCACATCCATCTCAAAGGTGACTTCAATCTGTGGGACCCCACAAGGAGCAGGAGGAATTCCAGTCAGATCAAATGTACCCAGAAGATGATTGTCTTTTGTCAGGGGTTGTTTACCTTCATAGACCTTGATTGTAACGGTTGATTATCAAAAGCTGTAGAAAATATCTGAGACTTCTTGGTTGGCACCACTGTGTTCCTTGGAATCAGTTTGGTCATGACACCTCCCACAGTTTCAATACCAAGTGTAAGGGGACATATATCAAGCAGCACCAAGTCACCTGTATCTTGATCACCAGAGAGCACACCAGCCTGGACAGCAGCACCATATGCTACAGCTTCATATGGGCTTATGCCGCGGGATAGTTCCTTGCCATTGAAGAACTCTTTAACCAGTTGCTGAATCTTTGGAATTTGAGTAAAGCCACCAACAAGAACAGTTTCATCAATGTCAGACTTCTTCAAATCAGAGTCTTCCAACACTTTCCAACACTTCTCTGGCTAGGCTTCATAGTAGACTGGAACAGATCCAGTTGAGCTCTTCAAATTTGGCCTGAGTCAGGGTCTCAGAAAAGTCTTCTCCTTCATAGAAGGACTCAATTTCAATTACTGCTTGCTTGATGTTGAGAAGACAGGGCCCGTTTGGCCTTTTCTACCTTGCGCCAGAGTTTCTGCACAGCTCTATTGTCTTTCCTGACATCTTTGCCAGTCTTCTTTTTGTACAGTTTGATGAAGTGTTCCATGACACGCTGGTCAAAGTCTTCTCCACCCAGATAAGTATCTCCATTAGTGGCCACAACTTTGAAGACACCATTGTCAATGGTGAGAAGAGACACATCAAAGGTTCCACCACCCAGGTCAAACACCAGGATGTTCTTCTCCCCCTCCCTCTTATCCAGGCCATAAGCAATAGCAGCTGCTGTAGGCTTATTGATGATCCTCATAACATTTAGGTCAGCAATAGTTCCAGCGTCCTTGGTTGCTTGGCATTGGGCATCATTGAAATAGGCTGGTGCAGTAACAACTGCATGGGTAACCTTTCCCAAATAAGCCTCAGCGTTTTCTTTCATTTTAGTGAGAACCATTGCAGAAATTTCTTTAGGAGCAAATGTCTTTGTTTGCCCACCTCCAACATCAATTTGAATGTATGATTTAGTGTTCTTTTCAACCACCTTGAACGGCAGGAACTCGATGTCCTGCTGCACAGACGGGTCGTGCCACCTGCGGCCGATGAGCCGCTTGGCGTCAAAGACCGTGTTCTTGGGGTTGGAGGTGAGCTGGTTCTTAGCTGCATCGCCGATCAGACATTCCCCTTCAGGAGTGAAGGCCACATAGGACGGCATGATGCGGTTGCCCTGATCGTTGGCGATGATCTCCATGCGGCCGTTCTTGAACACGCCGACACAGGGGTAGGTTGTCCCCAGGTGGATGGCGACCACCGTGCCCATGTCCTCCTCCTTGGCCCGCGCCGCGCTGAGCAGCAGCAGCAGCATCGCGGCCACCAGGGAGAGCTTCATCTTGCCAGCCAGTCGGGCAGCAGCAGGCAGGGCATCCCAGGCAGTCCAGCCACAGGCCGCAGCACAGGAGCACAGCGCGGTTACCGACTTGCAGGTGGCAGGGGTCACAAGGCGCCACGAACCAGGCGAAGGGCAGCTCTGGAAATGCAGGCCGCGGCGCTTACCTCTCACATTCACGAAACACCCCAGTCGGTCGGTCTGTCTGCGCTGTCTCGGCCGGCGTCTCTATTGTTTAATTTTCAAACATTTGAGGGATTTTCAGTTAAAAGATGTCTTTGTTATTGACTTCTAGTTTAAATTCATTGTGGTCAGCAAGCATACTTTGCTTGAGTTTAATCATATTAAGTTTGAGACTTATTTTGTACCCAGATATGATCTTGGTGAATGTTTCATGTGAACTTAAAAAGAATATGTATTCTTCTGTTGTTGAGTGGTGTATTCTCTAAGTGTGAGATTTTTCTGAAAATCTACTTCTTATAAATTTTTTGAATTAGTGTTAACATGGTGTATTTTTTACATCCTTGCACTTTTAACCTATATGTGTCCTTATATTTAAAGTTGGTTTCTTGTGGATAAAGATACAGATGGATCCCATCTGATACTCTTTGCCTTTTGGGCTGTTTAGACTTTTTTTTTTTTTTTTTTTTGAGATGGAGTCTTACTCTGTCACCCAGGCTGGAGTGCAGTGGTGCGATCTTAGCTCACTGCAACCTCCACCTCCTGGGTTCAAGTGATTCTTCTGCCCCAGCCTCCCGGGTAGCTGTGATTACAGGTGCCTGCCACCACATCCAGCTAATTTTTGTTTATTTAGTAGAGATGGGGTTTCACCACGTTGGCCAGGCTGGTCTCAAACTCCTAACCTCTGGTGGTCCACCTGCCTCAGCCTCCCAAAGTGCTGGGAGGCGTGAGCCACCGTGCCTGGCCATAGGACTTTCTATTTAATAAAGTTACTGATATAAATGGGTTTAACTCTACCATCTTCCTATTTCTTTTTTATTTCCTCATTTGTTCCTTGTTCCTTTTTCCCCTCTTTCCTTGCATTCTTTTGTAATAAATGAGTTAAAAAAATTTCATTTTAATCTTCAGTATTGGCTTATCTTCTCTTTGTTGTATTAGGTTGGTGTGAAAGTAATTGCGGTTTTTGCCACAACCTTTTGCACCAACCTAATAGTTTTAAGTGGTGACTCCAAGGTTTATATATATGCATCTTTCTCTCATCACAGTCAAATGTTTCAAATAATATTATACCACTTTATACAATGTAAGAAGTTTACAACAGTATACTCTTATTTCCCTCATCCTTTTTTTTTTGCTATTGTTTTAATACATGTTACTTGTACACATGCTATAACTTCCACAGTACATTGTTGTTACTTTTTATTAAAACACAAATACTCTTCTAACGAGATTCAAAATGAGAAAAAAGAAAGCCTTTTATATTTACCCACATATTTACCATTTCTGCTGCTCTTTCATTCTTTTGTGTTGATCCAAATTTCCATCTGGTATTATTTCTTTCTGCCTGCAGAACTTCTTGGACCATTTCTTGTAGAACAGCTCTGCAGGCGATAACTTGTTTTAGTTTTTGGTTGTCTAAACAGTTTTATTTCACCTTTAGATTTGAAAGATTTTTTTGCTCGGTAAAAAATTCTAGTTTGGCCAGGCACAGTGGCTCATGCCTGTAATCCCAGCACTTTGGGAGGCTGAGGCGGGTGGATCACCTGAGGTCGAGAGTTCAAGACCAGCCTGGCTAACATGGTGAAACCCCTTTTCTAAAAATACAAAAAAATTAGCTGGGTGTGGTGGTGCATGCCTGTAATCCCAGCTACTCGGGAGGTTGAGGCAGGAGAATCGCTTGAACCCAAGAGACGGAGGTTGCAGTGAGCCGAGATCATGCCATTGTACTCCAGCTTGGGCAACAAGAGCAAAACTCTGTCTCAAGAAAAAAAAAAAAGAAAAATTCTACATTGACAGATTTTTTTTTCTTTTTCTTTCAGTACCTTAATGATGTCTTTCTATTTTCTTCTGGCTTGCATGCCTTTCCGACATAAAATTTGCTATCAGTTTAATCTTTGCTTTTCTGTGCATAAAATGCCTGCCTGCCTTTAAGATTTTTTGTTTTTAATCATGATTTTCAGCATTTTGGTTATGATGTACCTTGGAATGGTTTCCTTTAGATTTCTTCAGCTTGGAGTTCATTATGCTTCCTACGTTGGTGGTTTTATAGTTTTCACCAAATTTGAAAAAAATTTTGTCTTTTTTTTTCGAATAGCCTTTCTGCTCCTCCTTTTTTCCCACCTCGGGACTCCAATTACACATATATTAGACTGCTTGATATTGTTCTAAAGGTCACCAATGGATTTTTTTTCCCAATCTCTTTTCTTTTAGTGCTTCATTTTGGATAGTTTATATTGCTAGGGTGTTCAGGGTCATTGGTCTTTTTCTTCTGCAGTGTCAAATCTGTCATTTTTCATTTAATACACTGTATTTTTTAATCTCTAGAATTTCCATTTGCTTCTTTTTTCTATCTTCTATTTTTCTTCTTATCATGGTCATATTTTTCTCTACCTAACTGAAAAACGTAGTATATTTGTAATAGCTGTTTTACTTTCCTTGTCTGCTAGTTTCACCATTTGTGGGTCTGTTTCTATTGATTGATTTTTCTTCTGGTTATGGAGAAAAAATTTTCTTTTTTTTTTTGCATACCTGGTAATTTTTTATTCAATGCTAGGTATTATTATTTGATCTTCTAATGGGATTCCAAGAAGATCAAACAAAGATATTGTTTGTTGATTGCTGGTTTTATTTTTACTTAATTAAATAGTGTTGGTTTTTTTTTTCTGGTGCTTGGTTACTTGAAATGAATTGGATCTTTTCAACCCTTTTACGTTTGTTATGGTAGGTCCAAAGCAACTTTTAGTCTAGGCATAATTAAGCACCAATACTAAGGCAATTCCCTTCTGTGGCTTCTACCCAATGCTCCAGGTATTAGGATGTCTATTCCCAGTTCTGTGTGAGCTCTGGGAATTAGAATTAGTCAGCCTGTTTTTTGCTTATGGTTCTTTCTGCATCTTTGGGTAGTTTCCTCTTATGCATGTATAGATCAGTACTCAGTCATAGACTTGCAAGGACATTTCTACAGACCTCTGAAACTCTCCCTCTGTGTAGGTCCCTCCTATCTGGTACTCTGCATTACAGTAGCTTCCTTGGCTTCCTGAACTTTCATCTCTAACCTCTCAACTCAGTCAGACTGCTGGGTTCTGTTTTGGTCCCCATTCTCTTTGCTAAGACCTGAAAACTGCCTCTATGCAGTGAGCTGGTGCCTTGTTTCCCTTCTCTCAGGGATGGAATTTCTGTGCTGCTTATTGCGTGAATAAAAAGCTGTGAAACAATGCTCTGGTATTCTTATTGCTTACGGTGTGAGGATGTCTGGTCTCTGTTACTCCATCTTGGCTGGAAGCACAAGTGATCACTCCTTCCTTCTTGGAACACCTTATTTTTCTTTTTTGTTCTCTCACTTTGCTGGCCACTCCATCTCATTTTAAAAATTCTCTTAATAATCTACTTATAAATATTAGCATTCCCTGTGCCTCAGTCTTAGGCCCCCTTCTATTTTCTATTCATTCTCTCCATTGGTAGATTCATCTAGCCTTTTGCTGGATATGATTGACTCTTAAATGGATATCTACAGCCCAACCTCCCGCTGAGCTCCAGTCTCACACATCTGACTTTCTATTTGATGTTTCTGGGATGTCCACTATGCTACCTAACAAGCCCACAGGAAAGCTTCAGAATTACCCTCATCTTTCTCATGTTCCTCCCACAGTCTTTTTTAGCCCAGTAATGTGGTTTATCCAGTAACTCATTGTCTTAGTCTGTTTGGGCTGCTGTAATAAAATACCGCAGACTGGGTGGCTTATAAATAACAGAAATTTATTTTTCACAGTTTTGGAGGATAGGAAGTCCCTGATCAAGGTATCAGAAGATTTGGTGTCTGCTAAGGGTCTGTTTCCTTCACAGATGGACATCTTCTCATTGTAATCTTACATGGCAGAAGGCACAAAGAAGCTCCCTTGGGCCTCTTTTATAATATTAACAAAAGGGCACTAATCTCATTTATGAGGACTCTGTCGTCATAACCTAATCAATTTCCAAAATGCCCCACCTCCTAATACCATCACTTTTGGGGGGTAAAGATGTCAACATAGGAATTTTGGGCACATAAACATTTAGACCATAGCACTCATCGTTTACTCAGAAACTCAAGACAAGATCTTTGGAGTCATCTTTTCCATTTTTTTTTTCCTTTTCCTCTAACAGCAAGTCTGTTCATAAGTCCTGAAGGTTTGGCTTCAAAAATATATTCCAGAGCATCTCACCTCTTACCACCTTCACTGCTACCACTTTAGTCTCTGCCATGATCATTTCTCGCCTGCACTATTACAATAGTCTCCTACACGATTTTTCTGCTTCTACGCTTGTCTGTTTCTACTTTAGCCTATTCTTCTCACAGCAGCCAAAGTGACCTTCTCAAATTTTCAATCACATAATTTTATTTCTTTGCTTAAAACCCTCCAGTGGCTTCTGATCACATTTAAAATGAATATAAATATCTCACCATAATCCATAAGACCAAATATGATTGTTCTCTGCCTCTCTCCGTAACTTAATCCCCTAGTATTCTCACTTCCATCCATCTACTCCTGTAAGACCCAGCTTCTTTCTAAATCCTGAACACAATTATGATTTTTTTTTTTCTGCTGAGGACTTTTGCCCATGCTACTCTCTCTGCTTTTTGTGCTCATCAACCTAATCTTTAAAGCAGGGCTTTTCTTTCTTATCACTTAGGTCTCACCTCAAATATTATTTCTTGAGAGAGGTCTTCTCTGACCACCTAATATGAAGAGGCGTCTGACCCATGTTGCTTTCACATCCCATTACTCCCCCCAACTTTTTTTTTTAATAAACCATGTTTGTTAATTGCAAAAATGGCCACAATTTTCCATCCTTCCCTTTATTGGTGTCTCTTTGCAGCATTGATGTGACTTTGTAGCACTTTCCATCAAGAGATGGGGTTGGTTTCCCTATTCCTTGATCTGAGCTGGACTTATGACTTACTTTGGCCAAAAGAATGTTTTAGAAGTAAAGGCATGTCAGCTCTAGAGCCTCACAGTCTTTCACACTTACTCTTGGATCCCTGCAACTGCCATGTGAAGGAGCCTGAGCTAGCTTGGTGGAGGATGGGAGAACACGTGGAGGAAAACTGAGATCCTCTAGCCAATAGCCAGCTTTCTCCAGATACAGACCAATTGCAGACACATGAAGGAGCCCAGACTAGACCAATAAAACTGTGAAGTCATCTATAGACTCATGAGCAAAAATGAATTATCATTTTAAGAAATCATAAAATATTAGCATGGCTGGTTATACAGCAAAAGCTAACTGATCAGTAAGAATAAATTTAAGAAATCATAAAACATTAGCAGGTTGGTTATGCGGCAAAAGCGAAATGATCTAGCCTATATCACAATCTGAAATTATTTTATGTATATGCTCATTTCTTTATTGTGTCTCCCCAACTAAAATATAAATTCCTCAAGGGTAGGTATCTTTCTCTTTATTGTACTACAGTGGGTATTGCAATGGATCAAAATGACATGACATTTTGAGAAAGATCAAAATATTGGCATTTTATTACAAAGGTAAGATATGGACACCAAGGTCTTCTATACTTTGTCCTAACTTCCTCCCGAGAGAAAGCCAGAGGTAAAGAACTGAGGCAATTTTGTTCTTTGAGGAGCATGATGGTTAAAATAAACTAAAATAAACCACCTACGGGCCATGACACTGACAGGGGATCTGGCCCTTTTCTGGGAGGGGAGCAGAGACAATCTAGCCCACGGGAAAGGAAGGTGGGAAGACCTGGAAATACCATTCCCTCTCCTCTCTTTGCCCCCCAGTCCTGCTACCATATCCTCCTCTTGTTCGCCATAATTGACCGCTCCTTCTCATTCTAAGGAGACTCCACCAGGGTCCTTGGAGGAACAGCAGAACCCAGACTAGCTTTTGAAGTTTAAATTAGTAATAACACTCAAAAGCAACCCACCAAAGGAAAATGCAATGACCAACAAACCAACTAACCATCCAGGTCTTGGGATATAACAACAGCAGGGGAGAAATATGGACAGATGGGTTTCTAAAGGAGTGCTCCTGGAGCTGATTAGAAATCTTGATCTGTGTATAACTTTTTGGGCAGCTTCCAAAATATAAGTAATTCAGATTTCAAGTTTTTTAAAAAATGGAAATAATGGTATTAAATCAACAAAAATATTAATATTTTGATACTTAAAACTGGTATGTGATACTGGAATGCCCAAACACCTACAGCCTCTATTGCAATCACCGTCATGTTCCCAGCTCCTAGAAGAGCTCCTGGCAGGTTCTCAATCCATGGATGAATACATGAATGAACAAATGCTCCCCAGGATTTGGCTGTGGGAAGAGGCTGGGTGAAGGTCCATCCCCAGGGTAGGCAGCTGTCCTCAAGCTCCCCCATCAACCCATACACACATGTCATCCCCCCCAGACAACAGCTGCTCTAGCAGGCAGGCTCCAAGACAGACAGGGGAGCAGGAGGGAGACTGTGGGTGCTCCCTGAGGGACATGCATCCCAGGACTAAGATTGCATGACTGGTGGAGATGGTGGTGCAACCCTCCATGGGCTCCTGGTCTGGTAGGGCTGAGATACCAGCAATGATGGGGCTGGGAGGAAAATAACAGTCACAAGCAACAGCAATGAGTACCTCCTTGGTGCTTTCTGTGTACCAGGCACTGTGTTAAGCCTTTTATATATTGTTATTTTCATCTTTATAGCAGTCCATTTTGTGGATGAGGACACTGAGGCTGAGTGAAGTTAAATCAATTGCCTGTGGTCACACAACTAGGAAGTGGTAGAGGCCAGGATTTGAACCCAAGTCTTTGTATGCCACACTTCCTAAAGGCTATGCTGGGTGACTGCCTTCCTTGTCTTTCTGTTTTGAGCCACCCCTTGCTTTTGTCTGTTCCAGTGGAGGGCCAGACCCCCACTCTGAGCCCCCACCCCTTCCTCCAGGTCTCCTGAGCCTTGCCCTGACTCATATGTTATCCTCTTGGGATCAGTCTATAGTCCATCTTCACCTCGGGCCCCCTTTCCGAATAGCTCCTGCTCCTAGCATTTCTCTGCATTTGGGCAGGCCTGAGAGACTCATCCTAGAAAGGACCCAATTACCTCCTTCCAGGTCAGTGTGGTTTCCTTATAGATCCCATCTCTCATCCTCTCAAACACACACACACACACCACCCAAATACATGCATGCCACCTCCCCAAAGACAGACACAGCATACACAGCACACAAGCTCAAACAGCGAATGTATTATATGGCAGAGACCCACACCATGCACAGATGAGCCATTGGTTTCCACACACATGCAGTATATGCTCCACATACATGTGTACCCAGGCTCCCAAAACACCATACATGCAAGCGAGCCACACGTCAAATACATGTGAGTCATCCACACACACTATTCCACAAACATGCAGTGTACGCTCTACATAACATGTACACAGGCACCCAAACACCATCCACACAGTCAAGACACATACCACACGCATGTATAGGCACAGCAACCACGAAGTACGCCTGGGGCATGTGCGCACACGTATCCACATCCCTGCTGATGGATGGCCATTTGCTGTGGTGGGTAGTTGAGGCAGGGTGAAAATTTCCTTGCACTACTCATCTTCCAGGTGTCCTGACATGCTCCAAGGGGTGTATGGAAGAAAAGGGGGAGAAGCTGGAGCTGAAGTGAGCTTAACAGGCACTAGCACAGCTGTGGGCAAACAAGGTCGCCCGCTCCTGATAGAAATCAACAATACTATTTTTATGGGAGTGGGTCTTGGCGATGTGGCCAATACACTGAAAAAAAAGGGGGGCTACTGAGTCCTCTGAGGAATGTAGCAAATGAGTGATCATAATCCAGAGGATGAAACAGAGAAAATGTGAATGGGACTCACTTTAGATATTTCTTTTTTTTTTTTTTTTGAGACAGAGTTTTGCTCTGTTGCCTAGGCTGGAGTGCAGTGGCACAATCTCAACTCACTGCAACCTCTGCCTCCCAGATTCAAGTCATTCTCCTGCCTCAGTCTCCTGAGCAGCTGGGATTACAGGCGCCTACCATTATGCCTGATTAATTTTTGTGTTTTTAGTAGAGATGGAGTTTCACCATGTTGACCAGGCTGGTCTCGAACTCCTGACCTCAAGCGATCTGCCCGCCTCAGCCTCCCAAAGTGCTGGGATTACAGGTGTGAGCCACTGTGCCTGGCCTAATTTTAGATATTTGAATAAAGCAAAGCATGAATGGGAGAAAGTTCCCAAAGATGAGGACCCTCCTGTTCCTCTAAGGATAATGCACAGAGCTGGAAGAGGGTATCTACTGGGGAATAAACCCAAGGCTGGTGGGGATCAGACTCATAGCATCTTGCAGCAACTGGGCTATTTTGTCCAAAGTGCTTCTTCCCCCTGCCTAGATTTTGAAGAATGATTATTGTGGTGCCAGTAAGCCTAAATGGAAATTCAGTCATGTCTGAACCTGGGCAGGCCACATCTTGGGGATTCATCCAGTTGCATGGGTTTATTGACCTGGGGCAAGGTTTGTATGCAGAACTGTAGAGGCAGAGGTAAGGAACTGAGAAGGCAGCTGGAGTCCAGCGCTGCCCAGCTCAGGGAACTGGAGTCCCAGGGGGCGAGCTGGGTTTTCTAGTGGCCCAGGGACCGAAGACACAGACAGCATGGTTTTGTAGCCCAGAGGCCTGTGCAGAACAGAGTGGAGTACAAAAGCCTCCCTCCCACCTTTCCTGGGAGCAAAATGGCTTTGGATTAGGAGGGACTGCCGGGACTGTGGTGTTTGGATTCTCTGAATACAGCATTCTGCAAAGTGAAGGATGTTCTTCCTGAGGGCACTGGCAACAGGGACATGTTGGGGTTCCAACCGAGATGCCTCTGAAGGGGACAGGAACAGAAAACATAGGAACACTACTTGGGAGCACATGTTAGTCTGCATGACCGTTGGACATTTCCATAAGGCAAAGGGGTCACATTCGAGGGGCCTGGAGTTTGCAGTAGGTGGACAAGGGTGGAGGTGTGAACAACAAAAATTTCTGTAATTGCATTATGTGACTTCAGTCAATTCTACAGGACTGTTGGGAGACATTCCAGTTATTTTGTTAGTTTACTCAAACTGTATTTGTCACTGAACAACAGTAGCAGGTAACTCAAACAGCACTCCCTGGATGGACCCTTTCCTAGAGTTCCCCCATGGTTTGCCCCGTTTGCTCATCCTGCCTCGTGGGGGTGGGGGAAGCTTTGCACAGGTGCCCTCAAAGGGTAAGTGCTTGTGTGGAAGGGATGGCACCATCTGGGTCATTCTGGAGCGGCTCCTCCTCCAGAAATCCAGAAGAGGCTCATGAGAGGATCCCTGGAGGAGGGAACTGGACCATTTGTGTTGGGTTGAGTTGAGTTTGGTTAGCAAAGATGGGGCTGGGAAACTTTCCTTAGGCAGAAAGAACTCTGTGAGCAAAGCCAGGGAAGTAGGGAAATGCTGCTTTTATCTGGGGAGTGAGGAAAAGCTGGCTGAACCAATGTGACAGTTAATTTTGTGTCAACTTGACAGGCCATGGGGCGCCCAGATGTCCTGTCAAATGTTGTTCCGGGAATGTGTGTGAGGGTGTTTCTGCGTGAGGTAATACATGATGGGTGGACTGCGTAAAGCAGGTGGCCCTTCCCTATGTGGGTGGGCCTCATCCAGTCCACTGAAGGCCTTAATCTAACAAAAAGTCTGAGTAAGAAAGAATGCTTTCTCTCTTCCTGTCTTTGAGCTGGGACATTGGTCTCCTCTTGCCTTCAGACCTGGACTGGAACTTACACCATCGGCTCTTCTGGGTCTCCAGCTTGCTAACTGCAGATCTTGAGACTTCTCAGCATTCATAAATGTGTGGGCCAATTCCTTATAATAAATCTCTTTGTATATATGTACACATATATACTTACCTGTAACTTACATGTATATGTGTATGTATATGTATATGTATATGTATATGTATATG
Source organism: Homo sapiens (assembly GCF_000001405.40). Classification (NCBI taxonomy): domain Eukaryota; kingdom Metazoa; phylum Chordata; class Mammalia; order Primates; family Hominidae; genus Homo; species Homo sapiens. The sequence continues at coordinate 38,698,785 of NC_000001.11, read as the reverse complement.
TATATGTATATGTATATTCTATTGGTTCTGTTTCTCTGGACTAATGCAGTTAGAGCAGTGGTTCTCAACTGTGACTGCACTTAACATCATCTGACAGGGGCAGGGTGCGTGTAGGTTCAATAAACATAATTCCCTGATCTCCATCCCCACAAGTTCTGATTCCCTTGGTCTGGGTGGGGATCTTGGGCATCTCTATTTTTTAAAAGCCCACCAGAGACTCTTGTGCAACTAGGGTGGGAAGCTCTGAGCTGGGGCATGGGACGTGTGAAGAAGAGGAAGGAAAGAGATGTGAACTCTTTTAGAACATCTGTGTGTTGCAGTTATTTGCATAGAGTTGCTTGTTTAATAATATACAAGACAACCACACGTGGCAGTGATGATTGTTCTCCCCATTTTCTTGTAAGAAAACCAGATGATCAGCAAGTAACTAGATGACCCAAGGTTATAAGAAGAGTAAGCAACAGAGATGGGATTCATACTCAGGTCTATCGGACCCTAAAATCTGAAAGATGAACCTGGAAAGGTTTGGCTTAGAAAAGCATTTGCCTTTTACTCTGGGAGCCATGGAGAACAGTAGAACATGGTAATCCCTGCTCTGAGGTCAGATCCTCTCATCAAAAACCCCATGCTCCTTCCTGGGAGGAGATCTTCAAGCTTGGGGAGCCTGCAGGATCTATGAGTCCCATGGTAATATCTTGCGCTTTTTAATGTTGGTGAAATATTGGCATTGAACTGGACCTCAGAAATCAGAGCATCCCCTGATTCCCCTGCCTTCCTTCCAAGGGAGGCAGTCTCATTCATAATAGATGTCTCATTTATTTCTTTAGTCCCTTGATAGCAGTGTTTGGCACACAATAGGCACTCAGTTGATGTTTATGGAATTAAAGTAAACGGTTTTTGAGGTCACAAAACTGATGCAACCGTGCTCAGAGAAGTCTAATGTCTTTTCTAGGTCACAGCTATAGCAGAGCTTGGACTAGAATCAATTCTGATCCCATCCAGTGTCCTCTCCACACTGTCGTTCCACAGTGTTGTTAGTTTCAGAATCATAGGCATTTGGGGCTGAATGGGACTCAGAAAAGGTTTACACAACATTTACAAATAGTGTTCATCTTCTGTGTCCTCTCTAGCTCAATAACAGTGGCTGTTTGCAGTGCTGTATGGAGAAAGATTCTGAGGCTTATGAGGAAAGAGTGCTGTCATTGATTGGTGATGCCTGCCATGAATGTGGGAGTGGCTGTTGGCAGCATGTGTGCCAGAATTTTGCTGCTCCTGATTTCTTCCAGATCTTTTATTTTATGGTTAAGAAAACCAAGGCTCTTTTTGCCTTCCATAAAATTTGTCACTGGACACCAGTAATGGGGGACTCTTTCACAAATCCCAAGTTTCATAGGATCTCCTTAAGGAAAGCCAGAATTGGGGTTATGACAAAGATTCTGGACTTAAGGTTGGATGAAGAGCTTGGTGTACCCACTTTTATGTTTAATGATCGTGTGATCTTGGCATGTCTCTTCTTTCTGAGTTCTAATTTCTTCACTTATAAAATGGAGATGTAATCACCATGTCTCAGGGTTATTATGAAGAGTAAATTAAGAAAGTGTGAGAAAGGGTCCCATCAACTATGAAACCCTGTGAGACTCATTCCTTTTGTAGATTGCACTATTGGCCTCACTTTACCTCTCCCTGTATGTATGTGCTTTCCACATGGCTTTGTAGTTCTTCCTCCTAAGGCAAAGTATATTTCCCTGGCCTTTAACTTTGAGCTTGGTCAGGTGATTTGCACTGGCCAGTGGAAAAAGGCAGAAATCATGTGGTGCCAGCTTGAGCTAGGCCTCAAGAGGCTGCCACTGCCATGAGAAGAACATATCCAGTTAGTTGGCTGGATCCAGGAGAGTGAGGCAAATGTATAGCTGACTCAGGCCAAACCCACAGCTGGGAGTTGCCCAGCTAAGCCCAGCCTGGATCAGATGACCCCCCCCAGCTGGCTGAGAGACCTCCGAAGGCCGTTTCTGGAAACTCTTTCTGGGACTGCAATTTTATTGTGGAGTGAGCAAAGGACAAAGTGCTACAGGGGAGGAAGGGCATCTTGTCATAGATTGGCTTTCCCTTCTTCTTCCACCTCTGAAAGGAGCCTAGGGGCTCTGGATGCTGCTGAAATTGAAGTATCCAAAAGCTAGCAAGCCTCTTACTCAGATATGGCTCTGTGGCAGGCCACAGGCTCCAACAGAACATCGGTTGCTTTGGTTTTGTTTGATCAGCCTTGCAAACCATAGCTTTCCCACAACCGGCTTATACCTACAACCCCCTTCTGGAGTTCTTTCATTGCTTGTTCCTCATTCTCTGCATCCCCCTTTGGTGTGGGCCTTTACTCTCTGCAGGAGGAGTGGAGATGTATGAGCAGGGCAGCTGCCCCAGTCAGCTGTGGAGAGAATGGGCTTTGCCTTAACTGGGGAGCAGGGCAGCTGCCCCAGTCAGCTGTGGAGAGAATGGGCTTTGCCTTAACTGGGGAGCAGGGCAGGTCTGTGATGGGTAACTCAAGGGCAAAGAGGACCTGACAGAGTCCAGGAGAATATGCAAAACTGTGCGTCAAATAGGCAAAGGCTCAGCTTTCCACGTTCTTTGCTCTGAAGTTCAAGCAGAAAATGTGAGAATTGATATGCTAAACGAATGCAGGGAAAGAAATTCTTCCAGCAGATCCTCTGGTCTGAGAATTTTTCCCCAGATGAAGAAAAGAAAGGTGATACACATGCTAAATCATTTTTAACTGGCATCTCTCAGAGGCTATCTGACTTTGAGGTCATTGGGTTGAGAGGAAGAAACTAGAGCCAGATAGGGGTGGGGACCTGCCTAAGATGGCAGTGATTTGGGGGCAGAGCAGGGACTGGTAGCAGGTGGGCTACATCCTGATTGGGCTTTTCCTTTGCTGAGCAGGTTTTCAGGACCAACCTGGTCCAAGACCAGGGCCGGGATTAACCACCTCACATGGATCAATTTTCTATAGACTTAGTAGCTATCACCTATCTTCCTGCTGGAAAATATCCTTCTGCAAGGCTACAGCTCTTCTCATGGCATGGCCCTAGTGTCCATGTGTCCAAAGAGTCACTGCTATTTGCTTGCACCATTGATAATAGGGCTGTGCCCCTGTTGCCTCAGATGTTGACTTCTCTGAATGTGGCTCTCTTCCTGCACTGGGGGTACCTGTACTGCTGCAATCCCTGAAGCTGATGATAAAACATGGAGGCTGGCTACACTGCTTTCTCTGGCCCAACTTGGCATGACCAGGGCAGCCCACTCTTCTCCAGGCTGTCCGTGCTGGAGAAATCCTCATGCATCACCAGAAAGCAATGATCCACAACCCTGGATCATTTCTTTCTCTTGGGTTAACAACTTTATTGAATAATTGACAGAACATTTATTCCCTTACAGGTAAATTCCATTCCTACCCTTGGGGAGTGGTGTTTCTTCTGTAGGCTTGGAAAGATAATCACAAAATGGTCCATGATTGATGTTATTTCTAAGAATTGCATTTTCCTGTTCATTTTTTCCATGATTGCTTTATTATACTCATGTAATAAATGGGAAACTGAGATTCAGAGAGTGTATGAGTGGCCAGCCTAAGGTCACACTGCTGGCTATTGTTGGAGTGGTGGTGTTATGGGGTAAATGTTTGTGTCCCCCAAAATTCATATGTGGAAACCCTAATCTCCAGTGGGATGGTAATAGGAGGTAGGTCCTTAGGGAAGTAATTAGATTTAGATGAGGGCATGGGGGTGATACCCTCACGATGAGATTTGTGCCCTTATAAGAAGAGGAAGAGACAGGATATATCTTTCTCTCACTGTCTCCATAAGCACACACGGAGGAAAGGCCACGTGAACATTCGGTGAGAAGGTGGCTGTCTACAAGCCAGGAGATAGGCCCTCACCAAGCATTGAATCTACCAGCACCTTGATCTTGTACTTCCCAGCCCTTAGAACCGTGATAAATAAGTGTCTGTTGTCTAAGCCATCCAGTGTATGGCAGCCCGAACTAAGACAGGAGGTGAGAAACCAGGCCTCCTGACTCTTAGTGTAGCTTTCCTCTCCACCCAGTGTCTTTTGGAGAGGGTGACTGTACATTATCACTTAGGTGGCTTAAGGTTTGGCTTAACTCCCTCCTGTGGGGTACAGAGTGCCAGAGGTGAACTGGATCATCGTGATGGCTTAAGGCTTTATTTAACCAACTACTTTGGGATGCAGGGTGTGGAGGGGTGAACTTCATTCTGCCCCTCTGTTGGGGAGGATGGAGTGGGCTTGGCTGTGATTCAACAGCCTTCATGACACAAAGTTGGAAAAATGTTTTTCTGTAAGAACACTTGTGGCAAGAGAGCAGGAGCAGACATCTTGCTGTCCAACAACCAAGGTAATTAATATTCCATTAACAAGGCCATTACAACTCCTGAATAGAAATATACTTCATCTTAAGGTGCAAAGCCTACTTCTAAGTGAGGTGTAACAGCTGAATAAGCATACCTGCTGATTTATGTCCATAAAAGTTAATTTATTAGCAATGTCTTAATTGTGATGGTGCATAGAGTCCCTGAGCCATTAGCAAAATCCTCTAAAAGCCGCTGACAGGAATAATATGCACAATAAATGGGATGAGCAGCACTTTTTCTGCTTCTGAGGCTATAGACTTGCAAATAAGGCTGGGCTGGTCTTTTAATGGAGTGTCTGTGTGGGTGGGAGGGTGCCCTAGTAGAGTGCAATGGAGAATGGCTTCATCCCACATCTTAGGACCAGCCCCACAGCTGCATCTTGAAGAATGGGTGGTATTTGGACATGTAGGATGCTGGGAGAGGCGAGGGCAATGGGAGAAGACTATTCAAGGCATAGTGAATGTGGCACAGAGGTGGATGGGAGGTGGGTGTGAAGGAATAATGAGTTGTCAGTTTGGCTGGAGAATAACCTGGCTTCATGTATTGCCTCCTCCTTACCTCCCTCTCCCTCCCTCTCCCTCCCTCTCCCTCCATCTTTCCTCCCAGCACTGCCAAGAACTTGACCCTGTACTGAGTACACACAGCAGATTAGTAGTTGGGTATCTTTGTGAATGCCAAGAGGTAGACTCTGGTCTCCTTCTTATATAGATTCAGACATACTGCCATTCCCCCCACCCCCTCAACCTGGAATGCTTGGACTCAAGAACAAAAGCCAACAACCCATGGGCTTTGAAAGGAATTACTTTGCACACTTCAATATTCATCTAGATGCATTAAGTTGCAAAGCAGAATCTTCTGTCTCTTCTGGTAACTCTAATGGTCAAAGAATTGCATTCCCTCCTTTCCCTGGTTTTCCCAAATGGGAAAGAAAGATATTAGAATCCTCATGATTAGGAAAAGCAATTCCAATGGCTGCTGCTGACATCTGTCACCCAAAAGCTCTTCCTCATGTCTTTCACAGACACCATTTTCTGAAAAGGACAAATGGAAAGAGTGGCTTGAATCGAAGTACTCCCAGATGGCCACAGTGGCAAGCTTTGTCCCCAGGCTTCCCACCCACAGCTCTGCACCACCTCTCCTGCACCTGCCACTGTCCATACCAGGGGCACTGGCAAGCCAGGCACTTCAGTAGTCTTGGAATGGAATGCACTCAAGAGTCCTGCAGGGCATCACTGTTAGTTCCACCCGTGATACTTGTTCTAGTCAGCCAAACTGTTTTTCTTAAACTAGTTTGAATTTCAGTTATGTTACCCAAAGAATCATGATTAATGTAGCCGTGCCATGTATTATTCAATATTTTTCTTTTACTAAACAATGTAAGGAAAAAAAGCAGGAAAGAGCCAGCAATGTAAGGAGAATGTACTGGCTTTGAGATATTGTCAAAATCCTATTCTAATTCTTTTAAATAAACTGTTATTGTTGTTGTTGTTGTTGAGACGGACTCTCGTTCTGTCACTCAGGCTGGAATGCACTGGTGCAATTTCAGCTCACTGCAACCTCCGCCTCCTGGGTTCAAGCGATTCTTGTGTCTCAGCCTTCCAAGTAGCTGGGACTACAGGTGTGTGCCACCACACCCAGCTAATTTTTTATATTTTTAGTAGAGACGGGGTTTCGCCCTGTTGTCCCGGCTGGTCTCAAACCCCTGAGCTCAAATGGTCTGCCCACCTTGGCCTCCCAAAGTGCTAGGATTACAGGTGTGAGTCACCATGCCCAGCCTAAATCAACTTTTTTTGAGGTGTAAACATATGTACAATAAAACTCAGTGTTTTAAAGCATACAGGTTGATAAGTTTTGATAAATGTATACACCCATGTAACTACCACCTCAATGAAGATACAGAACATTTCTATCTTCCCACAAAGTTTCCTGGTGTCCCTGTGCACAATTGCCTCTGTTCAACCACTCTTCTGATTTCTATCACTATAGCTTAGTTTTGCCTGTTTTAGGATATCACATAAATGGAAGCATATAATATGTATTCCTTTTTACCTTTTTTTTACTCAGCATAATTGTTTCAAGATTCATTCATCTTGTGTATCAATAGTTCATTTTTATTGGAGTGTAGTATTATCTGGGTATGACACAATTGCTTATCCATTCACCTGTTGATGAATATTTGACAGGGGCTATTATAAATACAAGTGGTATGAACATATGTATACAAGTCTGTGTGTGTGTATCACACACAATTTATTCTGGATAAATACATAGGAATGGAATTGCTGGGCTATATATGCTTAACTGTATAGGAAACTGCCAAATTGTTTTTCAAAGTGGTTGTACCATTTTATATTCTCAATGGTGTATGAGAAGTCCAGTTCCTCCATATCTTCATCATCTGATCTTGGAATTGTCTTCAAACTTTAACCATTCAGTGGGTGTGAAGTGGAATCTCACTGCAGTTTTAATTTGCTCTGGTGACTCATGTTGTTGAACATTTTTTTTCTTGAGTTTATTGACCTTTTTGTATAGCTTCTTTCATAAAGCACCATTCAAATTTTGCCCATTTAAAAAATTGAGTGTTTTGTCTTTTTCTTATTGAGTAATAAGAGTTCTTTTTGTATTCTGGCTTTTTTATGCATGCTTCTTGACAGATATATGTGATGCACATATTTTCTCCCAATTTGTGACTTGCCTTTTCACTTTTTGATTATGTCTTTTAGAGAGCAGAAGTGTTTTATTTTGATGAAGTCTAGTTTATTAATTTTTTCTTTTATGACTAATACTTTTGTCTATCAAAGAAATTCTTGTCTAACCCCAAACTACAAAGGGTTCTTTTTTCTATTATTTCTTCTAGAAATTTTATAGTTTTAGGTTTTATGTTTATGTCTATGACTGATTTCAAATCAATATTTGTGTATGGTGTGAGACGGGGATTGAGTTTACTTTTCTTTCATATGACAATCCAGTTGTTCTAGCCCTATTTTTAAAAAATCATTACCCCTTCCCCATTGAATTATGCTGGTGCCTATGTTATTAAAAATCAATTGGCCATGTATATGTTGGCCTCTTTCTGGACTCTCTAGTCTCTTCCATTGATCTACATTTTTACCCTTATGCCTGTGTAATTCTGTAACATCATCATACTGTAGCTTCATAGTACAGTAGTTCTTCCTTACCTGCAGTTTCATTTTCCATGGTTTCAGTTACCTAGAGCCAACTGCAGTTCAAAAATATTAAATGGAAGTTTCCAGAAAGAAGCAATTCATAAATTTAAAATTGTCTGCTGTTCTGAGTATCATGATGGAATCTTGCTCTGTCTCACTCTGTCCTGCTCTATCCTGCCCTGGACATGACTCATCCCTTTGTCCAGTGTATCCACGCTGTAGATGCTGCCTGCATCATTTAGTAGCCAGCCATCTGGTTGTCAGATCGACTGTTGGTATTGCAATGCTTGTGTTCAATTAACCCTTATTTTACTTAACAATGGCTCCAAAGCACCAGCGGTGATTCTGGCATATTGTTATAATTGTTCCATTTTATTACTAGTTATTGTTAATTTTTTACTGTGTCTAATACATTAGACTTTATCACAGGCATGTGTGTACATATAGAAAAAATCATAGTATATATAAGTTTTGGTACTATTCATGGTTCCAGGCTTCCACTACGGGTCTTGGAATGTAACCCCTGTGGATAATGGGATACTACTATGTAAGTAGTGTAGATCCTCCAATTTTGTTCTTTTTTCAGATTTCCTTGAGCTAGTCTGTATTCTTTGCATTTTCATTTAGTTTTAAAGTCAGTTTACCAATTTATACAAAAAAAAAACCTCTCTAGGATTTTGATTGGAATTTATAGATTGATTTGGGGAGAACAGACATTTAACAATGCTGAATCTTCTAATCTATGCATATGGTGTAACTCTCCATTTATTTAGATCATGCTCAATTTCTCCCAGTAATATGTGTAGTGTTCAGGTTAGAGATACTGCAATCTTTCCTTAAATGTATTCTGAGCATTTTGTTTTCTAATTTGATACTGTTGCAAATCCTATCACTTAACATTTTTTATTTTCCTATTGTTTGTTGTTAGGATCCAGAAGTACAGTGGGTTTCTCTATATTGATCTTTATTCTGTGATTTTGCTAAATTTTCTTATTTGTTCTATTAATTTTTTTGACAGATTCCTTAGAATTTCCTGCAATTTCATTGTTTGCAAAAAAACCCCATGTAACTTCCTTTCTAATCTTTATGCCTTTTATTTCTGCTCCTTTTTTATTTTTTCTTATTTTACTGGCCAGGACCTCCCATGCAATGTTATATAAAAATGGTAAGAGTAGACATCCTTGTTTTATTCCTGATCTGAGGTGAAGAGCATTCAGTATAATTAAACTGTAGTTTTTTTGTTTGCTTGTTTGTTTTCATACATGCCCTTTATCAGTTTGAAGCATTTCCTTACATTCTTAGTTTGCTGGGAATTCCTTTTTTTGGTTATAGATTTTTGCAGTTACAATCCCACATTTGTATTGATTTAGGTATTTTCCTGTATGTTAAAATTAATAAATTTTACACTAATAGAAATGTTGGAAGGAAAAGTTTTAAAATGTAAAAATTAAAACTTTAGGATTACTGAAAGAAAATATCTGGGAAATTATCTTTATACCTTTTATAACTTAGTAGTATGGAAGTCTTCTCCAAGTGTGACCCCAAAAGCAGAAACCATAAATAAAAAAGTTATTAGATTATACTACATAAAAATTGTAAATTGATATTCTAAAGATGTCATAAACATAGACTAATTACCACTGATAAAAAATGTATGCAACATATATGATAGATAAAGGATTATTTATAATATATGAAGAGTTCACATACATCAATAGGAAAAATTAGAACAATCTCTTAAATAAACGGGCAAAAGGCATGAACAAGTAGTTTAAAAAGAAATACAAATATCTAACAAAAGTATGAAAAGATGCTCAACATCAACAGTGTTAAAATAAACACAAATTAAACAATAACAAATATTACTTAGCAGATTGGCAAAGATTAACAAAGTTGATAATATTCAGTGTAAAGGAAGGTGTAAGAAAATTTTCATATTGGTGACAGAGCAATTGGTTTGACATCATTGGACCATATTTGTTAATAGCTATCAAAGGCCTTAAAAATGTGCATACTCTTCAGCCCACAGTTTCATTTCCAGGAATTTGTTCTAAAGCACAATTGAAAAGGTGAGAAAACGTTATATATAAGGATGTAAATTATAGATAATATCAACTTTTGGGGCCAGGCACGGTGGCTCACGCCTGTTATCCCAGCATTTTGGGAGGCCAAGGCAGGCGGATCACTTGAGGTCAGGAGTTTGAGACCAGCTTGGCCAATATGGTGAAACCCCGTCTCTACTAAAAATACAAAAATTAGCCGGGCATGGTGGTATACACTTGTAATACCAGCCAGGTGGGAGGCTGTGGCACGAGAATTGCTTGAACCCAGGAGGCGGAGGTTGCAGTGAGCCAAGATCATCCACTGCACTCCAGTCTGGGTGACTGAGTGAGACTGTCTCAACAAAAACAACAAAAAGTCAAATTCTGGATACAACCTAAATACCCATCTGTAAGGACCTGATTAAGAAAACAAATTTTGCTATAGCCACTCAGTGGAATACTATGTAACTATTTAAATGGAGTATGTGGATCTATATTGAAATGAAAATATGTCCCTTGTTAAATGGAAGATATTGTGTATCTAGCTAGATCACATTTTTTTGTATAATAAAGGAAGTGTGTATATATGTGCCTAACACAATAATTGACACAGAGTAGGCATTCAGTAAATAATGACTAACTGTACAATTTTTTTAAAAAAAGGTTAGATGTGTTTATATAAAATGTTAACAATGGTTATTTGTGGATGGAGGGAGTTCAGGTGATTTTTATCTTCTCTGTTGATTTCTGTGTAGTTTGAAAATTTAACATATTTTTGGGATACATGTCATATTTTCAATACATGTGTACATGTGTAGTGATCAAATCAGGGTAATTGAGATATCCATCATGAACATTTTTAAATAAGCAAGTATTACTTTTATAATCAGAAATAACAGTAGATCTATTTGTTTTCTAAAAATATGGAAAGAATCAATAGGTCCTGATGATGGATTACAAGCAGGACTTGAGGGAAAAGGAGGTGTTGAGGATGCTGGTCTGTATCTCAGCTTGGGTGACTGCTTTTAGAGTTCTGTCTTCACTCAAAATAAGGAAATCAGGAGGAGGAGGAGTAGCAGGGGGTGTGGGTATGTTTGTGTTGGTTGTTAAATTTTCCAGAAAACCAAATATTGCATGTTTTGACTTATAAGTGGGAGCTAAATGATGAGAACACACAGATACAAACAGGGGAGTAACAGACACTAGCGCCTACCTGAAGGCGGAGGGTAGGAGGAGGGAGAGGAGCAGAAAAAATAACTATTGGGTACTAAGCTCAGTACCGGGTGATGAAATTATCTGTACAACAAACCCCCATGACATGAGTTTACCTACATAACAAACCTGCACATGTACCCTTGAACCTAAAGTAAAAGTTAAAATAATTTTTTCCCCACCTGTTGCATTTGGACTTCCAGCAAGGTACCCAGTTGGATATATGGATTTGGAGCTCCAGGAGAGATGCTAGATTACAAATCAATTACCATTAATAAGCTATAAGTCAAAGTGTGGTAGTTTCAATCATAAAAATGAATGCTGCTGCCCAGCATAGATGGCTGTGTAAGGAGAGGGTAAGGGGGAAGTCCTGTTAAATACCACTACCTTCAGAGAGGGCAGGAAGAGTTTCCAGGAAAGGAACCAGAGGAGGAACAGGGACTTGGGAAGAAGGAGAAACAGCAGAGAGCTGTTCTGAAATAATGGGGACTAATGCAGCTGAGAAGGCAAGCTAAGTGTGGAATGAAAAGTGCCCGGTGGATCTGGTAATTAGGGGGCCACCCCTGACTTTGCTGGGGTGGTCTCATGGGAATGGGGGGTACAGAAGTCAAAATGAAATGAACTGAGGGGTGAATGTGACAGCGTGAGTTGGTGGGGCAGTAAGTGTATTTGTAAGTGTGTCCTTATGAGACACTTGGATGAGAAGTTAGGAAAATAACTTGGGTGATAGCTGGAGGGAGATGCAAGGGTAAGGAAGGGAATTTTTTACTAGGATGGAAGTGATTGGATCACGTTCATAGGCTGAGGGGAAGGAGCTAGCTGAAAGAGGGCTGTCAAGGACACTGGAGAGGGGGAGAATGGCACCACATGGGGTCAGAACTGGTAGGGAGGGACGATATCCATGGCAGTAAGAGGACAGTCCTAGAAAAGATGACCCTCTTCCCCTATGATGGGGAGAAGGAGGAGAGGGTGGATGTGGATTCAGAGGCACTATAGGGTGGGGGGCAATAATTAGAGGTGGTTCATGCTTGATTTTCATGCTTGATGATGTTTCATCATCTCACTACCAGAAGGACCAGGGTTTTAAGGTTCCTGCTTGATGAAGTTGGCTTGATGCAAAACAATAATGAAAGTCGCCGACGGAGAATGTGGCAGGAATCAGCCCGGGTGTCAAATTCACTCAGCCCCTATGTGCAAATAGATAATTACGAGGCATCTCTGCCAGTCGAGTGGATCAAGATTCTTCTCATGCGTAAGCTGGCACATGTTTAAGATTTCCAGAATACAGATTTCCGAAATAATGATTCTAATAAACAGTGGTTATCTTAACTTTATTTTCAGGCCATAAAACACATCCTTTGATAAATTATTTTGCCGTCTATCCCCAAGTGCACCTCTCCATGCAAGCCTCCCCTCCCCCGGCCAGCAGCCGCACGAACAGCAGCTCCATATATTATTCATTCCAATCAAATAAGACACAGTGGTGCCTCAGTAAACTTGCTTTTCATATCAGAATTGCTCTTATTGAGTAATACACACTGCAGACCCCAGCTTCCAGCACCAGGCCTGAAATGAGCAATTCTCTCATTGTAATAATGTGCCTCTGTCATCTCCTTATTATCAGCATGATAAAAGATGAAATATTCACAGATGCTGCCCTCCTAACCTGATCACAGCTTGATATTTGAGCTTTGGAAATGAGTTTTATAAGCTTTAATATACTCCTTGGCGGAGTGACCCCTGAAATTAAACATTATTACAGAGCGGATATTTAAAAAGCTGGGGCCGCAAATTACATCAAAATGAAAATATTAAGGAGTATTACGAATATACCAAGTGGAAGCTCACAGCTCTGGAAGCTGTGAACGCCGGAGAACTCCACACGCGGGTGTCAAAAACATCAGAAAAAATAATAACAGCAGAGACACCTTGACTTCAGTTATTTTATACTTAGGACTAAACGAAATTATTTGAATGGATTTTTTTTCCTCCTGTAGGCTAGCTTTCCAGGAGGGAAAAAAAGCCCATTATTCTCAACTTTAGGTTCCTAATACATTTCATGTTTGGTTTAAAGGGGCACCCTTCCTTTTTTTTTTTTTTTCTTTCCTGGTGCATGGATAAATAAAAGAAATACCTAAATATAATGAAACCAAAGATCATGCTAAGAAAAAAAGTGAGCAAACACGACTAGAAAGAGCCCCTGGATTCAATTTCCCCTGCGATTGGCACTCTGATGGACAGGCTCCCAGCAACATGAGGGCTGTTGGAAGCTCAGGAGGGGGGAGAGAGGGTTCGCCAGTCTGCTGCAGAGCTGCGGCAGCTTCCAGATGGGACCTGGGGATGCTCTGGAGCACATTGCGACCTGCTTGAGTCACACATGGGATTTCTGTTTGCCTGATGGTGGGGGCTGGGCTTGGGTACCATGGATGCTAACCAGTGAATACTGGTTTCATGCCTGAGTCTTCTGCTGGATGGAAAACTCCATGAGGGCAGGGACTGTGCCTGGCTTGTTCCCAGCTATATTCCTAACATTAACGCCAGAACTCAGATAGGTGGTCCATCATAAATACTGTATTTATTAAATGAATGAATGAATGCAGAAGAACAAATCACTTCCCAGTTATTCTCCTTCCCAACCCCCACAGGGGGGTCTTTACCTCCATGGACTGCAAGAGAGCACACAAGGAGCCTTTCCAAGGCTTCAGCTTTCAGTATTCACCTGAGGCTGTAAAACTGATTTGCAACTTATACTTGGAGGCTATTTCAGGTACTTTGTTTTGATGCGTTATACACATCGTGCTATCTGCTTGACACTGAAACTTCCTTTTTTCTGGTTGTTACTTTTTTATATTCATCTCAGCCTCAGTTTCCTCAGCTGCCAAGTCAAGACGCTAATACCTAACTTGCTGGTTGCTGTTTGGATGGAATGAGCAAACACGTACAAAACAATGTGTTGGTTCTTTTTTTTTTTTTCGCTTTTTTCTTGAGGCAGTGTCTTGTACTGTTGCCCAGGCCAGAGTGCAGTGGTGCAATCTTGGCTCACTGCAACCTCTGCCTCCCGGGTTCAAGTGATTCTCCTGCCTCAGCCTCCTGAGTAGCTGGGGCTACAGGCACGCACCACCACACCCAGCTAATTTTTGTATTTTAATAGAGACGGGGTTTCACCATGTTGGCCAGGCTTGTCTCAAACCCCTGGCCTCAAGTGATTCCCCAGCCTCGGCCTCCCAAAGTGCTGGGATTACAGGCATGAGTCACTGTGCCTGGCCAATGTGTCAGTTATTTTCCCCCTTTACTGTTTTTTTCTGGCTCTGAGATGATGCTGATGTATTGATCAAGTCGAAATAATTTTCTTTTCCTTTAAAAGAAACAAATAAAAATCATTTCCCTTACTGGCGGATCATTGTTTTTATGTACCAAGATTTTCTATTACAAACCTCAAATGTATTTTTGAAGTGGAGAAAGGAAAAGCAATCCATAGTACAGGGAATAAAAACATGGATTTTGGAATGGGATTTGAGTCTTGGCTTTGTTTGTTTCTAACTATGAGACCTTGGGCAAATTACTTAACATCTCTGAGGTTCAGTTTCCTCATTTATAAAAATGGAAATAATGGTTATGCCAAGATATATGCCTAAAAATATGAAATATAAAGATTAGAGGGAAAGAAACACAAGTTATTATTTGCAGATCTATGATTGACTACGTATAAAACCCGAAAGAAACTATAGATAAATTACTAGAAGAAAAAATGAGACATTAGCAAGGTTGCTGGATATGAAATCAATATACAAAAATCAATTCAATTTTTATACACCAATAGCAGTCAGTTGGAAAATTTAATTTAAAATAAACCATTCACATTAGGAACAAAATATGAAAGTATCTAGGAGTAAATATAAAATAAGCTATGAAAGCTTTTTATGGAGAAAATTATAAAATTTTATTGAAATACATTAAGACCTAAATAAGTGGATAGATGATGTTCTTGGACAAAATACCCTGTATTATAAAGATGTAAATTCCCCAAACAAGACTTTTGATTCAATATAATTCCAATTAGATTTACAACAGAGTTGGAACTTGACAAGGTAATTCTTATATAGTATAACAAGGGGCCAAGATCCTCTTAAAGAATAAGAAGAAGCTGGGGGGATTTTCATCCACCAGATAACAAGGCTTATCATAAAGCTGTAGTAATTAGGGTGGTGATCAATGAATAGGACAGAAGAAAGAGCCCAGAAACAAATTATGTGTGTCTGGAAACTTGATTCTTAATGAGGTAGATGGGGAAGGAATGGAATAGTCAATTGATAGTGCTGGGAAAATTAGTTATCTATACCGAAAAAAAAAAAAAAGGAATTTGGTTCTTACCTCATGATCTACACAAAGATAATTTTCATGTGAGTTAAAAAACTAAAAATAATGGGAAAAACTAGAAAACTTTTTTTTTTTTTTTTTTTTTTTGGCGGGGGACACTCTCTCACTCTGTTGTCCAGGCTGGAATGCAGTGGCACAATCTTAGCTCATTGCAACCTCCACCTTCCAGGTTAAAGCCATTCTCATGCCTCAGCCTCTCGAGTAGCTGGGACTATAGGTGCACGCCAGCATGCCCGGCTAATTTTTGTATTTTTAGTAGAGACGGGGTTTTACCACATTGGCCAGGCTGGTCTCTAACTCCTGACCTCAAGAGATTTGCCTGCCGCAGCCTCCCAAAGTGCTGGGATTACAGGTGTGAGCCACCACGCCTAACCTAGAAAACTTTTATGACACAATATGTGAGCATACCTTCATAACCTTGAGGTCATGAAACATGCACACTATAAAGAAAAAGTTCAATAAATTTGACCCTATTAGAATTAAGAACTTGTTCCTCCCAAGACACTGTAGAGTGAAAAGACAAGCCACACCCTAGGAGGAGATATTTGTAACATATATAATCAACTAAGGATTAATATCCAGAATATATAAAGAATGACCGCAAATGTGTAAGTACAATATATTTGTAATAAAATAGTGGGCAAAAGACATATGCAGGTATTTTACAGAAGAGGAAACACAAATGGGGAAGAAACACATGAAAAGATGCTCAATTTCACTGACAATCAGGAAATTACACATTAAAACCACAGCGAGATACCATTATATGTCCATCAGATTGCTGAAAATGGAAAAGATGGCAATACCAAGCACTAGGAGGAATATGGAGTAACAGAAACTCTCATCTACTACTGTAGGGTGTGTACATTTGTACAACCATTTCGGAAAACTTTTTGGAATTGTCTGCAAAGTTGAACGTACACACATATGCTATGAGCCAGCAATTCCATTAACAGAATATTAATGGAAATGAGCCAACAATTCCATTAACAGAATATACTCTAAAGGGTGTCTTATATGTGGGTACCAGAAGATGTGTACAAAAATGTTCATGGTTGGCCAGTTGTGGTGACTCATGCCCATAATCCCAGCACTTTGGGAAGCCGAGGTGGGTGGATTGCTTGAGCCCAGGAATTTGAGACCAGCCTGGGTAACATGGCGAAACTCTGCCTTTACAGAAAAATAGAAAAATTAGTGGAGCATGGTGGTGGGTGCTTGTAGTCCCAGCTACCCAGGAGGCTGAGATGGGAGGATCACTTGAGTTCAGGAGGTGGAGGCTTCAGTGACCTGAGACTGTGCCACTGCACTCAGCCTGAGCAACAAGTGAGATGCTATCTCAAAAAAAAGTTCATAGTATCATTTTCTATAGTAACAAAGGCATTTCTACATAGCCAAAATGCCTCTGTACAGAATAATGGATAAAGAAATTGTGTTAACTTATATAGTGGAATCCTATTTAGAAGTAAAAATGAATATATTAGTACTATGTGTATCAGCTAGGATGAATTTCACTCCATTTTGAGTGAAAGTAGGCAGTCATAGGAGAATATCTATAGTGTGATTCCATGTATAGAAAATTCATTGACAGGTAAGTAAAATAATATTTTGTTCAGGGATCCATACAGGTAAGGTAAGACTATACAGAAAGTCTAAGGAATGGTTAAAACAAAACTGAGGGTAGTGGTTACCATAGGGTGGGGCGGGATTGACAGGAAAGGGTATGAGATTGGGGAGCAGGACAGAGGAAGCTTCTGAGACATGGCCAGTATTCTATTTCTCCACCAGGGTTGTGGGTACATGGACTTTCATTTCATGATTATTCTTCAGACAGTACATGTGTGTCTTAAACCTTCTTTTGTATGATATATTTTATAATAATAATAATAATAATTATTATTATTATTAAAAAGAAGCAATCTCAGAGATGGGCATGATGTGCCCAGAGTAAGAAGTAGACAAGGATATAAACCACGGCCTCCAGGTTGGTGTCCCATTCTGAAGCATTAGTGATAACACTCAGCCTTCCACTGCCTGTGGCTTTCTGTCTCCATTGCACCTGTGTGCTCATGACTCCCTGGGGCCTATGGCTCCTTCCTCCAATATGCAGGCCTCCCCCACAGGACAAGAAACTAAGTTATGAGGCCATATTTCCAAAAAGGACTGTATATTTCCCTACAATTCGTCCTTAGGAGGCAACATTGAAACCCAAATACCACATGTGTCAGTCATCAACAAAAGGGCCAGTATGCGGGTCTAATTTTTTGAGTGTTTATAAAACGCCAGATATTTCTGGCAAATGCCAGAAAGGAGTTACCAGAAATGCTGACAGCAGAAAGCCCTTTGGAGATAACACTGTCCAAGCCCTTCATTTTATCTGAGAGCTAGGAACTTACCCATGGCCATAAAGCCAGGAAGTGGCAGAGCTAGAACTAGACTGCCCAGCTCCTAAGCTCCTGGGAAGCTGCTTCCATTGCCCCCAGTCAGCAACAACGTCCTGTTGTTCTTAGGTTCCTGAGAACATTCAGGACCATGGAGAGCAAATGGGGGGGGGGTTGAGGGGGCTGCGGGGGATGTTTGCACACTGTTTCCTGTGATTATGACCTCTGGGTTGCAATTACAAAAGATTCTTCTGAATCATCAGAGAAACACCCTAGAATGTTCTGAATATTTTGGTATTAACTACATTCTAGAATCCAGGGTATTCCAAAATCTTGGCTAATAAGGGTATTCATTGATGCAGCAAATATTTGCTCTCACCTGTCCAGTGCAAAGCATGGAATTAACATGTATGGAGTTGTGGGGAGGCAGGCAGAAGTGAAGAGGAAAGAGGCTTGTTTTTATTTTATTTTATTCTATTTATTATTTTTTTTTTGAGACAGGGTCTTGATCTGTTGCCCAGGCTGGAATGCAGTGGCACAATTATGGCTCACTGCAACCTCGAACTCCTGGGTTTAAACAATCTTCCTGCTTCAGCCTCCCAAGTGGCTAAGACTACAGGTGCGTGCCACCATCCTCAGGTAATTTTAAAATTTTGTTGTACAGATGGCGTCTTGCTGTGTTGCTCAGGCTGGTCTCAAACTCCTGGGCTCAAGGGATCCTCCCGCCTCAGTCTCTCAAAGTGCTAGGATTACAGGCATGAGCCACTGCGCCTACCCAGGCCTGTTTTTAAAGAATGGAGACCCTTATGGAGTTGAATGGAGAAAGGTGAATCAAAACATTGGTATAGAGGTGGTTTGTTAGTTTTTTAACACACTGTTGCTGTAACAAGTTACCACAAACTCAGTGGTCTTAAACAGCACACACTTATCTTACAGATCTGTAGGTTAGAAGTCTGGTGCAGAGCTCACTGGGCCAAAATAACGTTGTTGACCAGGCTGCATTTCTTTCTGGAGGCTCCAGGGGAAAGTAATTTCCTTGCCTTTTCCGGCTTCTAGAGGTCACTCACATTCCTTGAGTCATGGCCCCTTCTTCCATGCTTAAAGTCAGCAACGTTGCATCTATCTGACCATTCCTCCAAATAACATCTTCTGACTTTCTTTTCTTCTTCTTCCACTTTTACAGACTCTTTAGAATATGTGAGGCCCACCTGGATAATTCGGGATTATCTGTCTGCTGATTGGCAACCTTAATTCCATCTGCTTCCTTAATTCCTCTTTGCCATTTAACATAACATGTTTACAGATTCTGAAATTAAGACATGGATATCTTGGGGGGCATTATTCTGCCTACCTCACCTGACGTGTGGCAATTTACTGTAATCAAATTTCTTGACTAAGCAGGTTTTCCTGGAAGAATAGAGCCCAGTTCCAAGGAGTGTATATATGAACACCTTTAAATGATCTCTATCTGCCTCTTACTTGCAGATTTACCTGTAATAGCCTTCTGGGGTTCCTCTATCATAACGTGTACATGGGGGTATTATCAGCACATGGGGGACAGACACAGTATATACACTAGAGGTACAGATAAATAAAATACAACTTCTGCCCTCAAGGAGCCCATGACAAAGTGAGACCACATTGCAGTAGCAATTGCTGCACCTCTACCTTGAATTTTAGTGGCATAAAACAACAACTGTTTTAATCTCACAATCAGTTCTCAACTGGGGCTGGCATTGCCTGAAGGTTTGGCTAGGCTGGACACCCAAGAAGCTTCCTCATGTGGCTGGCAGTTGATGCTGGCTATCAGCTGGGAACACAGCCAGGGATGTTTAGCGGAGCCCTGATGCATGGCCTCTCCAGCATGATGGTCTCCAAGTGGTTGGACTTCTCCCATGGTGGATGGTGCAGGAGGAGCTTATGAAGAGAACCAGGCAGAAGCTGTGTGACCTTTGATGACCTAGTCTTGGAAGTTATATAGCAACACTCTTATGATACTCTATTGGTTGAAGCACTCCCAGGACCTCCCAGATTCAAGGAGAGGGACATTGCTCCCACCTCTCAATGGGAATAATTCAAAGAATCTGTGGCCATTTGTTTGAAAACTGTCACAACTATAAGACAGGGAACTCAGTGGGGGCAGCGATGATGTATGTCTTGTCTCCCACTGTATCCCCTATCCCCAGCTTCTTGCACAGTGACTGCATGTAGTTGGAGGTGTGTGGATGTTGATTGAGGGATAATCACCATAACTGAAATTTACTGAGTGCTTGTGAGTTTATGAACTCATCCACTCTCCACAGCAACCCTAGGAAGTGGGTGCTCTTACCATCCCCATAGTGCAGATGAGGAAATCAAAGCATGGATTGGTTAGGGAACTTGCTGAAGTCATGTAGCTGGGAACTGGGGGAGCCGGGATTTGAATCTTGGTAGTTTGTCTCCAGAGCCCATGCCCTGAACCATGTTTCCATGGTAATAGATACATAAACAGTCCTTTAAGACTCATGATGACTAGTGCTACTAGTGAGGGGAGTGCAAGACCCCCTGGGAGCACAGTGGACAAAGTGGGCAGTGGAGGGAGAAGCAGGAAGTGTTTCAGAGAGGGGTTGCATCTTCAAGGAGAATGTTTTTGAGGATAGAGTTGCAGGGAGAGCGTCTTAGGAAAAGTACCAGCATGAACAAAAGTCTGGGGGTATGAAAAAAATGAGTTATGTTTCCTGAGAAGTTCACTAGGCTGTGTGCTGGTGACGATAGGAGGGAGATGAGGTTGGAGAGGAAAGTGAGGCTCAACTTGATAAGACTGGAATACTGTGCTCAAGGACTTTAGCCTTAACCCTGGAGGAAGCTGGAAATTCATCATGATTTTGAAAGGTCACTCTGATCTTGTGGTGGATGGGCTGGCCAGCAGGAAGAAGCCGCTGGAAGGGAAGCCTTTCTGAAAGCAGCCTCCTCTCCTGTGCTTGTGTGCTTAGCCTAGTATGTCTGCACATTGGTAAGCAGAGCCTGGAGCAGTGGCTAGTGTGATAGATGGCACCAGGAATCTCTAAAGGAAACCTTTGAGGATGAGGCACAGGGAGAGGAAATCAGTGGTGGCAAAAACACTGGGAGCCATCTGGTATCCCAATGGATCCCACAGCAGTGTGGGGAGAGGGGAATGTTGTCTCCATTTGACCGATGAGAAAACTAAGACTGAGAGAGGAAAAGTCACTTGCCTGTGTTCACATAGCTGGTAGGTGGCCTAGGAACCAAGAACAGTATCTGTCTGTCTTCAAGGCCCACGAGTCTGCTTTAGGCCATATGATTGCTCAGACCTGTTGGATGACCCCAGTGAGCTGCCCCTGCCCCATCCCCAGCTCCCCAAATCAGCTTGAAAGGTAAAAGCTCAGAGGGAAAGACCATGCCTACAAAGTGTCTGGGCTAGCCACATTATTAGCAGGGCTCAGAGCAAAATAAAAATGTGGAAGTCCTTGTTTAAAAATCAGTATGAATTTCACGACAATGACAGCAGAGCATTAAACTAAGAATAAGCCCTTCTAAGAGCCAGGCCCTGTGTGACGGCACAGGTCACACGCAACAAAGCAGTAATTGGCCTGGCCACTGTGGATGTGGCTCCATCTCTACCAAAGCCCAGGACAGCCCCAGATCAGCTCTGGTGGGTGGAGAAGCACCCGGGGCCTCGTACAGGAGAAGAGAGAAGCTGTGGGAGGATGAGAGGTGCACTCAGCAGGGACCATGTCCCTTTCCAGAGAGTTTTGAAGCTCACTGCTGACAGGACACCCTCTCGTGTCCTATGGAAAGGAAGTCAAACATGAATTTTCACTTCCAGTGTTGGAAGTGTCCAGTTGAACCCTGAGGGCTGGGAGTGGGGCTGAGAGATGAGGCCCTGAGCACCTGGTTCAACCAAAGCTATTCCACTCCTTTGGTTTTATGTCCTGGGTCTTCTGTAGGATGCTCTTCTGGTAAAAGGTCTCTGTTACTGTAACACATTTGGAAACCACTGTGGCCCTCACTGATGGGCATCATTCTCTCACTTTGACCTAGGATCACAGGTGGCATAGAGACATCCATTTAAGTATTCTCACCCCGTTGTTCCCAACATGGCTTACCTTAAGGTGACAATTTGATGACAACATTCTCATGATGCAATTCATCCCCAGCCACTTATCTGGCCATGAAATATCAATGAGAGGCAATTCCAAAGTCAGCATGCCCTGGAGAGAACATGCTCTGGCCAGCTGCAAGATTGATAAACTGACCTTTCTCCAAAATATGAGCCTGTGCCTTTCCATGCCTTCTGTTTGAATGGCACTCATGGAGGCAGTGTCCACGTTCCAACACCCCAGTACACACACATACATCAGTGACCCCAACTGAACAGCGTCTACATATGCTCCTCACCCATCCTGCCAACACGGACAGGACTAATGGCAACAATACTAATATTCACAAACATTTATTGAGTACCGACTGTGTGTTGAGTGCTATTGTAAATGCTTTCATTTAGTCCTTCCAACCATTATTATTCCACATTTTCCCCCCCCCGGATCTGGGTCCAAGCCCAGCCAGTCTGATTGCAGAGCTTTAACTACTCTGCATATATTCAACTATTTATTTATTTATTTATTTATTGACACAGAGTCTCGCTCTGTCATCCAGGCTGGAGTGCAGTGGTGCGATCTTGGCTCACTGCAACCTCCGCCTCCTGGGTTCAAGCGATTCTCATGCCTCAGCCTCTCAAGTAGCTGAGACTACAGGCATGTGCCACCATGCCTGGTTAATTTCTGTATTTTTAGTAGGGATGGGGTTTCACCATGTTGGCCAGGCTGGTCTCGAACACCTGACTTCAAGTGTTCTGCCGACTTTGGCCTGGAAAAGCGCTGCGATTACAGGTGTGAGCCACTACACCTGGCCTCAACTATCCATGACATGCTGCTATGGTCTGAGTGTTTGCATCCTCCCAAAATCTGTATGTTGAAACCTAATTTTTAATGCAATAGTATGGAAAGGTGGGGCCTTTGGGAGGAGATAAGGCCATGAAGGCTTTGACTTCATGAATGGGATTAGTGCCCTTATAAAAGAGGCCTAAGGGAGCTTGCTAGCCCCTTTTTGCTCTTCTGCCATGTGAGAACACATAGAAGTTGCTGTCTATGAGGAACAGGGGAACAGGCCTTCACCAGACAGCAAATCTGTTGACGCCTTGATCTTGGGCTTTCTAACCCCTGAAACTGTGAGCAATACATTTCTGTTGTTTACAGATTACCCAGTCTAATGTATTTTGTTATAGTAGCCCAAATGGGCCGAAGTGCATGCCTCCTGAATTCAGGTATGTGAAATAAGTAGTGAGCAAAACAGACGCGTCTCTGTCACTATGAAGCTAACAGTCCAGAGGGGTAGGTGGGCATCAGTCATCCACCCAAATATTCAATCACAGGTGGTGACTGGCTGTAGAATAGAGGCAAAGGGAGCCACGAGAACATGTGATGGGAAACCGTGTAGGTTGGGAGAGTCAGAGAGAGCTTCACCAGGAAGTCACTTTCAACATGAAGGCTGAGTGGACATTAACTAGTTTGGGGGGTTTCATTTTTATGCTGAAGAAGGTGAGTGTAGTGCAGAGGGACACCAGGATGGTGCAGGGGGTGAGCATGTGCCTTTAGGGCAGGAAGAGTTAGAGGGAGAGCTAACAGGCAGCCTCCCTCAGAGTTAGCAAGAGGAATAGGGCAGCTGAGAAACGTCTCATCCCAACCTGCCCAATGGGCTGATGGAATTAAGCAACATAACTGCACCATCTTGGGGCAGAGGCCTGTTTATCTGGGGTGTGATGGGAAGACAGGGCTGATATCCTGTCCTTCCAGTTTCCATTCCTGAGCTTAGGGAAGCTACTTTCAAGAGCAGGCTTCCTTCCTCTGAGATGAAGGTGGCTGCTTTTGGACCACAGCTAAATTACTTTTTGGCATCTGACTTCAGGAATTTGTTAATTCAGGGAGCCAAGAATTCAGGCAGGTCTCGAAGTGTTCCCCAGCCAAGTAAGATATGCATCCCAGCGGGCTCTGGTTGTGACTGGAACTCTGAAAGATAAAAGGCCATATGATTGCTCAGACCTGCTGGACGACCCCAGTGAGCTGCCCTGCCCCATCCCCAGCTCCTTTTTCTTTTATCAGAAGCAGGGTCTTCTTATCATTGGTCTGTTTGTGCTGAGGTTGCTCATTTCTTGTTTTCTTTATGTTAATTAGGACCAATGCAAGTCTCATGAACTCTGTTGGGGCTAGCAAACAATGAGGGTTTATCATATGGACATTGAGATGTTTTTTGAAATCCAAAAAAGAGACACGTGACTGAGCCTTAGGAACAAACAGACCTACGTGGTAGAGCATAAAGCAGGATCCCCCCGCCCCTCTATTTCTGCAGCCAACAGGGATCATGAGGACTCTGCTTCATTCCCTCAGTCATGGGTAGAATAGAGAGAGCTTAGAGAAGAGCTTCTCCTGCCCAGGAAGCAGAAAAGAGCCCACTGTGCAAGGGGAAGAGGATGTCCTACTTCTTGCCATTAAATGTAGAAACTGTCCCCACTAATAAAATGTGGTCCAGTGAATGTCTAGGCTTGGCAGTCAGGACAACCATCTCTGCCACATCAAGAGAATTAAGTGCAGGGATGTAGAGAGGAGGTGGAGTGTTGCTAGATGAGTCCCCTTCTGAGCTGAGTCGGAAATGTGAGGCAAAGGGAGATGACTTACTCTTAATACTGATCAATTGAATTGAGTCTTAAAATGTCACCTAAATGAGCAGGCCACTCATGCATCCTATGTTCTGGCCTATGTCCAGGTCTCATTTCATTTGAAGTATTCCCTTGCTCTTGAAGTCAGACGTGGGCACTGGTTCCTCAAGGGTCACCTCTTCCAACATGGCTACATTAAAAGGGGAGGTTTATCTCCTATTGGCTCACACACTCCCAATGTTGCTTTAGCAGAAGTGAGAGCTTACCGCTCATTGGTCCAGCTGCATTTATCTTAGTACATCAAAGTATAGCAATGCCAGAAATGAACATGCTTTCATATCAGCATTTGCCATTGTGGGTAAAGTTACTTGAGCCTTCTTATCCCAGCTCTTGGAGCACATGAACAAGCCCAGTATTCACTTTTCTCTTTTTGTGTTCCATGGCAAGATAATCATGAACACAATTTTAAGAAAATTATTGTTATGCACTTTGAAGTTCTAGGTCCAAAACATAGCACAGAGTTGGAAAGCAGCCCATTCCTTCTGCCTCTGCATGGAACCCACCTAGACCCTCCCCAACAAGGTCTGGATCTCAGCACGAGGGTTGGGAGCTCTTCTTTAGATGCTCTATCTCAGCCCTTGGGGAAGTAGTGGCTGATCCTTATTTGTGCTATTCCTGTGTTCTTTAGAGTTCTTTTTACTTATCTTTTGCTAATCCTGTTATATTTTTACTTATCCTTAACAAATCCTGTTATGGTTACTAATTCTCATATTAAGCTTTCTCTGTTCAAATTACTGTGTGTTTTTTCTTTCCTGATTGGACCTAGACTAACATATTGAGCTTGAAGAGATATGGTTATGTCAAAGAATGGAAATACTAAATAAATGCCCCCATCTCCTTGCTCGCTGGGGATGGGATAACTCTGGGTACACGTCTGCTTTGACCACTGAGTTTCCTTAGTGGAAGGAGGCTCTGTTGCCTGCTGCAACTGGCACAATAATGCACCTGCTCTATTTTCCCCAGTTGTCTGCCAGTGTTTCCTTCGTCTCCCAGATAAACCACATGCACTCACATTTCTTTCCTGGGCCTGCTTCTAGGGGAACCTGTTGGCTCGCACATTCCCAATATTGCTCACTGTTCATTGGTCCAGCTGCATTTATCAAAATAAGCAGTGCCAAAAATGAACACATTTTCATATCAGCATTTGCCATTGTAGGTAATGTTACTTTAGCTTTCCTTTTATTGTTTTTTGAGACAAAGTCTCACTCCATCACCCAGGCTGGAGTGTAGTGGTGCGATCTTAGCTTACTGCAACCTCTGCCTTCCAGTTCAAGCGATTCTCATTCCTCAGCCTCCCGAGTGGTTAGGACTACAGGTGTGTGCCACCACACCCAGCTAATTTTTGTATTTTTTTTAGTAGAGACAGGGTTTTGCCATTTTGGCCAGGCTGGTCTCGAAATCCTGATTTGCCTGCAGTGGCCTCCCGAAGTGCTGGAATTACAGGTGTGAGCCATCGTGCCCAGCCTACTTTAGCTTTCTTATCCCAGCTCTTGAAGCACATGAACAACCAAGGCACTTATCCAAGGTCACACAATGAGTCAAGTTCTCTTTAGGCTAGTTTCCAGCACTGCTCTGTTAGCCCCAGTGTTCTTAGCACATCCTGCTTCCAGCAGGCTTTATACATGAATTCGTAGTTACTTCTTAGCTAATTCTCAAGCTACTGGATTTCTTCCTGGTTGATACTGTGTTAGAGATGCCAGTCACCACCTTCCTGGACACATACACTTGCAAAAGTAGCCTCTTCTACTCAGGCTTCTGCTTACTAGGAGAGGGTCTTAGTGCCCTGTGTGTAATAACATGGAGGTCTTTCACTGAGATTTCTCTATATGCCAGACACTTTGTTAAGCATTTACTTGCATCGGCTCATACAGTCTGCATCATCATCCTATGCAGCTGGTCTTGGTTATATAATTCCTTGATTCTAAGACACACCATGCGTTTATTAATTTTTTGGGAGGTGGGGGACACTATCACATTAAATACATGCATCAATTGTAAGACACATCCCAATTTTAGAATGCTACAAGTGAAAAGATACAGGATTATCTTCACTTAACAATAGGACTTGAAGACTCAAAGAAGTTAAATAGTGTGCCCAAGCTCACCCAGTTAATAAATGGTGGGGTTGGCATTCAAACCCAGGCTTGTTTGATCCTAAAACTCATGGCAATGAAAGATAACCTAAAACTTATGGTAATGAGAGATAAGAAGAGTTCTTTCACCTCTCCTTCTTCTTCCTCTCCCTCGGCCACAGCTGGTTGGCCCTGGTATGTACACTTGATCTCTAGCTGTTTCAAGCATTGTCTTTCTCCCAGGAATAAAGTATTCATGCTCAGGGAGAATGAACCTGCCTGGGCTGCTGAGCTGGGAAACCTAGGAGGGTCAGAGCCCTGAACAAGCTGACATGTGAGGGAGCAGACACTGTGAATAGAAGGAGCCAGCTTGGGCAGGGAGGTAAATGGCGCAGAGCTGCCAACAAGGTGAGATGGAGAGATACCAGCTCCTGGGAGTCCTCACTGTCTTTCCTCCGAGAGAGTTCTAGAACATTCTCTTGAATAAAAATAAAATTTATGTGCCACAAACATGCTAAGCCTTTACCTGCATAATCTTCTATCATGCTCATGACAACACTATGGTAGGTTCTAGTCTCACCCCACTGTAGACTAGAGGACACAAGGCTCACTTGGTGTCACAGCTGGAAAGCGGCAGAGCTGCTTCTGCATCTATGTGGCCTCTGTCCAGAGCTGTGTTTCTCGTTTTTGCATATCCTTACTTTGTCATCATTAGAAACAATAACAACAAACAAACAAACAAACAAACCGCACATCACCTTTTTATTCACCCCAGTTTGTGTGAGTCTCTGATCCTTGGTATTAAGCAAACCCAACTACAAGAGACGTTTCCACAAAGGATTTTGTTTTCCCCTCCGGGTTTATCCTGTTTGACTATGGCACCAGTGACAACATCTGCTTTGTATTTTCACAGAATCTTTTTCAAAGCGTTGTACTCGAAGCGTGACTGAGTGTTTGGTTTGTGCACTGAGTGACTATGTTTTATTTCTCTGATAATCCACATCTCTTGGGCACGTGGTGACTCTGAATTGTCCCGATTGTTTGATTCATCTGAGAGGTCCATGCCTCAAGATTGACTTCTCACCCTCCCTTCTCACATGATGGATGAATCCATTTGAACAGGGTTTTATGCTTCTACGTAATTTATTTACAAATTCATGTGCTCCTTCAGCAACTAAGCATTTACCGAGTGACTCCTTTTTTCCTAGACATTGTGCTGGTGACCAGAGAGCTGAGACAACAGTGTCTCTGGCTTCAAGGAGCTAACAGATTATGGTATGGGGAGGGTGGTGGGAAGGAAGAAGGTCACTGGTGACCCCATGCATCCCAAGAGCTATCATAGAGGCAAGCACAGAACTGACGAGCTTCAGAAGAGCAGGTTGTACATGAGTCTGGGGGGTCAAGCGAGGCTTCCAAGTGAGCTGACCTCAGTACCGAAGGACAGGTGGGTGTTAGCTACATAGAGGAAGGGTGGGGAAATGGGGCAGCATTTGAAGCAGAGACAATAGCAACTATCAAAGTCAGGAGAAAGGAGAACTGCAAGTCACCTGCTGTTGCAAAAGCACAGGATGAGTGGACTTAGGGAAGAATGACTGGGAGATTGTACCTGTGAGGCTTCAGAGGACAGAATGAGAAGCAGCCTTACTAACACACTGAGTGGTTGCTGCTGAGCAGTAGGGTGGGTGGGGTGGAATGGCAGTTTCCCGTTAGAAAATCCAGCTTGGAGAGAGTACTCTCACCCAGGAAGACTGTGGCAGTGGGGATAGAGAAGAGAGAACAGATTTGAGACACATGTAGGAGGTGGAATTGGCTGAACTTGACTGGAGCAGTGTTGAAGGAGAGGAAGGCATTTTTCATTCTTAGGTCAGTGGCTCAGGTGATCATGTGGTGGTGGCATCGTTTATTGAGAGGGTGAGGAAGGTGATGGAGCAGCCATGGGGGATGGGGCTGGGTTGGTGAGGATGAGTTCGGATGTGAATATGCTGAAATAGATGTGCCTATGGGACATTTAGGAGAATGTTGGATATTTTGGGTTAGAACTTGAGAGAGGGGTAAGAAGCAGAGACACCAATGATCAGACAGCATCAGCATCCTACAATTGCCTTGGGAGTGGAATATGCTGATGATGTAAGGAAAACTCTTTTGCTTATCTTAGGCATTTTGGATGTTTTTCTAACAAGTTTTTTATTTGGAAAATCCCCCCACTTGCTTCTGGGGTGTGTAGTCAAATAGCAATGTTGGTGCACCCAACATCAATAGTTTCCCTGGAAACGTATATCTTTGTACACTTTTGGATGTGGCATGTCAGAGCTGATGTTGAGGATTTTGCTTCCTTGAAGTTTATTGATACTTTTCTTGCATTTGGTATCCATAGTACTCTGGCCATCACCAAGTCAACAGGATTCTAATATTCCTTTCCCTGATCCAACCAAAGCTCTTTGTAAATTGGACTCAGCAGGAGTAAGTCCAGTGACCTCATAAATAGTGGAAATGATTGCAAATCAGAATTCATATATGTTCCCAACTCAGTGGGTATCCTTCTCCCCGACAAAGGAAGCAATCATTGCTTTCAAATTTCTGTTTGCCCTTTTACTCAGCTATGTTGGAAGAAAATATATAGAGAGATTTTGCTCTATAAGCCTGAAAGGTCCACTTCCTCTAACTTGAAAAAATAAAAGTTCTATGTCTAGCCCTGTGTAGTCAGGTGGTCCCACTTGGGGAATAACCACAGGTATGGGGGGCTGGCTAGGGGCTCACAGAAATATTCTTCCAAGGCACTTGGGAAAATAATTCATACTCAAAGAAGCACTTAAAAAATTTATGGCAAGACTTCGAATTCTCCATCAGCATCAGCATCAGCGTTTTCCCCTCCTTCCATGACACCCTATATTTCCCTGGCATGTAGGACCATGTGACTCATGCTGATGAACATGGGCAGAAGTGACTCTACCTCTTCTGGGCTTGGCCCCTCAAGAGACCCTTTATGTTCCCCTTCTCCCTTGTTTTCTGGCTATTTCAGCAATCGAGTGGAGGACTCTGAGTCCCTAAGAGACGATGGAGTAACTAGATGAAAGGAGCTTGAGTCCCTGAATGATTGCATGGAGCAGAGTCCCACCCACAGATCTGCACTGAACACTATCATGAAAGAGAAATAAACCTTCCTGGTATTTAAACACTGAGATTTTGGAGTTGTCTGATGTGGGAGTTAGGCCATCCTTTCCAATACATATTTCTTTGCTGAGTACTGTTTTAAGAGCCCTGATGGATTTGAATGGAAAAGGCTTCTTTTCCTCCCCTCCTTCTGTCCCTTGCCGCCCACCTGCTTTTTCCTGCAGAGAAATACATGAATCCTGTAACTCTAGTTCTGATGCATCAAGGGTACCTAAGATAGAGTGGGGGCAAAAGATTGCTTGGGAGAGCATGGATAGTCTTGGATTCTCATCCTGCCTGTAGCTTTTACTACCTGATGAACCACTTAATTTTGCCCAATCTCACTTTCCTCACTTGTGCAATGAGGGCATACATGAATAAAAGGGGTTGCTGTGAGAATAGAGGAGATCATGTATATGAAAATGCAGTTTTAGAAACTGTAAAGCTCTATATGCCTGTGGGTGACTATCAGGGAAGTAGGAGGATGTTATAGCTTTCCTGAGTGATGTCTTTACCCCTCTGTTCCCTCACCTTACATCTGCAACTCTGCAAATCCCTTTTATTATTTTTTTTTAGTGGAAGCACCAACATTATGCCCCAAATTCTATCATGTTGCAGTGGTGGAAATATTCCTTGATAGCATTTATAGAAAGTGAAGTTAATTTTGCCCCCTCTCAATGCTTTTTCCTTCTTCCTTTAGTTGTTACTAGATTTATGGAGGAATTCACAGCACAGTTAATAAGTCAATTAAATTTCATTTAGTTTACTAAAAACCTCTATTCTAAAACCTCCCAAGAAACAAAACTGCATCTATTCACACAAATTCTATAACACTTTTTTTCTGAATAAACAATTTCTTTTTATGTTTTATTGTTTTTATGTCCTAAAAGGACAGAGAGAGTCACCAGTCTTGGAATTTCCATAATTTAAGAGCAATCATTTGCTTTTTCTAATTTATCCTAATGAGCTCACATTTTTTCTTTATCATACTCATTTTCTCTGGCAAAAGGTCATCATGGGCAATCATCCATGTCTGCTGGGTATAAATTGTTTTCATAACAATTTTCATTTGCCTTGGAAAATGTGCCAGGCTGAAAACATGGCCACTTTGTATCTGTGACAGCACACATTACATTTCCCCCATTTGCTTTGGTATATCAACCTCCCAAAGAATAATAAACGGTGGGATTAGTAATGCTGGCTGATGATGTGGACTAAAGACCCCTTCCCTCCCTGAAGGTTTCGCTCCCAGACCCTGCCTTCCAGTGCTGTGTGACCATCTTGCCTCCTCTCACTGGCTCCTCCATGGCTCCAGGTTCCATTACAGCTTCTCTTGCACCTCGTTGGTGAGCTTTCTGGCTGCCTTTGCCTTGGACTTGGACATGGATTCCCCTTTCCCCTGTGCCCTATGGCTGAAGGCTGGGCAGGCCCACTCTCACCCCCAGCCTCAGCTCTTAAGGATCCTGGGCCAAGCCTGGGACCCTGTGATCTCACCCTCATCAGGATGAGGATGAGAGGGGTTCAAAAAGCAGCACATTTAATATTTTATCTTACTTTTCCAAATGTTCAAACGTGTATTCTGTTGATTGATTGATTCATTGATTCATTCAACAAATATGACTAAGCCCTATTCTGTCTCACTGACTGAGCACAGAGATAAGACAGAACATATTCCTGTCCACAGAGTGCCCACAGTCCAGTACTGGGGATGGACAACTCAACAAGAAATTATATTGCCATTGTGAAAAGTGCAGAGATAGAAGGGGAGCAGGTGTCAGGATGAAAGTTCCTGCTCGGATTTAAGTCAAGCAAACAGGACATTCTAAAAATGGAGCTAGACCAGCATGGTCCGATAGGTATATAATACTAGCCGCAAATGAAATTTGAAAAATTTACAAAATAAAATTTAAAAAATTATACAGCAGTAAACATACATGTGCATGTGTCTTTATAGCAGTATGATTTATAGTCCTTTGGGTATATACCCAGTAATGGGATGGCTGGGTCAAATGGTATTTCTAGTTCTAGATCCCTGAGGAATCGCCACACTGACTTCCACAATGGTTGAACTAGTTTACAGTCCCACCAACAGTGTAAAAGTGTTCCTATTTCTCCACATCCTCTCCAGCACCTGTTGTTTCCTGACTTTTTAATGATTGCCATTCTAACTGGTGTGAGATGGTATCTCATTGTGGTTTTGATTTGCATTTCTCTGATGGCCAGTGATGGTGAGCATTTTTTCATGTGTTTTTTGGCTGCATAAATGTCTTCTTTTGAGAAGTGTCTGTTCATGTCCTTCGCCCACTTTTTGATGGGGTTGTTTGTTTTTTTCTTGTAAATTTGTTTGAGTTCATTGTAGAGTCTGGATATTAGCCCTTTGTCAGATGAGTAGGTTGTGAAAATTTTCTCGCATTTTGTAGGTTGCCTGTTCACTCTCATGGTAGTTTCACATGCACACGTATGTTTATTGTGGCATTATTCACAATAGCAAAGACTTGGAACCAACCCAAATGTCCAACAGTGATAGACTGGATTAAGAAAATGTGGCACATATACGCCATGGAATACTATGCAGCCATAAAAAATGATGAGTTCATGTCCTTTGTAGGGACATGGATGAAATTGGAAATCATCATTCTCAGTAAACTATCACAAGAACAAAAAAACCAAACACCGCATATTCTCACTCATAGGTGGGAATTGAACAATGAGAACACATGGACACAGGAAGGGGAACATCACACTCTGGGGACTGTTGTGGGGTCGGGGGAGGGGGGAGGGATAGCATTGGGAGATATACCTAATGCTAGATGACGAGTTAGTGGGTGCAGCGCACCAGCATGGCACATGTATACATATGTAACTAACCTGCACATTGTACACATGTACCCTAAAACTTTAAGTATAATAATAATGAATAAATAAACAAAAAAAACTATACAGCAAAATTAACTTTTCTATCTTTGAGTGTTCAGTTCTATGAATTTTAACACATGTAATAAATCTGTGTAACTATGACCACAGAGTACAGAACAGTTCCATCACCCCAAAACTTTTTCTCTGAACTATCCATTTGGCATTCCACCTTACTCCAACCACTCATCTCTAGCAACACTCATCTGATTTCCACCATCAGAGTTTGGTCTTCTTAAGAATGTCAAGTAAATGGAAGCACGCAGTATGTAACCTTTTGCAATTGGCTTTTCTTTCATTCAGCATAATGTCTTTAAGATTCAGCCAAGCAGTTGAGTTTAATCAATAATTCTTTCCTTTTTTACTGCTGAGTAGTTTTCTGTGGTGTGGATGTACCACAGTTTGTTTATCCATTTACCCAATGAAGGGCATTTGAGTTGTTTCCAGCTTTTGGCTAGCACAGAAAAAGCTGCTATGAACATTTGGGTACAGGTTTTTGTGTCAACATAAGTTTTCACTTCTCTAGGGTAAATGCCCAAGGGTAGGGTTGCTGGTATAGATGGTATGTGTATATTTAACTTCATAAGAAACTGTCAAATCGCTTTCCATAATGGCTGTGCCATTTTGCATTCCCAGCAGAAATTTATGAGCCTTCCAAATGTTCCTCATCCTCACCAGCACTTGGTATTGTTAATATTTTTTATTTTAGCCATTCTACAGGTATGTAGTATTATCTCATCATGGTTTTATTTTGCATACCCCTAATGACTATTGATGTTGAACATCTTCTTATGTGTTTACTTGACCTCTCTTATCCTCTTTGTTGAAGTATCTGTTCAAGTCCTTTACCTGTTTCTTATTATTGCATTTTGAGAGTTCTTTATACATTCTGGATACAAATCCTATGTCAGACACGTGGTTTGAAAATATTTTCCTGTCTATAGCTTGCCTCTTAATGATCTTCTTAGTGTCTTTGGCACAGCAAAAGTTTTATAGATTTTGAAGTCCAATTTACCAATTTTTTCTTTGGTTATGTGGATCATGTTTTTTGTGTCATTTCTAAGAGCTCCATATATTTTAAATTTTCCAGTAGCCATTTTTTTAAAAGTAAAAAAAGGAAAATTAGTTTTAATAATATATTTTAACCCAGTATTTCCAAAATACTATAATTTCAACACATAATCATTTAAAAATTATTAGAGAGTTATTTATTTTACATTCTTCTTTTGTACTTACTCTTCAGAAGCCATTGTGTATTTTATACCTATAAGCCATCTCAGTTCCAACTGGTCACATTTCTTTCTTTTTCTTTTTCTTTTTTTTTTTGAGATGGAGTCTTGCCCTGTCACCAGGCTGGAGTGCAGTGGCACAATCTCGGCTCACTGCAACCTCCACCTCTCAGGTTAAAGCAATTCTCCTGCCTCAGCCTCCCAAGTAGCTGGGACTACAGGCGTGTGCCACCACATCTGGCTAATTTTTGTATTTTTAGTAGAGACGGGGTTTTGCCATGTTGGCCAGGATGGTCTCCATCCCTTGACCTCATGATCTGCCCCCTCAGCCTCCCAGAGTGCTGGGATTACAGACGTGAGCCACCACACCCAGCCCTGACTGGCCACATTTCAATTGCTCAATAGCCACATGGGACTAGTGGTTACTGTATTGGAGAATGCAGAGTTAGACCATGGGACAGGTTTTCAAAGGTGATGATTGACAACTCTTGAACTCCTCACTCACATTAAGGGTACGAAAAGGAGAGGAATCAAAGATCTGGGGAGGGTTTGGGGAAATGACTTCTTCCGAGAAAACTGTGCTATGGATGCAATCCCAATTTCCCTGGAGGGGTGGAACCTGCTGCCTTTTAATCTTAAACCAAATGAGGGTACCACAAGGAGAGGTCCTCCTCAGGGACAGGAGCTTTGGAAAGGGAGGCTGTTATGCTGTGGGCCCTAAGGGGAGGGATGGGAGATACACGCCTCTTGCCTCAAGCCTTGAGAAAGGGCTCTCTCAGGTCATGTGGAAAGCTTCACATACATCCCCTCTAGTTGGAGGACATCTGAAAAACCTAAAGGGCAAGAGAGTGACTGAGGCAGCCTGTGGGAGCCTAGCAGAAATTGCTGTGTTTGGAGACCCTGCACTCCCATCTTTTGGGATAAAAAAGGCAAAAGAATGCAAGAGGGTTTACTGAGAATATGCAAGAGAGAGAAAGCCAGTGTAACGTCTTGTCCAGGAGAGCCACCTGGAGAGGCAAAAGAACCTCAATAGAGAGAAGCTGGAGGTGTCACCCAATGCCTTGCAACTGAGGAAGGGCAAATGACTGTCTTAAGCAGAGATACCTCTGCCCTACTCAGGAGAACTGCAGGGACAGTGGTGTCTCCAAAGAGCCCACGAGAGAAAGGAAAGAAGTCAGCTTTAAATATCTGCTATGTTAGAGAATAGCAGTGCTGGATCTCCATGTACCAGTCAAAACAGAACATTCTGGCTCCCTTACTTCATTCTCTTCTTTTCACTTTATCCCTGGAGAGGTCAGAAAGGTGGCTGGCAATTAGGAGAGGAGGAGAGTCATAGGTGAGGAAAAAGAAGAGATCTACCATGTCCCTCTTCTCTGACTGCAGGCTTCCTACCTGCAACATCCTGGGGTGACACAGTGGAAAACCTGCATTTTAAATTAGATTTAGAGGTTTGATCATGATGTGAGACAGGACATTGAAATGAATGACTTTAAACTACATAGGGACTTAGTGAGTGTAAGACTGTGCTTCTCACCTGTTCATGTCATGGTCTCATATCTAGTCTCCTGCCTTTAGACTTTCATCCTTCCCCCTGCTATCCATCCTACTCACTGACTTTGGGTATGTAGCCTCTTGAGTCTCAACCTTGATCATGGCTCGCTTCTCAAAAACCTGTCATCTGCAAACCTCTTAAGGTTCTCCATGGGACAAAAGAAGATGCTCCCTTTATTCAGTCCAAAGGTGTCATAGTAGTAGTCATGGTGGGGTTTTGATGGTGGTAATGGTGGGATAAGGAATGGCAGGGAGTATACCTGTCTCAGATGCTCCTGGGGCCCTTGCCCAGAAAGTACAGATAGAGTTTAGTTTGCTTGTAATGGGGAAAATCATATACATTCTCAAGTAAAATTGATCAATTGGAAATGTTGAAATATCATTAGATTGTCTTTGAGTAAAAATAGCCCATCAACCAATCATCAAATGTGTTTGATGGAAAATATAAGAGACTAGACTGGGTGATGTATTAATTCTAGAAATATTTATTGAACCAAGACACATGGTAGGGAGCTAGAAATGCAACATATTAGTGACAGTCTCTGACTTCATGGAGTTTAGTTTATTATATGCAAGCAAGAAATTATAGTGAAGTGGGAGGGTTGTTGTGGTAGAGGAAGTCCAAAGTGCTTTGGATGTCCACAGCAGAGACAGCGTTTAAAGCCTTACAATGTTGGGTTTCTAGCATTCTGGGATCAAATCTAGAACCGTACATATAGCCTTGGAAAGAAAATAAATATCAGAAGGCCCCAGACCCCCCCAAAAATGAAAGAAACAGCATTATTTGGTAGGAACATAATAAGGAACATAAAGGCAAGAAAATAGTGGAACTTTCTAATGATAAACTGGGGAAACAGAATTACACTCCTCAATCATGGAAGAAAAAAAAAGAATCAAAGAATTATCATTGGCTTTTTAAATCGCTTATTGATCTCCCATGATGGGTATAAAACAGTTATATTTTCCAGATAATGGTTAAAAATGGGTGTTAGTATGATGCAGCCTTTCTGTGGTGGTGGTAGGAATGCACCTCTTAGATTTCCAATAGCTCGGAGCACGGTTGACCAGCAGCCCTGGCGCTGAGTTCTCAAATCCTTCCACAGTGTCTCCTTCCTGAGCTTGCCTCCAAGCCGTGCTTCTGTAGGCTGTTCCCAGGGAACAGAGCCTGGCAGCGATACTAAGGCAAACTTGTTCCTAGGAGACATGGGTCTTTTCTGATGGGTAACTGTGGTTTGACACCTTTCTGACAGCCTGCCAAACTTTCCTTACAACTCCGCGGCAGTCTAGAATGCTTCCACTAAGTCTTCCTTCCTTCTTTTTCTCCTTCATTTGGGGTTCAAACTATATTCCAGCCTCTCTTGGCACCCTCCCATTTTCTTTTTTTTGAGACGGAGTCTCACTCTGTCACCCAGGCTGGAGTACAGTGGCACAATCTTGGCTCACTGCAATCTCTGCCTCCTGGGTTCAAGTGATTCCCCTGCCTCAGCCTCCCAAGTATCTGGGACTACAGGCATGCACCACCATGCCTGGCTAGTCTTTTTTATTTTTAGTAGAGATGGGTTTCACCATGTTGGCCAGGCTGGTCTCAAACTCCTGACCTCAAGTGATCCACCTGCCTCGGCCTCCCAATGTGCTGGGATTACAGGTGTAAGCCACTGTGCCCAGCCCACCCTCCCCATTTTCTATCACTATTGCTTCCCTAATAACTTTTTGGCACATCTAATTCTGATTGGCATTTGTTCCTCAGAGGACCCAGACTAATGCACCTTCTCAAAACAGTGTTCTAGAGGGGATCGGTAGATGTTCCTTGAGGCATCTTTTTACCTAGAAACCATCAGTGCCATCTGGGTGGGTGCAGCAGTGGAGGGGTGCCAAGCCAGGCCATGGGGCATGGTGTCACACACACACCTGGTTCAAAGCTTGGCTCTTCCACCTACAGCTGTGTGATCTGTGGCAAATTACTTCATCTCTGCTATCCTCAGTTTCCTCACCTGTAAAATGGGATACTTATTTTTTCCCTCACAGGTTTTCTGTGGGGATTAATTGAGATACAAATAAGGGCTTATCATAGCATCTGGCACATAGCGAGCGGTTGGAGCTGGCTGCTAAGGGCTTCATTCTCTGTTTTTCACCACCAGCTCCCCACTTTCC
Source organism: Homo sapiens (assembly GCF_000001405.40). Taxonomy (NCBI): domain Eukaryota; kingdom Metazoa; phylum Chordata; class Mammalia; order Primates; family Hominidae; genus Homo; species Homo sapiens. The sequence goes on along the minus strand of NC_000001.11, from coordinate 38,661,354 downwards.
CCGAGATGAGAAGGGAGGAAACACAAGTACAGTTGGTCATCTTTCATATAGGCCCCTGGATGCACTACCCCTTTAACACTGCCTAACAAGGTCCTACGGAGCTGGTTCCTTTGCTTCTTCCTCTGACCTCCTGTTAATGTCTCTCTCGGTTCTCATTGTGCAGAGTCCTGTATGGTTCTCAGTGGATCTCTCCAGATCTTTTTCTAGGAAATTCCCATCCCCATCCATACAATCACCATGGGAGCTGCCACCTTGGTGTGCTGTCCTTCTATCCCTTGGACACCGTTGATTATTCCAGAGGTGGCACCTGTCTCAAAAGGAGCCATCGATACCTTCCCTAGGAATCTTGGGTGTCAGCTTTGTTTCTCTCCCGGGGTAGCTGAGGCCATGACACCTCAAGCTCTGAAGCTATTGGCAGCCATGTTTTCCCCTGGGTGAAAGGAGAAAACCAGGCTATGGGAGATGAAAGAACGTGCTTGTCACACAAGAGAAGGAGAGACAGGAGAGGGAGAGAGAGCTGGCTGCATCCAAGTCCTTGGCTTTGGTTATTCTTTAGGTTTTGTGAGACACACCAACATTCTCATAATCAACATCCCCCTGTTTGCCTAAGCTAGTTGAGTAGGGTATCTGTCACTTGCAGCACAGAGTTCTGACTAATGAAGGCGTGTTCCTGTTCCATGTGCCCATCCTGCCTTCCCACCTTGACTGTAAGCCTCACAGGAGCCTCTACAACATCCCTCATTCCATTTCTGCCCACAGTGCCCGGAATAGTGCCTGGCCCCTGCAGCTGCTCCAGACAGATGTGCTGTCAACAATGAGGCTCAATCAAATCTTCTGCTCATGGAAGGTTTCTATATATTCCACACATGATGTCATAGGACCACTTTAAATCCACACTCAAAGTCCTGGTTTAAATGTGCTAAAATTGTTTTGTGGCAAGGACTGTGGGCCCTTTTGGAAAAGAGCTTCTAGCAGGTATTTTGTAAGAGGCAAGATGGGGTTTCAGGTTAATGGGTGTTGCCAGGAGAATTACTGTCCTTAAAATGAAGCGACGTTGCCACTCACCCTACTCCGCCCTGGGCTCCCCCCAACATCCTGCCCCTTTGCTCCCCTGCTCCACCAAGCAGCCTATTTAAAAATGCAAACATTGAAGAGGTCAGTGAGGCCACAGCCTGGATCCTCTTTGGCTGTAGATGTATAGAGGGCTTGATTCTTTCTCAAGGTCTTTCACATATATTTTTCCATTGACTCATTATTAAGCTGTACAATCCATGAGGGCAGATATTTGTTTTGTGTTTCCTACACAAGCTGGCCCAGGCTGGGTTTTTTTTGTTTGTTTGTTTTTTGTTTTTGAGACGGAGTCTCGCTCCATCGCCCAGGCTGGAGTGCAGTGGCATGATCTTGGCTCACTGCAAGCTCTGCCTTCTGGGTTCATGCCATTCTCCTGCCTCAGCCTCCCGAGTAGCTGGGACTACAGGTGCCCCCCACCATGCCCGGCTAATTTTTTGTATTTTTAGTGGAGATGGGGTTTCACCGTGTTAGCCAGGATGGTCTCGATCTCCTGACCTTGTGATCCACCCACCTCAGCCTCCCAAAGTGCTGGGAATATAGGCGTGAGCCACTGTGCCTGGCCTTAGTGTAGTATTTTTAAAAATTAAAATTAATGAAAAAATCTTTGATGAATAAAATACCAACATTCTAGTTAAAGACAGGCTCTGTTGACAGGGGCAGAAATGGGGTGAGGTAAAGAGATGAACCATGCAAATGTAGAGTGTACTGTGAAAGGTAGCGAGGACATTGCCATGAGTTCATCCAAAGCCATTTTGTCTTCCTCCTTGGCTTGAGGATGAACTACACATCTCCTCCTCCTTTGCAGGTAAGTGTGGTTTTGCAGTTAAGTGTGTGCAGTCAAGTTCTAGCTGATGGATTGTCAGTGGAATTGACGTTAGCTACTCCAGACCTGGCCATTAAAAAATATCTAACATTCTCTTTTCCATACTCTTTCCCTCTCCCAGCTTGATACAGATGAGCACGGTCACCTCATATGCTAAGGGGTGAAAATGACAGAGCCACAAGATAAAAAGAACCTGAGAAACATAATCACTAATGGAGGAGAGCATCCCACTGGTCAGATTAGTCCTCCTTTTAGGACTTTCAGGGACTTTAAAAAAGCCTTATGCTGCGTTAATCCACTGAGATTTGGGGGGTTTTATGCTCCAGCAGCCAGTATTAATTTAACTAATATAGAACTTGTTACCAGAAGTGGGGTGCTGCTGTTACAAAAACCTAAAATATGTGACATTGACTTGGTTGTCAGGTGGCAGGCAGCAAGGAAACTGATTTTGGAGCTGGACTTATGGAAAACCATGACAAATAGGGGCAAACCATTTGGTGAAACTCACCTGTGACAACTTGGAAGGCAGACCAGGTGCCTCCTGAGCCTGCTGCATTAGGGCATACAGTTTGAAAGAGTCAAAGCAATAGTATCAGTTGGATTTTACTTTCTGCTTTTGCAATGTGTTACCAGAAGGAGGTGAGCTCAAGAGCAACTTGGCTGGTTAGTCTTAAAACACCTCTTGAGTCCCTGAACTTGCACGGAAGAAAGCAGCTGCAAAAGTTGTAGAGCCTTAAAGAAGGGAATATTCTACAAAACCCACTTCAGATGGGGCCACAGAAGACAGTAAGCAAGGAGAAACTTCTGAGAGCCAAGTCAGGAGCCACAAAAAGTAATGAGAGTGGAAAGTTCTCCCAGAGAACAGAGTCAGCATCTAATTAGGAATATCTCTCCAGTGTAAGGGTGAGCATCTCTTCTTACTCCTCTAAATTATGGTAGCAGGTTGTTTATCTAGGCCATTTTCCTCACACCCCTTGCTGGGCTGTGTGCTCCTTGAAGGCTGGCGTGGTGCTTAATGGGTTGGTCAGAGCATGGTGAGATTGCATTCCACCTTGCACTAGCAACAATATAACCTTTTCTGCAACATGGTATACATCAGGAGTCTTTAAAATGCTTATACCTTTTAGCCCAATAATTCCATGTCTAGAAATCTAGTCCCAGGAAATAATCTGATGTGTAAATAGAGATTTAAACATGAAGTCATCCAACAAAATATTATTTAAATGACAAAAAATTGGATATTACCTAAATATCCAACAGTGAATTAAATAAATGATTTAGGAAATTTATAGTATTTTTATAGAGTGGAATATTATTTATCCATTAACTTTTTTCTTTGCATAGAAAAAGTTTTTAATGATTCAGGAAAATGCTTATGATGCAAAATTGTGCATTACTAAGACTTCAACTATGTACAAGACATATGCACAAAAAAAGCTCGAAGGAAATGTGTTAAAATGCTACCGGTGATTATATGGGGAATTATAGGGTTTACTACAGATAATATCTTTGAAGATTTGGGTAACACACTGTACAGATTTTCCACAAAGGTCATGGATTGCTTTTATAATTAGAGGACAACATCCTACCTTAACAGAGAAGAACCTGATCATGTGTCAAAGTCTTCTTATACCTGCTGTTCTTCCTATTCCAACACCGGGCTTGATGTGCTGGAAACAGCATTGGCCTGACGGAGACCTGAGTTCTAGATTAATTTGCTATGTGATCTTTGGCCTCACTTGAGCCTGTTGTCCCATTTTTACAAAGAAGGGGCTGCATGGGATAATACTGAACCAGCCTTTCCAGTTCAAAAAGTCTTTGTACAAATGTGCTGAATCACTCTCTAGTTTATCATTCTTTTTCATTCCTGGAGGTAAAACCAACCTCAAAATCTTGGAGCCTGATAGACTTTGAAATTGGACCTCATTTTAATTCTCAAGTTTTTAGCATGAGAGCAACATTCAATATGGTTCTGAAATATCTCATGCAAAAAAGTGCCAGAGTCATAGACTGAAATATTTATTTGAATATAAATGAACTCAGATTTGCCAAAATACGTTCCCCCTGTTGTCATGGACACAAATGCCTGACTTTCTGATTTGCATTTCTTTTCTAATGGGTACAATATGTTTCAGCTCCTCATTGGTGCTGAGATTGGATTTAAGAAACTCACCCTTCTGTGAGCTCCCCAAAATGTCAGCCAGTGGGGAACTTTTCTGCCTTTGATTCCACTTTACCTAGCCAGCAGGAAGTAAGTTTGCACCTCTGTGGGGTCAGGGCAGGGGCTCAGAGTGCTCCTGTCCCCTCCCTGACAGCTTCCCTTGGAGGTACAAATAGTGAATTTTGGAGTGCCAGGGGACGTTCCACCTACTGCCTCTCTGGGCCTCTTTTCCAGCCCAGACCCTCTCCCACCTCTTTGGAAACTCATCTTTGCTCTCTAGTTCTGTGGTAGTGAAGGTTGCAGGATTTCTTCTTGTGCAGACATTCCTGGTCCCTGCCAGCATCTGCTCCTTCTCCTGTGTGCTCCCTCTTGATCCGAAGTTGCCATCTGTCCCTTTCTCTAAGCTCAAATCCTCAGAATCACGTTCCAATTACTTCTCCCTTTTCATCTTCACCTCAAAAAAGACAATACCCAAAGCCTGCTGATTCTGCCTCCTAATGACCCCTCTGCCTTCATGGAGCCTTGTTCCAATAAGTTTCCCATGTAATAGGGATAAAACTCTAACGGGATCCTGTTACTTTGCTTTGTTTGATGGCTTGACCCTGATATTAAGATAAAGTCTGAAATATTTGTGATGGCTTTTGAGGGCTTGCCCATCTCATGCCACCCTGTTCCGTGCTTGCTGTATTACGAGTGCATGGGCCGCCTTTGTGTTTTTCTGCTGTGCTGCGCTCCTCTCCAGCTCCAGGTCTGTGCACATGCTGTTCCTTCCATCCGGAACACCCTCCTCCTGCTCCCTGACCAGACACTTCTACTCAGGCTCCGGGACTCACCTTCAGTGCCATAAGTTCAGCACAACCTTCTCTGCCATCCCCAGCAGATTCTATATTGCCCTGATACATGTACTCACCCCCACTGGGCTTTTCCTCCATAGACTTGTCATAACTGGAATTCAATATTTCTTTAATGTTCATCTTTTCGGCCTATCTGTAAGCTCAAAGATGGCCAGGATCATGTCTATTCAGTTTGCCACTGTATCTCCAGCCCCTTATTAGTGTCAGGGATGTGGTAGGTGCCAAATAATTATTTGAATGACAATGAGTTCTTCAGATGAGTTGTCAGAATAAATTTCTAAATAAAAAGTGTGACTGTATAAGCCCCCAAGCCACAACTCTCCCCTCCCCTGACAAAACCAAGTAACTCAAAACTTATCCTTGAGTTCCTTGCTTATCAAAAGAAAAAAAAGGCCGAGTTCCCTAGTATCACACACGAGGGCTGCTGCAGTCTGACGTGCAGCCCGTCTTCCCAGCCTCACTCTTCACACTCCTGCCTGAACTTTCTGTGCCCCAGGCTCACCCATCCCCTGAGAACCCCCGACCCCATGTGGCTGCTAAGCTCGGGGCCTTGAATCTAATTCCTGGGTTCTTTTCCCCTCTTCTCTGTGTGGAGAACTTCAACACACTCTTCAAAACCCGGCTCAGACGAAGGAACCAAGGCCTTCACCCTCCTCTGAGAAGCCTCCACCATCACCCAACCAGCTCATACAGCCCCACTGGGCTGTATTATTCATGTAGAAGTCTGTGGTCTCTTTCACCCTCTTGTGAATCCTTTTAGGACAGGAATCCCAGCTTCTTCTCCATGTACCACCTGTGCCCAGCACAGGGGTAAGCCCACAATGCAATAAGAAAATACTTCCATCCCCTGCCCATAGTTCCTCTCTGCTCCAAGATGAGAAAGAACTCTACCTCCCTTCGTGCCTGGGGGTTGCCCCTGCTCTAATCCCTCCTAGTCATGCCCCTCCCACGGGAGGAGATGTTGATAGTCGGAGTGAACAGAGTAAGGATATTCTCTGGAACAAATCGTACTAGTGGGTGGGTGTCTGTATCTTAAAGGCAGGAACAGAGGCTCTGTGCCTCCTCCACCTGTTAGTCCAGCCAGGCACCCCACCCTGGATGCAGCTTTGGGCCTGAGGCCGAGAGGGTAAGTCACGCGGGGGCGACTCTGAGGCTCTCACCGTCTTAGGTTCAGGAGTGCTGGGTAAGAAACCCTTGCACAGACCTCCTGGCAAAGCTTATCTCCTTATCTCAGCTTTTCCCAGAGAGCCATGAGTGTGGGTGGGGGGGCAGTGAGGAAGGGATGCTGGATGCATGACCAGTTGCTAGTAATAAAGGGCTGCTTCATTTTCCACTGAAGCCTAGTACACCTAGTGTGTGCGCTTCACATAGGACACCTAGTGTGTGTGCTTCACTAGCCAGGTCCTCTGACCCACAACTACTCTTTCATATGACAATTGAGAATATGTGTTCTTGATTCGGAGTGCCTGGGCTCAAATCCCAGCTCAGCTACTTGCTCACTGAGTAACTTCGGACAAGGAATTAGGCCTCTATTTCCCTATCTGAAAAATCAGGGAACCAAAAATCCCTACCTCACAGGGCAAAATGAGAACCTTTGAGCACAATGCCTGGCACATGGGAAGCATCTATAACAGTTAGGGATCTCTGCTAGGGCACTGGAATGTAAGCTGTCTGAGGGCGGGAATGTGTCTGCCTTGCTCAGGGTTGTATTTCTCATGTCTGGAACTCAGCCTGACACATAGTGGGTGCTTAGTGAATGCTTATTGTATGAATTATTGTTGTTGCTATTGTTAATAATGTGTAGGAGGTGCTCCATGAAGCTTTTTTTTTTTTTTTTTTTTTTTTTTTGAGACAGAGTCTCACTCTGTTGCCCAGGCTGGAGTACAGTGGCATGATCTTGGCTCACTGCAACCTCTGCCTCCTGAGTTCAAGCAATTCTCTTGCCTCAGCCTCCTGAGTAGCTGGGATTACAGGAACGCACCACCATACCTGGCTAATTTTTTTGTATTTGTAGTAGAGATGGGGTTTCTCTATGTTGGCCAGGCTGGTCTCAAACTCCTGACCTCAGCCTCTCAAAGTGCTGAGATTACAGGCATGAGCCACTGCGCATGGCCTCCATAAAGCTTTTAAAGTGAAACAATGGATACATGAATGTCCCTCCAAAGCCAGGCTGCAGTACACAAGCTCACTGACAGATAGAAGAGTCTATTTTAATTAAAAGTATGGATGCAGACCAAGGAGATCTCTATTTTGCCTTTATCTGAAATGTCTGCAGAATTTTCCAGGTTTGAACAGCACTGGCATTTTGGAACAGTCACGTGGTGGGAACAGTGTCATTCATTCATCCCACGGGACTCCTCCCTGTCTCAAGTGCTCTTCTGGGTTCTATGGACACAGACAAACCAGGCACTGTTCCTGCCTCAAGGAGCTCCAGGCTCACAGGTGAGAGCTGGGGTAACACCTGGAGAACAGCCTCAGGTGTCCACCACATGAGGTTCCAGCTCTAGCTCTGTCCCTTACTTGGTGAATCCCCTGAGGATGCCTCCTCCTGTACCTTGAATGATGGGGTTGGACTAGACCGGTAGTTGTCAACTCTTTAGAGTAGAGGAACGCTTTGTTTCAGCAGTAAGGTAGAAGCTGAGGGTATAAAGCAGATGAAAAGGGAGCTGAGAGGGGAAGGGAGGTGGGCTCTGCCTGCCCATTCAGTCCCTGGGGCCTCCTGAGGAACCCAATAATTCGAAGAGTGGTGAACAAAGGACCCATTGGCATTGTTCGTGATTCTGAGATAATGCAACATAAGTGGTTCTGTTCTGTATTATCCAAGGAGGTTTTTTGCTTTTGTTTTTGTTTTTAAATAAACTTCTATTTTAGAATAATTTTAGATTTACAGGAAAAGTGTGCAATACTACAGAAAGAGTATCTATGCCCTAGGCATACCCAGGCCCTAAGAGCCCCCTGACCCACCTGGGGCTTCTCTGTACAGGCCACACACTCACTTTCTCCTATTATTAACATCTAACTTAAGTATAGTACAATCTTCACAATTAATGAACCAACCAGAATGGATACATTATTGTGAACAGGAGTCCATACTTTATTCAGATTTCCTTGAAGGTCCTTTCTCTGTTCCAGGGACCCATCGAAGATACCACATTGCTTTTAGTACTCATGTCTCTAACTTAGACCTTTTTGGCTGTGACAGTTTCTATCTTAGTTCAGACAGCCTGGGTGACTTAAAGAACACACATCTATGTCTCACAATTCTGGAGGCTGGAAAGTCCAAGATCAAGGTGCCAGCAGACGTCTGGGGAGGGCTCGCTTCCAGGCTTGCAGATGGCCGTCTTCTCACTGTGGCCTCGCAAGGTGGAGGAGCAGAGGGTGAAAGCAAGCTCTCGTATCTCTTCTTATAAAGTCACTAATCTCATTCATGAGGGCTCCACCCTCATGACCTAATGGCCTCTCAGGGGCCCCACCTCCTAATCCCATGACATTAAGGGTTAGGATTTCAACATATGCATTTTGTGGGGACACAGACGTTCAGTCCATAACAGTTTCTTAGGCTTTCCTTTTTTTAATGACCCTGACAATTTTGAGGGGTGCCAGTCAGGTATTTTGTAGACTATCTCTCAATTGGGATTTGTCTGATTTTTTCTCTTCATTATTAGACTAGGGTTATGGGTTTTAGGGAGAAAGGCCACAGAGGTAAAGTGCTGTGTTTATCTCATTTATCAAGAGTACACACTATTAACATGACCTCACTGCTGATGTTGATCTTGATCACTTGGCGGAGGCAGTGTTTGTCAGGTTGCTTTAGTGCAGTTTGTCTTTATTCCCCCTTTCCATATTGTACCCTTTGGAAGGAAGTCATTATATACAGCCCATACTAAGTGTTGGGGAGTTAATGCTGCACCTCCTTGAGGACCAAGTATCTACATAAATAATTTGGAATTCTGCAGGGGAGGATTGTCTCTTCCCCATTTATTTGGCCACTCATGTATTTATCTTAGTATGGACTTCTACATATGTATTTTATACTCTGGGTTATGATGCAATATTATTTTATATATTTTGTTCAAACTGTATCCAAAGGGTTTTGGTTCCAGAAGGACTGAGATATCAAATGGTCATGCCCTAGGGGAGAACCATGGTAGGGATACAGAGTGCTGGTGTGAGAGGGCAGGCGGGGACAGTTAGTTGTGGGAGACCTTCACTCCATCTGCACTTTGTGCTGTCACAGGGCCCCTGGCAGCTGCTGCTGAGGACATTTTGGGAAAGTAGGAAAGAGAAAGCACCCCTCTCACCCCTACTCACTACCCTTGAAAAATTAGAAAAGAATTCGACAAAGAAAGGCCAACCGGGCTGGAGACTACCTTCTGTTCCCCTGAGTGGTTCTGATGACAGGATTTAGAGGGGTAGCCACGTTTGCTCACATTATCTCCTGTTACTTGTGTCACATGTGGAAAAGCTTCTCGAGTCAACTGGGGAGCAAGGCAAAAGAAAACCTTGATGGTTTCACCTGCATGTGTACCTTAAAACACGTGCTCCATAGTGGAAGAGAACAGAAGTGTGCGTGTGCGGGCAAAGGCCTTTCCTGATGACTCACGGTGTCTGCCAACGGCACAGCAGAACCCAGCATGGGAGCTTAGCCACTGAGAGGGGCTGTTGGAGGCAGGAGGTCCAGTGCCAGCACCTGCCCCTTCATCAACTGGTCAGGGGACACTAGGCAGGATGCTCTGCCTCACACATCTCCGGGTCTTGCTTACCTTACCTGTAAAATGTAGGAGTTAGGAGCAAAGAATATAAATAACAGCAGCAAGGCCAGTGATAGCGCTGTCCGTATGGGTTCTTACTGCATAGTAAGTGCTGTGCTAAGTACGTGAGATGCACCATCTCATTTAACCCCCACAACAAACCTGAGAAGTCAGTTCTTGTCCTCATTTTATAGATAAAGAAACAGTAGTGTTCCAGTGGAAAAGAACACAGTTAGTAGCAGAACTGAAGTTTGAATCTTTTTGTTTGTTTTGTTTTTGAGACAGGGTCTCACTTTGTTGCCTAGGCTGGAGTGTAGCGGCATGATCACAGCTCACTGCAGCTTCAACCTCCTGGGCTCAAGCGATCCTCCTGCCTTAGCCTCTGCAGTGGCTCAGACTACAGGTGCATGCCACCACACCTGGCTCATTTTGTTAATTTTTTGTAGAGATGAGGTTTCACCATGTTGCCCAGGCTGGTCTTGAACTCCTGGGCTCAAGCAATCATCCTGCCTTGGCCTCCCAAAATGCTGGGATTACAAGTGTGAGCCATTGCCCCGAGCCATCTTTAAAAATTGTGCTAAAGGCCGGGCGCCATGGGTCGCGCCTGTAATCCCAGCTCTTAGGGAGGCAGAGGCAGGAGGATAGCTTGAGCCAGGAATTTGAGACCTGCCTGGACAATATAGTGAGACCCCGTTCTCCACACACACACACAAAAGACAACAAAAAGAAAAAAACAAGTGTAACTCCCCTTAAATTGGGGTAAAATATATAGAACATAAAATTGCCATTCTAACCATTTTTAAGTGTACAATTCAGTGGCGTTAAGTATAGTCACCTTGTTTTGCAACCATCCCCGCCGCTCATCTCCAGAAGTTTCTTGTCATTGCATATTGAAACTCTGTAGCTGAGAACAGTAACTCCCCATGGCCTCCTCTTCCAGGCCCTGGTAACTGTGGTTTGACTTTCTAGGACTGGGGCTTCTCTGAGGACAAATGCAGGCACTGGGACAGATCTCCTGGGCTTGAATCCTGTGCTACTCAGACAATTTTGTCCATTTCTGTGCCTCCACTTTCCCATCTGAAAATGGGGGGCACTCATAGCATTTGCCAAGAGAAAGGAGGCTGTGTTATCTGAGAGATGGCCCTTGAAGGAAAACCCGTGGAGGGAGCTGAGACAGCTTTAGGAGGCAAATGCAGACAGTTCAAGCTCATTAATTCAGACCTCACTGGTTTGGAGTCTGGCATGATTTGAAGCCAGGAAAACCAGGCTTCCTTTTTACTATTAATGATTATAAATAAGATTAGGTGGAGAAGTGCAAGGAAACTAAGGTAGGCCATTGTTATCATAATATTGCAAGGGAATGCTAATTCACACCAGCAAATAAACTATTCACAACTACTTTGAGGCTGCTGTTTATACATCGACAGTGTGCTAATTACACTCCTGCTTTCTCAAAGCGGGCTCCCTGGGTCTAATCTGTTAGCTCTTATTGGGAGAACTTTTTACATTGGAAGGCAGTTAGAGTGCTTTTCTTTAAAAATATTCTGTATGATTCAGACTTTTCACTTTACTTTGGCATTCACCAACCAGTGGATGATCCATGTGCCCCAGCACTGTGCCTGGCATAAGGGAAATGGAATGAATGATGCAGGCAGGGTGCTTGCAGGAGAGGCAGGCTTGGGGAGAGGCAGGCAGGGGCTACTGGGGAGCTGAAGAGAGAGCCTTCAGGGCATGGAGGTGCCTGGGCAAAGGCTTCTCAGGAGGAAGTAAAGGCTGACTTTGGTGCTAAAGGATAGGGGGTTCAGCTTGATGGGGGACCTGTTCCTCACCTCACAGCCTTTCACCTGTCCTCACCCCATATGTCTGTCTAGCTCCCTTTCCTTACCTTGTCACCTTTCATATGATGCTCAGCTGTCAAGTTGGAGCCCAAGGACCAGCTCCTGCAGGTAGCAGCACCCTTCGGGTGATGTGGCTGGGCCCTGGGAGCTATGGTAAGCTGAGGCATTGCCCCTGCTTTGAATTCATAGGACCTGATGTTAGGGCAGGATGGTAGAGTAATAGTTCTCAAAGCTGGCCACCCCTTAGGATCACCTGGCAAGCTAAAACCAAACCAAACCAGCAGATTCCTGGGTCTCTTCCCAAACCAATTACGTAAGTAGGAGAGAGAATCACAGCTATAGGGCTCACCACTCACACTGCTCAAAGGGATGCTTAACCCCACTATGCCTTAGATGGCTGTCAGACTGTTCTGTGTTTTTGTGGCTTTTCCCTCATTATGAGCATAACTCATTCATTACTTAAGCCAGCCAAACTTTATTGAGCATCTACTTAATACCAGGCATGGAACTGTAATCTGGAGGTTCAATAATGGATGGCATAATCCTGCCTTCAAGGACTTCATGGCTAGGGTGAGGGAACTGTGGTAAGAGAATAGTGTTCTGTGTGGCCAACGCTATCCTAGAGGAGGGAGCACGATTGTGTGGAGCACAGAACAGGCTGTGGGGAGTCACAGCTTGGAGGGGATGGGGAACATTTCCTAAAAGAGGTAGCATCCAGGATGGTCCTGGAAAGAAAGTAGGACTTTTCCAGGCCAAGAGGAGGGAAGGGACTTTGGGGCAGAGGGAACAGCAAGTGCAAAGGCTGAAAGTGTGAAGGTGGCTTGTGAATGTATTGCTCTGTGTCAGGCACTTTGCATTTATGAACTGTTCATAATCCTACAAGAACTGTTTTCATCTCCAATTTACAAATTAGGAAACTGAGGCATAGGGAGGCCAAACAACATAGCTAAGGTCACATAATCAGTAAACAGAGATTGAAACCAAGTTGTAACCCAACCCAGAGCAAGAACTAGTTACGAGAACATGGGTTGGGGGGGCGGGTGTGTGTAACAAGAGTCATGATCGTAACATGATCTTATATTTATTGACTGTTTATATAGTGCTCATTTCTAATACACATTTCCATTCTTTTTGTGTCCAACAAATCCTGGCTGAACTGGCCGGCAGTGAACTGCCCCTCAGCCCTCTGAAGCCAGATGGTATAGAAGGGTGACCAGAGGCTGTGGGCTGGTGGCAGGGTCAGGTGGGACTTCTGCGTGGGGCCGCTGGCCTTGGAGCTGCAAGACCAGGCTGTGGGGATCTCTAGCTCCAAGGGCGGATGCATTATACTGTGAGTGTCTGGAGTGCAGATGGCATTGGTTAGTGACTTCATGGGCTTCTGTGGTCAAAGGTTGAGGAGTGTCATTAATTTGGTTGAACGTAGATACTCATTTTGGTGCCACCTTTAGGTCTCCAGCTAATAACCCAGAGTTTCACTGAGGTTGTCCATGGTTGTAATACTGTGGGCATGTCTCTTTTTTTTTGGATCTTTTTTTTTTTTTTTTTTTATTGATCATTCTTGGGTGTTTCTCGCAGAGGGGGATTTGGCAGGGTCACAGGACAATAGTGGAGGGAAGGTCAGCAGATAAACAAGTGCACAAAGGTCTCTGGTTTTCCTAGGCAGAGGACCCTGCGGCCCTCCACGGTGTTTGTGTCCCTGTGTACTTGAGATTAGGGAGTGGTGATGACTCTTAACGAGCATGCTGCCTTCGAGCATCTGTTTAACAAAGCACATCTTGCACCGCCCTTAATCCATTTAACCCTGAGTGGACACAGCACATGTTTCAGAGAGCACAGGGTTGGGGGTAAGGTCATAGATCAACAGGATCCCAAGGCAGAAGAATTTTTCTTGGTACAGAACAAAATGAAAAGTCTCCCATGTCTACTTCTTTCTACACAGACACAGCAACCATCTGATTTCTCAATCTTTTCCCCACCTTTCCCCCTTTTCTATTCCACAAAACCGCCATTGTCATCATGGCCCGTTCTCAATGAGCTGTTGGGTACACCTCCCAGACGGGGTGGTGGCCGGGCAGAGGGGCTCCTCACTTCCCAGAAGGGGCGGCCGGGCAGAGGCGCCCCTCACCTCCCGGACGGGGCGGCTGGCTGGGCGGGGGCTGATCCCCCACCTCCCTCCCGGATGGGGCGGCTGGCCTGGCGGGGGCTGACCCCCCACCTCCCTCCCGGATGGGGCGGCTGGCCTGGCGGGGGCTGACCCCCACCTCCCTCCCTGACGGGGCGGCTGCCGGGCGGAGGGGCTCCTCACTTCTCAGACGGGGCGGCCGGGAAGAGACGCTCCTCACATCCCAGACGGGGTCGCGGCAGGGCAGAGGCGCTCCTCACATCCCAGACGGGGCGGCGGGGCAGAGGCGCTCCCCACATCTCAGACGATGGGCGGCCGGGCAGAGGCGCTCCTCACTTCCTAGATGGGATGGCGGCGGGGAAGAGGCGCTCCTCACCTCCTAGATGGGATGGCGGCCGGGCAGAGACGCTCCTCACTTTCCAGACTGGGCAGCCAGGCAGAGGGGCTCCTCACATCCCAGACGATGGGCGGCCAGGCAGAGACACTCCTCACTTCCCAGACGGGGTGGCGGCCGGGCAGAGGCTGCAATCTCGGCTCTTTGGGAGGCCAAGGCAGGCGGCTGGGAGGTGGAGGTTGTAGCGAGCCGAGATCACGCCACTGCACTCCAGCCTGGGCACCATTGAGCACTGAGCGAACGAGACTCCCTCTGCAATCCCGGCACCTCGGGAGGCCGAGGCTGGCGGATCACTCATGGTTAGGAGCTGGAGACCAGCCCGGCCAACACAGCGAAACCCCGTCTCCACCGAAAAAATACGAAAACCAGTCAGGCCTGGTGGCGCGCGCCTGCAATCGCAGGCACTCGGCAGGCTGAGGCAGGAGAATCAGGCAGGGAGGTTGCAGTGAGCCGAGATGGCAGCAGTACAGTCCAGCTTCGGCTCGGCATCAGAGGGAGACCGTGGAAAGAGAGGGAGAGGGAGACCGTGGAAAGAGAGGCAGAGGGAGACCGTGGGGAGAGGAAGAGGGAGAGGGAGCGGGAGAGGCAGAGGCAGAGGCAGAGGCAGAGGCAGAGGCAGAGGGAGAGGGAGAGGGAGAGCGCATGCCTCTTGTAAAAGTGATATTCTTATGGAACAGCTAAGAGATTACTTTTGAAAAGCAAGAGCTCTGGGCAATGAAAACCCAGTTCCTTGTTAGGACAATAAGTGACCAGCACATAAGGACAGTTGGAGCAAGAAGTCTCTGCTGTGTCCTAGAACTCAGCAGGAGGCCATTGATGATTCCTAACACCAGTTTTGAGGGACATGGGCCACTTGGCATTATAACAGAGCTCAAGTGGAAAGTGCTAATCACATGTTACACTGACAAAAGTTAAGACTTGTTTAAAATACATGTCTCTGGGAATCTTCTCTTGCAGAACCAAATAAACGAATTTGAGGAACAGGCCCAGTCTATGTTAAACATAAAGAGGATGAGAGAATTAATTAAAGAGGAGGGGCAGGATTTATCTCAGGGCCTGAAGCCTTGGGGCCTTGATTTGACACATCCATGACAGCCTCTGATGTTTATACTGAGATGCCTTCAGAATGCGTCCTCTCCACACAACGCAATGGGGAAATTAGATTAGCAAACATCATAGGACTGCAGTTCTGATATAGGGCTAATCTAGATGGCCCCTGAGTGAAGACTAGAAAAAGGAGTCCCTTCTGGAAGGAAGCAGCCCTGAGGTGCCCACCTTGGCCAGCCTGGGAGGCTGATTCCTTTGGTCTCCTTGCTCCATTGGCCAGGGGCCTTCATGAAACCCGCATACCTGTGCCTTGCAGTCCTGTTTGCAGAGGCCCTGTCACTGAGGTTGTGGCCTCTGAGTTTGACACCCCCTCCTCCAAGAGGGTAATCTGGAGTTGACCTGGGAGCCAGACAGACCTATGTTTGAATCCTAGCGCTGTCCATTGCTGGCTTTATTTTCTCACCTGTCAACTGGGAGTGGTCAGTCCCTACCTCATCAGGTTGTTGTGAGAATAATAAAATAATACCAGTAAAAGGCTTAGCACAGTGCCTGTCACTCAGCAAGTGCTCAGCGAAAGATAGGGTTAGAAGGTTGTCCCTGCCTTAGGACTCACAGATGAGCTGTTTTAAAAGTGTAGGTTTTATTATTATTCAACTATAGGGAGACAGCAGATCAGGAAACGATTGCCATTAAAAAGATAGTTTGTTACTCACAAGTCCCAAGAGGAGGGGGCACACCACACCACACAGGACCACGTCGAGGAGCACCGGGGTCTGTCAGGAGGCTGAAAGAGTGAGGTGGGGGGTGGGAGCCTTGGTTGTGGTTTCCATGGGAAGGAACAGGCACAGCAGGGAAAGTGGCCTTAGGATTGGCTAGTTTGAATAATTTCAGTGGGCTCTGGGGGGTAGGGGCTGTCTGGAGTTGTCTGGTACTTGGCCCTGGGGTGATTATGGCCTGGAGTATAAGAGCCTGAGAGAGCCCATTGAAGGAGGTGCCTGGAGGATGTGGGCTTTGGATTGGTTGTTTTGTTGTGAAAGACTCCCTTGAAAGGGAGTAGTTTGCATCTCTTGCAATTTGCTAGCCCTGAAAGGAATGGTCTCTCCCCAGTTAACAAGGCCACAGATGCCAGAGCATTAAGGATACAGTAAATAGGCCAGGTGTGGTAGCTCACTCCTGTAATCCCAGCACTTTGGGAGGCCGAGGCAGGTGGATCACCTGAGGTCAGGAGTTCGAGACCAGCCTGACTAACATGATGAAACCCCATCTCTACTAAAAATACAAAATTAGCTGGGCGTAGTGGCAGGCGCCTGTAATCCCAGCTACTCAGGAGGCTGAGGCAGGAGAATCGCTTGAACCTAGGAGGCGGAGGTTGCAGTGAGCTGAGATTGTGCCATTGCACCCCAGCATGGGCAACAAGAGCAAAATTCTGTCTCAAAAAAAAAAAAAGAATACAGAAAATAAAAAATATATAGTTATTGCACAGGTGAAGAAGGCAGATGGGTAGATTGGTAATTCCTGAGCACAGTGGTGAGGGTTCCATTCCAGTGATGCACACAGAGAATCGAGGAAGTAGGAAGACTCCCAAGAGAGCCTGTGAACTGAGTCGGGGCGAGGAGGGTGATGCGG
Source organism: Homo sapiens (assembly GCF_000001405.40). NCBI lineage: Eukaryota > Metazoa > Chordata > Mammalia > Primates > Hominidae > Homo > Homo sapiens. Next base: position 38,644,667 of record NC_000001.11, on the reverse strand, counting down.
GAGGGGCTTTCCCAGCAGAGAAGCCACAAGTATGAAGCCCAGTGCTGTGAGCAGATCTGGCCTGATGGACGACAATTGTGTATGACTGAAGTGTTGGAACCAGGGGAACCACGGCATGGTAGAGAGGACATGTCTGCAAAGGTTGGTTGGGGTCTATTCATCAAAGGCCTTGGATGCTCTGACAAGGAGTCTGGAATTGATCCCATAGGAAAGTGTGTGTGTGTGTGTGTGTGTATGCATGTGTGACTGTGAGTGTGTTCCAGTGGAATATCTTGTGCAAGTGAGTGTCCTGGCCCAAGTTCTGCTGTCGGCAAATTCATTTCACGGTGGGTTTGGGTCTAGACTGTGCTTCTCAATCTTGATGGCACATTTGACTCACTTTTGAGCACCTGAGGAGCTCTGTAGAAATACTGACACCTGAGCCCACTCCCCAGACCAGTGACATCAGAATCTCTAGAGGTAGGGCCTGGCAACTGACAGGGTTTTAAAAGTTCCCTAGGCCGGGCGCGGTGGCTCACGTCTGTAATCCCAGCACTTTGGGAGGCAGAGGCGGGTGGATCACGAGGTCAGGAGATCCAGACCACGGTGAAACCCCGTCTCTACTAAAAATACAAAAAAAATTAGCCGGGTGTGGTGGCAGGCGCCTGTAGTCCCAGCTACTCAGGAGGCTGAGGCAGGAGAATGGCGTGAACCCGGGAGGTGGAGCTTGCAGTGAGCTGAGATCGTGCCACTGCACTCCAGCCTGGGCGACAGAGCAAGACTCAGTCTTAAAAAAAAAAAAAAAAAAAGGTTCCCTAGATGTGATGGTTTAAAAGAGTGATTTTAAACTGCAGATTGCACCCCATCAATGGGTTGTGAAATCACTTTACTCTGTTGTGGCCAGTATTTTTACATCAAATAAAGCATATTAGAATACTAAATAACTAGAATGTATCAAGTGCTGTTAGGTGAAACTTTCGCTTAGTTATGCATACATACATCTATACACACAGATGTGTGTACTGGGTGGTGGTATGAAATGTATTTCATACCTATGAAAGGTGGTCTTAGTCAAATGTTTGAAAGCTCCTGGCCTAGAAGGGAGAAGGTGGAGTCATTCCCACCCGGTGCCCAAGGCTACAGGCCTTGCTCAGATAGTCCACGCTCTTGTATAGCTCCCCTTCCAGAGGGAAGAGACTGTGCCTTGGTTCTCTCCATGCTCCTCTACCGCAGCCTGGCACAGCCTTGTGGCTGGATAGGAGCAGCAGAAGCCAAGAGGTGGTGGGAATTGGTGGCCAGCCAGAGATATCCCATCTTATTTCCCCCCAGTTCTCTCTGTAAGAAACCATGGACCCAAAGACTGCGCATTCCAAGAGACCTTCTCAAGAACACACCAGGGCCTGAGACTGGCAACATCACCAGGGAATCATTTGGAGTCAGTCACCTCTTGTGTGCCAGGCAACATCTTAAGTGCCAGGTACTGAGCCAGGCATGGTATATGCATTTTCTATGGCTGCTGTAACAAATCATTACAAATTGAGTGGCTTAAAACAGCACAGAGTTATTCTCTTCCTGTTCTAGAGGTCAGAAGTCCAAAATAGGTCTTATTTGTCTAAAATCAAAGTGTTGGCAGAAACACATTCCTTTTGGAGGCTCTTTGGAAGAACCCATTTCTTTGCCTTTCCAGCTTCTAGAGGTTGCCTGTCTTCCTTGGTTTGTGGCCCCTTCCTTCATCTTCAAAGCCAGCAGTGTTGAATCTTCAAATCTCCCTATTTGACTCTTGCCCTCCTGCCTCCCTCTTGTAAGAATCCCTGTGATTACATTAGATTACAATAACCCAGATAATCCAGGGCTGTCTTCCAATCCCAAGATCCATAACTAAATCACACCTGCAAAGTGCTTTTGGCCATGGAAGATAACATATCCCCAAATTCCTGGATACAGGATTAAGATGTGGGTATCTTTGGGGAACCATTATTTTGCCTACCACAATACCTATCTGTTTCCAATTTTTTTGTTTGCAATGTTTATGTCTCCATTAGACTGTGAGCTTCTTGAGGATGAGAATTTTGTAAGGTTTGTATCCTTGGCATGTAGCACATTGCTTAACACTGCAGCTATTGGCAAACATTAGTCTGAGCAAATATGTCTTGACCTCTTCCTCTTGTGGATAAGATCACAGATGCCTAGATATATGAGTGGCTTGGTCAAGGTTTTACAGATTCTAGTGGCAGAGCTGGATTCAGAACCCAGGTCATCTGAGTCTTTCAATTTTTACACCTAAACTGACAGTGGCCCAAATTCTATCAGTGAATGAGATATCCTATCCTATTCCCCTGGGCTGACATTGACGTTTCTCCCAATCCTGCTGGCTGTGATTGTTTAGAAGGATATGGCTTATCCATGCAGAGTACAAGGAAGAGTTCAAGCTATGGAACCCATAAGACCTAGGTCTAAATCCTGGTTTTGATATGGGAAGGGGGCAGAAAAGTGCTGGGTAGAGAAGGATGGGGTCCCTGGCGAGGGCTCCACCCTCAGGCCTATGCCCATGGACCTAAGTGAGAACAGGCACTCCTGCTTTTGCACCCAAATGTTGCATTTTCCAAGACCACCCTCACCTGCCATGCACCCCATCCTGTGCCCATATAAACCCGAGACCCTAGCAAGCACAGACACAAGCAGAGAATGTTGAGCAGGCACAGACACCAGCTGACCGGCAGACCAGCAACAGCGGAATGACATGGCAGAGAAACAGAGAAGAAGAAGGACATCTGGACACCAAGGGGAGTTCAGTCAGGTTGGGGCTAGGGGCAGTAGGAGAAGAGTCCAGCTGCCGGGTGGCCCAACTCCAGGGGAAGACCACCTTCCCACTCCATCCCCCACTTCCGACTCCCCATCTGTCTCGCTGAGAGCCACCTCCACCACTCAATAAAACCTTGCACACATCCTTTGAGCCCACATGTGATCCAATTTTTCTGGTACACTGGGCAAGAGCTCGGGGTACAGAAAGCTGTCACACTGGCCCTCTGCCCTTGCGATAAGGCAGAGGGTCTATTGAGCTAATTAACACAAGGTGTCTGCAGACAGCAAAGCTGAAAGAGCACACTGTAACACACACCCACTTGGGCTTTGGGAGTCACAGACACCCACCCCTAGACACTGCTATGGGGCTGGATCCCAAAAGTGCTCCCCACAGCCTCTGCACCTGCCTGTCTGCATGCTTCCCCTAGGGGTTTGAGCACTGGGGCAACTGAAGGATCAAGCCACACCCCTGTCACACATCCTGTGAGGGGGATAAGGGAACTCTCTTGTTTCAGTTTCACCTTGTAACAGTTAGCTATTGCTGTGTAACGAGCCACCAGTATAAGTCAGGGTTCTCCAGAGAAACAGAACCAATAGGATAGATAGATGATAGATAGATAATTAGATAGATAGATTGATAGATAGATAGACATATGAGGAGATTTATTATAGGAATTGCCTCACATGATTGTGGAGGCAGAGGTCTCACAATATGCCATCAGCAAGCTGGAGCACCAGGAAAACCAGTAATATAATTCAGTCCTAGTCTAACAACCTGAGAACCAGGGAGCCTCTGGTGTAAGCCTTGAAGGCTGAAGACCCAAGAACCAGGAGCTCTCATGTCTGAAGGCAGGAGAAGATAGATGTCTAGCTTAAGAAGAGAGGGAATTTTACTTTCTTTGCCTTTTTTGTTCTATTTGGGCCATAAACAGATTGAATGATGTTCACACACCTTGATGAGGGTGATCTTTGCTCAGTGTACTGATTCAAAAGCTAATCTCTTCTGAAAACACCCTCACAGACACACCCATAAATAGTGTTTAAGCAGATATCTGGGCATCCCTTAGCCAGTTAAGTTGACACATTAAATTAACCATCACTCTACCTCAAAACCTCGTGGCTTAAGAAAGCAATTTATGATTTCTCATTAGTCCGTGGGTTGGCTGGAGAGTTCTGTCGATCTGGGACAGACATGGCTGATCTTGGCTGGGCTTGCCCATGTGTCTGTGGTCACCTAGTAGGTCAGCTAGGGTCTGAGTGGTCTGGAATGACTGAAGCTGAGACAGATCAGATCATGTAGTTTCTTATTGTCTAGTAGGCAAGCCTGGATTTGTTCTCATGGCAGTGGCAGTGTTCTGAGTGATAGTAGAAGTGCACAAGCTCAGAACTGGCACATCATGACTTTTGCTGCATCCTGTTGACTAAAGCAAGTCAGAGACTGGATTCGCAGGTATGGAAATCTCTCCATGTCTTTATGGGAACGTCTTTAAATCATCTTGCAAAGGGCAGGAATACAGGGAGAGATGGGAAATTGGGGTCAATTTAATAGTTAATCTACCATATTCCATGACTGGCCAAGTTTCTTAATTCCTCTCATCCTTAGTTTCTTCATCTGAAAAATGGGAAATAATAATAATATCTATTTCATTATGGTGAGTATTAAATAGGATAAAACATATAGGACACTTAATAATGCCTACCATGGTGCTTAATAATGACAGCAGTTGCAGTGCTCAATGAAGACAGCAGTTAGTATGATTACTGTTGCTATTGTTATTGTTATTGCAATAATAATTGTTATGATTATCATAGTTATTACAAAGACTGGCAGAAAACTGTGGTTCTGATATGGGATAGCAAATGCTTCCATGGTAAACCTGACTTTGCTGGTGTAGGGGCAAAGAGGTGTGATAAGGGCAAAAAAAGGATGATGTGCTTTGGCTTTGTGTCCCCACCCAAATCTCATGTTGAATTGTGATCTTCAGCGTTGGAGGAGGGGAGCCTGGTGGGAAGTGATTGAATCATGGGGGCAGACTTCTCCCTTGCTGTTCTCGTGATGGTGAATGAGTTTTCATGAAATCTAGTTGTTTGAAAGTGTGTAGCACTTCCCCCTTTGCTCTCTCTTTCTTTCCTGCCACCATGTGAAGAAGTGCTTGCTTCTTTTGCCCTTACACCATGATTGTAAGTTTCCTGAGGCCTCCCCAGCCATGCCTCCTGTACAGCCTATGCAACTGGGAGTCAATTAAACCTCTTTTCTTTGTAAATTACCCAGTTTCAGGTAGTTATTTATAGCAGTGTGTGAATGGGATAATACAAAGGTGTGATATCTTTCTTTACCCATCATAAGGGTCATGGCCAATACGCCTTTATAACAAAGGACAGATTAGCAAGAGAATAACATAATAGATTTATTTAATCAAAGTTTTAGGTGACACAGGATCCTTCAAAAATGAAGAGCCAAAGACTCAGGCAAAACTGTCCGTTTTAATGCTTATATTAGATGAAGGATGCACAGCCATGTAGAGAGACAACTGGACAAAAGGGAATGACCTAATGGTAGTAGACTGAGGGCAGGGAGACCAAGCAAGGCCCGTCTGTTCAGACTCTTCTTGGCCTTTCTCTGTAACATTCCTCCCACTCAGGTACAGGGTAGGACCCCTCTGGAATGAGGGTCTTATGACCTATCCTCAGACAAGGTGGGTCAGATAATTTCTTTATGGCTGGCTCCTACACAGAAAGGCAGGAGAAGGTTAAAGTAATAGGTCTAGGTTTTATGGCTTGCTTTGGGGCAGAGGGGTTCTACTTCCTTGAAACCACCTTGGGGAAGAAGAATTCCAGTTTCTATTACTTGCTTCATGGGAGAAGAGAGGTAAGAGGGGTAAGAGAGCGGAAAGGAGGAGAAGGTCAGGGAGAACTTGCTTCTGAGGCCTTCCAATCTCCTTTAGTTCAAAGTACTCGGCATGCCAAAGCACCACAGTTTAGGGTGTAATTTTTTGAGCCCTAACATTGGGAAAGGGAAGAGGCCAAAACTTGGCAGTTTTTCAGGTTATTGAGCACTTATTACCATTTCCTTCCATTTATAAGCAGATGATTATCATTCAAGATAAATATGAAAACAGCACTTAAGGATAGCATGGGACTTGAATTAAGAGGACCTGGATCCATATACTAGTTCTTCATTTTATTAGCTGTGAGGATTTGGACAAATTCCTTTACCTCTCTGAGTTGTGATTTTTTATCTGTAAAATGGAGATAATAGTACCTACTTCACAAGTCTGTTACACGAGCTCAATCAATGGATATAGGTTAAAAAAAAGCTTTGTAAGCAGTAAAGCACTAGGCAAATATTAGTTATAATCAGTGCTTTCCTTTTGCCATTTGCATCTATGACCTCAAAAGCACATCTCAGGATGACAAAGCTTTAAAAATATGATGAAGTTTCTTGGCTCTCCAGTATCTGTGAGCAGGAAACTTCTTTAAACTTGTGTGATTTTCCAGCAGTTGCCCAAGCTTAAAAATTTCATAAAAAAGGACAAATTCCAAATGTTCAACCTTCTAAAATAAAAAGGAATGACTCACAGGTCATTAGCATCCCTGGAATATAGTGGCTTCTGTTTTATTGCTATTAAGTAGGATTTAGCTCTATTTTATTAAGGCAATTTTTACAATCATGTGAGAGGTTAATGCATTTCGCACATAATCCATGCCTAGCTCACTAAATGCTGAACCCATTAAAGCCAAGCCATACAGGGGAAAATTTCAAGACAAAGTGACATATTACGGGTGGTATGGAATGAATGACTGAAGGTATCTGAGGGTTTTTTTTTTTTCCTCTTTAAAATTTAAAATTCGTTCTCAAGCAGGAAAATAACAGGGTTGTCCTGGCAAAAATACTTATTTAGGAGCATGTTGCTACAGCAGGGAGGCTCTGCTGGGGGTCGATGAACCGATGCCTAGGCTATTAACGCTGGGGCCACTTAGAGAGAACCTTTTCGAAAAGCCCCAACTCCCTTGTCAGTAAGGTTTACTTGTGTTATTTCTATACATCCTAGCACCTGAAAGATGGTAGGAAATGCCAAGAAAACTGCATTTATTAAGCAATATTGGATTTCTTCCTCATAATACTCTCCTCACCAAAGACATAGATGATTGGAGTTTTGAGTAGATAGGTCACTATGACCACATGGATCTGAAGGCTGGAGAAGAAGGAGGCAGGGGCCAGATCACGAAAGCCTTTGTGATTTTTTTTTATAAAGAGAGTTTCAGTTTTATCCTTTTGGATGTAGGAAGCAGGGCAGGAGTTGTTTTTATTTTTGTTTTTTAAATCACCTTTACTGAGGTATGTTACACACAGTAAAATGCACCCATGCATCAGCTTTCGTTTTTTTGTCTTTTGTTTTGAGATGGAGTCTTGCTCTGTCGCCCAGGCTGGAGTTCAGTGGTGTGATCTTGGCTCACTGCAAGCTCTGCCTCCCAGTTTCACACCATTCTCCTGCCTCAGCCTCCCCAGTAGCTGGGACCGCAGGTGCCCGCCACCACATCTAGCTAATTTTTTTGTATTTTTAGTAGAGGTGGGGTTTCACCGTGTTGGCCAGGACAGTCTCGATCTACTGATCTTGTGATCCACCCATCTCGGCCTCCCAAATTGCTGGGATTCCAGGTGTGAGCCACTACACCTGGCCCATCAGTTTTAAGGATACAGTTTGATGAATTCTAACAAATGTATTCATTTGCATAAATACTGCCACAATTAAGATGTGGAACACCCTTGTCACTCCCCTAGATTTCCCTCGTGTCCTTTTATGTTTTCTCTCTATTCCCTCCCATCTCTGACCTAGACAGCCACTGGTCTGATTCATCACTATACAGATTGATTTATTTTATTTTAGAAGTTAGCATAATGTTTTTGGTCCATGTTCTTGCGTGTGTCAGTACTTCATTCCTTTATATTGCTGAGTAGTAGTCCATTGTATGGATTTCCACAATTGGCTTCTCTATTTGCCTATTGATGCACATTTGAGTGCATTTGGATTGTTTTCTAGTTTCTAGTTTTACAAATAAAGCTGTTATGAATATTCATGTACAAATCTCTGTGTGGACATATTTTCATTCCCCTTGGACAAATATCTAGAAGTGGAATTGCTGGGCCATATGATAAGCATATGTTTAAGTTGTACCAATCTCTTTTTTTCTGATGTAGTAAGATTTTTGAGCTCCTACCAGCAATGTATGAGAATTCCAGGAGCTTCATATCCTTGTAATTTTAGCCATTCTGGTGGGTTTGCAGTGTTATCTTGTTGTCTTTTAATCTGCATTTCCCTAATGACTAATGATATTGACATCTTTTCATGTGCTATTGAGGGCAGGATTTTAAACAGAGGACTCTTAGGGTCAAATTTGTGTTTAGGCTCTTGAACCAAGGTACCAACTAAATTCTCCAATTTGATTTCTTCTCATCATTCCTGCTGAAGTGATAAAACCAAGGAACAGGGAAATCCTATGTAAGTGCTGAAAACCACAAAGAGATCTCACCCACCCATCTGAAATCTCTGCAGATTTTGGCAATAAACAAAGGAAGAGGAGAGCATGAGTATAGATGGAGGCAAGCACGGACTGCTCTCTCTGCTATCCATTGAGTGAAGCAATTCCCACTCTGCCCCCCGGCCCCTAATTCTTCTTGGATCAGAGTGGAACAGATGGAAACAGATAAAGGAAAAGTTCCATGTCAGAAATTTCAAGTTGTTCCCTAACATCCATTCTCTTCTTGTTTCATAGCAATAGAACGTTTAGCTGATCAAGTGGCTACCCAGAATACAGAGAATATTGTCTAGCCTCCCTGGCAGCTAGGTATGGTCATAGGATTGAGTTCTAATCACTAGAATATAAGTAGAAATGGTGAGGGTCGTTTCCAGAAAGTGGTTCTTAAAGGGAGGATGTGTGATCTTTCCCCATCTTCCTACTGCTGACTGGAATATAGACTTGATGGCTGGAGCTTGAGCATCCATTTTGAACCATGCAGTCCAAGACCGTATGCTGAGGAAGGTGGAGCAATAAGATTGAATGAGCCAGAGCCCCTGACACTGTGAAACATCCTATCAACCTGAGATTGATAACCTCTGGGTTTCTTTTGCCTGAAAGAGAAATAAAGTTATATCTTATTTAAAGCACTGTTTACATTTGCTGTCACTTGTAGCTGAAACTAATTCTAATTCATAAGCCCTAACTGCTGGCTGCCCTCAGTCAGTAGTAGAGGAAGGTACAGTGACTTACTAATCACCAACAGATTATCCAGAGTAAACCATCTCTAAACCTCATCAACAAGTATGAGCAAATGGTGAAAAGCTGCTGGCACTATGAAAAGACTTAGCAATTTAAAGAGAAGGACTGAGGAACCAATGTAAAACATACAGCACAAACTATATCCAGCAAAAGTTTCTTCAGGAAATAAGAAAGAACTTTAAAAAGCCCTCTTAATTGTACTTTTAGTGAGATTTGAAGTGCTGTAAGGTTGATTTAAAAAGATCAATCTTGGGGGGAGTTGCCAAGATGGCCGAATAGGAACAGCTCCAGTCTGCAGCTCCCAGCATGATCTACGCAGAAGATGGGTGATTTCTGCATTTGCAACTGAAGTACCTGGTTCATCTCACTGGCACTGGTTGGACAGTGGGTGCAGCCCATGGAGGGCAAGCTGAAGCGGGGAGTGAGGGGGGTGTTGCCTCACCTGGGAAGTGCAAGGGGTTGGAGTATTTCCCTTTCCTAGCCAAGGGAAGCTGTGACAGACCACCTGGAAAAACGGGACACTCCCCACCCAAATACTGCACTTTTCCCAAGGTCTTAGCAACCAGCAGACAAGGTGATTCTCTCCTGTGCCTGGCTCAGTGGGTCCCACACCCACAGAGCCTTGCTCACTGCTAGCGCAGCAGTCTGAGATCAATCTGCAAGGCAGCAGCCTGGCTGGGGGAGGGGTGTCCACCATTGCTGAGGCTTGAGTAGGTAAACAAAGTGGCCGGGAAGCTTGAATTGGGCAGAGCCCACCACAGCTCAACAAGACCTACTGCCTCTAGACTCCACCTCTGTGGGCAGGGCATAGCTGAACAAAAGGCAGCAGACAACTTCTGCAGACTTAAACTTCCCTGTCTGACAGCTCTGAAGAAAGCAGTGGTTCTTTCAGCACGGTGTTTGAGCTCTGAAAATGGACAGACTGCCTCCTCAAGTGCATCCCTGACCCCTGTGTAGCCTAACTGGGAGACACCTCCCAGTAGGGGCCAACAGACACCTCATATAGGTGGCTGCCCCTCTGGGACGAAGCTTCCAGAGGAAGGATCAGGCAGCAATTTAAATCAAATTTGCTGTTCTGCAATATTTGCTGTCCTGCAGCCTCCGCTGGTGATACCCAGGCAAACAGGGTCTGGAGTAGACCTCCAGCAAACTCCAACAGACCTGCAACTGAGGGTCCTGACAGAAGGAAAACTAACAAACAGAAAGGAATAGCATCAACATCAACAAAAAGGTAATCTACACCAAAACCCCATCTCTAGGTCACCAACATCAAAGACCAAAGGTAGATAAAACCACAAAGATGGGAAGAAACCAGAGCAGAAAAGCTGAAAATTCTAAAAACCAGAGCACCTCTTGTCCTCCAAAGGATCACAGCTCCTCGCCAGCAATGGAACAAAGCTAGACAGAGAATGACTTTGACAAGTTGACAGATGTAGGCTTCAGAAGGTCGGTAATAACAAACTTCTCCAAGCTAAAGGAGGATGTTAGAACCCATTGCAAGGAAGCTAAAAACCTTGGAAAAAAGAAAAAAGATTAGATGAATGGCTAACTAGAATAAACAGTGTAGAGAAGACCTTAAATGACCTGATGGAGCTGAAAAACATGGCACGAGAACTTTGTGATGCATGTATAAGCTTCAATAGCCAATTTGATCAAGTGGAAGAAAAGATGTCAGTGATTGAAGATCAAATTAATGAAATAAAGTGAGAAGAGAAGTTTAGAGAAAAGAGAATAAAAAGAAATGATCAAAGCCTCCAAGGAATATGGGACTATGTGAAAAGACCAAATCTACATTTGATTGGTGTACTTGAAAGTGATGGGGAGAATGGAACCAAGCTGGAAAACACTCTTCAGGATGTTATCCAAGAGAACTTCCCCAACCTAGCAAGGCAGGCCAACATTCAAATTCAGGAAATACAGAGAACACCACAAAGATACTCCTTGAGAAGAGCAACCCCAAGACACATAATTGTCAGATTCACCAAGGTTCAAATGAAGAAAAAAGTGTTAAGGGCAGCCAGAGAGAAAGGTCGGGTTACCCGCAAAGGGAAGCCCATCAGACTAACAGCAGATCTCTCGGCAGAAACCCTAGTTTCTCTATCCAGAATAGAGTGGGGGCCAATATCGAACATTTTTAAAGAAAAGAATATTCAACCCAGAATTTCATATCCAGCCAAACTAAGCTTCATAAGTGAAGGAGAAATAAAATCTTTTACAGACAAGAAAATGCTGAGAAATTTTGTCACCACCAGGCCTGCCTCACAAGAGCTTTGAAGGAAGCACTAAACATGGAAAGAAACAACTGGTACCAGCCACAGCAAAAGCATGCCAAATTGTAAACACCATCAATGCTATGAAGAAACTGCATCAATTAATGGGCAAAATAACCAGCAAACATCATAATGACAGGATCAAATTCATACATAACAATATTAACCTTAAGTGTAAATGAGCTAAATGCCCCAATTAAAAGACACAGACTGGCAAACTGGATAAAGAGTCAAGACCCATCAGTGTGCTGTATTCAGGAGACCCATCTCACGTGCAAAGACACACATAGGTTCAAAATAAAGGGATGTAGGAAGATCTATGAAGCAACTAGAAAGCAAAAAAAAAAAAAAAAAAAAAAGGAGGGGTTGCAATCCTAGTCTCTGATAAAACAGACTTTAAGCCAGTGAAGATCAAAAGAGACAAAGAAGGCCATTACATAATGGTAAAGGGATCAATTCAACAAGAAGAGCTAACAATCCTAAATATATATGCACCCAATATAAGAGCACCCAGATTCATAAAGCAAGTCCTTAGAGACCTACAAAGAGACTTAGACTCCCACACAATAATAATGGGAGACTTTAACACCCAACTGTCAATATTAGACAGATCAACGACACAGAAAGTTAACAAGGATATCCAGGACCTGGACTCAGCTCTGCACCAAGCAGACCTAATAGACATCTATGGAACTCTCCACCCCAAACCAACAGAATACACATTCTTCTCAGCACCACAACACACTTATTCTAAAATTGACCACATAATTGGAAGTAAAGCACTCCTCAGCAAATGTAAAAGAATAGAAATTGTAACAAACTGTCTCTCAGACTATGGTGCAATCAAATTAGAACTCAGGATTAAGAAACTCACTCAAAACCGGTCAACTACATGGAAACTGAACAACCTGCTCCTGAATGACTACTGGGTAAATAACGAAATGAAGGCAGAAATAAAGATGTTCTTTGAAACCAATGAGAACAAAGACACAATGTACTAGAATCTCTGGGACACATTTAAAGCAGTGTGTAGAGGGAAATTTATAGCACTAAATGCCCACAAGAGAAAGCAGGAAAAATCTAAAATTGACACACTAACATCACAATTAAAAGAACAAGAGAAGCAAGAGCAAACACATTCAAAAGCTAGCAGAAGGCAAGAAATAAGTAAGATCAGAGCAGAATTGAAAGAGATAGAGACAGAAAAAAAACCTTCAAAAAATCAATGAATCCAGGAGGTGGTTTTTTGAAAAGATCAACAAAATTGATAAATTGCTAGCAAGACTAATAAAGAAGAAAAGAGAGGAGAATCAAATAGACACAATAAAAAATGATAAAGGGGAAATCACCACTGATCCCAGAGAAATACAAACTACCATCAGAGAATACTCTAAACACCTCTACACAAATAAACTAGAAAATCTAGAAGAAATGGATAAATTCCTGGACACATACACTCTCCCAAGACTAAATCAGGAAGAAGCTGAATCTCTGAATAGACCAATAACAGGCTCTGAAATTGAGGCAAGAATTAATAGCCTACCAACCAAAAGAAGTCCAGGACGAGACGGATTCACAGCCAAATTCTACCAGAGGTACAAAGAGGAGCTGGTACCATTCCTTCTGAAATGATTCCAATCAATAGAAAAAGAGGGAATCCTCCCTAACTCATTTTATGAGGCCAACATCATCCTGATACTAAAGCCTGGCAGAGACACAACAAAAAAAGAGAATTTTAGACCAATATCCCTGATGAACATCAATGCAAAAATCCTCAATAAAATACTGGAAAACCAAATCCAGCAGCACATCAAAAAGCTTATCCACTATGATCAAGTGGGCTTCATCCCTGGGATGCAAGGCTGGTTCAACATATGCAAAGCAATAAACACAATCCATCACATAAACAGAACCAATGACAAAAACCACATGATTATCTCAATAGATGCAGAAAAAGTCTTTGACAAAATTCAACAGCCCTTCATGCTAAAAACTCTCAATAACCTAGGTATTGATAGAACATATCTCAAAATAATAAGAGCTATTTATGACAAACCCACAGCCAATATCATACTGAATGGGCAAAAACTGGAAGCATTCCCCTTGAAAACTGGCACAAGACAAGTATGCCCTCTCTCACCACTCCTATTCAACATGGTGTTGGAAGTTCTGGCCAGGGCAATCAGGCAAAAGAAAGAAATAAAGAGTATTCAATTAGGAAATAGGGAAGTCAAATTGTCCCTGTTTGCAGATGATATGATTGTTTATTTAGAAAACCCCATCATCTCAGCCCAAAATCTCCTTAAGCTGATAAGTAACTTCAGCATAGTCTCAGCATACAAAATCAATGTGCAAAAATCACAAGCATTCCTATATACCATTAATAGACAAACAGAGAGCCAAATCATGAGTGAACTCCCATTCACAATTGCTACAAAGAGAATAAAATACCTAGGAATCCAACTTACAAGGGATGTGAAGGACCTCTTCAAGGAGAACTACAAACCACTGTTCAACAAAATAGAAGAGGACACAAACAAATGGAAGAACATTCCATGCTCATGGATAGGAAGAATCAATACCATGAAAATGGCCGTACTGCCCAAGATAATTTATAGATTCAATGCCATCCCCATCAAGCTACCAATGACTTTCTTCCCAGAATTGGAAAAAACTACTTTAAAGTTCAGATGGAACCAAAAAAGAGCCCGCATTGTCAAGACAATCCTAAGCAAAAAGAACAAAGCTGGAGGCATCATACTACCTGACTTCAAACTATACTACAAGGCTATAGTAACCAAAACAGCATGGTACTGGTACCAAAACAGATATATAGACCAATGAAACAGAGCAGAGGTCTCAGAAATAATGCCACGCATTTACAACCTGATCTTTGACAAACCTGACAAAAACAAGCAACGGGGAAAGGATTCCCTATTTAATAAATGGTTCTGGGAAAACTGGCTAGCCACATGTAGAAAGCTGAAACTCGATCCCTTCCTTACACCTTATATAAAAATTAATTCAAGATGGATTAAAGACTTAAGTGTTAGACCTAAAACCATAAAATCCCTAGAAGAAAACCTAGGCAATACCATTCAGGACATAGGCATGGGCAAGGACTTCATGACTAAAACACCAAAAGCAATAGCAACAAAAGCCAAAATAGACAAATGGGATTTAATTAAACTAAAGAGGTTCTGCATGGCAAAAGAAACTACCATCAGAGTGAATAGGCAACCTACATAATGGGAGAAAATTTTTGCAATCTACCCATCTGACAAAGGGCTAAATCCAGAATCTACAAAGAACTCAAACAAATTTACAAGAAAAAAACAAACAACCCCGTCAAAAAGTGGGCAAAGGATATGAACAGACATTTCTCAAAAGAAGACATCTATGCAGCCAACAGACATGAAAAAATGCTCATCATCGTTGGTCATCAGAGAAATGCAAATCAAAACCACAATGAGATCCATCTCATGCCAGTTAGAATGGCAATCATTAAAAAGTCAGGAAACAACAGATGCTGGAGAGGATGTGGAGAAATAGGAAAGCTTTTACACTGTTGGTGGAAGTGTAAATTGGTTCAACCATCGTGGAAGACAGTGTAGTGATACCTCAAGGATCTAGAACTAGAATTACCATTTGACCCAGCAATCCCATTACTGGGTATATACCCACAGGATTATAAATCATGCTACTATAAAGACACATGCACATGTATGTTTATTGTGGCACTATTCACAATAGCAAAGACTTGGAAACAATCCAAATGTCCATCAATGATAGACTGGATTAAGAAAATGTGGCACATATATACTATGGAATACTATGCAGCCATAAAAAAGGATGAGTTCATGTCCTTTGCAGGGACATGGATGAAGCTGGAAACCATCATTGTCAGCAAACTATCACAAGGACAGAAAACCAAACACTGCATGTTCTCACTCACAGGTGGGAACTGAACAATGAGATCACTTGGACATAGGGCGGGGACCATCACACACTGGGGCCTGTTGGGGTGGGGGGCTGGGGGAGGGATAGCATTAGGAGAAATACCTAATGTAAATGATGAGTTGATAGGTGCAGCAAACCAATTTGGCACATGTATACCTATGTATCAAACCTGCACATTGTGCACATGTACCATAGAACTTAAAGTATTAAAACAAAAAAGATCAATCTGAAAACAATAAAGAAGTCTTAGAAAGGAAAGGCATGATTTTCAAATTAAAGCACCCCATAGAGGCCATATATAGCAGAATGGATACTTCAAAAACCAACCTGAATAATCAGTAAACTTACTTGAGAAATTCTCCCAAAACTCAGAAGAAGGTATGAGGAGGTGCAACAAAAATGCTGAGGGAAAAGAAAAGAATTTTAGAGAGATCAGGGAAATGTAAGCAAAATAGCATGAGGGCCAGATCCAGAGAGGCTACCTCCATATAAAGGAAGTCCCAGAAGGAGGGGACTTTATCGAGGTGAAATTATAATAAAAGAAACACTAAAAGAAAATGTCCTGTCCTTGAGTTGAAAAACTATACATCTTCAAATAAAAATATTCACCAAGGGTTGGGAGAAAACATTAAAGGAAGCTTAGAACTTGGAAGACTATCCTAAAAGGAAGAGTCAGAAAAACCAACAAGAAAAGAGGATTGGACTATTGTCCGATTTATCTTCAAATTGTGCTCAAACATAGTGGAAAATATTTACCAAATTCCGAGGAAAAATTATTGTGACTCTATAGTTTTTCCTAAAAAATAAACTATTAAAATAATGAAAGCCTTTGTTACCTCTATGTGCCACACACTGTTCAAACTGCATTTGTTGAATTATTTCAATTAACACTCACAACAATCCCATAAGGTAGCTACTATTATCCTTTTTACAGGTGAGGAAATTGAGGCACAGAGAAGTTAAGTAAGTTGCCCAAGGTCACACAGTATAGAAGTAGACAGTATAGAAGAGATAGAGATGAATTTAATTCATGCTGTTAACCAACCAGACTTTAATCAAGCATTCTCACATGTAAATGTAAAACTGCAACTATGATAAGTACCATGAGGAGGTGGTATGGAATTCATGGATTTAGGGATCCAGCCTGTCATTTTACAGATGAATGGCATATAGCCACCATTTATTGAATGCCTTTTTCCCTAAAACAAACAAAGAAAGAAACAAACAAAAAAACAAAACAAAGCAACAACAAAATAAAACAAAGCCAGGTACTGAGTGTCACCCAAAGGGAAAAGCTAGAGGAAAGGACCTGGGTAATGATTTTCCTCTTACATGGAGCACTTAGAAACTCAGATGTGAAAGGGACCATGGCCAATGTGGTGCCTCACACCTGTAATCCCAGCACTTTGGGAGGCTGAGGCGGGTGGATCACCTGAGATCAGGAGTTCAAGACAAGCCTGGCCAATATAGTGAAACTCTGTCTCTATAAAAATTAGCCCAGCGTGGTGGCTGGTGCCTGTAATCCCAGCTACTCAGGAGGAGAATCACTTGAATCACTTGAACCCGGGAGGCAGAGGTTGCAGTGAGCCGAGATGGCGCCACTGCACTCCAGCCTGGGCAACAGAGCAAAACTCTGTCTCAAAAAAAGAAAGGGACCATGCCTATCAGAGGAGTGGGTCATCTTCAACATACCCAATGCCTGCTTATAGACCATGTTAATGGGGAGCTCACTACCTCCTCAGGACCCCAAGTCTTCACTGGATACCTTGGCTGCAAACCGTCCTGGTCTTCAAATATGAAGTTGTTCTTGAAGGTTTAAAATAGAAAATGATCTGGCCAGGCACGGTGGCTCATGCCTGTAATCTCAGTACTTTGGGAGGCCGAGGTGATGGATCTCTTGAGGTCAGGAGTTCAAGATCAGCCTGGCCAATATGGTGAAACCCTGTCTCTACTAAAAATACAAAAATTAGCCGGGCGTGGTGGTGCACGCCGGCAGTCCCAGCTACTCGGGAGGCTGAGAGGCGGGAGAATCGCTTGAACTCAGGAGGTGGAGGTTGCAGTGAGCCGAGATTACGCCACGGCACTCCAGCCTGGGTGACAGAGTGAGACTCCATCTCCAAAATAAACAAAGAAAATGATAATAAAGTCTTGACTGGTTTACATTCAAGAGAAAGGGACAATGTGCTTGTCTCTCATTCTAAACTTTAAATGTCTTTCCAAAGGGCAGATCCTACTTGTAAAGGAAAAACAAAGGGCTTACAAAGACAGTGAGTGCAGCTTTCCAAAGGCTGGTCTTGTAATCACGCCCCCTGGACAACTGCACTGTGTTCTGGTGCTCAGTATGTCTTCCCCAGTCCCTGATTCACTCATTATTTATTCAGTAACTCATTCATTTACTTACTTGTTCACACACATTCATTCATTCATTCATTCACTCCTCCATTTATTTCTTCATTCATTCATTGATGCCATAGGAGTTTGCTATGCCCCTGGTGGCCTATGTGCAGGACAGGGGAACAGGATCCATCTCCGGGAGGTCCTGCTGGGTGTATACTCAGGCTCAAGATGCTGACTGTGAAAAAGCCTGCAGATTTTCAAAGTGTGTGGGGTCTGTGATGTGGGGCTGCTCCCAGCATCCAACTAGTGGACCAGAACTGTGAACCAAGGGACAAGACCTGTACACATACCGTAATTCCTTTAGCTCTGATGACCTGGCACATTGGAGAAACATGACTCTAGAAACTTATGAGTAAATAGAAAAAGCACTTGATTTTTCCATCTAGCTCACATTTTATAATGAGGGTCCAGGCTTAGGTCACAATTTCTTACTTCCATTGTCTGAAAATAAGTCATGAGTCTCACTTTAGTGCATGTAGACAGTATAGGAAACAGTGACTTAGCAATCAGTTTGAAATCGTTTACATTACAGCCACATTTACAATTTTTATATCCTAAGATCAGCGTGACTGGGGAATCAGGGAGGGAGCCAGAACTAAGAGAATGTTCCATGGGGTTTTAATGCAAGTTAGAAGATTAAAGAAAGGCAGGATGCTTTTGAAGGCCAGAGGAGTGCTTGTTCAAGGGTCAGGGTCAGGGCTGAAGGAGAGAAGACTGGAATATCGAGTAGAGCACAGAGACTAAGTGGAGCTCAAACCCAGGGGTTTTGCTGGAGCCTGGCACGTGGGTGCATCAGGGTTGGCTTAGGGGCCCCTTGATACAACAGCGCCTTCTCTAGGTGCATGCTTTATGGTACGGTGCTCCCACTTGTGACCTGTACTGCCTCCTGGGTGTCTCCCCAGGCAGGGATTCTTAGGTTTTCAGGAGCAACACCTGGCACAAATAGATTCCCATGGAAGATGCAAAAAAGCCGGTTCATGAGGTCCACTCCTTTCCCCGTTTCTCCCTCTCTAGCTCTCTCCCCATCTCTTTCTTCCTCTTTCCTTCCCTTCTTTCCTCCTTCTCTCCTCCCTCTTTCTCTTTTTTCCAGTTTCTTCTGAGTCCTTTCTTCCCCCACCTTCATCTCTCCTTTCCTTCTATCTTTGTTTATTTACCATCATTGCAATGAATGCTGAGCAATGCCTTCCAATTGCCAACTGGTGGGGGTACAGAGATGAAACGGTCATGGTCCCCACTGTGGAGCAGGTCAGAGTGGAGAGAGAGTGCATTGCAAAGTTAGGAGGAAGCTCAAGGGCAGAGGTGATTAAATCCCCAGGGAGAGAGTGATGATTAAGTCAGCAGGTAGCAGGGGTGGGATAGGATGGGGGAGAGAAGTCAGGAAAAGTTGTAAAGAGGGATTGACACTTGAGATGGTCTTTAACCAATGGCTGGGAGTTCACAGGTGGACTGGGGAGAAGGGCCTTCCAGGAAGAAGGAGCAGCGTGTGCCAAAAGCTTGGAGGCCAGAAGTGCACTAGGGTTCAGTGTGCTTGGATCCCCAGGGAGTGGATTTGGAGGCTGGCACAAAAGGCCCTATTGTTTTATCACAAGGAAATGGACCCTCACTTCACACTCTGAGTAAAAGCATTCTGCAGCAGTTCAGACCCCCTGACTAGGAGGAATCTGGGGAAAGAGCCACACCTTCACTGTCCAGTTGGAGGGAGCTGATGAGTGATGAATAGATGGGGGGATAGAGGTCGGGTGCCAGATGGCCTGGACCCCTGCTCTTCTTTGTCCTGTCCTGTGGCACCTGTGACTTTCAGCTGCAGGGATGAAAGGAGGCATAGGGAATTGCAGGAATAACAAGAACTCTTGATAGGCTGAGACTTGCACTGGACCTGCCAACTTTTCCATTGGCTATTAAGGATAAGACAGGAGCAAATTTGGGGGCCTGTAGGGGGATCAGTTTTTCTAAAAAGGAAGGCACCAATTCCTTAGGCGCCAAGTCTCACCTGCTGCTGAGCTCCTCGTAACCCTGTATAGGCAGGCCTGAGCGACTCCCAAGAATCCCTGTCAGGCAGTGGTGCTTTCCTGGCAAAGTAATTGCCAGTAGAATGCAGCCCCAGACCAGGGTCTGACCAGGCTGCAGAAAGATCTGTGGTTTCCTATGGAGCAAGGCCCACGTGGAAGTCTTTAATGAGCCACAGAAGGGCTTCCGTGGGGCTCAGGCTGCTGGGGACTGGGGCCGCCGTGACAGACTTGGAACCTTGTTGTCCTTCTGCATGTGGGCACTCAGCTCCTTCCCCACTGTGTGTCCATAAGGGGCTCTCTGCTCATAAGTACCAGGAGGGACAATCTGCCTGTGATGTCCCTGTACTGTTCTCACCTTGCAGCATGGCCAATTGCACTAATTCTTACTCAGCCTGAAGCCCGGAGCTGAGCCAGAGGCCTCTCTGCTCACGGCTGTAGCTATTCTGGAACTTGGCACTGTTACCAGTATTCCTCAAAGTCATAATTACCACCACTTAGCCCGGGTTAGTGATCTGGAGCAGGGAGCAGCCCAGCCCGCACTGACTCCCGCTGCCAGCAGACCAACTACTGATGATAGCTTCATGGTTCATAATAATAATAATGACGATAATAGCTATCATTTATTGGACACTCGCTGTGGACCAGGCACTGGGCTAGGTGTTTTACATGTGGAATAGGGCCTACTCCTGTTCCTCCCCCAGTTCCTCTCCACCCACCTCCCTCCCACTCCGGGTCTGCTTCATAACCATTGATTTGCATGGCAGCTTTTGTTTTATAGCAAAGGAAGCAAGGGCTGTTCTAGGGGAGGAAGCTGGAGGGGATGATATGCATTGCTTCCCATCTGCCCCACTACATGGCCTGGGTTTGGTTGTTATGGTCAGGAGACAAGGCCACAAACTCTTTTTCATGGGACACCTGGTAAGAATCTAGACAAAAAAAATCCTGGACAGAAATGGACAGGAATCCAGGGAGAATTTGTGAGGCTCAAGGCATGGCACAGCTGCTTTGGAGGAGGATCTCTCCCCACCTCTGCCTGGAACATGAAGGTTGGTGGCTTTGCAAATCTCCAGAACTGCCTTGTTGAAATAGACAAAGGCCACCTTATGAGGGTCGGTGTAGGGTGCATTCTCCAGAAGCAGAGGCTGAGGAGTTTGGGGCACAAGGTGTTGCTAGGGATCCACACCTCCAGAGGGCAGGGCGCATAAGCGGGACTGGCTGGAGGAAGAGGCTGAACCATGAGGCAAGCCCAGCACAGCCTCGGCCCACTGCATGGGGAGCTTCGGAGCAACTCGTTCATCAGTGTCTGTATCTGGTGGAAATGGTCAGGCCTTGGTGTCCCCACCTGGCTCAGTCACTTCATGCAGGCTGCCCAAGGAAGGGTGACTGAGAGTGAGGTTTCCAAGGCTGACCCTGAGGGAGCTGTTGGCTGGAGGCAGCTGCCGGCTGCCTTTCCTGCTCTTCCCCAGCTGGCTTCATGGTGGGTGGGGGGGGGGGTAGGGACACAGACAAGAAGGAACTGAGGTGGGAGAGGAAGAACGGGCTGGTGGCAAACGATGGGAGAAGCTGTCTGGTTTTGTGGAAATATGTGAAGTTCCTTTTGGCAACTCCTAGAAAAAAATGGGGGGACTCTTTGGGGAGACTCATTTCTGTAAGTGGAGCTGGTAACACTTGGAGCCACCATAACTCAGTCATTAGAAGTTAATGTGACCTTATTTTCTAGTCAAAGGCAGATGAGATTACACATAGCAATCTGTTAATTTCCCATGAGAATCCTGCTGTATAGGTGAGGAGACTGGGTTTCAGAGGGTTAAGTAGCTAAGGTGCTCAGAGTCACCTCGGAGCCAGGCCTTGAATTCGGGTCTCACCAATTCTGCCACTCATGCATTTCCGTGTTCTGCTGCCTCAAAATATTGGCTCAGGGGCTGAGGGCCTCAGGCAAATCCCGGTGAAGATTGCCCCAGGTGGATCCTCACTGGAATTAGCTCAGTTTCCAAAAAATGGACAGCAGGACTGTCTCAGTTTCCTAGGGCTACCATAACAAAGCGCCACAAACTGGGTGGTTTCAAACAACAGCCATTCGTTGTCACATGGTTTGGGAGGCTAGAAGTACAAAACTCAGGCACTGGAAGGGCCATGCTCACCCAAGGCTCTAGGAAAGGATCTGTTCTACACCTTTCTCTTAACTGCCAGTGCTGCCGGCAATACTTGGCTTGCAGCTGCATAACTTCAATCTTTGTCTGCATCATCACTTGTATCCTCTCCTGTGTCTTCAATCTTATATGGACACAGTCATAGTGGATTAAGGGCCCATTCTGCTCCGGTACGATCTCATCTTAACGAATTACATCTACAACCATCTTCTTTGCAAATAGAGGCCATGTTTTGAAGTACCGGTATCCTAGGACTTCAGCCTATCTTTTCAATATAATTCAATCCAGAACAAGGACCTATCAGACTCTAGGTCATCCTAACTACCCTCCCCAGATCTATCAGTTATTTCTTCCACTGCCCTTGACTCAATGCCCCAGGGAGGCAAGGGTAAACTTTGGGGTTCAGCTGCAATGTAGAGGGCTTGCTGGACCCCTTCTTGCCAGATGACGTAACAGAGGGTCTTACCAGTGAAGTGAGTGAAACCGTGAGTTTCCTGACAGCAGCACCTGAGGCTCACACATAATAATATCCCCCGTGGTGCTTGGCATATAGCAGAATTTGAGAATCAGAAGGGACTGACTGATGTGAAGCGTAGCACAGTCGTCTGCTAAGATAGGGGATGAAAGGTGTCTATCAGACTTGGCAGGGCGGGGACCACCGGTGACTCCGGGAGAGTGGTTTCATGGAGTTGAGGAGGGGTCAGAAGTCATATTGTGGTGGATTCAAGAATCCATTGGGTTGAGGAAGTAAAGGCAGTAAGTGTAGACAATTCTTTGGAAGAGTTTTGCTGTGACTAAGAGGATATAGACAGTAGCTGTAAGTTAGGAAGGGGAGTTATAGAATCAAGTGAGGTATTTTTTAAAATGGGGAGACTTGAGTATGATCTGCCGATGGCAAGAGCTGAGCATGAGAGATCAGAGATGCAGGTGAGATAAGGGAGGAAGTTAGGAGAGGCTGGTGGACTTTTCTACCTCTGAACTTCTCTAATCCACATCATCTGGCCTAACCTAGACATGTAATCCCCTTCTCTCCTCCCAGATTCAACTACAGCCCCATATCCTTGGCAGGGACACCTAGAGGGGGGTGGTGATGGGGTCACTGCTTGTAATTTTGGTCCCAGGCAAGGGACTGCTGGCTTCTCTGTTCTGTAGGATGACACTCTTCCCTTTCTGAGTCTGATACTCATCATGGAGTTTTTGTGGTTTAGTTACCAAAACTCCTCTGTGATTTTGTCGATTTCTAGGCCCTCAATCAATGTTTGCTGAACACTGAATGAATGGATGGATCCCAAGGACAGGGTTATCGTGGAGCTCCCAAGCATTTATCTTGAATCTGGAAAATGCAAGAAAGATTGGCCCATCTGTTTCTGTATTATATCAGGATAGCAAAAAGCCACAGAACTTAACTGTAGCCAACTCAATCATGTGTGACAACCCAGCAGCAATGCAGAATGCATTGATGCATTGGTGTAAACCTGTGTGTGTGTGTGTGTGTGTGTGTGATCTGTAAGAGCTGGATGTGATTGCATATCTCATATCACATATGTGTAAAGGCGTATGTGTCTGAGTGTGTTAATGAATGTGTATGTGCATGTTTAATTGTCTATATGTGTGCAACTAAGTGAGCAGATATTTTCAGGCGTGAATGCATGTGTGTGTGTGTGTGTGCAGGTGTGTGTGAGTATACGTGAGCTCATGCATACCTGCACTGCAATATGGGCTCCAGTGAGCAGATGTACTGCACGTTGTCACCTGATTGTGTCCATACATTATGCACCCCCCACCAAAAACCTCCTTTTCAACCAAGCTCATGGTATCCAAATGAATCTAAGAACTATTCTACTGCACATATTCAGACTAACCTGAGCTGAGCCAGTATGAATTGGCTAAAAATCTGGAATTATCAAATATTTCAAAAGATAGGCAACCATTACTGTACAGAATAGCTAGTAACTAAAGCAGGCTTACCTCCACCCAGTGCAGGCATTGCTTCATCTAGCAGCACCTTCTAACAGAACCTTCTGTTAGATGTTAATTATTATGTTATTATTTATGTTAATGTTGTGTTATTAATTATGTTAATTATTATTAACATTAGAAACTCTGGGCAAGAACATTAGAGAAATGTTCTATATCTGCACTGTCTTTTGCAGGATACACTGCTGTCCACATATTGAGCACTTGAAATGTTGAAATGTGGCTTGTGTGAGAAAGGAACTGAATTTTTTTTTTTTTTTTGAGGCAAGGTCTCACTTTGTCACCCAGGCTGTAGTGTAGTGGCACGATCTCAGCTCACTGCAACCTTGACCTCCCAGGCTCAAGCGATTCTCCTGCCTCAGCCCCCCAGGTAGCTGGGATAACAGGCATGTGCCACCACGCCCGGCTAATTTTTTATAGTTTTGGTAGAGACAGGGTTTCGTCTTGTTGTCCCGACTGGTCTCCAACTCCTGAGCTCAAGTGATCTGACTGCCTTGGCCTCCCAAAGTGCTGAGATTATAGGCGTGAGCCATTATGCCCGGCCCAGGAACTGAATTTTAAATTTTATTTCCTTTTTTTTTTTTTTTGAGATGGAGTTTCACTCTTGTTGCCCAGGCTGGAGTGCAATGGTGCGATTTCAGCTCACCGCAACCTCCGCCTCCCAGGTTCAAGTGATTCTCCTGCCTCAGCCTCCTGAGTAGCTGGGATTACAGGCACGTACCACCACGCCCGGCTAATTTTGTACTTTTAGTAGAGACGGGGTTTCTCCACATTGGTCAGGCTGGTCTTGAACTCTCGACCTCAGGTGATCCACCCGCCTCGGCCTCCCAAAGTGCTGGGATTACAGATGTGAGCCACTGCACCTGGCCAATTTTACTTGCTTTTAACTAATTAAAATCTGAATTTAAATAGCCACATTGGCTAGTAGTTACGGTATTGGTCAGTGCCAATCTAAAATGAGTGTTCCATGCTTTTATTTTACCACTGCATCCTCTAGAGCCCAGCGTAGTGTCTGACACCAGGAGGCAGCTGAGTAAAGACAAGCTGACTGAAGGCATGGAGCCAGGGCAGGTCTGCAGGGATTTGCACTAATGAATAGAATCATGAAGATTGATATAATAAATGGAAACATAAATACTGTTTGTAGACAACTGAGTGCTTCTGAAATGTTGGATAACTATCTTCCCTAAAGAGTTATACAATATCTTTATGGTGGAATTTATCCTAAGAGTTTATTCAAACTTTGCCATTTTCTCCTTCTGTTTCTCTCTCAAGCCTAGTATGAGCAAATCTCAAGCTCTCATTTGCATGAACTATTCATTTCTTCCCAGTGGAGGTTCAATTGGTGATTATGATGAAGCTGTTGCAACCCCAACCCTCCTTGTATGTCCTGTGTGCTCAAAGCCTGGGTTGTTCAGAAGACCCTCCATCTCTAAATGGAAACTACAGAAACTCTGACTTCGAAGGGGACTTTGCAGTCACTTGATCTGCTCCTATCTGCCCACCGTTCTCAAGCTCAAACAGCCAGGGAGTCACAACTGGATGTTAGAGTCATCCCAATTCCTACTTATTTGGTGGCATTATCACTCTGCCAACTGAGATGATGCATGGGGTCTATCAGAACTCCTTTCCTTTCATTATTATCTACAGTTTCTCTGCAGATCCAGCCCTCCTTTGTGCAGTTAGTTGGTGCTGCTTAACCTTAGTGCATGACCCCGTGTGAATCACCTCTTGTGAATGCTCTGTACCTGCCTCACAGCGTTATGGGGACAATCAAATGAATTAATTCCTCTAAAGTACTTTGAGGAGTCCCTAACATATAGTACTTTCTAAATACATGCTAATTATTATTAACATTATTATTTTTAATCATTATTTTATCTTGTTAGAATCTGATGATTGGCCAGTTCAGATGAATTTCTTTTAAAGATACTATCAATGACTACTTTCCTTTTTTGCACTTTAAATAAGACATTGTGAAGTCAATCAATATTCATGTCACTTTATAAATATCTTAAACCACCGTACCTATGAGTAAACCAGTAGTTCTTATATTTTTAAAAATTATAGACTCCTTTATTTAATGGAAACTGAAAATGTAAATCAGATATAAATGGAGTTTCTGGATGAAGGGAAAGTGGGGCTTAAAGACCATCCCTGCCCAAACCAAGAAAATTATTTTTTTTTTTTTGAGATGGAGTTTCACTCTTGTTGCCCAGGCTGGAGTGCAATGACATGATCTTGGCTCACCGCAACCTCTGCCTCCCGGGTTCAAGTGATTCTCCTGCCTCAGCCCCCCCGAGTAGCTGGGATTACAGGCATGTACCATCACGCCCGGCTAATTTTGTATTTTTAGTAGAGACGGGGTTTCTCCAGTTGGTCAGGCTGGTCTCGAACTCCTGACCTCAGGTGATCCACCCTCCTTGGCCTCCCAAAGTGCTGGGATTACAGGCGTGAGCCACCGTGCCTGGCCTCAGAAAATTATTCTTGAGGAGATGTCATTCATAGCCCCAATTCCTCTTCACGTTGGGATCAGGTGACATGTACCATTTCATTACTTAGGTACTTTTAAATGTGCTATTCGAGGTTATTGGCTGACTTCATTTTTATGTTTTTTTCCCTTCCCAATCCCTCCACTGTTTCTGGCTAACTTGCACCACAAACCTCCTTAATCTCTTCAAATAAATTGACTCCTAACTTCTGATGCCCAAGATTCTAGCAGGGGAGTTCATGAACACTCACTAGAGGTGCTGCTGCTTCTAGTGTTCCACTGGTTTGTGTCTCTCCTGCCCCTCTTCGCTCCCCTATTAATCCTGAGTTTTTGAACACCTGGAACAATGTCGAGGTCTTTCTTTTTTTTCCACAGCCCACTACAAGGTCAGGGACATAGTATGCACTCAATAAATGTTTGCAGAATGAGTGATTTTCCTAGGAAAAGCAAGAGATTTGGAGTCAGAAGACCTGGGTTTAAGTCTTGGTTCCACAGTGTGACTCTGGGCAAGTCTACTTAACCTCTCAGAGCCTCAGTGTTCTTATCTGGAATGAGAACATTGTAATGTATGAACATTAACATTGAACATTCTATGTTCATTGTATGAACATTGTATGAACATTGAATATGAAGTAGGAAAGCGTGTCTCACAACACTGATGTGGGAAGTAAGGTGGGATATGAAGTTCTTAGTAAACTGTAAAGGCATATACATGAAAGAATTGCTGTTGTTATATCTAGAGTGGGTATCTTAGTCTGTTTTTTGCTGCTGTAACAGGATGCCACAGACTGAGTAATTTATAAGATTTTATTTGGCTGACTGTCCTGGAGGTTGGGAAGTCAAAGATCATGGTGCTGGCATCTGGCAAGGCTCATCTCATGGCAGAAGGTGAGAAGGTGAAAGCAAGTGAGCTCAAGAGAAGAATCAGGCTGAACTCATCCTTTCCACCAGAAACCAAATCTGAAGATAACCAGACAATGGCATTAATCCCTTCCTGAGAGTGGAGGAGCCCTTGTGGCCTAATCAGCTCTTAAAGGCTCCATCTTTTAATGCTATAACAATGGCAATTAAGTTTCCAACACATAAACTTTTGAGGGACACATTCAAACCATAGCAAGGGGCAACTTTGGCCCAGAGAGACTTCTGGGCTCCCTTCTGGGGCTGAAAAACAGGGATAGATTCATTTGCAGAAAATGTTTGCTAATTATTGTCTGGTTTGAATAATTATCCAGGGATCCTGGAAACAGCCCTTCCCACGGATCATACTGTCACATCTGCCGCTGACCTTTAAGTAATCTGAGTGGGGGTAATTACAAAGGGCTGGTTTTCTCTAAATATAGCTGTTCCCCAGCTAAAGGTCAACTCAAGGGAGCACGGTTTGATAATTGCAAGCAGTTTGATAGTGAATTGGGGCAAACATTCCCAGGGGTGCAGTCAGTGGTTTCCTCTTACAAAGAACAGGGTGTGATGGGGAGGATCTGACTTTCTGACCCCAAATAGAGAATGTCAAAGTTCCCACTTTATCTAAATTCCAGTAGTAAAGTGTCATCATTTGTGGTAAGGTAACTGTAGTGAAAACTTTTGCAGAGAGTAGAGTTAGATCCTCTGCCTCTGGGCTTTCAGATTCCTGTGAATTCTGGTGCTCTGGTCTCCTGTTTGTTTCCTACTTGTATACTTTGTTTCTCCAGTGAGAGTTTTTGCTCTTCCATGGCTGAGACCTCTATATTAAATACCAGAATGTGTAAAGCAAGAAAAGATTTGGATATGGATCCTGATACTGCGAGGATTCTTTATGGAGGACTTTGGATGAATTACTTTCTTCATTGAGCTCCAGTTTCCTCATCTATAAAATGGGGCTTGTGAATTACTACCCCGCCTGCCAGGATGGGTCATAGGGAGATCTAATAAGGAAATATATGGAAAAGGACTTTGTAAGCCTCAAATTCCTCTGTAGATGCTGGAGGTGGTCAAGACACACTCATCCTGTCCTATCTCCTTAGCCTGATCTCAAGCTCATCTGCAGTGGGCCTTATACTTCTCTTGCAACCGACCTCTCTCCTCACCTCACCTCTCTCCCCACCTGGTGTTCAAATTAAAAAAACAATTGAGGCAAGTGAATTGGAATAAAAGAGGAAGAATAAGATAATGAAACAGAAGCAGGGTGACCACCCTACAAAATGTGATACTTGATGGCTATGGTCTGAGAGTCAAAGGCCTAATCTTAATTTTATATTTCCTTTTTCTTCACTAGACCCATGCTCTACTCTTACCTCTCTTCTACCACAATCCCCAGGGGCCCTCTTTAGTATGTATCTTAGGTCCAGAAAAATTTTCCCTTTGCCTGGAGTTTCCAAACCCTATCACTTACAATATTTAGAAAAGTCCTCCATCCTCCTTTAGGTGAAGCAGTGACAATGTTTGGTAGAGCTGAGCAGCAATATCCCATTTGCCAGCAGGTGCCACCATTGAGCAGACAATGCGTTCATTAATTCAACACCTAAATATTGACACTGCTCTGTGCTAGGCCTTCTCCTAGGTATAGGTAAAACAGTGAACAAAACAGACAACATCCCTACCCTCATGAGGATGGACAATGACTAAATAAACACTCAGATATACAATGTAATGTCAGAAAATTATCAGTGCTATGAAGAGGATAGGGACTGAATGGAGAGAGAGGATTATTTTAGACAGGGTGGTCAAGGAAGGCCTGTCTGTGAAGGTGATATAAAAAATGTCTTAAGGCCAGAGATGAGGTGTCTACACATCCATGTGTGTAAGGCATATTGCCTTAAAAGTTTGTACTAATACTAAATTGAATATTTTGCTCTGAATCCTCATTTCATAGAGTTTGGTGGTGGGGTGGCGGGGGGTGGGGAATAAACCTTAACCTTCCTTAGAGAACCCACCCACCCAGGCACCCAGGGAAGAGTTGCAATTCGAGGCTCCTAGGCAGAGAGAGGGAGAGTGGGGGAATAACCTCTTGCCTTGGCCATGGGTTCCCATAGCACTCTCTTCTGTGGCTTCCTATATGGCCTGGTGGCTTTCTACTGCCTCAGGGCCATGTTGGACTGTTCACAGTTCCATCTGCCTGGGTGACCCTCCCAGAGGTGCTGATGAGAACAAGTCTGCTCTACGCCTTTCTGTCTCTCTCTCCTCCCTCCCCTAGCTGGCGAAATTTCTATCTGCTCCTCTGAGAAGGGGTCAGAGAGTGAAGCTCAGCTCTCCCCCTGCTTCTGGCCAAGACACTAGTCAAAGCCTG
The DNA here is from genome assembly GCF_000001405.40 of Homo sapiens. Lineage (NCBI taxonomy): Eukaryota > Metazoa > Chordata > Mammalia > Primates > Hominidae > Homo > Homo sapiens. Next base: position 38,615,091 of record NC_000001.11, on the reverse strand, counting down.
AGAAATCCCCTTCCCCCAAGGGCTCAGGCTTTTGGAACACAAAAGCCAGAGAGATTTCCAGGCTATTTCTGGTTTTTGCCCTGCTGCGTCTTTCCCCTGAGGCAATGAGCAGAATGCTGACTTCCTCTTTGGGGATGGTGGGGTGAGAAGGGAAAATATAGGGGAGAAAAAATACAGGTTGGATAGACTTGTATCTCAAAATATCATCCCAGCCACACCTGTTAAATACATTCCAGCCTTCGTTGCTTCCCTAAGTTCAATACATTTTGTGTTGGGGGTACTTAGAGTCAGGGTCCTGTTATCTGTGTTTGTTTCGATGCTCATGTTCAAATTCATGCCTGCTTCCTCTAGGGTAAGTGTGATTTCTTCTAGTTAAGTACGGGAAAAAATTAAGTAGTATTAATAGTTTTTTTTTTCTCTCCCTAAGTGAACAGTGAAATTGGCAGGCAAAAGGCAACAGAAAGCATTTCCTTAGCTTGTTCTTGTCTAAAAATATGGACAAGCAGGAGTGTGAGGGAGTGTGCAGGAGGCTTGTCCCCACAGTTCTCCACAGCCAGGAGCATGGGGGCCACTGTGGGAAATGAGCCCAAATGTCTCTGCTAAGAGCCTCTTTTAAAACAAGCTCCCCTCCGGTTCTGAGGTTTACAGCAAACTTCTCAGAGCACATGGGCAATTTTCCCCAAGCCCTTGAAATGAAAGACAAAGAAAGCAGAGTGACAGGGCATCTGTGGAGAAAGGGCTTGCTGGGCAGGCCAGGCCAATTAGCTGCTTTCCACCCCTGAGCTCTCTGTGGTGGTCTTCCAGTGTTTGGTGGGGAGGGGAGGGGAGCCATGGGGCCTGGCGTGCCTGACACCCAATTAGTGCTCATTCACCAACTGACCAGCCCAGCTGGCTGGCCTGCTCCCTTCCAGCTGCTCAGCAGCCGGCTCCAACAGCTCTAAGAACAGGGGGTGCTAATTGGATGCTGAAACCCAGCCGCTTCTCCATCCGCCCAGCCCAGCCTTGTGAAGGCCGCGGCTTTCTTGGCCAAGCTCCTGCCCCTGGTTCCGCTGTCAACTCATCCTCCCTGGGAAAATGCCGCTCCTCTCAAGTAGAAATGTAACAGCCAGCGCTGCAGCTTCCACCAGAATTCTTGAAGAGCCCAAGTCAAGGCAGAAGCAAGGTCAGTAGGGGAATGGGTAATGAAAGGGAGGAGAGAATGAGAGGTCCTGGGGGCCATCAGGTTCCCTGGGGTATTGGAGGAAGCATGAATGTAGGAGACAAGGAGCCCTGCCGCTGACTGTCGGTGGTGTCTTTCATTCTTGGGCCTCAGTTTCCCTATCTGCACACAAGGGGACCTGACTAGATGCCCTGCACACACTCTTCCAGCCCTGATGTGGAACGTCTCTGAGCCAAGACTCGGGAGTCTGCAGATCCCTGCAGTGGGGTGGGCATGCCCCTTGGGACCCCGAGTCACAGGAGTCCTTTTTGAGCTCAATGCGGTTCTGGCTCTGGCTGATGAGGGCGCTGAGCCTGCCTCTTAGAAGACTTGGTTCTCCAAGACAAGTCAAGATGCTGGGGGAACAGCCCTGCTGTCCTGGTCCTGTAAATCTAGATATCCAAGTGGTTTTCTTTTTTCCATGTTTCCTGCTGTGTCAGTGATTCCAGGGATGTCTCAGGGTCATAGTAGGTTCACACAGGTGCTCTCTGGAAGGGACTGCAGCCCCACGCCCCTTTGTCAAGGCAGCCCCCAATGTGTTTGCACAGTAACAGCCACAGGGTCCAGCTTCACTGCCTCATCTCAGGTTATCGGGTTATCCTGCTGATACGGTGTCAGATGTTAGTAACCATGTCCCATTAAGAACCCACATTACATTGTCTTGTTGCTCCGATTCTTTACTGCCTTCCTATATTGGGATTACACATCCATGCTCTTTATCATGTGACTTTGCAGTTCCTGCAACCACACTGGGTGGTGTAGACTTCTCTGCTGGTATATACTGATAACGAACTGGGTCAGATGACTTGCTTCGGCCAGTGGAACGTGGGTAGTAGTGATGCTGCCAGTCTGTGCTGAGACTCTAGGATGCATCACTGTGTCTCCTTAGCCTTCTTGTGCCCCTGTGATCTGCTGTGGACAGGACATGCTCCTGGAATCCACAGCGCCTGCAGCCTGGGCCCCAGAATGAATGTGTGTGTGGAGGAGACCTGAGCCTAGCCCAATACCTGGGGCCACTCTGGTCCACATGAACTCATCTGGACCAGCCAAACCTAGGTCAACCTGTTGACCTATAACTTTGAAAATAAATGTGTGTTGCGGTAAGCCACAAAGATTTTGAGGTTATTTGTTAAGAGACGAAAAACTGACTAATATGGCCGGGAGTGGTGGCTCACGCCTGTAATCCCAGCACTTTGGGATACCAAGGTGGGCAGATCTACTTGAGACCAGGAGTTTGAGACCAGCCTGGCCAACATAGTGAAATCCTGTCTCTACTAAAAATACAAAAATTAGCCAGCTACTCAGGAGGCTGAGGCACAAGAATTGCTTGAGCCTGGGAGACAGAGGTTGCAGTGAGCCGAGATCGCGCCACGGCACTCCAGCCTGGGTGACAGAGGAAGACTCTGTCTCAAAACAAACAAACAAACAAACAACAAAAAAACCCCAAACCTGACTAAATACATCAATAAAGACAAGAAACTTCCAGGAGAAGGATGCTGAGGAGCACCTTGTTGGTGTCCAGGAGCTGGGCACAATAGAGAAACCATTATACTCTTCTGGCCAGGGGCAGCTCAGGGGACAGGATGGCCCATCTCATGGGAGGCCAGTCCTTGGCCACAGAGTGGCCACCTCCTAGCACTGTCCAGGCCCACCCAAGCTCTGGAAGGACCACATGACCCCTGAATGGGAGTGGGGAGAAGCTTCTGAATTGTATTTTCAGAAGTTCCCCCAGGTGAGGCCTGAAGGGAGTGGACACTGCTGTTACTTAGGTAGCACGCTAGGCACAAAACCTGGTAAGACAGGAAAAGAGCAGAAACAAAAATCCCCAGACTACTGAGGGCAGCTGAGATGATCCTGGAATCTTGAAGATCCGTGTTGATTTGGAAGCCTGGACAGCAACTCTGCATACTGCTGAGATTCAGGGATGACTCTGACACAGGGAAAGTAATTCCTAATCAGTTTAAGCAAACGGCAGATGACTCTTCCCTGGGAGTCTGCAGCACTGAGAGAATTGCTGTAATTGCAGGCAGTTGGCAGAGAAATCAGGCGCCTGCCTCTAGTCCCTTAGGCTGCGTTCCCGGGGGACCCCCAGTTTAGAGACCCTCCCACTGAGACTTGGCTCCCTGAGCTGATCCTCCCGTGTGGATGTTGACCACAGCTTGTTTGCATATGGCTTGAATTTTGGTTAGGGGCTTTCTGATTGCAGCCTGATTTGTCATTTAAAATATTATGCACAGAAATTAGGATGCACATGGAATTTTGATTCCAGCCGTTCTTTGTGCTTGGAGAGACAAGGCTTCTCCCAGGGAAGTCTGTAGAATATGCTGTGCAAGGGAACCTCTGCAACTTTCCAGGAGTTTCAGTTACTCAGGGAGTCATGGCAACCAGGTCTCAATGTCAGCAGTCTAGGTTCTGGTCCTGGTTCTGCCACCGATGTCAGTGGAACTTAGGGCAAGTCTGATCATCGAGTTGAGTGTCACTTTCATTCTCTATGAGATGGAGATAATAAAAAGCAGCATCGGAGAGATGTTGTGGGGACCAAATGAAATACTGAAGGCAAATGTTTATCACCGTGTCTGGCAAATAATACACAGTAGCTTCTATTAATAATTACAAAGGGCTTAGCAAATAGTAGGTATTGCATCAGTGGTTCCTATTGTTGTCATTATTATTAAAACACATATCTGACCATGTGCACTTCATGTTTTGAGATCCTTTGTTAATCCTCATGCCTTTAGAACTGTTTTTCAAATTGTACTGCTTGGTGCCCTGGGAGTTCTGAGGCTGAAGACCTCTCTGTTTGATGTTCAGGTAACTAAGGCTGAGAGTGATAAACCATCCAAGGTCACACAGATATGAAATTACAGACCCTGGAGTCCAACCCAGTTCCTGCCACATTTCTACCCAATGTACCTCATGATCCAGGCGCACTGGACTTCTCTCTCTTCCTAAAATTCTATATTTATACTGCTTTGTACAAATTCTTGCTGCCTGGAAACCTCTTTCCATTTATTTGTCTGTCTAAAGTACATCTTTGTCTGAAAAACCTTCCCGGGCCTCTCAAGCAGTCTTTGTTTCAGTGCTAAGGTGTCTCTGTTGGAGCTCTGGGCATCTATCCATAAAGACCAACTAATATTCTAATGTATTTTGTAGATTCTGAGGTATACACTTCTTCCCATTTTAGCATCTCTATAATCAGGATCCATCTTATCATCTTACAATTGCTGCTATTCAGACAGGGGTAGTGACACGGCCCCCAGAGGCTGCGCCTTCCCTTCACTGATGTGGTGATGCAGTTATGCTGGGAGACCTGGTCAGATGCCAGCAGGCAGGCCCCTGAAGGCCCATCAACAAAATATTTGATGACCATTTGGAAAAGGAAATAAGTTTTGTTTATTGTCTGAAACTTTTTGTTGACACATTCTGGGAAGATCAAGAAAAAGCTAGTGGCCAGTCATGGTGGCTCACGCCTGTAATCCCAGCACTTTGGGAGGAGGTTGAGGCGGGCAGATCATCTGAGATCAGGAGTTGGAGACCAGCCTGGCCAACATGGCGAAACCCCATCTCTACTTAAAAAAGAAACAAATGAGCCGGGCATGGTGGCGTGTGCCTGTAGTCCAAGCTACTTAGAGGTGGGAGGATCACTTGAGCCCAGGAGGTCAAGGCTGCAGTGAGCTGAGATCCAGCCACTGAACTCCAGCCTTGGTAAAAAGGTGAGACCCTGTCTCAAAAAAAAAAAAAAAAAAAAAAAAAGGTAGGAATAAGAGAATAATTGGAAGTTCCTAGCATAAAGAAAAGATAAATATTTAGGTGATAGATATCCCAGTTACCCCTGATTTGATTTTTACGCATTATATGAATATATCAAGTTATCACATGTACCCTGAAAATATGTACATCCATTATGTATCAGTAAAAATAAAAAAGGAACAGCCAGCACCACAAATGTAAAATGGGTATCAACAGCTCAGAAGAAAATCCCAGAGACAGGAGTGGAGCCCTCTTTGAAGAAACGCAGCATCATCTCCACTCTTGATGTCACTAATGATGATTCTATGCAGAAGGGCTGGGCTCCCAGCTAAACTCCACCCTTAAACATAGAACCCCGGCCCTAAGTGAAAATAGTTGACCGCGGTTTTCCACCCACACGTTGCCCATTTGTCCTGCCCCACCCCTATCCTGTGCCCATAAAAGCTCTGAGAGCAATACAAGCAGCTGAGCGTTGAGGATACAAGCGGCTGAGCGGTGAGCATAAAAGCAACTGAGCATCGGAGACTATGGATAGATGCTGATGACTTCAGATGGTGTGGCTTCAGGGAAAGATCACTTTCCTATCCCCTTTCCAGCTTCCCTTTCCGCTGAGAGCCACCCACTGCTCAATAAAGTCGTCCACATCCATCACCTTTCAAACAGTTTGTGTGACCTGATTCTTCCTGGACGCCAGACAAGAACCCGGGTGCCAAGAGGGCAGGGGCTGTCACCCTGACCCTCCACTGAGTTGGTTGGTACTTGGCCATCCCTGGACGGCAGAGCTGAAAGAACATTGGTTGTAACACGCTTGGACGCTGCTGCAGGGCCTGCACAGAGGCTGTTCCCGCCAGAGAGGAGCCACTGGCTGGTTGCTGTGGTTTCCACACTCTGGTTCCCTCCTGTGAGGAGTGGCCAGCGGCGGGCTGAGTGAAATGAGCCACTCCAGTTCTGGCCCACGAAGTGGGTCAAGGGAACTATCCTGTCTCAACTCCACGTGGAGAAACATGGACATTGGTGACTTTGAATTGAAAAGTGATGCGTAAGATTGGACCCTGAATGGGAAGGTTAGGAATATGGTAGCTAACTTACCGCACTTGTAACATTCCATGATATACAATGATTAAATAAGTATGAAAGAACACTTTCAATAAGTATAAAGTAAAAAAAAAAAAAATCTAACCAATGAGAAAGCATCGAGTTGCAGCATTTTTTCCTTTTTTAGTAGTCTATAAAACAGTGCCTTCCTTTACAATCAATCAATAACACCTGAGATTGGATGAAACGCAGGTAGCTGAATTCAGCTGAAGCAGCAGCCAGTAGGCCTAAATGAACTGACTTAAGTTTAAAGGAACCTGGGAGGTCAGGGAGAGAATGAACCTTCCCTGGCGATGGGCCCTGCAGTTATAAGTCTCCATAGATGGTCATTCTTCAGGAAAGTGAAGTTCTTTGTGTGAGCATGGCACGGAGGGGAAGCTACCAGCATTTTAAGAGGGGCAATTCTTTGTTATGTGGGAGTCTTCTGCGCATTACAGGATGTTACGCTTCTACCAAGTTCTGCAGTGCCTCCAAGACATTTGACAATGGACAGAGTCCCTGGAGGCCCCACATTCCAGACGCTCCCCTGGGGGCAGTACCACTCGGGTTGAGACCACCGGGCTACAAGATGCAGATGGTTTGATGCAGCCCTGCCCCCTGTTGGTGAATAGCACCAACGCCTCCCGGTCCATAGCCTCGGGTCCTCATCTTTCACGAAGGCGCAGCATGGCCAGGATGATTCCAGTCCCAGCGTGAGCACAGCCCTGGTGTGGAGGGGCTGGGGGCATCGTCTTGGGCATTTCTGCCTCCCCTGTCAGCCCCAGCCAACCTTCCTCTGCCCCAGGTCCGCTTTCCAGGAGTATTTTCTCTGCATTCCTCAAGGCAGCCTGGGAGAGAGAGGCACGGTCGCCTCCTTTTCATTTACATGGGGATTACTGGAGACCAGAAAAGTGCTTTAAAATGATATAATGTCTCTGCACCTCATCAAACCCTTCCCCTTCTACCAATTTCTGCCTGATTTACAGTTAATATTGCACACTCCCATCACCCTGCCGGAGAAGCGGTGATTATTTCTCCATTGCCATAAAGAATGTAAAGGAGATGGGAAAAATCAGGTGAATTCAGAGAAAGTTTAGTGTAAAAAAAAAAAGTACTGGGGGGAGGGGGTGTCAGGGAAGGCAGTATAATAACAGAAGCGAAAGTATTCCTGGAAACAATCTCAGAGTCAAGTGATTCCTCCAGGCCTCAAGACAGAGTCTGCAGGCATGGGCTGCTGCCCTGCTAGACCAGTGCACGGGGCCACGGTGGGGTGGACCTGATGGGGGGCCTTCCCTGGGTGCTCGTCTGCCCGGGGCTCTAGAGAAAAACAGACCCCACCCTAGAGCCAGCCCACCCCGAGAGAGGGCGAGAGCACTGGCCCATCCTCCCCACTGCCCACTTCCCAGGAATGTCTGGTGAGCATTTTGGCCTCAGGGCCTTTGGGATACAGAGGTGGCCCCTAAATTTGTAGTTCCTGGGTAGGGATTTGTTTGTTCGGCTTGATTTCTAATCTAATTTGGGTTCTGGGCTCAAATCCTGGCCCTGACAAGGACTGGCTGTGAGACCTTGGGTGGTCATTTCACATCTCTGTGCCTCTGTCTTCTCTTCTATAAAATGGGATAAACTGGCATGTGGTAAGTGCTAATAAAAAATGTAGCGCTGATTCTCTTTACCCATCGTTAGTCAGTCACTGATCATTAGCAGCAGCAGCATCGCTATTCCACAGCAGGTAAGTCTGTGAATTACCATTTTCTTTCCAGTTTGCCAATGATGGACTTTTGCTGATTTTACAATTAAGGAGCTGAGTATCACTTTTATTCTTCAGGGGAAAGAGATGCTCTGAGTCTCCCACATAATCCATCAGCCAAAGGAAATTAGGGAATCTGCTAGACTTAATTACTGCTACTGTAGTAACCTGGTATTTCAGCAATCTATTCCTACATGACAAACTATCCCAAAATGTAATGACTTAAAATACAACAATTCTGTTATTGCTCATGATTCTGCATTTGGGCAGGGCTTAGTGGGGAGAGTTGACCTCTGCTCTCTGTGTGTGCAGCTGAGGGCTGTGGCGCAGTTTGATTTAGGGTGTATATCTGGGGCCTTGGTTCTCACTGTTGGCTGAGTTTCTTGTTCCCCACATGATCTCTCAAGGTGATTAGCTTAGGCATCTTCACATAAGCAAGATGGCCTCAGTACAGTCTAACATCTTAGACAGTGGATGGCTTTCCCCAAAGCGTGTGTACTCAGGTGCGTGCGCGCGCGCGCACACACACACACACACACACACACACACACACACACTCCCAGAAACTGCCAGGACTTAAGGCCTAGGCTCAGAATTGGCACAGTGTCACATCCACCACATCCTATTGGTAAAAGGAGATTACAGGGCCAGCCCAGAATCAAGGTCATGGGTGTACACGAGGCATGAAAATCAGGTAGTTCATTGCAGGCCACTAAAGTAACCACAGCTAGGTCTTCGGTATAATTAGTTTTTTCCTTCTTCCACAACAGTTTAGATTTGCCTTTTCCCTTTCATGCTTATCCTTTATTGCACATGGATCTTTATTGGAAGTGACTTCAAATCAAACCATTTTATTTCTTCTGCTTTTTAAAAAAATTAGTCAAGAGAGTAAAAAGGAAGTCTGGGAGGTACGTGGGCATCCCTCTCTGTGTCTCTGGATTTCTGGGTCTCGGGCCCCTCTTCCCACTTTTGTGGCTGATATGTCCATTGATGAGCATCTCTCCCTGTCTCTAGGACCATCTTTATCTGTTCCCATCTCTGAGCCTCTCATCCTTGTCTCTCCGAGACTGTTGCTTTGATTCTCTCTTTGACTCTATATCTTTCTGTCTGTCTCTTTCTGTTCTGTGCACATTTTTCTTTGTCTTTATTTCTGCTAGTCTCTCTGTTTCTGTATCTGTCTCTGTCTCTCTCTCCCTATGACTCTTCTGTTTTTTCTCTCAATCTCCCACCATCACTGTTTTAGCCAGAGATATAGTCCTTTTATTGGTGTAAAATGTGGCCTTCTTACTAGTATTGTCAGAGAACTTCATGCTTTGTCTCTGGCCAATACTCCAGGGCCTTCCTGAGTAAGAGAGGCTCAGCCTCCAAGAGACCTTGTCTTGTGCCAAGAGAGTACCTAGGGATTCCTTTCCTTCCTCTCTTCTCAGCATCTGGGCCCTGGGGTCTGAGAACTGCCTGGGCCCCATAGCCTTGCCAAGACTGGGAAGTGCATGCCTCAGGCTCCAGCGGCCTCCCTTGGGAAGCAGGGGGGCTGGAGAGGAGGTGGTGAGTGGGGCAGGGCAAGGATAGAATGAGGGAAGTAGAGACAGAACTCCATGTCCCAGCATTTGAGGAGCTGTAAAAGGAAGAGGAATGTTTTGGTTACAGGGGAAATGATGTGCCCACTTCTGCAGTGCAGGTGCTGAGGACAGCCCTTGGGACAGAATAATGAGATGGAACAAACGTAGCTGTGCCTGTCCACTGCAGTACAGTGGGCTCCAGGAGGGTGGCAGCCTTGCTGGGCACACAGTGGGCCGTGAAATGCTGAATGACCCCACTTCCTAATAGCTAATGGGAACCGGTGACTTCAAGAGGTAGTGAGTAGCCCATCTCTGGAGTTATGCAAGCTGAAGCCGAACAAACACAGGACGTGTGGAATTATAAACCAAAGGCCCATTGAAACAGAGCCCCACATCCCTGGCCAAGTCCTCCCTTTCTTCTCCCCAGACTCCCCACTCTGCAGCTCCTCCCCACTTTCCCTATTTGCATCCTTGTCCCCTGTAAGCTGGCTGGCAGAGGCAGGTGCAGGCTGGGCAGGGCCAGTGCTGAGGGAGGACTGCAAGCAGCTAATACTTCCTGAGCCTGCTGGCAGTCACATCCTTGGAGAAGCTCATCTGAAAATGACCTTCCCCTCTCCTTCAGCACCCGATCACATGCAGGTTGCAATGGGTTGCACACAGCATCTCTCTAAGGTGCTGCAGGCAGCTTCCAAACACCCCAAAGCAAGGGGGAAAATAATTCAGGATTTAGATAACAAACATATCAATTTCTTGTCCACTTTCAAAACCTGTTTTCTGCAGAGTTTCTGGTGATGATGGTGCAGAACTCTGACCCCGCAGAGAGGCTCTTTTAATTTCGGGGCTCCCCTTGTCTTTCTTGTGGAGCACTGGCTGGAGTTGGGCCAAGCAGAACAGCTCCCAAGAGTATGTGCACTCCTGGGCACACCAGCACAGCCGTAGACAACAGGGCGTAAATAAATAGGTGCACCTGCCCTCAAAATCACATCCATCTGCACAGGAGAATGCTCAAGGTCACATACACCCACATACTCACACACATGCACCGAAAAAGCATACCTGCCCTCATAATACGCACTTGTGGGGAGGCACAGTTACACTAACAAACTCACTCATATGCTTGGATGCAGCCATATGCATGGGTACATAAATATGCATGCCAGTGCCTGTGTGCATGCCTGCACTTACGAGAAGATACACCTAAAACCACACCTGGCCGGGCGCGGTGACTCACACCTGTAATCCCAGCACTTTGGGAGGCCGAGGCGGGTGAATCATGAGGTCAGGAGTTCAAGACCAGCCTGGCCAACATGGTGAAACCCTGTCTCTACTAAAAATACAAAAAACTAACTGGGCATGGTGGCACATGCCTGTAATCCCAGCTACTCGGGAGGCTGAGGCAGGAGAATCACTTGAACCCAAGAGGTGGAGGTTGCAGTGAGCCCAGATCACGCCACTGCACTCCAGCCCGGGCGACAGTACGAGACTCCGTCTCAAAAAAATAAATAAATAAAATAAAAAACCAAAACAAAAAACCAAAACAAAAAACAAAACCACACCTGATGCTCAGGTGTGCATAGAAACACAAAAAATAAAAAGCAGGTGATAAGCACTCGGTAAAACCCTCATGTGAAGACAGACCTACACACACACCCAAGTGTGTACATACACACTGGTGCACCCACACATGCACACCCACGGACAGCTGTACACACAAATATACAAGTAGCATGCTATGTTCATACGCTTTTGTCCCGCTCCCTTCCCCTCCTTTCCCTTCCTTCCACAGATGAGTGTAAGGTGCAGCATAGCATAGTGATAAAGACTGGTTCACATCTTGGCTGTGCCACTTTCTAGCCCTGTGTGACCTTGAGCAAGGTATCAAATGTCTCTGTCTATGTTTTTTCATCTGTAACATGTGGATAGTAGTAGTATCCACCCCACAGGATTTTTGTGAGGATAAAATCTATTCATATGTGTAAAGCTCTCAGAGCAATGCCTCGTCCATGGTAGACTCTCCTGGGGTTGCCTCTGACTGCGGCAGAAGAACTAAGAAAGGCCAAAGCACTGAGTTTGTGGCAAGAAGTGCCCGGTTCAATTCCAGGCCTTGTTCTTTAGACCTCCGTGACTCTGGGCTCAAACTTCATTTCCCTATGCCTTGGTTTTCTCATTTGTGAGTGGGGACAAGCAGTCTTGCCCTGGCTGCCTCCTGGGATAGCTGAGGGCTGTGGCAAGTACAGCTCTTCAGGATCTGTAAGATGTGGTGATGCTGGAGGGAATTTCACCTCTTGGGCCACAGGACCTGGGAGAATCCACTTGGGGCCTAGCATTGGCTGAAGGGCAGCTGGCACAGGAAAGCTGCTGAAGGTCCTGTGTATCTCCTACTTCTCCCTGACTGCAAGCCCTAGTGCCTGGCGCTGTGGTCAGCAGAGTCACCCATGTGGGTTTATCCCATTGCATGTGCTGAAGTTTTCTGGGAAGTTACAAGTGCTGCTTGGAAGGAAAAATACTGCAGCTTCCATTGCACATGGAAGGCAACACAGCTGCTGGTTTTCCTGGGCCACAGGGGCTCCCCCTTTTCTCTGGAGGGTCCTCCTTTTTTTCTCCAGAAGTGCAGTTCAGGGGAAGGGCCATGGAAAATGAGGAGAGACCTTGTGCAGTCAGCCAGATGAGCCAGCTCTGTTGGGTGGTCACTGGGGCAGTCAGAGAGATCCTGTCTGATCATGCCACTCCCGTGTGGAAACATTCCAGGGTCTTCCAATATCAGAGGAAAATCCCAACCCCTGCTCCAGGCCCCCAGGGCCTCTGTGAGGTGTTCCTTTCTGCCTCTCCCACTGGTCTGCCCCCTCCCCTCCTTCATTCTACTGCAGCCATGCCAGACTCCTTTCTGTTTCTGCTCCTGTTTCAGGCTTTGTCCCTGCAGTTCCCTTTGCCTAGAATGCACTTGCTCCAGTTGTGCATGGTTGACTTCTTGCCATTCAAGACTCAATCCATTACACCTCCCGCAGAAGTCAACCCTGATGTGCCTCCTCCTGCTCTGTCCAACTACCTCGCTTGATTTCCCTGGCAGTTATTGCACTTATCATCCACTCCAATGACCTTTTAATTTTTTATTAAATTTTTTTATACACTATATTTGTACATATCTATGGGGTATACATAACATTTTGTTGCATGCATAGAATGTGTAATGATCAAGTCAGGATATTTAGGGCATCCATCACTTGAGTATTTATCATCAGATGACCTTTTAAAAATACATTCAAGGCCGAGGCAGGCGGATCACCTGAGGTCAGGAGTTCAAGACCAGCCCGGCCAACATGGTGAAACTCCGTCTCTACTAAAAATACAAAAATTAGCTGGCCATGGTGGCAGGTGCCTGTCATCCCAGCTACTCTGGAGGTTGAGGCAGGAGAATTGCTTGAACCCAGGAGAAGGATGTTGCAGTGAGCCAAGACTGCACCATTGCACTCCAGCCTGGGTGACAAGAGTAAAACTCCGTCTCAAAAAAAAAAAAAAAAAATTCATTTATTGCCTGTTCCCTGATGCCGACCCCACTGGAATATGTTCTCATGAGGGCAGGGTCTCCCCAGTGCCTAGTTCATAGTAGATGCTTAACTAATATATGCTGTCCCAATAACTAAATGGCTTACATTTCTTACCTGCTGCCATGTAATTCCACTGTTCTTGGGGGTAGGACTGTGACATTGTACCATGAGTGATTTGTGGTGAATGATAAAGCACCAGTGCTGTGAGTGATTTATTAAAAAAAAAAAAAAAAAAAAAAGATAAATCAGAGCAGATTCAAGGACCTCTCTGTCATGATAACACTCTCACTTTCTCAAATTCCAACACGGTTTCTGAGTGAATGAGACAGAGAAAGAGTTACGGCCAGGGGAATGGGAACTGTGTCCCCAGTCCCATCCCTGCCTCAGCTGTACTGTTAATAAGGTTACAAATTCATGTTATACTTTTGGTTTCATCAAAATCTGTGTGTGTCTATGAGGCTTTAATATATAGGCAAATTTCTTATGTATTTGAGTGTCCCTGGGGGTTGAGGGCAGGGGTCTAGAGAACCAACCTGCAGACCATGGGGGAGCAGTGTGTGCTTGCTGTTGTAGGCCACGGAGATTCTGGGGTTGTTTCTTATGCGGCATTATTGTAGCAATAGTTGACTAGAACACTAGGACGTGAATGAAGTGTTATGTTAGAAAGAAAGGTCTTGGCCAAATGTCTGTGATGCAAAGTGAGAGGGCCATTTTGGGTGGGGGGACTCTGATTGCATCACTGGTATTGAACTCTTTTAATTTGTTTCTACTTTTGTTTTGAATTTTAAACCAATTCATGCAGGTGCTCAGAATGATTGCTGAGATTATGATGGACAAAATGAATGAGTAGCAGGTCTGAATCTTGGTCCATAAATTCAGCCAAACAAGAAGAATTATATTTCTTATTTTTTTAAAATCGGATTAACTTCTAATCAGAGCCCTCTCCCGGGAGTGTGGTTAAGCCAAGCTCTGTCAAAGATGTCTATCTTTTCTTTCATTAAACTTTCTGCCTCCAAAGAAATAGTCTGGCCCAGTAGAAGGAACATAAAACTTGGGTCAAGATGATCTGAGTTCAGATCCTGTTTCTGCACTTATCCATCACGTGACCTTGAGTAATTCATCCCCTTGAATCTCAGTGTCTTCATCTGTAGAATGGGACCAATGATTCCTTCCCCTTAGTGGTGGGGTTCAGTAGGATGATTCAGGGATCCCAGGGCAGTGCCTGTCATAGGGAAGGGGCCAGGAAATAGCTCCCCTTTTGGCCTCCTGAAGTGTCAACCAGGTCACATCACCTTGCAAAAGTCGGGAGAACCCCCATGAACTCATCATTAACTACAATCATCACCAGCTCATGGTCATTCTTATTGGTCCTCTCCCTACCCTCATGCCCGCCCCCATTATCTTGAGGCAAATCCCAGAATCAATATATTTATTTTCTTCTGTGTATGTTTGAAATTTTTACATAGTAAAAAATAACAAAGTGAGGATGATAATGCTTACTTCATGGCATGGTTGGAGGACAGAAGGAGAGAATTTATGCAACAGACCTATGCCTTATAGTCAGCAGGGTTCTAAACCCATTCTGGGATGAGAAAGGACTTTCTAAACAAAGCAACATTAACAACAAAGAGAGTTAAAAATATGTGTATTTGAGAAACAACATAAACACAATTAAAGGCAAGCAAACAAAGAAACAAAGATTCTTTGTTAATGTCCCTATTATTCACTGAGCGCTCTGACAATTCACTAAGATAAATACTAACACTTCAATTACAAAACAGGAGAGTAACATAATTCACAGAAGATGAAATACAAATAAGCATGTGAAAAGACATTCCACTTTGCTAATAATCAAAGAAATAGAAGACAAGATTTAAGAAATGGTAATGCCCACTGCTTGAAAGGGTCAAACCTTACAGTGCTCTCATATCCTGTTGTTAGTCATTTAAATGGGTGTCTCTCTTCTGGAAAACAGAAGTGGAACTATGTATTAAAACTTAAAATACAAGTTGGGACTTCTTATTAAAAACCTTAACAGAAAAACCACCCATATCCTTTGCAGCTAGGATTCCATCTCTGGAAATACTTAGAAATTCAGGCAAAAATTTATACCCAATGACATTCATTATTTATAATTGAAATTTTTTTTAAAAGGAAGCAACCAAAATCTTCCACAGTAAGAGAGTGCTTAAATAAACTATGGTACATCTAGATACCTTAGCCATTCCTTAGCCATTATTAATTATAACATTCCTTAGCCATTAATAATTACATTTTCCAAGAATTTTTAATGACATGGGAAAATACTTACTCTATATTGCTAAATGAGAAAAACGGGTTACAGAACAGTATGTCTTCATGCTGTATAATCCTGATTATGTAAATAAATAAATATACATGTAGAAGGGTGATCAGTGAGGCAGAACAAAAGTATTGTAGAGACACTGCATTTTTTTTTAAGTTGCTAGCAGATTTAAGTTCCTACCAGTCTCTGGTGTTAAAGACAGAAGTCACCTTGGAAAAAATGGTTCTTTGTTTTGGATGTCCTTCAGTTATACAAACGTAGGACAAATATCCACTCCGTGTTCTTGGAGTATTACTGAGTATTGGTGAAATCCCCAAATGCAAATGATAGAAGCTGAGAAGTAAAATATTCTATATTATTGTTATTTTCAGAAGAAAAGACTGTTTTGTGTTAGAGTGGGGATATCTCTGAAAGAGATCTTTTTGGTATTAAATGATTTTTCTTTTTTTTTTTTTTAAGGGAAGATCAGTGGGGAAAAGGGAAGGAAAGCAGGATAGGAAGGGCTTAATTCATTCATTCTGTGGAATGACTGAGGGTCTACCACATGCCAGGGATTGTTCTAGACCTCAAAGTAGCACTGCCCGGTGAAACAGAGTTCCAGCTCTCATGGGGCTTACTCTAGAAAGGGAGACAGACAGTAAATGAATACAAGTATAATATGCCAGGATGTGATAAGTGCTATAGAGAAGAAAGCAGGGTAAAGGACCAGGGAAGTATGCAGTGGGTGTTATTTTATGCGGGGGCTGGGGTCAGGGAAGACCACACTGCTGGGTAACTTTTGAACAGAGATCTGCAAGAGGTGAGAGAGTGAGTCACGTGGACATTGTGGGGAGAGCATTGCAGGTGGTGGGGACAGCACAGACAAAGCCCTAGAGAGGGAGATGTGCCTGGACAATTTGATGAACAGCAAGGAGACTGGTGTGGCCAGAATAGAAGGCCAAAGGGGAGAGTGGAGGGAGAGGTGGAGGCAGGAGGGATGTTGGAACGTACAGGCCGTGGTGTAAGGACTTCAGATTTTTGTAAAGACAACCTTACCGAGGTATAATTTATGTTATAAATTTAACCATTTTGAGTGTTCATTAGATGGGTTTTGACAGATGTCTCCACCTATGTAACTACCACCACTATTAAGACATAGAACATTTCCACCACCCTCATTGCCCTTTGCAAGTGGTCCCTGCCCACCCCAGCCTGGGGCAACCAGGAGTCTGCTTCTTGCCATTGGAAATACATGGTACTCACTCTGCATCTGGCTTCTATTGCTCAGCGTGTTGATTTTGAGATGCATCCATGCTGCAAGTATGATTAGTTTGCTCCTTTTTATTGCTAAGCAATTTTCCCTTATGTGTATGCACCCAGGGTATTTATCCACTTGCCTGTTGATGGAGTTTTCTAGTTTGGGGTTCTTATGAGTAAAGCAGCTATGAGCATTCTTGCACACTTTTTGTGGACATACATACACTAATTTTTCTTTGGTAAATACCTAGGAGTGGAATTCTGAGTAATAGGGTAAGTATGTGTTTAAATTTATTAGAAACTGCCAGTTTTCCAAAGTGATTGCGCCATATGTTCATCAGCAATATATGAGACTTCCAGATGCTCTAGTTCTTACCAATACTTGATATGGTGAGTCTTTTTAATTGTACCATTCTATAGAATGTGTAGTGGTATTTTGTGTTTTACTTTGTTAGCAGTGTGATCTCAGGCAATTTATGTAAGCTCCCTGAACTCTGGTTTCTTTGTAAAATGGGAATAATGATAGTTCCTACCTCATAGCAGTGCTATGAGGATTAAATGTGGTGGTGCACGTAAAGCATTAGTTCAGTGCTAGGCACATGGCAAGTGCCCAGTAGAGAGAAGCTAGCTATTGTTATCTCTTAACAGAGAGATGCCCTCTGTGCTCCCAACCACAGGCCACCATTTATTTATCATCAACCTTCTACCATGTGGCTGGAGCCCACAGATTCCATTGGTGAGGGTTGCCTCTCTTGTGTCCCCTTATCCCTGTCCCCTGGCCTGGGATCCCCCCCAAGTCACTAATAATCTCTGTGTTAAGTCTCATCGTCTATCCCAAGTACCTCTTCAAGGCATTTTCCCAGTGAACACTGTTCATAGCCATTAAGATAATACATAATTTTCGGCCAGGCTCGGTGGCTCATGCCTGTAATCCCAGCACTTTGGGAGGCTGAGGCGGGTGGATCATGAGGTCAGGAGTTCAAGATCAGCCTGGCCAGCATGGTGAAACCCCATCTCTACTAAAAATACAAAAAATTCGCCGGGCATGGTGTCGCACCTGTAATCCCAGCTACCTGGGAGGCTGAGGCAGGAGAATTGCTTGAACCCGGGAGGTGGAGGTTGCAATGAGCCCAGATTGCGCTGCCGCACTCTAGACTGGGCAACAGAGCAAGACTCCATCTCAAAAAAAAAAAAAAAAAAGAAAAAAGAAAAAAAGATAATAAAATTTTCAAGTATTCCCTCAAGCCCGCGCCAGGGCTCATTCTCATCAGCCAGATGGAGTGAGGGCTCTTCTGGGGGCAGGTTAGGGAGCCAGGAGCTCAGGCTGGTATCCAGGCAGGCCCTGAGAGAGAGGGACCTCGGTCCACCCCACTGCCTGCCACCACTGAGCAGCCATGACGATTATGCCTCCCCGCTCTCCGCTCATGCTCCCTCAAGGAGATCTTGAATATTTATCATGTATTAGGTGAAAAAAGAAGTGGAACAGGAGGAAATTGTGTTACTGCATATGAAATTTGCCTGAAAAGTTTCCACTCTTCCTCTAGTTGGAAAATAGTTTTGATTTGAAATATGAAGCTTCTCTCCAACTTATTATCTCAGAAGCGAGAATGGAAAATGATGCTCCTTGGGTTTCAGGTGGAGCCGCCGGAGGTGGTGGGCGTTTATGGTCACCAAGAATTGTCTTTAGAAATTGCCCCTTGTGCATCAAAATTGCACATTGCTTTTTTCTTCTCTCGCTGCTTCCCCCACCGAAATTTGCCTGCAGCTCACAGGCAGGAGAGAACAGAGAGGAGAATGTAGCGGGAGGTATCCCTGCGCCCCCACAGGACACCCAGACTCATTTTGTCCTGGACACACATTGGGCTACAGCAGCATCTGCTCCATGTCATTCAGTTCCAGGTTGGAAGGAGTCTCTTGGGACGCAGAATCCAATTCCCTCTGCGCAACATTTTGTGGTTTTCAGGGTCACTGCTCCCTTTGAGACTTGGGAGACCGCTGTGGATCCACTCTGCGGAAAAGCACACATACATATCAACTTGTGTGGGGTTTGTGGATTCCCTACATTTAGTCCACCTCCTGGTCAAGAACAGTCTACAATGACATGAAAAAACACCACCACCAAATTAAAAGGCACCATTTATGGAGCATTCATCATTAAATGGGTAAGTGCATGTAAAGGGTACTTAGCATAGTACCCGGTACGTAGTGAAGTACACTTCTCCTTGTAGCTCTCATGTAATCCTGATGATAACTCTGGGTGCTGCCGACCCCATACTATAGATGAGATATCTGAGGCCCAGAAACTTTAAGTCATTTGTCAAAAGTCACGCAGCAGGGCCAAGATGATAACCTAGGTCTTTCTGACCCCGTACTTGTCCTCTTTCTTTTTTTTTCCTTTTCTTTTCTTTCTTTCTTTCTTTTTTTTTTTTTTTTTTGAGACGGGATCTTGCTCTGTCGCCCAGGCTGGAGTGCAATGGCACAATCTCAGCTCACTGCAACCTCAGCCTCCCGGGTTTAAGCAATTCTCTTGCCTCAGCCTCCCGAGTGGCTGGGGTTACAGGCGCCCGCCACCACACCCAGCTAATTGAACTTGTCTTCTTAATATTCACCTTGCAGGTGGGTCTCATCTCTCTGTGCTTATCTCCAGTGACAGTGTCTTTGCAGTCACTCAGAGCTGATCACCTTTCCATGTCTGCATTGTTCAGACTTTTAGAAAGTCTTTCCCTTACCTGAAGCCCAAACTGGCATCCCGGTTTTAGCCCTGTCCTCTGTGGCCACACATGACACAGGCACTCCTGCTGTCCCATCATAACCCTGCAGAGATTTGAATTCAGTCGTGCTCTTCCAGCCGCCTCCTTCCTCTGCATCTCGAGACTTGCTCAAGGTCACATAGCTTGAACGTGGCGAAGGCAGGATTGAAACTGGGTGTGTTAGTTTCCTGCGAATGCTGCAACAAATGACCACAAACTGGGTGGCTTCAAACAACAGAAGTGTATTCCTTCATAGTTCTGGAAACCAGAGCTCTGGGATCAAGGTGTCAGCAGGGTTGGTTCCTTCTGGAGAGTCTAGGAGAGTATCGGCTTCTTGCCTTTTCTGGCTTCCAGTGACTGACAATATTTCTCGTCCTATAGATGTGTCACTCCCACGTGTGCTCTGTCTTCATGTTGCTTTCTCCTCTGTGTGCCTGTATTCTCCTCTTCTTTGAAGGACACTTGCCACTGGATTTAGGGCCCACTTGAATAACCCAAGATGATCTCATCTCTAGATCCTTAACTACACCTGCAAAGACCCTTCTTCCAAATGAAGTCACATTCACAGATGCCCGGTGGACATATCTTTTTGGGGGTGGTGCACCTTTCAGTCCACCCTACTGGATTGGCCATCTGCAAAGCTTTGTGACTGACCACTATGCCTTAATGAAGAAGCCCCATACCATGGGCTGAATGTGATTCACAGATATATTTGATTTGGTCTAATAATCTTTTAAGAGCAATTTGAATCTATCATAACTATTTAACAATTGGAAAAGACTTCATTTATGTGGCTGTATAAAGCAACATTCTCTCCCTTTCCTCCAGGAAAGCATTGAAAAGCAACAAGGAGAAAAATAAAAGTCTGTAAATTTCACTTTTTATTGAAACTACAGGGCAGTTTTAATCACCAGACTCTAATTTATGTGAAAGGGCTGCCAAATCCAGCTGAGACCAAGCAGCATTTCGATGAACAAAGAGGAGACAAAAAACTGAACAGAGAAGTCTTAGCAATAAGAAGACTCATTGCTGGGAGATCTCAAAAGTCTTTGAAAAAAATTAATTTTATGAGGGCAAATGTCACGATCTAAGGTACAAAAGCAGCGTGCAGATCTCTTGTTTATAACCATGAGTATAGGAAAGGCAGTGAGCTGAGGTGGAAATAGTAGTTTCTCTGGATCTAGTATGTTCAAAGAAGCAAAGGAGATGCAGCTACAGGAAGAATCACACAGACAGCCATATTTGCAGGAAGCAGTCTGTCTCTGTGGCAGTAGAGAATAAGACTATTTGCTGGGCGCAGTGGCTCATGCCTGTAATCCCAGTACTTTGGGAGGCCAAGGTGGGTGGATCACAAGGTCAGGAGATCGAGACCATCCTGGCTAACACGTTGAGAACATCCTGGCTAACACAGTGAAACCTTGTCTCTACTAAAAATACAAAAAAATTAGCCGGGTGTGGTGGCTGGCGCCTGTGGTCCCAGCTACTCGGGAGGCTGAGGCAGGAGAATGGTGTCAACTCAGGAGGCAGAGCTTGCAGCAAGCAAGCCAAGATCATGCCACTATACTCCAGCCTGGGCAACAGAGCGAGACTCTGCCTCAAAAAAAAAAAGAGAAGAATATTTGTGTTGTGAAAACAACCACTGGAACATTGCTTTGAACCTACCTGTTTATTGACCCTCTTTCCCCAGGGAGAAAGATTCTTTCAGGAAACTGAACTAATTCCCTAATGAGTAATACAAAGGAATTGACATGTCATCAATACAAAGATGTTCTATGAAAAAGAGCAAAAGATCACTTACTAACACATAAAGAACATGCATGAGAAAAAAGTTGTCCCAGAGCACTTGGAAATTGTGAGTATGTTGGAGAACTTCTGTTTGCCCTTCATATCCTCCGTCCATCCTGCTCCAGACTGACCTGTGCCTTGGGGAAGCTGACCCATGTGAATTGCCTCATTGGACTACCCTCTGTCCTCTGCTTCCCAATGTTACATGTTGGGAGAAACTAGAGGGGGAAGAAAGTGATGTAGGGTTATTTATTCCTCTGCTTCTTCCCTATTTGGTCACCTGCTTGGCCTGAATCCCTTTAGAGAAGCCAGTGTTTTCTAGGGAAGCCCTTTCCACAGAGCTATCCTGTCTTCAGATTCTGGTAACCATTCTGTCATCTTGCCCCAGCAGACTCGGGGTGGTGCTGTGGGTTGAATTGCGTGCCCTAAAAAAAGATATGGTGAAGTCCTAACCCACAGTCCATTGGAAACAGACATGCATTGAGGGAAGATGATATAAAGAGAAACACAGGGAGAAGGCAGCCATGTGACTGGAGTGATGCATCTAGAAGCCAAGGAACACCAAGGATCACTGGCAAACACCAGAAGCTGGAAGAGCAAGGAGGGATTCATCTCTAGAGTCATCAGAGAGAGCATGGCCTTGCTGATACCTTGACTTCAGACTTCTAAGCTCCAAAACTGCGACTGCTAGATTTCTGTTGTTTTCAGTCACCCAGTTTGTAGTGTTTTGTTTTGGCAGCCGTCAGAAACTAGGGTAATAGAAATGGTAAGGCCTAGGTGCTGGGACTGCCACCTTCACATGAAACAAAGCGAGAATCAGAGAACAAAAAGCCCCTGCTGCTTGAGGGTGTCATGGAGAAGTAGTGGGAATAAGCTGGAAATGCCAGTGGGAAAAAAAAGTCATTAAATGAGACAAAGAAGAGAACTTTCAAATTCCAATCATATATGTTTATGTGTATATTTATAATATTATGCTTATGTTACATGTACTTAACTTTAATGAAGATATAAAGGTTATGAACTATCTATGTACCAAATAAAGTAGAATCTACATGAAAAACAATAAAACTTATGGGAAATGCAAGGAGAAAGAAAAACATACTAATAGTAGAAGATTTTACTTTTTTCTGTTTGACAGATTAAGTGGATTAAAAGTAAATATAAATAAATTATAATCTAAATAATATAATCAGCAAGGTATAATGTATGTGTCATATATGCACACACACACATATATATGTATATACACACACATATATACATATCACAGAGAGTTATGTAGAGAGATTTTCCATGGGCACTTAAAGGAAAACTGTAGCAGTTTTTCCCTCAATAAATTCTGCCCTCAAAAAATATAGTACAGAGATTATTTTCAGATCATAATTCAATTAGGTAGAAAATAACGACAAAATCAGATAACAAAAAGCCCCTGCTGCATGGGGGTATCACGGAGAAGTAGTGGGAAAAAGCTAGAAATGCCAGAGAAAAAATGCATAGTTTTAAATATTTGGTCTTAAATTCAGTAAACAAGTATGAGAACAAAGCATCCAACCTGGAAAGTTAAAAAAAAAAATCACAAAATGAGCCTAAAGAAAAAAGAGGAAAAAGTGAATAAAGTACCAAGAATAATGTAATGAATTAGAAAACACAGAAAATGGAATAAGGATAGAATAAATAAAATTGAAAAAATATTTTACAAGACAATAAAATGGATTAGTTTCTATTCCTAATAAAAAAAATCAGAAGGCAAATATACACAAAATAGAAATAATAAAGAAGAATTAACACAGAGACAAAATTAATCATGAAAACCGTTCAACTCTACAAAAACAAATTTGAAAACTAGAATGACTATTAAATTATCTAAGAAAATATAATTTACCAAAATGATTCCAGAAGACATAAAGCATTTTAAATGTACTGATATTCATGGGAAAGTTGTCAAAGAGCTATCTTCCAAAAGGCACCAGGCCAAATGGTTTTACAAATAATTTTTTTCTGCATTAAAGAACAAATAATTCCAATATTCCAATATTAATGATTCAGCTCTAGAACATTGAAAAGAAGAGAAAAAATCCAAATTATTTTAATACATTAAGCAATACATCAGAGACAAATCCCAGTGAAGACTGAACCCAAAAGGAAATGCCAGACTCATTTCACTTATGAATATTAATTTTAAAATCCAAAATAAGGCATTAGCAACAAAATTAATAGCACTTAAAAGTATAATAAATCATACTTAAGTGGAATTTATTCTAGGAATGCAAGGATGGTTTAACATTAAGAAACCAATTTAAATTATTTGTTATATTAAAATGATTGATCTATGAAAAGGAACCATTGGTTTTTTATTTTTAAAAAACTCAATAAAATAGGAATAGATGGATATTTCCTTAAGATGAAAAAATCTTTCTCAACTAAAAAATCAGCATCATAAATAATGGGGAAATGCTGGAAGATTTCCTGCTAAAGTCAGGAACAAGAGAAGAATTCCCACTTTCAAAACTATTATTTAATATTGTACTAGAGGAAGAAACCAATGAAATTAAATAAGAGGAAGAAATGAGAAGTATAAAAATTATAAAGGAAGAAATAAAGTTATAATTCTCAGATGATATAATTGTATATCTGAAAAACCTTGGAAGATATACTTTGGAACTACTGTCAAAAATAGGAAAATTCAGAAAGGTAGCAGGGTACAAGATGAACATAAATAAATCATTAACTTTCATATATATATATAAACAACCAGTTGTTTATATGAATGTAATGGAGGATATAATGGAAGAAATGAACTTGTATCCTCCATTATATCCTTTAATTTTGTAGATAAGTTTGTTTCTTCCATTACATCCTTCATTATATTCATACAAACGACCAGTTGTTTATATATATATGAATATAACGGGATATAATGGAAGAAATAAACTTAGCTACAAAATTAACAAAAAGATAAAACACCTAGGAATAAATTTAACAAGAAATGTCCAAGGCATATATGAAAAACAAAGCAAAACTTAACAAAAAACCTACCTTTAACTGCTTGGAAGGCTACTAAAACAATCTTGAACAAATGGCAGTCTGCTATATTCTTGAATTAGAAAATTTGACCCCATAACTATTTCATTTTCCCCCAAGTTAATTTTTTTCTAAGTTAATTTTTTTCTTTTCTTGTTTTTGTTTTTGTTTTTTCTTCTTGTGGAAAACAGGGTCTTGCTATGTTGCCCAGGCTGGTCTCAAACTCCTGGGCTTAAGTGATCCTCCCACCTCTACCTCCCTAAGTGCTGGGATTACAGGCATGATCCACTGCACCTGGCCTAAGTTAATTTTTAAGCTTAATGTTATCCTCATAAAAAAACCAATAGCTCTTTTTGTGGGGGCGAGAAGGAGAATGGGGAACTGGGCAAGGAAATTGTAAAATTCATGTAGAAAACATAAACAAGAACAAGCATCATCCTTTTTACTTCTTTTCAATTTGCTTCCTTTTACTCAAAATTGTGTTTTTTAAAGAAATTTATCCATGTTGATACATATAGCTATATATCATGCATTCTAAATGTTGTATGCGGATACTGTAATGTAGTAGTTCTCCTGTTAGTGGATATTCAGATTGTCTCATGGATTGTGGAATGTCTTTTATATTTCCGATCATTCTGGGTGTGTATGTGGGGGCGGGGGGCAGCCTGGGGCTCCTCCACCACCTAGGGAATATAAATTCAGACCTACACGGAAGAGTCACCTAGGATTCTGATTTCTTGCAGATGACTTACAATTTATTTCCATCCATGGGCCTAGAAATCTGTCTGATGCTTCCTTGAACTGATGGAAATAGTTTTCCTTGACCCTTGATGCTCTTACCTTGTGCAGGCAGAAGGCCACAGTGCAGCCCCTGGGATTATTAAAATCCCAGCCCCCCCAAGTCACTAGGTCCAAGACACCTGGGACCACTGTACTCTCTGTTTCTGCTTATAGCTTTGGCTTTGGGGTCTCTACCAGAGGCCTGGGGATCCCAGTTCTTTCTTTTAATCTCAACTATGTGTTTGCAATCTTCATATCTATGTGGCTGTGGGAGGTGGGAGGCCCTTTTGTATCAGCTCCGTTCACTGTGTTGCCAGAAGTCCAGGATTTGCCCTGGGTCCCCAGAACATTCTATTTTGTCCAATTGCTCCAGCCAGTAAGGTCTTCTCATGTCCTGATTCTAGCTCCTGGCCTCCTTGCTGCCCCTCCTGGCCTCCTGCTCTGTCTGCCCTGGATGTCTTTACTCAGGCCGCAGAGAGATGGATTCTGTGAATGTGCTATACACAGCACCTGGCACAGATGCTGCCCCCCATGAAAGTGTATGCTGGTTTAGGACATTAAAAACAGACATTGAGGGCAGTCTTTAAACTCTTCTCCAGGTTGACACTAACCCATTAATCAGTATAGATAGTTGACGATTTTCACACCCATGGGTGCCAGTCCCAATTAGTCCATCTGTGTAGTGCCCGCCCTGGGCAGCTAGAACCTCTATGCTGGGGGAGTGGAGGGTGTAGGGAGAGAGGAGAAAACCTGAACAAGGCCAGTCCAAGGCTGAGAAATACACTCCCTTGTGGGTTTGATCCTCAGGAGTCATTGTCCACAGGCCAGAGGGGAAGCAGGTTGGATGTGAGCAGCAGAGTCTTCTGAATGCTCTGATTTGGAGTTTGGCCCCTGGCCAGAGAGGTCCCCTGGCTGGGTTCCTTCCTACTGTAAAAGATTTTTCAGAACAAGATTCAGGGTGATGTAAATGAAGCCAAAGCTGTGGAGGTGAGAGGAGTAACCAGGCAGATGCCCAGGACAGTGCTCCACTCCCAGGGCCCTGGGGGAGTCTGCAGCTTACTGAACCCCTGGAGGCTTGGCCCAGAGCCCTGAACACAGGCCAGGACTGAGCTCAGAGTGACACAACAGCTTGCATGTTCTACCCACCGGTGGGAGGGGTGGGTGGGGCTCCTGATTCCCAGCCAGGTCCCAGGGCCTCTCAGTGGGTGGGATTGGGGCACAATGTGTGAGTAATGGGGGTGGTTCTCTGCCCAAGGCCAGAGCAAGACAGGCCCAAGAAATCATAGGTTCAAACCTGCCTGTGATCCAAGGCCCTTCTATGGAAGCTACCATCCTGTAATCCCAGGCCTTCTCTCTGAGGCCAGTGAAACCTCAAAGAGGTCTAGGCAAATGAAGGAAGAAGTATCTTGAACATAGAAATCACTATTGTTTCAGTCATTCTATGCCCACGACCTAGCCCATGTTCCTTTACAAATTCTGATGGGGCCTGATGTCAGTGGCCCAGGTGCAGAGAATGACCCTGCCTGGGGTATGTTGTGGGAGCTTGAAACTTCCCAGGGTGGGTGGTGGGGTTGAGAGGTTGTGGACCTGCTATGGTGAGGCATTACCACAGCATCTCTGGACAAACTGAGCCATGCAGTGGGACCAGGTCTCCCCTCTGTCCGGGGTTAGCCTTCCTTCACGGGTCATAGACAGGCGGCAGCATCTTGCCAGTCTCCGCATACATTCTCTGTGCACCCCAATTAGCAATGGGCAGAGAGAGATAGGCCATCACTCAACCAACACAGGCCTTTTGCTGGTACTTACCATGACATAAAAACTGGGACGCAGGAGGATGACCTCTGACACGCCTCAGCTGGCAGTCTCCGAGGCAGAAGAACCCACTGGACTTTGGCGATCCCAGAACTTGAGGACTGTACAGAGAAATTGATAGGGAAACCTCAAGCAACGAGAAACGTGTTTTCTCTTCATCAATGGGCTGTGAAAAAAGGAATCCCTGGAAGAGAGTTACAGGACTTTTTGAGAGAGCACTTTAGAAAGATTCTCTATAAACAAATGTTTTAGGGGAAAATATTAATTCATTTTAGAAGAGAATGTTAATTCATGGCATTATTCCCAAGTCCAAGAGTCCATATGTAATTCCATCTATGGTTGCACATAAGACATTTGGGAAGATGAGAATGTGCGTGCATTACAGGACACCAAACAAACCAACAGTGATGGAGACAGCATGCCCTGAGTTTGGAATGCCTTAGAGAGCTTGGCAGAAATGCAGGGATGTTCAGGGTTGTTTAGGAGTGGGATTACCAGACACTCCTGACAGAAAAGGATAAAGAGAAAGCATCCTTCATATGTCTGGCAGGACTTAGCAGATGGAGAGGACACATCTGGATTTCTGGGCCTGGCCAGTTGCCAGTGGCTGTTGGGGAGGAACCAATGGGAAGTCCAATGTATTTGCAAAATGTCACTCACTTATAAGGACTCAGTGAAGCAGGAGCTTCTGTAAAGTGCAGGACAATTTTGAGGAGATGGAGTTGAAATCATCGTTCACTGGGCAGTGTTCATTCTTTGGTGCTATGTAGAATACAGCTTTATTTATTTATTTATTTATTTTTTGAGACAGGGTCTCTCTCTGTCACCTAGGCTGGAGTGCAGTGGTGCAATCACCGGTCACTGTAACTTCTACCTCCTGGGCTCAAGCCATCCTCCCACCTCAGTCTCCCGAGTAGCTGGGACTACAGGAGTGCACCATTACGCCTGGCTAATTTATTTATTTTTGTAGAAACGGGGCTCCACTATGTTGCCCAGGCTGGTCTCAAACTTCTGGGCTCAAGTGATCCCCTCACCTTGTCCTCCTAAGGTGTTGGGATTACAGGCATGAGCCACGGTACCTGGCCCATAGAGTACAACTTTCTGACAAGGAGGGAGCAGAGATCTAAAAAGGATGTCATCTTTACTGGAAGATTCAGCCTCAGAGGACTAAAGACATTGAGGGGATTTGGGGGATGCTTTAAGCAGTTTGTCAAACGTTATCCTAACAAGGAGCAAACTTCCCACAGATTTGATCTGTGTCTTGCTGCAGTAGGGGCTCCTGACAGCAAGGGGGCAGCCAAGAGCAGCCCTGGGGTGGAGAGGGAGGCTAGAAATCACTGGCCCACGGACCCAGCCAGGGAACCAGGCAGAAGCCTGCAGGCAGGCATTCGGGACCGAGGAAGTCAGCACCCCAAATGACTCTGAGAGCTCCAAGACTGCCTTCCCTCTACACACTGCTGCCATCTTGGAAGGACTAGAGACCGTGCTAAGCCAGGAGGATCCTGGGAAAGGAAACCTGTGTTTTGGTTGTGGCCCAGCACATAACAAGGAGGAACCAACTGTGGTTCCTGGAATCTCATGGGTCCCCCATTCCCAGTGTAGGGGAAGCTGTCCAATTCCCAAGGTTGGCAGTTTCCATCGGGCCCCTGTTCTCTCCTTTTGTGGATGATCTATCTAGCACAGTGTTTCTCAGCCAGGGATAATTCCCTGCCCCGCCCCCATCGACACTCCCACCTCCCCGTAACCCACCCACCCACCCCGTGCTCCACTGTGCCCCATCCCCAGGGGATGTTTGGCATTGCCGGGAGATTTTTGGTTGTTACAACTTGCGGGAAGGGTGCTCCTAGCATCTAGGAGATGGAGGCCAGGGATGATGGTAGGCACGCACAGGATGGCCTCACAACAAAAAATTATCCATCTCAAAATGCCAACAGTGCTGAGGCTGAGAAACTCTGACCCAGAATTATCTTGCTGAGTTTGTTTTCAAAGGCAAGTGCCAGGCTTCAGGCTAATTTTGCCCTCAGTCTAGCCAACACCACCGTCCCCGAGGCAAGATGTCCTGGGTACTTTCTTAGAATTGGTGAGGAAAAATTACAGAGAATAAAATACGCATCATTTCTCTGACTCTCTTACATCAGGGAAAACAAAATGTAAATTAAATTTTCAATCCATTATTCTGCCACACCTTCAACCTGCCAAGCTTTGAGGTTCCTAAGGACTTCCAAGTCAATGATTTCGGTTTTTAGTTTAGTTTTTTTTTTTTTTTTTCTACTTTCAGCTTCATGCATCGGTGTGGGGATGGAAGCTGAAAGCGTGGGAGTGGATGAGATCACTCACAGAGCATTTTCTGCAGAGTGGGAATTGCAGAGGAACAAGGACAAAACCCCAAGGACTGTAGACACTTAATAAGGGGCCAAGGGGAGGAGGAGGGACAAAGAAATTCCTGAGGAAGGAGGGGAAGGAGCAAAGTGAGAAGGGGGAGGAGAATTTTATTCAAGCATATTGCACATTTTTAAAGCGCTTACTATGTGTCAGGCACTGTGCTAGAATCCAGAGATACTGGTGTGTGGGGATTTAGGGAGTTCCAAGGAAACGAGGGATCCATTCATTTATTGGTTCATTGGTTCATCCGTCTGTTCATACAACAGCTATTTATTGAGTGCCTACTATGTGCCAGGCACTATTCTGGATTCTGAGGCAGATATGTCAGTGGTGATCAAAACAAAAGTCCCCCCCTCAGGCAGCTTGCGCTCTGGTGAGGAGGATACAGAAGAACAAGGTGAAGAAACGTTGCTAAGAAGTGAATGGGAATGAGGGCTGAAAGGGGACTTCCATGGGGGACCACAGAGAGCAGTTCTGGTTGACTGATGGCTGAAGACACTGACTGCCAATGGCCCAGTGAGGGAAGAACAGGGGAAGGCCTGGCACATAGTAGGCTCACCACATGTTGGACAAACAAGCCAGTTCCTGGGTCACTGCCTAGAAACAGCCTCGGTCTCATTCCCTAGTGATTTATTATTGCAACTGCTGCCATTGCCTTTGAGCTTCTTCTGAAAAGTTTTGTGTAAAGTAGGAAATAGAAAGTGCCAGGGTAGTCCTAGATTTAGAAAAGGGAAAGGAGGTATTTATTATTCCTTTAGTATAAGACAAGGCACAGTACCAGGAAAGGAATAATCAAAGTTGACAGCTCAGAGGAGATGACAGGAAATGGTTTGGAGGAGTCTCCTTTGGTCACGAATGCTAAGAGAATTTGTGCCAAACCAGGGAGTTAGCTGTGAGAGATTTTGCCTCAAAAACATGTCTAATTTCATTTTTAAAACCCTTCTAGTAGAGGTGAAGCAGGCTTGTATCTGTGGATTATACCACCCCAGGAGGGCTTCACAACAGACATGAAAATAAATTAGTTATGACAGTCACTTCCTGAAGTCGGCAATGCTAGTTCTCACTTGAGATCCAGTGGCCATCAGTGCAGCAGTTAAAGAAGTTCAGAAGAGCCTTTGAGTGGGTGTATTTTAGAGCGGGTGTATTTTAGAGCCTGGATTCAGAGACCGTGGAAGAAAGTCCACAGTGGTGCTAAGACCTCCAAGCATGACGAGAGCAAGAGTTGTTCCTTGTGGGCTTGTTTGAAGTAAAAGGATCTGGATACCCACTTCTGGTGAGACTTGACGTTCACACAAGTCTGGGGCCAGGAGGCCTATGTGTTGGACCTGTGTCCGCCCTGTGTGACCGTGGGCTGAGCACTTGCCCCTCTGAGCTTCTGCACAAGCAGGGCATTGGATCCGTGATCTGTGAGCCCTGGAAGTGACCTGCTCTTGTTTTGTCCTGTCCTCATTTGTCTGCTAATAGCATCTCCATTTCCCTTGGGCAGCCCCATCTCCCATCCTGTGCGGTGCTTGTAAGCCTGTCAATCAAGTTCTCCTCACCTCTCCTGGCTAAGGGGAGTCACATGATCCAAGCTCTGCCAATCAGACTCTCCCTTGGGAAGGAATCTGAATCTTGAACAGAGAGACAGCAGGTCAAATGCCAGTGGGAACCATTGGCACCTCGGGCCTGGGTCTCTGCAGCTGCTCTGCTCTCCATCTTTTTTGAAGTTTTTCCTTCAATCTTGTGAATGACCTCATTCCTCCTATTGAGAATTCCCTCTTTGCCTACGTTAGTAAACATTACTCCTGTTGCTTACAACCAACGAATTCTAATGTTATGTAGCCCTTTTAGCTTTGAAATTTGGGGGAAATAATTGTGCCTCACAGCTTTCCTGTAGAGATTAAATGAAATAATGTACATGATGGTGCCCAGCAGGGCAGGTACTGTCAGGGTGAGTTCCCGCCTCTTCCTTGCCTCTATGACTTGTCTATTGAACATGCCATTGGTGATGAATCTTCCTTCATGAGACTCTTGAGACTTCATGAGACTCATCCTCATGAGACTCTTTTGTAGAAATTAACACAAGAAAGGGTTATTGTGAATGGGAATGTATGAGGTGATTCATTTTGTTCATTTGGCAAATATTTAATGAGCACCTGCTGTGTGATAGGCCGTTCAAGGCACTGGAGATACATCCATGAATAAGACCAAGGCCCTGCTCTCAAGGAGTTTATATTATAGTGGGAGAGGCAGACAGTAAACAGATATTAGGTTTCGATGGAGTGGTCAGGGAATGTGTTTCTCTGGAGGTGACAAATGGGCAGCAATATGATTGAAGTGAGGGAGGAAGACATTCTATTTTTTAACTTTTAAGTTCGGGGTATATGTGCAGGTATGTTACATAGGTAAATATGTGTCATGGGGGTTGGTTGTGCAGATTATTTTCTCACCCAGGTATTAGGCCTAGTACCCATTAGTTATTTCTCCTGATCCTCTCCCTCCTCTCACTCCCACCCTTCGATAGGCCCCAGTGTTTGTTCTTCCCCTGTATGTGTCATGTGTTCTCAGCATTTAGCTTCCGCTTGTAAGTGAGAACACTTGGTATTTGGTTTTCTGTTCCTGTGTTAGTTTGCTAAGGATAA
This sequence comes from Homo sapiens, assembly GCF_000001405.40. NCBI lineage: Eukaryota > Metazoa > Chordata > Mammalia > Primates > Hominidae > Homo > Homo sapiens. The sequence continues at coordinate 38,583,523 of NC_000001.11, read as the reverse complement.
TGGCCTCTAGCTCCAGCTCTGTCCCTGAAAAGGACATAATCTCATTCTTTTTTATGGCTGCATAGTATTCCATGGTGTATATGTACCACATTTTCTTTATCCAGTCTGTCATTGATGGGCATTTAGATTGATTCCATTGCTATTGTGAATAGTGCTGCAATGAACATAAGCATGTATGTGTCTTTATAATAGAATGATTTATATTCCTTTGGGTATATACCCATTAATGGGATTGCTGGGTCAAATGTTATTTCTGTCTTTGGGTCATTGAGGAATCGCCACACTGTCTCCCACGATGGTTGAACTAATTTACATTCCCACCAACAGTGTGTAAGCATTCTTTTGCCAACATCCATTATTTTTTGATTTTTTAAAAATAGCCATTCTGACTGGTGTGAGATGGTATCTCATGGTTTTGATTTGCATTTCTCTAATGATCAGTGATGTTGAGTTTTTTTCATATGATTTTTGGCCACATACATGTTATGTCTTCTTTTGAGAAGTGTCTGTTCGTGTCCTTTGCCCACCTTTAACAGGTTGCTTGTTTTTTTTCTTGTAAATTTGTTTAAGTTCCTTATAGATACTGGATATTAGACCTTTGTCAGATGTGTAGTTTGCAAAATTTTTCTCACATTCTGTCTGTTTACTCTGTTGATAGTTTCTTTTGCTGTGCAGAAAATCTTTAGTTTAATTAGATCCCATTTGTCAATTTTTGCTTTTGTTGCAATTGCTTTTGGCATCTTCGCCATGAAATCTTTGCCTGTGCCTGTGTCCTGAATGGTACTGCCTAGGTAGAAAAGACGTTTTAATTTCTAGAGGAAGAGCTTTCCAAGCTATGGGGGCAGCAAGTGCAAAGGCCCTGAGGGGAAAATGTGCTTAGTGTACCGAAGAACAGCTAGGACACCAATGTGGCTGTAGCACAGTGAGTGGGGAGGAGAACAGTAAGAAAAGAGGCTGGAAGAAGTAGCAGCAAGGTTCTACAGCCTCCCTGTCAAGCGGCCAGTCCTGCCACTGCTTGCACACCTTCAGGGATGGGGAGCTTACTTCTACCTGAGGTGATATTTGGACAGGCTTTTTAGAGTCAGGGTCTTGTTCTGTTGCCCAATCTGGAGTGCAGTGGCATGATCATAGCTCACTGCAGCCTCAAACTCCTGGGCTACAGCAATCCTCCCCGTTCAGCCTCCCAAGTAGCTGGGACTAGAGGCGTGTGCCACCACACCCGGCTAATTTATTTATTTTTGTAGAGGTGGGGTCTTGCTGCCCAGGGTGGTCTTGAACTCCAGGCCTCAAGTGATCCTCCCGCCTTGGCCTCCCAAAGTGCTGAGGATAAGCCACTATTTTGCCTCTTGAAGCTCCCCAGGACCCATCTGCCCTCACTTTTCTTGGCCAACCCCTTGGAGATCTGAAGCCAGCTCTTCATGTTTTCATTTTATTTCCTTGCGGTATCCCTCAGATTATCTGAGTCTCTTTGTAATTTTTCAGGATATTCCCTCCCTTTACTCTCTTTATTCTAGGCAGAATACTTTTATTAATTCTGCCTGGGATGAGTTTGTTTTTTATGGCAGCCCATTACACGCCTGTCACTGCTAATCACACCAGGCTTTTCTTTTGTGTAAGAGGCTGCTCTGGCAGCTCTCCCTGGATCTCCTCTTCTGCTCCTATAGGGCCATCGGTTTGTAATATAAGTTCAAGACACAACATTTATTTCTGTTAAAGTCCTCTTGTTGAATCAAGCCCACTAATCCCGCAAGTCAGACCTTATGAGATCCTGATTCCATCACCCAACATATTTACTATTTCTCTATTTTTTGGTCACCCACAAGTCTCATCCCAAAGCCACTGTCTCATTTGTGCATAAATATGCCTGGGTTGGCCTTGGCTGGGTGCCAGATTCTGCCCAAGAGCTGCAGATGCAGAGACCCCTTTGGGGAATCTACAATCTAGTTTGGTGGAGGACACAAAAACAGGTCATTCCAGCACAGCACAATGTGTAAGTCCTGTGGGAACCTGGTGTGGGTGGGTGCCAGGAAACACAAGCAGAGGCAACATGGAGCAGATATCTGCTAGGAGTCCAATCGGGAGGAAAGGCATTCCTGGAAGAAAGTACAGCACAGCAAGGCAAGGAGACAGGAAAGTTAGTGTTGTGTTCAGGGAACTGCATGTAGAACGGTGCATCTGGTGCAGGCCACTGAGTACATAGAAGCCTTGCATGGCTGGAAAAGGTGGATGGCAGAGAATATCAGTATCTTGAGTACTTCTCAGGAGCCAGCTGAATCCAGGGAAGTCTCAGTTTTCAATATCAACACAACTTGTGGGATTTCTGCAGTGGCACCTCCGGGCACACAATACTCATTTATCAGGGCTACCATTGGAGATATCCACACAGCAGATGCTCCTCTCTTGAAGGGTTTCCCTATGAGCCCCACCAGGGTTAGGACAGGCTTGGCAACTTCTGGGCTTGTGAGAGCTGGTCAGGAACACTCAGTTCTCACTCAATACACTCCATGGTCTTGATCCAAACTTACCCCAGTCCTCCCACCTTCCCTTTGGTGCTAGGCTTGTCTCTGTAAGATCCTTGAAATTCTGGGGGCCCAGAATGACTTATGTTCTGAATTTAGCACCTTAGCCCAGCAGCATTCTGTCTTGCAAAACCACCGCTCTGCCAGCTTCACATGAAGGGGCCATTTAATATGCAGCTGAGAAACAGCCCTACAAAGCAAAGAAGATAAGGTGGGAATGTTGAATATTCATTTTTGTGGTTAGAGGGTGTTTTTCCTATGATTCTGTTATTCAAATTAGCTTGGATTGTAACTTCCATTTCAACAACAAATGCTTAAAGAAACACAACAGGAAAATCCCCACTTTCTCTCCTGAGATCTCCTCCAAAGTGACCGGCCCCCCTGAATACTTCACCTTGAAGCCATGGCTGATTCATTTCTTCCACCCTCACAGGCCTAACCCAGCAGACAGGAGGAGGATGGAGGAGAGAGAGCCAGTCTTGCAAAGATTCCAGTCTCTGGGTCCTGGGGTCAGTGCCCACAGTCCCAAGACCTGTCATTTGATCTATGGCCTTTGACGAGCAGTGGGCCAGCCTGATCCTCAACCCAGCTCAGGAAGTAACTGAGAGCCACTGCCCTGTGTTCCCAGTGGGACGTGGGAAACCCATTCATTCCACTAGACCTGGAAACTGAGCCTCAGACCAGATAGCACTAATCGATGATGAAAACGTGAGCGGCAGTCAGCATTTACATGGTACTAAAATATTTTTGCATCCATCCATAGCTTTTCTTCTCCCTTGACATCTCTTGGTTCCATCCTGGATAGACCCTCACCTCCTATAACAATTTCTGCCTTCACTCTTGCTCCTCTCCAGTCTCCACGTGGCAGCCAGGGTGATTTTTAATTGGATCATGTCACCCCTACCTAAAAGTCTTCTGTGACTTCTCATTAGGCTTAGGATAAAATCTCCGGCTTACACAGTCTCTGAACCCCTTTTCTGCCCTTGTGTTTTCCATTCACTCTGCTTCTGCTACCAGTTCCTGGAGTCTGCCAAGCTCTTCTCTACCCCAGCACCTTTGCACTGGCTGTCCTTTATCCTGGACACGATTCCCAGTTCTCCTCCTGGTTGGCTTCATCTCATCTTTCAGCTTCAATATCACCTTCTCAGAGAGGCCTTACTAGATCTCCTGTGTGCAGTCGTTTCCTTATATGAATTTATTCTAGCATGCTCTTCATTACCTTCCTAGCCTTCCTAGGCACCATCTGTAATGATTTGTTTATTTGTCCTCTGTCTCCCCAATGACAAGGCAAGTCCCCCTAGGGCAGGGGACTTTGTTATCTTTGTCATCACCGCATCCTCAGGACCCAGCACAGTCTGGATAGACATTGACCAAATGAACTTACTGAGTGCCAACTATGTGTCAGGTTCCTCATTTAATCTTTACAGTAATCTGATGGACATGGTCAATACCCCCCATTATAGACGCTAAATCAACACTTTGATGTTACACAGCAGCAGAACAAGACACTGAACCTAAGTTACTTAACCCCACAGTCCATGTTCTTTCCATGTACTCTTCTGTGCCTGAAGCCCCAAGTCCTGATTTTGCTACTTACTGTCTATAGGACATAGAGCATGGCCCCAGCGTTTTGAACCTCCGTTTGCTCATATGTAAAATGTGGGCCTTAATAAAATCTGCCCCTGCACTATAGAGTGGCATAGACTCTGAAGCCAGGTTGTCGGGGTTCACCAGCCAGCTACCGGCTGTCTGACCTTGGATGAGTGACTTAACCTCCCTGTGCCTCAGTTTGATAATCTGTAAAATGGGCATAAGTGATGGTATTTGTAAGGACCACACGAGCAAATGTCTGTAGAGCCCTTTTTCACCTACACAGTTGTGAAAGGGCTAGCTATTGTTATCAGGAGTTGGCATATATGAACTTTATTGCTTTCCAAATCACTTCACATTCCAGCCTCACAAAAGCCCCCTGAGGTGAACAGGAAAGGCTTTATTTTCCTATTTTATAGAGGAGTAAACGGAGGCTGTGGAGGTCTTGCTGAGAGTCTCCATTCCTGACAACCTGGAAGCCCCAAACTCGAGGCCAGGTCCTGAGCAGCCCAGCGCTCTCTCCTCCGAGTCTCTGCGGCTTCTTCTCTGACTTCGTGCCGGATGTCCACGCTCCCGCTCCCGCCCCACCTGCCTTGCTTCTGCTGATCTGTCTTTTGCTCCATTAGGCAGGGCCGCGGCCCCTGGCCCTGCGAGGCGCTCTGCGCCCTCTGCGCGCTCCGGCTGCCCGCGCCCGCCCGACCCCGCCCGAGAGGTGACGGCAAAGTGAATTAGCGCGCAGCCGAGGGCGCGGGGGCGCCGAGGTGCCCGGCAGCTCCGCGGGCGCAGCACTTCCCGGCCTGATATTTGCACAAAGTGCTCTCAGGGCCTCTTTACATTTGCACTTGGCCGGGGAGTTAGCGTTTCCGCCGAGCGCGACTTCTCCAAAGGGCGCTCGCATCCTGTGTTTGAGGAACGGAGGCGAATACTTCCCACCGCTCTCCGGATCGCGTCTCCCGGTCCCCGTGTCCCCCGCCCGCTCTCGCCGCCGCCGCCCCCTCCTCTCTGGCTCGCTCCCATCCTGGGCGCGCTCCCCTCTTAAGTTCTTCGTGTCTGTCTTCCTCCCGTCCACGCTCTCTCTGGTCCCTTCGGCTCCTTCCATCTCCGCCTCTCTCCATCTGTATCTCTCCCAGGTCCAGCTCTCTGCCTCTCTCTCCCGGTCTCTGTCTTTACTTCCGTTTGTCTCATTCTCCCAATCTCACTTTCTCCATCCTGGCTGGGTCCTCTCTAATTTTGCCTCCGGTCTCTCCCTCCTCCTCTCCCTCAACAGTAAGGATGCCGGTCTCAGCTCAGGCCTCTCATTCCTGTGGTTGATGCCTGCATGGTGGTTTGGAGAAAAGCCTTGGTCCCATGTACTTTTCAGATCCTTTCAGAGGGTTCTTGTAGATCTAGGAGAATAGAAGGGAAGGGGCCTCAGGTCCTATGTGGGCCAAGTCCCCATTATCCATGTGGCTTTTGCTGGCTGACCATCCCAATGACGTTAACTCTGGGCACTGCCTCTTTTGCCACTGGGTCCCCTTCTCCAAAGCACAGCTCTCCAACACTGTTCTAAAGCTGGCTAAAAATTCCTCCTGGTAAATTCCAGACCTTCAGCTTCTCTTAGCAGGTGGCACCTCCAAGCCAGACTCTCCCACCTGATGGACCAGGAAATACTGATGCCCCCATCCTTACTCACCCTCCAAGCAGCCAAGTGGCCCCTGGGGCATCTGGAGTTCTTGGGCTAGTTGTCTCTGGCAGGGAGCAGCCTGGGCTGGGGCTCCTTGGTGGGATTTAAGGAGGGCACCCTGAGTTTCCTAAGAGTGTCTGGCAGGATGTGTGGCATCTAGCACTCCCTACTCTGCTGAAATGGGCTGGGTGTGGTCAAGGAAGTTCCCTCCCCCTTGGACACTTACAGCAGTGGATTACAGAGCACACCGCTGTTCAGGTCATCAAGGGCCCCTTAGAGTGTCTGTAATTTGTGTTCCAGATGTCCAAGGTGTCCTCAGCCCAGGCTGGGGTCAAGGAGGTAGGGGGCAGGGCGGGGGGCGGCGAGATCCAGTGACCCTGGATCTGATTTCACATGCAGTTGGATATTTCTGCCCTTCCTGCTTTGCCCATTTGGAGGCATCGAGGACCACTGCAGGCTGACTCCTCCAACAGTGCGTTTCTGGTCTGCAGACCGGAGCTGCATGGTTATTTTGAAATACTCGATGGGGAAAAGTTTGATTGGTTCCTACACACACCGGCTTTAGCAAAAGAAATTCCAATGTTACTTTTGTCAATAAAGAAACGACCCATTCAATTCTGTAAATCTAATTTCAATCATTGCGTTAAATACTCGCCTAAAAATGATTTTAAATATTTTATCGTACGTGAGAGCAAACTGTCTCATTAATGGTGCCTGTCAAGAATTTGAAAAGCTCCTCGTTAAAAGTTTTGCTTATTTCTGTGGAGTCAGTTGATCAATTGTGTGTAATCATTTCCAGTATAAAACCTGATATTAAAAAAATATTTCCAGAAGCAAACTCAAGTTTCTCATTAAAACATTTGAAATGATTTAATTTGGAAGTTATATACAAATTCAATATTTAATATCTTCCCTAGTATTTTGTATTTTATTTTTCTTATAATTTTATTTCATAAAAATGTAATTAATTTTTAGAAGTTTGTCAATGGATCTACATGACATCTGTAGAGGAGTGGAAGAATTGGTCTTGTGGTGAGATGGTGACAGCAGATGGAAAACTTCTGAGGATTTGTCTGATCTCTGAGGACAGAGGTTTCCCCCACCTGCAGGAAATAGAAAGAGAGGGGCCCTGGCATTTGGGCCTCCCCGGCTGTGCCTCTCCCTGCTGCAGTGTAGCCCAAGCTCAGCCCCAGATTCCACTCCAAGAGAGGTGGATTCCGCCGTGGGTTCCAGACACAGACCACATCTCCCAGCAGAAATGCTTCCCAGCTTTCTGCCAGCACCAGCGCTGCTTGACCACACCTGCTGCTGCCCTGTATGCCACTGTGGCGCCCAAGGCATTGGTTTACATAGGCGGCAGCAGATGGTCTCCCTCTAGCTGGGAGGGAGGGATTGCTCCTGTGGGGGCCTTCCTTGGAGAGCTCCTCAGCATTGCAGATTCCAGGCAGAAAATGGCTCTTCCCTCAACCTGCCTTCCTGGGGACTGAACCATCCTGGTGCATACAGAAATATGGGTACCTTGTCACCCTAGACACCGTTTCTGATTTGCACATCAGGAGATTTGCACGCACTGGAGGAAGAGGACCTGGCTTGAGTGAAAGGCAGGGGTCCAAATCCCAGCTCTACCCCTTGCTAGCTCGTGACTTTGACCTCCACCTCATCAGTCACTCTCTAGGCCCCAGTTTCCACATAGGTACTAGGAGGCATTAATACTTTCCTTGCAGAATTATAAGGAACACATGAGGAGGTGTATGTAAAAAGCTTTATAGTATGTCAAATATAAAGTGCTGTAGACATGGAGGGGTTGTGGTTATCACTGTCAGCAAAGCTGGGTACCATGACTCCTGCTGGACCACGAGTGATCATTGCAAACTCTGTAGGAGCAATTTCACAGTCAGGAGCATGCTGGAGTTCCACTGGCAATGGCTGAGTGGTGGTGGTGAGGCGGCGGGGGGTGGGGGGTCTTCCTGGCAGAGGATGACTTCTGTTCCAAGATCCAGCTCCAAATTAGAGTCTCCCATAACGTGTTAGAGCCTGGCACTTTCATTCATTAAACATTTACTTATTTATTTTTAAATTGCTTTTCTCTTTTTTCCCATTCTGAAAGTGAAAACATGCTCACTCTAGAATGTTTAGAAATACAGATATGCTGAAAGAAGAAAATTAGAGTCACCCCAGATCCTGCCACCACGAATGATGTCTTGAGCACACATCTCCCCACGCTCCTTCAAATACATTTTAGCTAAATGTTATATTATAGAATACCTGCTGTTTTGTGATTGGCATTTAAGGAAAATCTAACAATAATCCAAATATTTACTAGGTCATAAACTATCCTTCTACAATATCATAAAAATCACTGCCTAGCTGTCCATACCATTAAACATTCAGTGGTGTCTACTGTGTGCAGAGCCCCGAGCAAGCCCCTCTCAGAGGGGTGAGTAGACTCAGCTCTGTCTGCCTCCTGGGAACTCACCATCCTGCAAAGGAAATCACACCAGGGAGATGGAACCTGTTGTGACATAAGGCAGGTACTTCACCCTGCAGAGGGTGCCAGGAAGGAGATGTCATTTCCAAAAGAGGGAGCAGGGAAGGTACCCTGGGGGAGAGGACTGGCCTAAAAGGTGGGCTGGATTTAAGCCAGGAAGAATGCGGAAGGAAACCTGGGTGTCAGGAGGAATGTGAGTTAGAGGAGTGGGTGAACTGACATATCTTCAGAAAAATGACAGAATCAAACTATATTCTCTGTGCTTGTGTGAACACTGGTAAAAGGGGTGGGGCTTTGCATCAGAATTGGTGAGCTAAAGCCTGTGATCCCACCTAAAGAGTAGGAATCTTTTAGAACAGGGTTATATTGGTGACCTTGGGCAAATCACATAACCTTAAAATGTTAAAGAGGGAAAAGCTCGGTGATTTCCTTCCAACGTCACATTTTATATATGGAGAATTGAGGCCCAGAATAGGGAGTGACTTACCTGAGATGATGCGGCAACTGTTGGAAGTGATGCTAGGAGCTGGTGGACTGCTCCAAGGGCAAGGACCAAGAACCAAGTTGTTCATAGAAGTCCACCCAACACTTGGCACAGACCTGCACTCCCACATCAGGCTCATTAAACCGAGCTAAGCCACCATCACTAACCAGCCTAGCTTTGTAGCCTTGTCTTAGGGAAGACCTCAAGAAAGAACGAATATGCCATGCTTCCTAAGACCCACTTGTGGTACAGTCAAGAGGTAAGTATTAGTTCCCCCCTACCCCAACTCCACCTGGGAGGGCTCCTATCTGAGTCATGGTCTTTTGGTTAGAAAGAACAGATCCGCTCAAATCAAACTGTCTCAAATAGAAGAAAGTTTATTATAAGAACACATAAAATTCTCTTGAAATTCAAGGATTGGAACCACAAGGCAGCCATGAATGGGAATTGGAGCTGAGACCTGAGAAACTATTAGGGGGTCAAAGCAGCTCTGTTTTCTTCCTGAACCCCACCCAGTCTCCCAGGCTAACAATTCATCCTTCTAAGCATGCATCCAACCATCCATCTATGCAACTATCCCATCATCTATCTATCTATCTATCTATCTATCTATCTATCTATCTATCTATCTATCTATCTATCTATCCATCCATCCATCCAATTAAATGTTCCATGAGCCTCTGCCCTCCAGTGAGCATCTGCCATGAGCTATTGCATATGGTGGTGGAGACAGAAATGGACAAGCACAATCCTTGCTCTCAAGGAGCTCACAATCCAAGAGAAAATTGCTGTCATATTTATTTATCTTCTCATCCTTCAGCAAGCATTGCTGTGTGCCTGACTGGGCTTGGCACTGGGGATACAGAGATGAATGAGGAAGCCACATCCCTCTCCAAGAGGGAGGGGGACCCATGGATTTAATCATGATACAATCTGATTGGTGCTAAAAAGAGAAATTGATTGGTTGATTAACTGATATTCTGCCTTGTTCCATAAAAGATTTAAGATTTAAAGATATATAGATTAAGACTCTGGGACAGTTATCAATGTGGAACTGTTTTGCAATTCTATTGTTGGGGTCATAGGGCCAGAGCACACCCTTATAGATGGGAGTAGGGTTTGCACAAAAGGAAATGAAAATGTCCATTGTCAGCCTTGTAAGAAAGATGTCATTCCTGCAGCAGGAAATGAGGACTTTGGTAAGCAGGCCTTCACTGGGCATAAGAAAAAGACTTTTCTGTTTCAGGTACTAGGGGCAATTTGTTCTGGACTCTATGGTGTGGAGATCCCTAGAACATTCCTAGAGGTGGTGGGGTGGGGTGGAGGGTGAGCGTCCCTGGACCCCTTGGGGGACGGCCAGGGAAAGGCTTAGAGCCCTCTTGGAAGGGACTCTGGGGCAGGTCTGGGTCTGGGCCATCCTTTTTTCCATGGCACTTCCTTCCTTTATTTTCAAAGTGACCATACAGTTGATGGTCCAAATCGGCACACCCTAGAGAATGAAAGGGAAGCTAGTAATAATTACACTCAGATTGCCAGAATAAATAGGGACATGTAACCACTTGCTTGTCGCTAACCCTTCAGTAAGGTGTCTTTAAAAGTTATAGACTGGCTTTGCCATTTGAGGGGAAATTGGGAAGGAAGTGTATTCATGCTTGAGGCCCATGAAAATATTTGAATTCTGGAAGAAATTATTGATTCCAAAATATGAAAAAGAAAACCACAAGATTTTTTCAAAAAGGTGTTTAATTAAATGCCTCTAAAACACTAGTTCAACTTTGTTAATGGCTAAATTCCTAAAAATTGCTTTACATTTGAAACAAGCTTGCAGATTTGATTTTCTCTTTTCTCAAGGATCCTGAAGAATGCACAATGGTTGCTGAGAAATCATAGCTGAACATAAATCAGTTGCTTATAACCAAATTATTACAGAAGTCAAATTAGAAAAATCTTTTCAAAATATTTTTATAGCAAGAAATTATTAATTGAGGTATATGGGTGTTTTCATATGCATGTTTTTATGTATGGTGTGGCCTTCAAAAATCAGTATATCCAGAGTCAGTGAACGTCTTTAAAAGGTCCAAGCACAGGCAAGGGTGCTGTGGTGCCCAACTCTGGGGATGTCCTTCACAGACATCCATGATGGTTTTCCTACTCTTTTACATCCATGCAGAACCATTCTGGACTATGTGAATAGCACCATCGATTGGGCAGTGCACCACAGCCTACATGGCTGTACAAGGTGATCCTGGACACAATGCTGGGCAGGGGGCTCTTCCAGAAGCCAAAGAGTTGGTGCTGAACAGGGTAGTCTCTAGGGAGGACAGCTGTACCCAGCAGACAATGCGGTGACAAGAGCAGGAGGGCAGAGTGGGAAACACTCAGTGTGTCGGAGCCAGGTCTTAGTTCTCCATTTGGTCACCGTCCAGCAGGGGAGACAGGCCTGCACACGACTGGGGTCAGAGGTGGCAACTATGACAAAGGCTACGGCAGCAGCCGGAAAGAGTGCAATGGGGGGCTAGGGGTGAGAGAGGGAAAGTAATCCCAAATGAAGGGACTGGGGAGGTTGTATAAGGGTTGATTCACTCTGAGTCTTAGAGCACTGCAAGAATTTATTCAGGCAGAGAGCCAGGGGTGACCAGCACAGGGTACAGGGCACACTGGGGGCCCTGGGGTGCTCTACCAGCCTGCTCTGCTGGCTCTTTCCCTGCCGAAAGATGTCAGCCGTCAGGTGCTGTTAAACTCCAGCTGGACAAAACCCGCTGGATGGGAGAGTGGGGCGTAACTTGGCTGGAAGCAAAGGTGTTGGGAAGGGTTCAGCCTTTGTTCTGACACCAGCTCCTGCCTTGGCAGAGGATGTTGCTTCAGGAGGCTGTCCTGGAACTGCCTCTCCCTCAACTCTGTTTCAGGACTTCCCAGCCAAAGAGGATTTTTTTTTCTTTTTGCTATAAAACAGCTTCCTTGTTTATTGTAAGTCTGTAAAACCTCTCCTGATGGGGAAAGAAGTGTGCAAGTGTTTAAAAAATGATTCCAAGAAGAGCTGGCATTTGAATGAGGACTTGCTGACCCAGCTTCAGAACTGGATGGGGCTGTAGAGGTGGCTGCAGCCAGCCCCTGATTTGAAGGCAGGAAGCTATTATCCCTTTTCTATTGATGAGGAAACTAAGGCAAAGAGGTTAAATGCCTGTGCGAGGTCTCCCAGTGATGATTATTGAAGCCAGAATCCCAGCCCCAGTCTGTCAGGCATAGTGGTGGAGGTGACATTTGAGCTAGATTTTATTGTTGGGAGGATTCCAACTTGCAAAGATGGGAAGGGAAAGATTTTAGGCTAAGGGGTCAGGATGAACAAAGGTGGGGAGCAGGTGACAGTGACAGCCATCCTATGTTAAAATGAGCTGACATTTTTTTGGAGCCAGGCCAGGTTTTTTAGTGCTTTACTTGTATTAGCTCATTTAATTCTAACAACGACATTATAAAATAGATATGATGGGCCGGGCGCAGTGACTTACGCCTGTAATCCCAGCACTTTGGGAGGCCGAGGCGGGTGGATCATGAGGTCAGGAGTTCGAGACCAGCCTGGCCAACATGGTGAAACCCTGTCTCTACTAAAATACAAAAGTTAGCCGGGCATGGTGGCGCATACCTGTAATCCCAGCTACTCCGGAGCTGAGGCAGGAGAATCGCTTGAACCCGGGAGGCAGAGGTTGCAGTGAGCTGAGATCGTGTCATTGCACTCCAGCCTGGGTGGCAGAGTGAGACTCCATCTCAAAAATGAAAAAAAAGAAAAAGGTGTGATGAATCCCATTTTTTGGATGATAAAACTGAGGCACAGAGAGGTGAAGTGATGTGTGTGAGGTCACATACCTGTGAAGTGTCAGAGCTGGGACTTGAGCCTAGGAAGCCTTGCTCCAGGGTCTCCCAGTTTAGCTACCATCACTAGTGTCACTTACCTGCTGGGCGCCTCCCATGGTGCTGCTGCGTGCCTTGCTAAATGCATTTCCTGCATTGCTGCATTTCGTCCTCATAAAGAACACTAAGGGTAGACATGGCTATTACTACCATTTGACAGATGCAGACATTGAGGCTCAGAGAGGTTAAGTACCTTGCCCAAGGTCAAGCTTTGCCTCCCATCCTGGAAGTTATTTCTGAGGCGATCCCACTTCATTGAGAAAAGCCCTGCATTTCCCACAATTTCGTATTCCCAGATCAATTGCCCCCCGGCTTGCCACAAAGGCCCGCGACGCCACTAGATTAGTTTTAAGGTTTTCAATAATTCTGCGAAGAGACAGAGCAGCATAAAGCGAAGCTAAAAATATCATTTTTCTGTAGCTGTCATAACAACATTTGGGCTAATTGATTCTCAATAGAATAATGACATCCAGTGTGTAGTGAGAAATATTCATGAAGAGATCTGTGAAACCCTCGAGGTGCTGGGCTGTGCTGGCAGCCCAGGACAACTCCGGGATGTGTCCGTGTAGACGCCTGCGCCCGGCCTGCCCCGCGGTGGGTGAGGCCTGACCGCGCCAGCCAGCGCTGCAGCCTCTGGGACTGTCTTAGGACATCAAAGTGTTTTAGTCACTGAGGACTGGGGCTCCCAACCCCCGAGGCTGCTTTAATCAGAGAAAGGTGATGAAAAGATTAGAGGGTATGATTTATGGAGAGAGATTAGCATCAGAGGAGTCGAGGGGGAGAAAAGAGAACTCTCTCAAAGTAGTTGAGATAACAAAGGCTGCGGAGGCGCGAGGGGGGAAGGCGGGGAGGCAGCTGTGGGCTGGATCCTGAGTCTCCACTGGACCATGGGGCCGGAGGGTACTGTTGGGGTGAAAGGAAGGATAGGGAAGCACCTCAGGGTCTGAGGCTGCCCAGTCCAGCCTCCACCCGCAGAGCTGCTCCCGGCTGCATGCCAGTCTCAGGATGGCTCAGGCTCCAAGGGCATTCCTGGAAAAGCTGCCTTTGTGGGACCTTTCCACAGGGCTGCCCAGGGAAAGGAGGCCAGGCTTGGGGTCTTTGGGGTCGTGTGTTTTGGGGGGTGTCTTGGCCTGGTGAGATGGTCTCCAGGCTAGAATCTGTGATGCTCACGTGTGTTTTATGACCAGTTCCAGGCATGGGTCCCACAGAGGAACACGTTGTTTGCAGGGTGTAGGTGTGCACATGCTTACGTGTGTGGGGGGCACACACAATACTCAAATTTATTAAGTCCTGATATGTACCAGGTACAGTTTTAAGGGCTTAACATGCCTGAACTCACTTCATCCTCTCAGCAGCCTTCTGAGGCAGGGAGTCTTGCTATTCCTCTTCTGTAGAAAAGGGAAATTGAGACTCAAAGAGTTTAACTCTACCAAGTCACACAGCTACGAGGTGGCAGGGCTGGGACTGGGGCCCATAACTGTCCAGCACCCAAAGTCCACAGGATGCTAGAGGGAGGGGAAGCGAGACGGCAGAGGTGTGTGGAGATGTCAGGGGGAGAGGCTCCTCTGGTTTGTGTTTGAGGTCTGAGGTATGTGTCTTCTGAGTACACTGTGAGGTGTATCCCTGTGTGCACCCTGTGGAATGCTCCATGTGTGCTGGCTGTGTGTTTTGAACACATGCATGTAGAATGAATGTGGAGGGTGCTGAGTGTGTCTGTGTCTGTGGGCAGGCCCTGCGAGGGGCAGAAAGCAGCCCTCCTCGACGGAGTGCTGTGCCTCGTATCAGGTGCTCCACATTCCGATCCTTAACTGCCCCAGGTTTCACTGGTCATCAGGTCGTAATGCCACCCTTCCACCATCACAGCCCTGAATGCACCCTCGCGCTCCCACCTGCCCTTTCACGATCTCACCCTCTTACTTCTGGAAGCCCTCTGGGGTGTCTTTTGTGAGGCGGGTAATTGTTCTCTGATGTTCTGCTTCTCCAAACTCCTCCAGGAATATCTGCAGCCTGGAACTGGCAGAGGCTGCTGGGCCCCCGCAAGATTGCTAGAATTCACCCTGAGGGAAGTGCCCTGGTGTGCAGACCCACAAGCAGCACCAGATTCCATGCTGCACGAGGGCAGGGCTGCATCTCCGGCTCACCACTCAACCTCAGCACCAAGCACAGGCCTGGGAACATAATAGCTGCTCAATAAATAGATGCTTTATATTTCCTGGAAATGCCACTGCCTTAAACCATCCTGTGTCACATTTTGTAACTTGGTGTGTGAAAATGGCTCTTCACCTTCATTCTGCCTGCTGCTTAGTCCCTCAACAGGGATCAGATGCCAGACAGCCCCAAAGACCAAGATCTGAGACCAATGTCTTGTTTACCTTCCCATTCCTATAGTCAAAACCTTATGCAAATTTGCTCCTTGTAGAGCTGCCCACCAATTCACTAATACATTACTAATGGCTAATAATTCATGGCAAACATTTACTAAGCACTGGTCAAGTTCCAGACACTGTGCTAAGCTGTTAATGTGAGTGATGGCTTTTCAGTGCAAAGCAGCCCCGCGAGTTAGGCACTGTTTTTATCTCCATTTTACTGGTGAGGAATCTGAAGCTCAGAGATGTCAAGTAAACTTCCCAGAGTCACACAGCAGGTGAATAAGTGCAGGATCTGGGAGTTGAACCCAGGTGGTCTGACTTGCTTTTGACCACTGTATAGCATTAGCTTCAGATCACTCTGAATTCCAGCTAAATGAGGCCTGAGTGAAGAATCTTGATACTCATAGGTCATTAGCTTCATGTAAAAAAAAAAAAAAAAACAAAAAACAACCAAAAAAAAAAACCTTTGATGTATTATCCTGGTTTTACAGAGGAGGAAACTGAGCTCAGAGCAGTTAAGTAACTGCCAGCAGTCACACAACTATTAAAGAGGCTGAGCTAGGATTGGAACCCAGATCTGCTAGGCCCAAAGCCTCATTTCCCATGCTGTGCCATCCTCTGGAGGAGTGGAGATGGTCCTTGGCCACAAGGAAATGGGTGAAAAGTAAGGAAGGGGACCTGCCAATTAAAGATATGCAGTTTGGAGGTGGGTACCAGGGTCTCGGAAGAAAATATAGAAATCCAAGCATCCTGAGAGACCTCGGCAAAGGGGGCAGGTGACCTGTCATATATAAGGGGGCATTCAGAGTTGCCGATGCCCACATCACAGGCATGTTTTGCACTTTGGCCCTTCAGCAGGGAGTTCCTAAATTCTTTCCACATTACACGCTCCCATGGGATAAGAAGTCACTAGGACACTGTCCACAGGCATCTCTTTGTCCTGGGAGGGGTAGAGCCTCCACACTAACTGGATGGTCATTATAAACAGAATATGGCATCTCTATCTAGAGATAGCATGTGATCAAATAAAAAAGGAAAAAAAAGGTTTTGACTCGTACAAATCCAGGCCCTGCTGTTCATTAGCTGTGTGATGGTGGGCCAGGCACACGCCTCTGAGCCTCGGTTTCCTGGTGCATAAAATGGGGATATTAAGGCTTTCCCTTCCCACCTAGCAGGGCTGGTGGCGGTTGTGGGGGGCAGCAGTGGAGGGTGTGGAGGCCTTTGCTCTTGTTGCTGTGCAAATGTGTGCCACTGGATGCACCAGAATGTGAAGAATCCAGCCGGGTGCCGTGGCTCACGCCTGTAATACCAGTACTTTGGGAGGTTGAAGCAGGTGGATAACCTGAGGTCAGGAGTTCAAGACCAGCCTGGCCAACATGGTGAAACTCCATCTCTATTAAAAATACAAAAATTAGCCGGGCATGGTGGCAGATGCCTGTAGTCCCAGCTACTCAGGAGGCTGAGGCAGGAGAATCGTTTGAACCTGGGAGGCAGAGGTTGCAGTGAGCCAAGATCACGCCATTGCAACCCAGCCTGGACAACAAGAACAAAACTCCATCTCAAAAAAAAAAAAGTGAAGAATCTGGTCAGGGAAGGCAGCTTAGCAGAGGAAGGGAGTGGAGAAGGCATGGAAAGACATTTCTCAAAGGAATACAATCTACGGGGTCAGGTCAACATGGAAGTCCTCTCTCTAGCCTGTGCTGAATCCAGCAGTACAGAGCTTCTGTATCAGAAGGTAGAGATGTTTTTGTGTCCCAAGATGAGCCATTTTCATCACTCATTCATTCATTCATATATCTAGTCTTTGAATCAATGTTTATTGATAAGGCATATATGGGAGACATTGGGCCAAATATTGTCAGGACCCTGGAGGTGAAGCAGACAGGGACCTGACATACTTGGGGAGATAAGATACACACATAGTTACTATGATATGAGGCACAGGGTGGCATCAGTCGTCATCAGATGGGTACAGATAATATCCTGTGGGAGTTCATAGTTGGGGGACACCACTTTCAGCCCATGAAATCAGGGAATGCCTCCTGGAAGAAGTGGCATTTAGAATGCACAAGCAGCCCTGAAGGATGTAAGTTTATGTATATTCTTTTTTTTTTTTTTTTTTAATGAGATGGAGTCTCCATCTGTCACCCAGGCTGGAGTGCAGTGGTGTGATTTCAGATCACTGCAACCTCCACCTCCTGGGATCAAGCAATTCTCCTGCCTCACCCTCCCCAGTAGTTGGGATTACAGGTGCGCACCACCACACCCAGCTAATCTTTACATTTTTAGTAGAGATGGGTTTCACCATACTGGCTAGGCTGGTCTTGAACTCCTGACCTCAAGTGATCCACCTTCCTCAGCCTCCCAAAGTGCTGGGATTACAGGCATGAGCCACTGTGCCCGGCCGATGTAAATAAATTGCGGTGCCAGAGATGAGTCTTCCAGGGAGATTGTACTCCATGCATTTGAACACAGCATAACGTATATGCGCACACAGCATAGTAATGTATATGCACACAGCATAATAATCATAACAGCAACAATAACAACAACAAGGTGTGTATGGAGAATGAAGCGGAGGATTCTGACCCCCATTTCACTCAAGGAGAAGCACAGGATGGGAGATGGATCCTGCAGTTTCCCCAATGGCTTTTAGGCTCTCTGTGCCTCTCTTCCTGTGAGTATCACCCTGAGGGTGATTCTAGTGTTCAAAGACATGCATCCTTTATGTAACGTGGCCCCTCAAATCAAGCCAACAACCTCATCTGGTGCTTAACCCAAAGAAAAGCGATTTGTTCTGACGCTGAAGGAAAACCCAGCTGTGTTGGACTCACCGAGAGATGGTATATTGGTCTCCCTCCTAAAGGATGTGTAAGGATAATTTTGACCATGCTTGGTTTTTCCCTTTATTCGCGGACTTTAAACACCATCTCTACATCACACAGATGACTGTTGTGGGAGCGGTGCAGCACGGGCATGGTGGCGGGTACAGCTGGGATATTCAGGGAATGTAATTAGAGGGCTCCATGACTGCTAAGGGCCCACTGGATTCCAAGAGCTCGTGAGCCGGCTGTGATCTTTGGAATCCTCATTAGAAATTCTCTCCAGAGCCTGGGGCATATGCTTTTGCTCGTCTTTAATAATGGCAAATCTTCATGCTTTGAGGTTGGATTTGATTTCGGGAAACAACCACAAGAGGCATTTGGAGCCCAGCCTGGTGGAAGAACAAGCTGGAAAATGTGCTTCTGGTTAAATGGGAGGTGTGACTCTAATTGGCACAGGGGGGTGCCAAGTGCAGGTAGAAGCCAGAGCAGGAAGCTCCAGGGGAAGCTCCGGAGTTGCTGCAGGGAATGCCAACCTGGGGGCAGGCAGAAAGGGAATTCTGCCATCCTCTGGCTTGGGCACATTTGGCACTCCACCAGCTTGACTGGACTTTGTTTCCTGCCTGCAGCTCAGTTATAGACTCAGTGTTATGAATGGTTTAGAGGCCATTTTCAGAGTGTTTGGGTCCACTTGGAAGCTAGCAAGTGCACAGACCATGGTGGGGGCTGGCGGGGGAACATCCAGGCCTCTCTGTGAGCTCTCAGTGCTCACTCAATGAGAAGGCCCCTCCGGACCTCTTTAGTCAAATAGCTGGAGGTTCGCCAGAGGAAGGGTTGAGAGCCTTCATGCCTTCAGATCGTAGGCAGACCGCTAGACCCCATCCACGGGTCTGCCTGCCTGGGATACAAGATCTTCAGCAGCCCAGCTGAGCTGCCTTGATCTCCCTGCCAACTTCCCCATGACCCCTGGGCACAGTGACCAGAGGTGTTTTGTCCCACAGGGATTTGCACACCTGATCCTTCTTCCCTCCACCTCTGCCACTTGGGACTGTTGGCCTTATTCCACAGTGACCCTTCTGTGCCCACATCCTGCACCTACAAAAAGACATGCTTGTGGCTCCTTTCAGGGTGACTTGCTCACTGACTTCAAAGGCACTTCCCTTTGGAGAGCCAACTCTAAGCATTTGAACCACAACCCCAGCTTGCAGGGGGAGCATGTTTGGAGGAGGGCTGAGCACTTTCGTTAGAGTGTTTATTTTAAAGTCATCCCCAGATAGTCTGCAAATGGTGATCCACCCCAGTCTTCTTGTCCTAAGAGGCTGAACCCACAGGCTTTGGGCTCTGAAGACAAAGTGCAGAGTGAGCCATCAGAGGAGGAAGCAGGCTGGGGGCTCATACCCGTGACAACATACACTGCACACCCCCACGAATGTGCAGAGTGTGCTCTCTCCTCCCCACACCCAGCAAGCTCATACTCACCCACACCCACCTCCTCACACACATGCACACTCAACCTGCACAGGGCCACGTACCCACACACTCCCACCCCTCCCAAATGTCCTGCACATGGATAGTTACATCTCTTCCCAGCACAAATGCGCATAACCACAGGCTGTTCCCTGCACACTCCTGGAGGACACTGAGACACGGGGAGGAAATCTAAGAGTACCTTAGAAATGCCACTCTCTGCAAATGAGCTTTTAAGCAAAATGGTGTAAGAGAAAAAGTAGCGATCTGACAGTTCTACGAGTTGGGTTCAAGGGCAGGAATTGCCAGGTGTGAACCACGCATTCTTGTGCAAGTCCTTTCTCCGCGCCTTACTTTCCCTATCTCTAAAGTGGGCCTGATCATAGCCCCTTGCATGTAGGTGATTGTGAGCATAGAATGAACTAATGGAGGAGTGTGCTTTGCTTTCTACACTGCAAAGTACAAAAAATGCTCATCACCAGGGTCATCATTATAACTCCAACTGAGAAACGGGCCATGTGGAGATGACATGGACCTTCCTTATCTAGCCCATCCAAAAAAGAGTGGGCCATGCACTTTCATCTTGGTTGGGTACAGCCATTAGTCCCCACCTATCTGGGGCTGTGCCCCTTCCCGCAGCCTCTGGTTCAGGTGGCTCAGCACTCCTGACCCAGGAGATCTGAGATGTGTGGTGGAGGTGGAACTGGTCAGTGAGGACCCAGAAATGGCCAGGCGATTCCCAAAAGAACTTAACATAATCAATGCAGCATCTATTACAAAACATCTATATGCAAAGATGACTCTTGCCCCAGCAGATGAAAAAGTGACTATTGGCAAATCTCTGACAAATGTTTCTGGGATGTGAGGGCTTTGGGGAAGGTAAAGAGGGGAACAGAAAGGGGAGAGCCAGTGTTCTTTCACCTTCCAGAGAAAGGGTGTGGCTCGAGGCCTGGTGGTCCAGGGGCAAGAGGAAGTGGTGGGGGTCGGGGGAGGGGGACAAGGAGCAGCCAAGCAGGGCACTCACTTCAGAAAAGCTCCCAGGAAGGTGACATGGGTTGACCAGTGGCTGGAGGGGCATGCACTTGAATGATGTGTAGATTATGCTGCAAAGGAATGGATGGACCTTGACGCGCCATGGGCTTCCTGTAACTGCTTAAGAAACAAACAGTTCCAATAAAACTGGGGGGTAAGGAGAAAGGGTGGGATGGGATGGGTGATACACATTTAGTGGTTGGAAATTCAGAGAGAAGAACAGTTCTGCCTTCCAATGCCGAGAACTTTCCAAATGTGAGAGAACAGATGAGACTTGGAAGCAGGACTTGGGTATCATGTATTTGACAGAGAGAGTAGGAGAGGGATGAGCCCTTGGAGGTAGGATCCCCCAGAGTCTGTCCTTACAGGGGAGACTGAGGCCCCAAGGAGGAAAGGCTGTGACTAAGTCTTACAGTGAGTGAGAGTGGGGGTTCTCAGGACCATGGATGGCATTCAAGGTGGGTACATCGGCATATGCTGAAATTGTAGAGCAATGGGTGTATAGATAGGATAATTTTTTTTTTTTTTTTTTTTTTTTTTTTTTTTTTTTTTTTTTTTTTTTTTGCTAGGAGAAGGACTATCACTTTCATCATATTTCCAAAAGGTTGTAAGATTTCAAGCACGCAAGGAAGTATGATTACAGGCCAGAATGCCGGGGTTCAAATCCCAGCTCTGCCACTTTCTAACTGTGTGACTTTGGGCAAGTTACCAGCCCACCTGCATCTCAGTTACCTCATCTTTAAAATGGGAATAATAAAATCCTCACTCAAAAGGGTTGTCAATTAGATAAGATTGCAGGTGCCTTGCATATGGTTAACAAATAGTAGCTGTTTTATTCATTTATTTATTTATTTTCTGAGATAGGTCTCACTCCCTCACCCAGGCTGGAGTGCAGTGGCTCACTGCAGCCTTGACCTCCTGGGCTCAGATGATCCTCCCACCTCGTAGCTGTTATTTTTTACACTATCATATTATTATCTTAAGATATGATTCTCTTGAAGACAAGATGAGCACCTCTTGCTTGTACACGGGTGCAGTGAGTACTGGTGGGTGAGCTGTGAGTTCCAGGCAGGTCTGGCCCATGGAACTCGGGACACTGAGCCAGGGGCTGCTGACAGGCATGGCTGGGAGCAGCCCCACACCCACCGGGCAGTTTGTATGCAGCGGGTGTTGTGAGAGTGTGTCCCAGAGAGGCGAGGGCTGCTCCATAAGACTGATTTGTTGCTGCTGAACCTCATTAATCAAATCTTACCGGAGAGAGCCTCCTGCAGCTGCTGGCAGGTCAGCGTCAGGGAGATAAGTGATGTAGCCAGACCCAGCGAGGGGGAGAGATGAGGCGACCATAAGTCTTGACAGTGGCAGGCTCTGAAGCAGGAGCTCCGAGCCCATACGTCCTCAGTGCCTGGGGCGAATCTCTGAGCCAGGACAAAGTTCTTCCTCCCAAGGAACTCTCCGGAGAAATGGAGAGTCGGGATGGGACATGTGTTGGAGGAGCTTCTACGAAGCAGGGGCATTCATCCATGTGTTTTGAGACAAGTGAGTCAAAGATGACCCAAGACATCACTGGGGTCGTGGTCCTTCAGATCACTGGATTCCAGCAGGTGCCCCAGACAATTTCCCCAGCAACACCCATGGCCCCATTTCCAGCCCTGCTGACCAAGCAGTGTTCAAAGGAAACATTTCTGATATTGATCTCATCTGCTGCTGTGCAGTTGAACAAGTCGCTTCACCACTCGGAACCTCCGTTTCCTCATTGGTTACAACAACAGAACTGAGAAGTCTGTGCCAGGTACAGTTCTAGCTGCTTTACTTAATTCTCACTAACAGTTTTAGGATGTAGGTACCATGATCTTCCCATTTTACAGATCAGGAAACTGAGGTCACACATCTAGGGAGTATTGGTTCCCTCGTGGGGGTGGTCAGGGAACAGGCTCTTTGCTGGTTGTTCAAGTGGTGTGGTCTGATTGTCAAGGCACTCTGCAAGCAGTCCTGAATGAGTCTTAGGGGCCTCTGCCCCAATGAGATGAATGAGGCTGACAGCTAAGTTGATTGTCTACTTAGACAAAAGGGGCTGTTTCTACCTTCCTCGCAGGACAATTACTTATTCTCTGCTATAAAATGCCCCTGGTGCCAAGACCTGTGTTGGTAGAGGCAGTAAACCAAGCAGGTTTAGTTAAGGAGCCTGACTACCCAGCCCCGTCACTCACTCTCTAGCTGTGTGACCTTGGATCTTTATTCTCTGAGCCTTGATTTCCTATTCAAAAATAATAATAACCACTTCGATAAACCATTCTGAGGCTTAAGTGAAAACAAACAAATGAAACTTGTAAAGTAGTTGGAACAGTGCCAGACACATAGTAAGCACGTAATAATTTTTGTTGTTACTGGGGTCCCAGAGAGGAATCTACCTGATTGCTGCCCCAGGAGCCTTGTGACTCTGCTCCTGCCCATGGTGACCTAAGTCACATGCCCGCTATAGCCCCTTCCTTCTTTCCAGAACCTGTTCTCAGTGTTTTCACTCCCTAACCATCTCAGGCCTCTCTTCTTACTCTGTTTACCATTCCCGGGATTACAGGTTGTCTTCAGCCCTCGAAAGAGATGCACCCCCTTCCATGCACATATAGCATCCTCTGCAGCCTCAATAGCCGAAAATGGGGAAAATAATCCTCACGGCCCCAGCAGATGTGCAGGTAATAATACCGGGTTTTTTTTTCCACACTTAGTATGTGCGGAGTATCAAGCTACACACTTTACAAACATTAGCTCACATAATCTTGATGGCATCCTTGTGAGTTAGGTCCTGCTTTTAGGCCTGTTTTAGGGCTGAGGAAGCTCAGAGAGGTAAAGTAACTTTTCCAAGGTCACTCAGGTAGTGAGTGACAGAGCTGGGCTTCAAAACCTGGTGGCTGACTACGAAGGCCATCCCCTTAACCCTAATCCTAACCCTGGGGCTAAGCCCCCAGCACAAAAAGCTAAGGCCTACCTTAGGTACTCAGAAAATGTCGTTTCCTTTCCTCTGAACCCCACGCTGCATTGCAGAGGCCCCCACATTTACAGGGTTGGCTGAGCCTGAGTTCGGGAGTTGTTAACTTCTTAGTACTTCTCTCTTTGCCTCATTATGGGGTAAAACTGCATTTGGTTTTTAAAATTCCCTTTTTATTTAGTCGCTGTGAATGTTAAGAACTGCCAGTACTGGAAGCTGAGATCCCATCCATATGCCAGGTTTTAAATAGCAGACTAGAAACAAGTTTACACAGGAAGATCAAGCTCACCCCAAACATGCAGCCACTGCACTGTTCAGACAAGAAGCCCGTGCCCCCGCCCCGCCCCTCCCGCTCGCCCCCCGCCCCGCCCCGCCCGCTCGCCCCAGTCTTCCCACTTCAAACGATTTCGGAAAGTCATCCTTCTTGTGTTAGAAAAACATTGCTGAGTTCCGTCTGCTGCTCTTCATACACGAAGAAGGAAGTGGTGACCCAGGGATGGCAAGGTGTGCGGTGGTGTGTTTCTTTTCTTGGCAGTGGTGGCGGCCTCGCACGATCCAACCGCATTCACCCCGGAAGCCGCTTCCACCTCCCTGGAGTCAGAGGTGCTCTGACGTTGCCCTGCGCACCGAGCAACACGAAGCTGCAAGCGGAAGAATCGTACCGGACTTGACCTTCCTGATCTGCCAAAAAGCGCTCCGTGACCTTGGCCAGTGACTTCCCCTGCACCACTCTGAGACTCAGTTTCCTCCTCTGCAAAATGCACGTAGCAGAAGGAGCCCTGATGGTTAAGTGCCTGGACTCTGGGATCACACTGCCGGTGTCCAAAACTCTCAGCCCCGCAGCTTCCTGGCTAACTCCTGTCTCAGTCTCAGTTCCCCTCCCTGTAAAGCAGAGGCCCTAGTAGTGCCTGCCTTCTAGAGTATGTTGTCGTTGTCGTGAGGGTTAAGAGCCACGGCGCTAAGCATTGAAAACGGGGGCCTGAGATGCGGTGAATAGCAGCAAAACACCAGTTAGGATCACCAGCCTGGGACTGCCTACCTCTCCACGTCCTTATGGGGGTGGCGGAGATTCAAGGCATGAGGGCCGCCAGCCCAGGACTTGGCACTTGCTCCAAAACCTCATGGCTGCACTCAGATCTGAAGTGGATCTCCACAGTCGGGGCGCAACGTGAGACCTGGTCCTCTCCCAGCCCATCCTTTTTACCGGCCTGAACTCACTGGGGCCTGTCCAGGCGGCTGGGAGGGGGCGGGGTTGATCTATGGGCTGGGTAACCTGCCTGGGGGAAGGGAGGGGGCCTCTGACCCGAGGGGTAAATCATGGACTTCCCCCAGGGCCCGTCAGTTCCCCAGGAAAGAAGCCCTGGGTATTTGTTATCTCAATGTTTCCCCTGAGGGGCTGACCACATGATTCATTTCACTCACACTAATTGGATGTAAATTAGATGAGAAATCAGTAATTTGTCCAAAGATTTGTCATTCCCATGGCTTTCCAGGCAGAGCAAAGCACTGGTCCTGCGAAGGCGCCCCCAGCTGTAAGGGAGGCAGAAGCCTGGCCTCTTCAGAGGAGACGATGAGCTGCTTCCTGGTGGCTCCTGTGTTTGCATTTTTTAAAAGAGGAGGGAGCTAAGGTGAAGATAGAAGGGGGCTGGGGAGAAGAGTAATGGAGGGGGGGAAAGGAGGTGAGAGGGAGAGGGGGAGGAGGAGGGGAGTTGGGGACGAGGGAGAGAACAGGAGAGGAGAATCAGAGCTTTCTCTGGCTGCTTTTGGCCGGCTGGAGGGGTGGAGGAACCTTCAGGTAATGTTATTTACCATCAATAGGAAAAAGGATTACTCCAGGCTTCTTTCCTTACAACAATATGCTAATCAACCCCTTGGGCCCACAAGGGTCTGGGAAGCCAGGCAGCTGCCTCTGTCGCATCTCTAGGAGCATGGCCACTGATTTAATGAGGGGGAGGGCAGGGCTCCGCTGGGCTCCTGGGAGTGGGATCAGACAATGACTGGGGGTGGGTGGCCGTCAGGGCAGCGTGGAAGAAGCGGGTCTGACCAGGGCGCCTGCGTGGAGAGGAATGGCAGCAGCCAGGGCTCCCCACCACCCCCAGTGCTGCTGCAGGGTCAGGTGAGAGCAGCTGCTCATGTTCTATTTATTAGAGAGACAGAGTCCCCTGAAGAAGGGTGGAAATGTAAATATTTTAAAAAATGAATCCGAGGCTTGAGTCAAGGGCATAAAGGAAGGGAGGGAAAGTGCTGAGTTTGGCAGGTAGAAAAAGGCGGGGAGGTCAGAAAAGGGTCAGAGGGTTCACTGGCCTGAAGACCCCTTTGAAGTAGTTGTATCCTAACTGTGACCCCAGCTCAGAGCTGGGGAATGCTAAGGTGGGATCCCTGCCCACCCTTCTGGAAGAGAGGCCGTAAGCTTCACTGCTGAAGAAAAGAGGAGGCTGTCTGGACTCCAGAAAGTGGGCCTCACCTGGCCAAGGAAGCTAAAGAGCAGAGGCAGAGGGCAGAGGCCCTGGACTCAGAGCAGAGGCTGGGGTATCATACAAGGTCAAGGTCCCTGCAGCAAGGCAGGGTCAGGGATGGGGTCTGAGGTGTTGAGGCCTTGAGTTAGAAAAGACTCATTATTATGTGCTCATTCATTCATTTCAACATTCCATGTGTATTTATTAAACTGTTACTGTTTGCCAGCCGTGGTGCTAGGTGCAGGATGAGCCAAACAGACTTGATTCCTGAAGCCTTGAAGCAGAAGCAAGTCTAGGAGGGGAAGTAGACACAAATCAAATAATTGTGCACATCCATGTGTGACGATAAACTATGCTGAGAGCCATGCAAGAAAGGAGCACAGGGCTTTGATAGCCCGGGACAGAGGAACTGGACCCAGTCTGAGAGGTGGGGATGTCATTGGGAGTGGGGGAGGGAAATAATGCTAAGATAATCAATTCAAAGTGATAAAAGGGTAATTCACAAGGAGAAGCATTGACCTTGCTGCTCAAATCTTGTTGGGGATGCATGTGAGTGTGTGGGACAAGGAGCGAGTGAGCGTTTTGAAATATCTTGTGAGAGTGCATACACAAGAGCTTATGTCTATGTGGGGCAGGGAATGCGCTTTTCTGGATGATGTATGCTGATTGTTTTGGGGTGTATTTCAAAGCAATATAAGCAGCAGCAACTGGAATCTGGGGTGGCCTAAAGAGGATCCCCATGTCTACCTCTTCACTTCACATCCCCAAATTTGAGAAAGAAAAGGAGAAATCAGTCCTTCCCTTCAGTTTCAACCTTTCTATGATTCTGGGTATGTTCCTTGTGGTTGTGTGGCTGAGAATACCAGGCCCATGCTTAGTGTGGTTCAATCAGGGTTTCCTGTCCTCCCCAAAACGCTCCTTCAATTCTTTGTTTTTACTCTCTCCTTCTTTGTTTAATAATTTATATTTGATTGAGTTTATTAAGTGCCCAGGACTGGTAAGCCCTTCAAATAGGTTATTTTATTTGGTGGGTACTTGTTTCCCCATTTTACAGATGAGAACATGGAAGCTGAGAGAGGTCAAGTGACTTCTCCAAGGTCATGCTGGAAGAGCAGAGACACCAACTCCAAACTGACAACCTCTGACTCCCAAGTGCCTGCTCCTAACCCCTTCCATCCTTTCCCCCGTCTCTTGCTTCCTTCCTTTCTTCTTTCTCTTCCTTCTGGGCTTCTATAAACATCTACAAGCTTGTGATGAATTAGAGGCTGGTTATTCACATTACACCATGGCTCTCTGCTTTACACAAGTGTGGTTTCATAATGAGGATCTGATTCATGCACTGCTTTTAGGGACACCTATATCCGCATCCCATTGCCAAGTTCCTCAGCAAATGTCAAGGTGTTGAGGGAGAATCATCGACATTTCAGAGTTGGAAGTACAACCCCCCTTATTCCACAGAGACAAAGTAACTGAGGCCCTGCGAGGAGAGAAGGCCTGTGAAGGACAATGATACTCACTGCTGTGGTGGAAGCCAGGCAGGCCCCTTCTGACCCCTGCTGTGCTCCAGCCGGCACACCCGACTTCCCTCTGAGGAATCTGGGCGTCCCTCAGTGGACGCAGTAAAAAGCTTCTCCAAGTCGACGTAGAACCTGGACCAGCACAGGCAAAGGCACCGCCAACCATTCTGAAAGTTCTGACATAACTCCCAGGCCTCAGGCTGCCAAGGCAAGTTTTCTGTCTTCAGATGAATAAGCTGCTGTCTCCACTGTTGTGGAGGATGATACTCACACTTAAGGGGCCATATTTCTACCCTGTTGATTAGAGGACAGGGAAGGGGAGCTGAGAGATAAACACAACTAAGCAATGCAACACCCTCTTTCCCTCCCCTTTCCCTCCAGTAACCCTGCTGGTTGTGGCTGCGGCTATAAGAGTATTGGCTGTGACTTTCACTGATGCCCTTAGGGACACCTGCTGATATGAGAGTCTGAAGCTCTGTGGTCAGACAGGCTTGGGTTCCAAACCAGGTCCTGACACACAAGAGCCTCAGCTGCCCCATCTATAAAGTGGGAATAATAGCCCTGCCATCTGCTTCTCAGAGTTGTTGGGAGAATCAACCAGAGTTGCAATAAACACAAAGCAAGTGGTACTGTGTCTGGCAAAGTGGGAAAATTTAATGAATTAAGGCAGGTAGAAGACCTAGCACTGGTCCTGGCACATCTGGGGAGTTCATTAATTGTGAGTTCCTCCTTCCTCTCCTTTCCCAGGCTGGACCCTGAACCTCGGTAATCAGGAAAAGAACCTGGGGGCCTTCTGTCTCCCCCACACCCCTTTTTAACATTTTGAAACAGAATATAACATAAAATTAACCATTTTAAAGCATAAGTTGAGTGGCATTTAATGCCTTCACAATATTGTGCAACCACCATCTATATCAAGTTCCAAACATTTTTTGTCGCCTCAAAAGGAAACCCTTTGCTCCTTAGCAGTCACTCCTATTCCTCCACACCACCCCCAAGACCCTGGCAATAACCGGTCTGCTTTTTGTTTCTGTGGATTTACCTATTCTGGATATTTCATATAAATAGAATCTTACCATATGTGACCATTTGTGTCTGGCTTCTTCACTTGGCATAATGTTTTCAAGGTTCACCCCCCTTGTAGCACGTATCTGTATTTCATTCCTTCTGATGACCGAATAATATTCCATTGTATGGATATGCCACATTCTGTTTGTCTGTTCAAACACTGATGGACATTTTGGTTGTTCCCATCTCTCATTATTGCAAATAGTGCTGCTATAAACATTTATGTACAAGTATTTGAGTGCCTGTTTTCAAATATTTTGGGTATATACCTAGAAATAGAATTGCTGGACTTTACAGAAATTCTATCTTTAACTTTTTGAGGAACCACCAAACTGTCTTCCATAGAGGTTGTACCATTTTACATCCCCACCAGCAGTGTACAAGGGTTCCAGTTTCTCCACTTCCTCATCAGCGCTTACTATTTACCATTTTTTATGGACATCTTAGTTGGTGTGAAGTGGCATCTCAGTGTGGTTTTGATTTGCATTTCCCTAATGACTAATGATGTTGAGCATCATTTCATGTGCTTCTTGGCCATTTGTATATCTTTTCTGGAGAAATGGCTTTTCACGTCTTTTCCCCATTTTCAAATTGGGCTGTTTTGTCTTTTTTGTTTTTGAGTTGGCTACACCTCCAAGGAATGTTGGTGAATAATGGGTAGTGGGTAATATCTAGAACAAAACTTTCAGGGTCACCTCACCACTAGACTCAGTTGTCAAAAGCCAGGACTGTAGGCTGGGTGCAGTGGCTCATGCCTGTAATCCCAGCACTTTGGGAGGTTGAGGCGGGCAGATCATGAGGTCAGGAGTTCGAGACCAGCCTGGCCAACATAGTGAAACCCCATCTCTACTAAAAATACGAAAGTTAGCCAGGTGTAGCACGTGCCTGTAGTCCCAACTACTGGAGAGGCTGAGGCAGGAGAATCTCTTGAACCCAGGAGGCGGAGGTTGCAGTGAGCCAAGACCACGCCATTGCACTCCAGCCTGGGTGACACAGAGAGGCTCCATATCAAAAAAAAAAAAAAAAAGAAAAGAAAAAAAAAAAAGCCAAGACTGTTCTGGCCAAATCAAGATGTCTGGACATCATATTTTTATTTCTATTAGCGCACTGTAGGCAGAATAGGGACTTGTTGAAGGAGTTTGGAGTTGCGTGGAACTGGGCTTGAAGGAGTTTGGAGTTGCATGGAACTGGGCTTTAATTCCAGCTCCTCTGCCTTCACCTGCTGTGTACCAGTGCATTGGTGACAGTCCCAGAGTCAGTGTCCTTGTCTGTAGAATGCTTCTGAGGGTTGCTGGCAGATTCTATCAGCATTGGGATGAACACAAAACATGTGGCATCATGTCTGACAACCAGAAGGTGCTCAAGAAATGGGCACTCCCTTCCCTCCTTTTTCACTTTTCCTCTTATCCAACCTTCTCTTTTCCTCACCTTATTCCTTACTAAGGCACATGTAGATTTATGGAGGGTCAGGAGGGCAGGGGTGGAATGCAGCCACAAGTTGAAGCAGGCTCAGATGTTTTCTGGGGAGGGGCTCACCCAGAAGCTGGAAGGATTGGTAGGTACCAGGAGTCCGGCTTTCAGTTTGGGGAGTGGGACATCTTGGAATTGCAGGTAAGAGAAACAGGAAATACTCCTGGCTCCTCTGCTGGCCTAGTTACTAGCTAGCTATGGATACCCAAAGGGGATAAAATTAATGGGTTTCCAGATATTGCTCTTCAGATCCAAAATCCAAGCGCAGAGCTTCTAGACCAACAGTTGGATTGAATTGACCATCAGATCAGACATTTGTTGACTCAGGGTGGGCCCTTGGCTCTTGCAAGAAAATTGAATTTTAGAGTTACAAAAGTTTTGCTTTTTAAAAATTTTAGTTTGTTTGTTTTTATCTTTGACTCCATGGGTCAAACTCAAATAGGACATTATATTAGAAAAAAAAATACCAACAACTAATAAGTCTATTGAGTGCTTACCATGTAGCAGGCTTCTTACATTTATTAACTCAACCTTTGTAACAACCCTATTGCTATTAACTGAATTGTGTCCCCCAAAATTCATATGTTGAAACCTTAACTCCCCATGTTGCTGTATTGTAGGTAGGGTCCGTAATAAAGTGATTAAAGGAAGTCCTAACAGTGTAGCCCTGATCTGCCATATGAAGATACAGCAAGAAAGAAGGTGGCTGTCCAAGCCAGGAAGGTAGCCCTCAACCAGAACCCAGCCATGGTGCCACCTTGATCTCAGACTTTCGGCTTCCAGAACTGTGAGCAAATACAATTGAGGTGTCTAGGCCACCCAGTTTATGGCAGCCTGAGCTGACGAACACACCTAGGAGCTAGGTATGTTTACGATTCCCACTTTACATCTTTTACATAGACGTTAAGTCACTTGACCAAGGCCACACAGCTGGTAAGTGTCAGAACCAGAATTTGGACCATGGATGTCTGGCTCATGAGACAGAACCCTGAGGCAAAAGTCACCTCAAGAACCACATAGCAGGGGAATTAGCCAGAGGATCAAAGTCACTCTCTCTGCTACCTGCAACAAATGGTGTTGACTCCTGCTCAAAGTCTTTTGTCTAGGAGAAATGGAGAAGAGACGGGGGGCCACTTGCCAGTTAACTCCCAACACAAACCATGAGTGGTGCACTGCAGTTGGTAGGAGTGCCAGCTCCTGAGAGCCAATTATGTGCATCTTTTCCCGACTCTGTATTCAGTGACATCATGTTGGTAGGTTGACATTCACCATAGTGGGAGTATTTACACCACAGATATTGGAAAACACTATAAATCAGAGCTTTTCCACTGGAGAGCCAGTTGTTAAACATTTACCAGTATGCTACTTCATACCACATCAAACACATGGAGAAGGTGTATGGGGGGCTAGGCTCCTCGGCAGCTTGGGGTAAGCCTTGGTCCTGCAGGAGCTTGTCCAGTGACCATCTGATATGATTGTCTCTTGATAGAATCAAATATCCTCCAATGCTGAAGCTGGAAAGGCCCTTGGAGATATTCAAGCCCAACTTCTCATTTCAAAGATAGAAACCCAGGGCCCAGAGAGGGGAAGTGACTTGCCTAAGGTCACACAGCTCATGTCTCAGTCACTCATACAGTTAATTTACATCCATTTAGTCCAAGCTGGTAGATCTCATTGGGGGGAAATGCCAGAGGTTTTCTGGCGTAGATTAAACGTTGATGCTGCTATTTGGAGAACTATTCTGTGAGGATGGGGTAGTGTTTTCCGGATTTCCTGGCTGTTCCCTCCTCCTGCATTTCCACACCCCACAGGGTGTAGTAGAGAGCTAAGCAGGATGCACACGCTGTAATCAATAATGCAGCCTCTTCTGTCTCGGAGTGGAGTCTGTGGAAGTCAATGCAAATAGCACAGCTTGTAAATGTGCAGATTGGACTGGAGCCCTAAAGTGCACCCTAGAAAACACGGCTGCGTGTTCTTCATCTACAGCTAATTATAACTTTATTCATTACAGTCTGGCTCATAAGATTATAGACCTAAATCAGGAATAGAATATGTGTTACATATATATTTTTGTAATACTTTCCCTCCGTCAGAAGTGAGTCTCTGCCTCTATCGGGAGGCGTGAAGTCAGAGTCCCATCCCCAAGTCAGGCATCTGCAATGTGGCATTTTCTGTCGCCGCCCCACACTTTTCTCAAAGCAACGTGGAGGTGTTAATCAACTCAGAAAGCACCCACCCCACCCGCCCCGCCCGACAAATCAGTGCGACTGTCAAAGGAAGATGTAAAGGAGTTATTAATCTTTGGGGCCAAATGTTTTTAATTATGTACATACAGTATTCAAATGAGGTTAAAAATGGTCTTAACAGGTTCGGCTTTTCCCTCTGCAGTTTATCCTGATGCAGTGGGGCATGCAAGTGTGAAGGGAGCAGGCACATTTCAGATTTTTCTTGTTCTAAAGGGCTTGTTGGAACACCCTGAGGCTCAGTCCTTGGACCTTCTTACTCTATTTCCCTCCTTAGGTGACCTCAATCCATTCCTTGGCTGTACATCCCATCTGTGTGCTAAGCACATCAACATTTGTATCTATAACCATTTCCTGTACACCCAATGCCAGAATCATATCAAAACTCTCTGCTTAATGTCTCTACCTGGGTACCTTAAATGCTCAGAACAAAACACTGGGTTTTTTTCCTAGCAAAACATGGCCTTCCTTGTGATGTCCCCAGTAATAGCTTTATCTTTTGCCCACTATTACTCATTAAGTAGCACTATCAGCTGTGCAACCTGCAAACCCAGGAGTCACCCTGGATTCTTCTTTTCCTTGCCTGTGACATCAGAACACACGTCCAGTGGAAGTTAACCTTGCAAATTATATTCCAAGTCTATCTCCTTCTCTCCAGTGTCACTGATGGCTGTTACCGTCTCATCCCCAGGCCACAGCAATAGCCCTAGCTGGTTTCTCTCCTTCCTGTCTTGCCTCTCCACAGTCCATTCTCTACTCAGCAGCAGGAAGAATATTTTAAAAATTAGAGTACCCCACTGCCCCTCTGCTTCCAGCCCTCTAGCAGCTTAAGAATAAACTCCAAATCCCTTGCAATAGCCTCCAAGCTTACAGGATCTGGTCCCAGCCCATCTCCGCTCTCTGTCTACTGTCACCTCTACTGTTCATCCTATACTCTGGGTTCCTTGAACTCGCCAAACCCATTCATGCCTCAGGGCATTTGACCTGCTGTTTCTTCACCCTGGAAGACTCTTCTTCCTGTTCTCAACTTGGTTGAAATCCTTCAAATGCTACTTCCTCAGAAAGGCCTTTCCAGAGGGGCGGAGCCTGAGCAGGGAAAGGGAGGATGAAGCCCATTCTACATCCTTGGAGGGAGCTTTGTCCTTTTCCCAATCAAGTCTTCATACAAGGGAGAATTCTCATGGGAAACAAAGGAGTTAAAGGGACGGGAGCACTGAATGCTGATCAGCCCCCAGATGTCCACAGTGGTCTGCAGTGGCTACAGGCTCAGTGGTAGGTAACAAACCCATGGAGCAGTCAATGATTACAACCCACCCATCAGACCTTGACTTGTGACTTTGGGTCCTGGTCCTTGGATGGTCCCCCATGTCCATGTGTTGAATTTTACCAGTCTTCTAAGACCTCCCAGAACTCTTTTCTGGTTCCCAATTAGATGCTGTCTCTCATTCAGCTGAGTTCCTAAAGCACTTGGACTCTGATCCTCCTAAGGCCAGGAAATGTGCCTTCTTGCTTTTCCCTCCTCCAAGCTTAGCACTGAGCCTGACACAGCAGGCACACTGTGAAGAAATGATGAAAGACTGTTGGCTGCATAGATGATTATCTTGTGACAGTAAAAATTTGCCTTGCCTTCACGGACTTGCCTTTTCCCCACACTATTAGATGGCAAGCACATTGAGGTCAAGGCTGAATCTTAACTCACCTGTGTACTCCTCATGGTGCCTAGAGCAGCATTTAGTGGGCTCTCAATGGATTTCTGTAGCATGGAATCCACCACTGAGGGAAGTAGTCCAGAGTCATCTCAGTCTAACAAAAAGGACCAATGGTGATAAATGCTAGGTTTCTGCCTTCCAGGAACCTGGAGTCCCACCGAGCAAAGAGGTAGGACTTCTGGCACTTTGTGTGGTCTTTTGACATTTTGCAAGGAGCACAGGATTCAGCTAATATGGTGCTGAGGTCTCCGTTGGGGTTTCCTCTGGAGAAGAGAGAGTTTTTCCCCTTTACTGAAGATGCCAAATGAGGCCTGGCATGAAACATGGATTCACAGGGCCTTTTGTGTGCAAACAATATATCCATTCTTGAACAGTTTTATATTTCCTCATCTGACTTGCAAGGGTGGCACTTTGTATAAACCACATTGTTTGAGCTGAAAATTGTATTCTACAGATTTCATTTTGATAAGAGAATTCTGGCTTCATCGCCAACCAACATTTGAAAAAGTCACATAAAGAGTAAATGTCTTGAGAATACATTTTCTTAGTGCACTAATTCTGTTAGGGATCACAATTCTCCATAGTTCCTTAACTTGTTGCATCCTGAACATTCTTTGATTAACCAGAAGTGTGTGCTGGCCAAGGCAATAATCTTGGAGCAACTACCTCTCCCTCTCTTTAGTGACAGCTTCCATGGGTGCACTATCACACAGGCGAGGTCAGTGATGCCAGAGCCATTGTCATCATCATCACCACCATCATCAACATCACCATCAACATCATCATCATCATCATCACTGTTATCATCAACATTCACATTCATTGAGATCTGTCTATGTGCCAGGCATCTTGCTAAACGCTTCATATGCATTATCTTGTTTAGTCCTCACATCAGCCTTATGAGGAGCTCAGAGAGGTTAAATAGCTTGCTCAAGGTCATAGGATTACTAAAATGTGAAGCTACCTGGGCAATGCAAAGCCTCCACTCATGAGCACTGTATAATATGTAATGCATTGATGAACACTATTCATTCACTCCTGGGAGGCTTTTAGTCTTCTGAATTGGCCTTGGAAGACACCTTGGCATGACGGAAAGGGCATTGATGTTCCAAATCAGGCAGACCTCAGTCCTACTTTCAGCACTCTTATTTACCAGTTAGGTGACCTTGGACAAGTTCCTTAATTTACCTAAGATTCACTCTCCTTATCCTTAAAGGGAAGATGATAAGAATAATTTTATGAAGTACTGAGTAAGGGTTTCCAATACAGCAGGTGCACAATAAGAATATCCTGACAAACACTTACTGGGTGCTTACCGTGTGCCAGACAAAGAACTTAATTTTCATAGGTTATCCCATTTCATCCTCAAAACAACTCTGTGAGATCAGTACTTTTATTCGATTTCCATTTTATAGATGGGTAAGTCGTGGCTCAGAGAGGTGAAGTTACTTGACATCGGTTTTGGGATCAGACTAGCCTGTGTGTGAAATATAACTCTTCCAACTAACAGTTTTCTGACCTTAATATTTGAGGCTTAGTTTCTTCACCTAATATATAAATTACCACCTCATGAAAGTATGGTAGAAATGGAATAAAATAAGGTAGATAATATGCAGTCAAAATTGTTCATTTCATGCCCTTTTCTTTCATGAACTCCCTGCTGCATCTCCTTCATCTAAATTCTCAGAATATGTTGTGTCTCTCTTTTGACCTGTATTACCAAATGCTTCAAATGTTAAGCTGCAGGCCTCTAAGAGTCAAAGATTATCTTTGTCTTTGGGTCCCTCACAACATCTTTCACTGATACTTCCTCCTTGTAGGCATTAACAAATGAACATATGAATAAATGAAATAAATAAATGTGTGCACGGAGCCAAAAGGTGACTCCCCTCAACAGAGGGCTTCATGGCCAGCACCTTCAGTGCAGTGTCATTGGAAATTTGATTTGAATGGATATCTTTGGCTTATCACAAGGGCAGTATGGTGGACAGAAACCTGTCTTCTCATTTCTATGGCTGTCCCTTTACAGCAAGGGGAAATTCTAGCCAGTCGCTCTTTGATATGGAAGGAGTCAGAAAGCCTGGGAGTTCATGTGCCAGAGGAGACATGATTCACAGTCATTGCACTGTGTAGGAAGGACGAACTGGGATGCAAACTGCTAGCATGTTCCAGGGTTTGCCTCTCGGTAATGTGAGCTTTGCAGTCTGGCCAGGAGTGAGCTTTTTACCATAAACATTCAGGGCATGCTGCTTATGTTTTAAAAGTGACGTGTTTTAATTTCCAGCCAAAAATACTATATGTTTGGATTGCAGTTTCTCAAGTTGCTAAAAAATTATTCAGAGGAGATGAAAACCTGCCATGCGGTAGAGGAAGCAGCCTGATGTTTAATGCAAAGGCTAAACCCGTTCTCTGGGAAGCATGTTCTTCTCTTTAAACCAGGCCATGAAAGTAGACACTGCAGAACTTGTTATTTTCAGTCTCCCACAAATTGGTGCCATTTATGGCCAAGTTGGATTCTCTAGGACCTATAAACAATGTCAGGACACTTGGTCTGAATATGTATTTTTTCATTTATTATGGGCATATCAGACAAGATAGGCTAGGTTAAGCTGCAATTACAAACAACTCTCTAATTCTAACATGTTACGACAGTGAAGGTTGCTTTCTTGCTCAAGTACATATTGCTCATGGGTCAGCGGGAGGCTGTGCCCTTTGCCTCTCTATGAGAGACATGGTCTGCTGGTATAGCAGCTACCATCTTGAACCTCGCAGCCACAACACCGGAGGAGAGAGTGTGCACTCTGGAGGACTCACAATGGCAGCTAAACAGTTAAATGCTCTGGCCTAGAGGCAACATGTGTTGCCTCTGCTGACAACTCATTGACCAGAACTAGTCACCCAGCTGCATCCAGCCACAAGGAGCCAGGAAATGCAGCCCATTCTGTGCCTGGAAGGAGAACCGGACAGAAGCACGCAGCACCAACGAGCTCCACACTGGGAATTTAATGCACTTGAAACTGTTGAGAGAAAAGAAGAGAAAAATCATAATCGTATCTCAGGGGAAGAGAAAGCTTGACTCTTAGAGTTTTTTTTTTTTAATCCATTCTGAGCAGGATACAAGATTTTTTTCTTTCTCTCCTTTAACTTCTGAGGAGTTGTTTATAAATTCTCTCTCTACTTGAAAAACAACTAAGCCATTAGAGTTGAGATGGATTCTCTGGTGTGTGTGTGTGTGTGTGTGTGTGTTTGTGCGTCTGTATAATGTAGTATAGTGTGGTATAGCTGACCAGAAGACAGAGAAAGTACATTAGTATGATGCAAAATCTCCCCTGAGCTACTCAAGGACTTAGAGGTTGTTGGAAAGATGGAGAATCTTCAGTGTCCAGTTCTCTGAACTGGTCTTGGACAGGCTCATGATGAACCTTCTGAAACATAGGAGTTCCAACAGGTCTTGTGGTTAGAAGTTACCTCCTTTATTAAAGTAGTTCCACAATGTCTGAGCCTCAAGATGAGATCCAGGTTAGGTTTGACTATAAGGCAGGCTCATACACTGTATTTTTCCCCTCAGGGACAAGAACACCGAGGCCAGGCGACATCAGAAATAACAATAAGCACAATCCCTCCTGTCCATATCCAAGCTCAAATTTTGTCCTCTGATAACCCTCTGCCACAGACTCAGCATCAGTATCGGTATTTCTCAGAGGACAGACCTGAGTCCTGGAGAGCTAAGATGATTTGCTCAAGGTGGCCTGGTTAGTAAGTGACAAAGTCAGGATTTAAACTTAAGACATCTGGACACCAGGTCCAGTGCTCTTTCTGTTGTGGTCTCCATGGCAACCAGAAGCCTGTGCATCCTAAGTTTATTTTCTTATTACCAGCAACCTAAAACATGGGTACACATATCAGGTGTTGGGAGGAATCTCCTTCTCCTGTGCCCCATGTTCTTAAGGGAAGAGATGGCAGCAGAAGTGACACTCCGGTATTCATGCAGCTTCACGAACTAGTCCCCAGAGGAGGAGTGATGTATCTGATGGGCCTGTTTCAGATACATCACAACAGGCATGCTCAGCTCAGCCTTTTCTGGGTTTTCTGGGACCCACCTTCAGGAAGGATGCATTCAGGACCAAGTATCATGTGGCAAGTTTTCCAGGACAAGCCCTGCCCTGGAAACAGGCACACTGTGGTCAGCCCATTTACTGGATGGGTAAATTGGAACCTGAAGTGAAGTGCTGGGAAGCCCACTGTGGCCATAAGATCTAAAGCCATGCTCTTCAAATCACCTTCAGAGATGATATCTTGATATTTTGATTTCTATCTATGTCCTCTGCTTTATTTCTTGGTTGGTTCCAAACTTACTTATAGGAGGGCAGAACAAGGTAAAATTAATGATCACTCCAAAAATCCAACTTCAGGAAATAATCAGTTGCCTATGAATGGATGAAGGTTAGTGTTGAATTCCCCAGTCCTCTGCCTTCCTGCTTTCTTATGATTTAAAAAAGTGGACAGATTTCCAGGGCTCTATGAAAAGGTCCATGTCTTGTTTATGTCTGAATTCTTCATGCCAAATACAAGTCCTTGGTCTGTGATAGGTCCACTGAGAGTGTTTGTAGGATAAATAAAGTCCACAATTGGCCCAGGAAGGCAGGTCAAAACAATGGACAGAGCATGAAAAGGCCTGAGAATTCCTGACTCAGGAGCTTCAGAGATTTGGCAAGAGATAAAGGCAGCAGCCTTTGCAATGGTTGTGCGCCCTGGGGGCCACGGAGACTCCCCACACCAGCAGGCCCTGATGCCTGCGCTTTCTGTCCATGCAAGTGTGGCCCTGAGTTCAGGTCTATTCCAGGGGACCCAATGAGAACAAGGCATCCTTATCAAACAGGAAGAAACCCTACACACACCTTGGCTGGGGAGCCCTGCACTCATCTTGCCTGCAGAGGCGTGATTGGCACCCAGGACAGCACTCTCCCCACATGGGCTCTCTCTGATGGGTCACAGTAAACTCAGGATTCACCAGGCCTGAAGCCTGGGACTCTGTTTTGATCAAAGACTCAATTCCTGAAGAAACCTAAAAACTCTCTGTGTGTCTGTGTTTGTGTGAATGTACCTATACACATTCTGTGCACATATGAAAGACATGCATATACAAACAGTACATGACAACACATTTTCTCATCCTTTGCTGAAAATCCAAGCCTGTGGTCTTCACTTTTCTTAAAGGTGGTATGTAGTGTTGATGTTTGTGAATAGGATCTGGCATCTAGTTGTCTGGGTTCAGTTCCCAACTGCAGACGACAGATACACACACACACACACACATACACACACACACACACACACACACACTTCTCCAACCCTCAGCATCCTGGGGTTTTAAATGCATTCCCATTAAGAGTAATTAACCTGTCTTTTACTGCCTCTGGCCTTTGCATCTTATTTAGGATCCTCAGTCTCTTGATCATCTTCATTCCTCAAATTATTTCTGAAAGCCTTACATGTATTCAAGAACAACTTCGTCACTTTGATGTGGTGTCCACCTATTTCTTTTTTCTCTGATGTCCACTGCTAAAGGGGCTGTTGATTGAAACTGTTTGCACACAGAACAGAGCATCTGGCACATGATAGGACTATTTAGTCAGGGTTCACTAGAGAAACAGAATGAATAGAAGACACACACACACACATATATGTACACACACACGCATATAAAGAGATGTATTATACTGAATGAGCTCACACAATTATGGATACTTAGAAGTCCCAGGATGAGCAGTTGGCAAGCTGGAGACCCAGGAGTGCCAGTGGTGTAGTTCCAGTTTGAGTCTAAAGGCCTGAGAACCAGGAGAGCTGACGGTGTAAGTTCCAGTCCAAGGGCAGGAGACCACCAGTGTTCCAGCTCATGCAGTCAGGTAGCAGAAGTTCTCTCTTACCCAACCTCTTTGTTCTATGTACATTTTCAACTAACTGGATGAGGCCCACTCACATTAGGGAGGGCAGTCTGCTTTACTCAGTCTATCAATTGAAATGTTAATTTCACCTAGAAACACACACACACACACACACACACACACACACACACACACACACACCCAGAATAATGTTTGACCAAAGGTCTAGGCATCCTGCAGGCCAGTCAAGTTGACACATAAAATTCACCATCACACTAGGTAATCAGTAAAATATCACCTAATTATGTATTAGTTTATTCTCATGCTCCTATAAAGAACTGCCAGATACTGGGTAATTTATAAAGGAAAGAGGTTTAATTGACTCACAGTTCTGCAGGGCTGGGAGGCCTTAGGAAACTTACAATCATGGTGGATGGGGAAGCAAATACGTCCTTCTTCACACGTTGGCAGGAAGGAAAGTGCTGAGAAAAAGGGGGAAAAGCCCTTATAAAACCATCAGATCTTGTGAGAACTCACTATCACAAGAAAAGCAGCACAGGGTAACAACTTCCATGACTGAATTACCTCCCACTGGGTCCCTCCTACAATATGTGGGGATTACGGAAACTACAATTCAAGATGAGATTTGAGTGGAGACACAGCCAAACCATATCAAATTAATTAACTAGCTAATTCATTAATGAGCAAAGCAATATTGCTGCAGGTTTGCTTGTCACCATAGGTGCAGTATCCTGTTGATGGTCCTGAAATTGTCCTTGGCCACCCTCATACCCATGCGTAAGTTGTCCTGATGAAGTGGGGAGAATATTTTCCTTCCACAGGCACATGGCACAAGTCCACGTGCAGGCAGCTGCACTTTGTGATGAGCCCTAAGAAGGCTGCCCCGAACTCCCATGTCTCACTGATATCCTCTCTGCAAACCACATTATAGCTTCTTTCTACTGCTCACATCTCTAGGACTCAGACCTGCATGGATGAGGGCTGGCTGGGTACACATCTGCAAGCCTGGTCCAGAAAACATGGTCCTCCATAACCCCCTCCACTCAGGGTGCACATGCCCTCACCCACCCCAACCCATCCCCTTGTTAATCCACCCTCCTCCAGGTTGCTACCAGGAGCCCCTTCAACTTTAGACTTGGGCTAAGCCCTGAGCTTTCCACAGATATGCATGGAACACAGGGAACCCCTGCCAGCAGGGCCTTCAGCAGCCAGTTTATTTTGCTCGATACTCACGGTCTGCATTTGCTTCAGTGCACCCCAGAGGTGTTTATTGGCTCATTGTCACACCTCATGTGGGCAGAGCTATGGCCCTCACTGAGTGCTTTGTTCTCATCACCTTTGGTGGTCACTGCCAAGAAATGAGCAGTCTCTGCTCATCTGTGCTGGACAAAGGCCAGGCTATTCCCAACGATTGGCTTGGTAACTCTCATTGGAAACAGGAGCATCAGGCACATGATGTTGCTCCCCAGACTCCAGAAATGGGAAGGGGATGTTCCTCTGAAGGGCACTTCTGGCTCGTGGCAGAATTCATAGAATCTCCATTCCAAATAATTGGAGATTCTTTAGTCCTTCTTGCACCTCAAGGCTTGAATCTACTTCACCATATCTTCACTGAGTGCTGAGTCTTGGAACCCCTGCTTACACGGATCTGTAGGAGTAGGGGTGCTTGCTACCATCTGCACACAACCTATTGCTAAACAGCTCTGGCAATAAAAGTAACAGTAACACTCTGATAATAATAATTATTACAAAGACCATTTATAAGGCACTTCCATATGTTCAGTTCTCAGCACCTTACCTGGCTTGTCTCAGTCAATGCTCCCAAGAACTCTCTGAGGCAGGTGTGCTATTATTCCTGTTCCTCAGACAAGGAAGCTGATGCTTCCAGAGGGGCTAAGGAACAGCTAAGTGGAGATCCAAATCTAAGTTGTCTAACTCCAAAGCTTGTGCTCCTAAGCGCCTTATTTGAGTTCTGCCTCTGAATTCCCATTCTCACTCTCACTCTCCCTTCCACTTCTTGACTCTAGGTTTGCGCTTTTAGGCCTCACGGTCCAAGTCTTCTCACTCTTTCCTGTGACAGCCCTTCAGAGTTTTGGAAACAGCAATCATGTCCCTCAACTGTGTGCTTTTCCATCCATAAGAGCCCCAGTTCAGATCCTTCTTTCTTCTTCCTTTGACACAGCTTCCAACCCTCTTCCACCAAACTTGCAGCCCGTCTCAGGGGCTGTAGCTGGTTGTGCCGTCCTTGAAGTATAGAGTCCCAAAATGAGCCTAGGCTCCAGTGACAGATGAGAGCAGGACCCTCACATCCCTGTTTAAGACACCAGGAAACATGTGTCAATATAGCCCAGGAGCATCTGAGAACCCCCACCTAGAATGCTGACTCATTCTCAGCTCCATGACCGTGAAAAATCTCTGCTGAGAATTTTCCCATTGGCTGTAGCTGCTAAGTCTCTCCTTCCCTGTCTTGTTCTTGAACAGTTTTTCTTTTTGAACCTGAGAGCTGGACCTGACAATCGTGTCTATTAAGAATCTTAAGCAATGACAGTCCCAGTATGGATTACACTCACAAATCAGAGCAAAGCTGTCCCAGACATCCTGTGTGGAAGTGATGGGGAGTTTTACCTTGGCCTTGGTTTGCAAAATCATC
Organism: Homo sapiens; assembly: GCF_000001405.40. NCBI lineage: Eukaryota > Metazoa > Chordata > Mammalia > Primates > Hominidae > Homo > Homo sapiens. Next base: position 38,541,181 of record NC_000001.11, on the reverse strand, counting down.
AGCTCTGTCAATCTCAAAAATCAGAAATGCAAAAGAAAAAGATGGACTTGGAAGTGGAAGAACTGGCATCTAGTCCCAGGTTTGAACCTGTTAAATTAGCTGGGTGACCTTTGGAAATATGCTTCACCTCGCATTAGCACATAGCATCATAAACAGCTTAAGTTTATCAATCTGGAGATGTACGGACCCTGAAGCCCAACTCCTGGATTTGAATCCTGGCTCTGGTACTAGTAAGCAGGGTGACCTTGGGCAGATTACATAATCTCTATTCAGCTCATCTACAAAGTTTATCCATCTACAAAGTAAGAATAATAATAGTACCTACTTTAAGGGTTATTTTGAGGATTTGCAAAATTAATACAGGCAAAGCACCAAGAATACTACCTGATACATTAGCAGAGCAGTATTGAATTATCGCTCACATTTGTTATTTACTTGAGTCTCACAATAATCGTGCAAGATAAAAGGAGAGCAAGAACGAACTTTGCTGTTTTCTGTTTTAATTTACTTATTTGTTTAAATTAACTAAATGTGTACGTAATTGGACATGTGACATAATAATTGGAGAACAGATAAGTCGAATTCTTGAGGTTTCACTTACAGAAACAAACAAAAGATTTAGAAGCGTACATGATTGTTTAGAGCCAGTTTCTTTTTTTTTTTTTTTAAATCCCTGCACACACACTCCTCTGGGACTACATAAAATTTGCTGGATGAAAGCAGTTCGGGGACAAAGGGGGAGTGCAACAGAGAAAAAGCAAAAGTGCTAAGTGACCTAGGGGTGGAAGGAACTTGGTGCCCTGCCCTTCGTCCCACACAGACTGAGTGCTAGGAGTGGTGGAGGTAACAACAATTTCAGATTGAGAGATTCAAGAACAGAGAGGATTCTTGCCTTGCTTCTGAGCAGAGCCTGGGAGGAGGCAAATCTTACAGAATTTTCCTGCATGAAGGGAGCAGTTGACTAGAAGTGGCGGCCCGGGGAGACAGGCGAGGGGGCCTGAGAGACCCTTGCGGAGATCTCCCTTGTCCAGTAGGGCATCGTGGAAGACACTGCAGGGAGCCAGTCCTGGAGGGGAGTGTGGTCTAGGCAAGGGTTGTGTAGCAGTGACCAGTGTGGGTAAAGCAGAGGACTCTTGCCCTCTCGTGGCTTAGTACTTTGTAAGCCCTGAGAGAACCTGGGAAAATGAGAGTGGAGACTCTGATTTGAATAAGATTTTCTGCCACAAAGAGGAAGAGCAGCTAGAAGCAGGAGTTAAACTCACAGGAAAAAGATAAAGAAAGTAACATTTCATAAATATCTGAGTATGTTAACCTGAATTTTTACTCCTAGTATTAACAGCATAAAAAATATTAGAAAATGCTGGCAAGTCAAAAAAAGAAAAAAATAATAATGTAAATTACCCATAATCCAACCACCCACGGACAGCCATTGCTAATATTTTGACATGCATGAGCACACACACACACACACACACACACACACACACACACACAGATCAGATACCTAGAAGGTCTAAATTCTGACTTATTTTACATTAACAATATTTCTGAGATTTAGATTTTTAACTTCAAAGGAATACAATGATGGAAAATTACATTAAAATGGAAGCTATGATATGTAGTATGTGGTAAGAAACCATAAAAGGTAAAAAAATTTAATGTAAATATGTCCTGTGAATCTATTGATGTATACATTACAAATGGCATCATATTGTATTTGTCAAAAATGTCGCTTTTTACCAGAAAATGGAAAAAAATAAACTTACATAAAACCTATCCATTCAGTGATGCAAACACAATATGGCATTTTCTTTATGAATTTTCACACTGAGAATTAGCAAAATATCTTAAAAGTATTATGTAATTATAAAAATGTATATTACATTTATATTTATCAGGAAATCTTTTCTGATCTATGGATGGAGTTATGACAAAAATCATTTGTCATTAGGATTTAGTGTAACAACTTTTGAGAAACTGCAGCTCTTTTGAAAAGCTTCAGAGCTAACACTCCTCACTCTTGCTGCACTTTTCCTTCCAGATTCCCTTTTGCTCTGGGCACCTGAAGCTCGTTCAGCAGGGTGGCGAGTGACCTTCCTCCCATGAGACAAGTGTCTCACAACATGACATGGCCTCTGATAGGGTCATTTCCCATCCTCTGTGGGGATCAGCCCCACCCTGTTCAGCAAGCCTGATACTTCCAGGCTACAGATCACACCAGCACGGGTTTCCACACACCGCAGTAACCTGTTCATTCATTATTACAGGAGTAGGTTTTTTTAAATTGTAAAAAACACTTTTAGAATAATGCTTTCTGTTTTTAGATGCTTCCAATTTTAAACAGAGATAAAATATTTTTTATCATTTATATATATAACATACATTAATATTATATATGTATAATGTACATTAACATTATATATTATATATTAATTATATTAATTAATTATATATTAATTAATTTATACATAATATTAATATTATATATGTATAACATACATTCACATTATATATATATATAAAACATACAATAAATACAGGTTGAGTGTCCCTTGTTGGAGATGCTTAGGACCAGAAAGGTTTCAGATTTCAGATTTTTTCAGATTTTGGAATATTTACATGTACATGAGATATCTTGGGTAGGGGACCTAAGTCTAAACACAAAATTCATTTATGTTTCATATACACCTTACACACATAGCCTGAAGGTAATTTTATGCAATATTTTTAATAATTTTGTGTATGAGACAATGCATTTTGACTATGACCCATCACATGAGATTGGGTGTGAAATTTTCCATTTGTGGCATCTCTCAGTGCTCAAACAGTTTCAGGTTTTAGAGTATTTCAAATTTTGTATTTTTGCATTGGGATACTCAACCTGTATATATTTGTTTTGCAACCTGCTTTTATAACTAAGCAGTATATCATTCATTTTTTATATATCTATATTGTCTTTTAAAGTAGCAGCATGGAACTTCATTATATGAGATGGCCACAATTTATTTTACCAATTCCCCTACTGTAAAATATTTTTATGTTTTCTAATTTTCATTATTACCAAAAAAATGCAATGAATATCTTCAAATACATAAGTTTTGCATACTATTTGTATTATTTCCTTAGATGAAATTTCAAGAGAAGTAGGTGATTCTAATGGTATGTATATTTTTATTTTTATTTTTTATTTTTTGAGATGGAGTTTCGCTCTTGTCACCCAGCCTGGAGTGCAGTGTTGCCATCTCGACTCACTGCGACTTACTCACTGTGACTTCCGCCTCCCAGGTTCAAGCAGTTCTCCTGCCTCAGCCTCCTAAGTAGCTGAGATTACAGGCACCCACCACCACGCCCGGCTAATTTCTGCACTTTTAGCAGAGACGGGGTTTCACCATTTTGGCCAAGCAGGTCTCCAACTGCTGACCTCAGGTGATCCGCCTGCCTTGGCCTCCCAAAGTGCTGGTATTATAGGCATGAGCCACCATGCCCCACCCCTGTATGCATATTTTTAAAATTGTTATACCTATTGCTAGATTGTCCCCCAGAGAAGTGGTACAGATTTACACCCAATCCAAAGGGCATGAGAGTGTGAGTTTTTATACATTCTCTCCAACTGTGAGTATTATCATTTCTTCTACTCCTTTCTCATATAACAGGGAAACATTGAGATATCACACTGTTGGAATACACTTTTATTTATTCATTTCTCTTTCTTCCAGTTCAAGAAATGCTCATGTCCTAGCTCATTTCTTTTCTATAGAGGTGCTCTTCTTTTTCTTATTAGTTTATACAAATTCATGGAGATATACTTCTTAATTGTCAAATGGGCAGCAAATATGTTTTGTAGTTTGTTGCATGTTCTTTAGTTACATTTATATTGTGTTTTGGAGAATTAAAATTCTTTTAAAGAATTTTATCAGCCAAATCTGTACATTTTTTCACTTATGAATTATCTGGCAGTTTTGTTGTATTTACTTGGCAAATAGATGAGAAGTTTAGGATGATGACTGTGAACTTCATAAATCTCAATCTCTCCCAAACACCTTATATATTAGTTAGGATGTTCTCATTTGCAAGTAAGTAAACTGACTTAAACATCAAAGAGGACACCTTGACTCACATAAATAAATTGAGAAGTAGGTCATGTAAGCTTCAGGCATTGTTTTCAGGGCTCTGCCTCTGTTTCTTAGCTCTGGTCTCCCCTCTGTACTCTTCTAAGAGCTGGCTCCGTCCTCAATCTGGCTTTCTAATTGGTTGCAAGATGGTGGCCAACAGCAACTGGGGCTTCGTGCTTACCACGCACATTTACAATGAAAGAAACAATAACCCTTCCTGCAATGATCAGAAGATAGGCCAGAGCTTCTCTCTGATTAGATTACTCCAGATCAACTCATGTGCATGTGTTCATGCCATATACTAACTGGCTTAAATCTGGTTTATGAACCAATCACCATGGAAGGGAATGACATATTCTAGATTCATTTAGACCAAGAACTCTCCCAGCCACATCACAGGCTATTTTACAATAGAGGATGGGTGGGCTGGATGTTGGGGTAGTAACTACAATATCCACTTAGCTGATTTCTACTCCCTGGGGTGGGAACTGGGTATGATTTTGTGGTTGAGAATAAAAGCTTTGGAGTCAGGCAAACCTAGGTTTAAATCCTAGTTTCACCCACTTTGACTTCAGTTACAAAAAGGGGTGTTAATATTGCCTTGATCCATTTTCTGCTGCTATAACAGAACACCAGAGACTGGATTATTTACAAAGAATATAATTTATTTGGTTCACAGTTCTGGTGGCTGAGAAGTCCAAGATTGAGGGGCCACATCTGCCTTCTTGCTGCACCATAACATGGCAGAAGGCATCATATGGCAAGAGAGCATGCTCGGGAGAGAAAAAGGGGCTGGACTCCTGAGATAACTGGCCCACTCCCTCGATAACGGCATTAGTCCATTCATGATGGCAAAGCCCTCATGACCTAATCTCTTAAAGGTCCTACCTCTGAACATCATAATAATGGCAATTACATTTCAACCTGAGTTTTGGAGGCGACATTCAAACCATAGCAAATGTCAGGCTCAATAGGAGGAGACAATGATGTTGTGTGTAGGAAGCCCTGAACACCATGTTTGACCCACAGCAAGAGCTTCAAAAGGGTCATTACCAACCTTTTGGTTCTTAGGTTGTTACCTATTTTAGGGCAGAGATTGTGTGCATCTTTGAGTCCTCAGAGCCCAGCCATGTGCCTGGCATGGTCTTTAGAAAATACGTGTTTGGCCGGGTGTGGTGGCTTCTGCCTGTAATCCCAGCACTTTAGGAGGCCGAGGCAGGTGGATCACTTGAGGTTAGGAGTTTGAGACCAGCCTGGCCTGGCCAACATGGTGAAGCCCTGTCTCTACTAAAAATACAAAGATTAGCCGGGTGTGGTGGTACACGCCTGTAATCCCAGCTACTCGGAAGACTGAAGCAGGAGACTCTCTTGAACCTGGAAAGTGGAGGTTGCAGTGAGCCGAGACTGCACCACTGCACTCCAGCCTGGGTGACAGAATGAGACTCCATTTGAAAAAAAAAACAAAGAAAAGAAAAGAAAGAAAATGTCTGTTTGATGAATGGGTCAGGAGCCACCACCCTGCTCTCAAACAGGAGGGTACCATTGACAAACAAACAACTTCTTTCCTCTCAGGTTATTTGGCCCTTGTACTGTTTCAGAATGGAGGGTCTTTCACAATTTTTGTCCTTGCAGCTTCTAGAAAAGACAGCTCCGGGCACAGGTAGAGAGCTGCACAGGCCATTGTAGCCTGACCTTGCGTTAGCTACTCATGCTAGTCCCAGGGGGCTGTGGCATTTAAGGTTACAGACCCGAGTCAGACTACCTGGGTTCAAATCTCAGATCTGTTGCTTCCTAGTTATGGGAATTTGGGCAAATCACTTCATCCCCTTGTGCCTCTGTTTTTCTAATATACTCCTAAAACCAGGGATAATAGGATTTATCTCATAGGGCTGAGAAAATTAATGAATGAAGATGTGTTAAACAGTTAAAATGATGCCTGGCATCTAGTGAGTGATACATATTTAAAAAAATTTTTAACTACTGAAATTGTTTTTGTAAGATTATCAGTCTTGAAATTGTCCTCCCCAGGAATGAAAATGCCTCTGATAACTAAGTCCTGTTTAGCAAAGAGGAGCTCTCTTACAGCCAGGCGCGGGAGACCAAGAGGGCTGACCCTCTTGGATAATTCCTTCTTGTTCAGATTTCCAAGATGAGGTATAAGTTGTAGGGCGTTAAGTCCCAATTTGCCACTCATACGCTGTGTAACTCAGACAATTTCTTTCTCCTCTTAGTGCCTCACTGGCCCCGTCATAAAGCAGTTGGTTAAAGCCAAGTTTTCTTACAGCCGACCAGCCTGCAAGACTGTGGCAGGACTTCCCATTTCCTCCAGGGAAATTGATGCTCTAACCCAGGCTGGGAGTGAGCCAAGTCCTAATGCGTGCCCTTTGAAGGCGCGCCCAGCTTCACCATTTCAGATGCAATATACTTATTGCTGGTCTGATTTTTATTGGGAAAAAGCAGCGGTGTACTCTCCAGGTCCCTGGGGTCTGAATTAAAATAAAGGAAGTACTTTAAAAAATCAAATCCAAATAGCAGGACTTGGAAGCATGCTGTTAAGCGAAGGCATCACAGACCTCGAAGCTGCTTCCATACCAAGTCCTGAGACAAAGGGCCTCGTGGTAATTGCATTTGGAGGTCCCAAAGGCATTGGTAATGGAGGCAAGATTGTCTCAGAGTCTCATCTGCATAGAGAAGCAGATAAATCACGAAAGCTACAACTTACTGAGTACCTACTAAGTGCCTGGTCCTAGGCCATGTTATAATCCAGTAAGATGAACACTATCTTCATTTTACAGATGAGGAAACTGAAGATCAGATTCAACCAACAATAAAACTCCACCTGTGGTTACACAAGTAAAAAGTGGCAGAGCTGAGACTGGACCCGAGGTTTTTCTTGCACCAAGATCTATATGCTTTCCATTAGGCCAGAATCTTTTGAACTGCTGACTGAGACTCAGTAGTGAGTCATGAAATCCGTTTAGTGAGTTGCAGCTAGTACTTTCAAAGATGACATAGATCTGATCGTGTGCCTTCAAAAGATAAAAAGTGAAATAGGCTAAAATGGAAAATATGACTGCATTACATAGGCAAGGATAACTAGCATTTAATGAAATATATATGTGTGTTTGTGTGTGTGTGTGTGTGTATGTTTATGTACACATGTGTATATACATATACACAACAATGACATGTATATTTTTATGTACTGGGTCATGATGTAAGCTATATTTCTTACTGCAGTCATAGTCAAAAAATATGAGAAAGCCATTGCTCTAGAATACATTGCTTCCCAGCTAGTAAGAACTAAGATTTACTAAGATTTTACTATGTGTTTGGAATCTTTTAAGTATATGAGCTGAATTAATCATTACAACACTATGAGATAGGCGCTATTAATATCATCCCTGTTTATAGATGAGAAGACTGAGGTTCAGAGAGATGAAATAACTTGCCCACGGTCAAAAAATTAATAGGCAGCAATGCCTGAATTGGAACCTAGATTGACTGGCTAGAGCAGCTGAACACTTAGCCTCTTTCTTAACATTTCTGCATGAGATGCCAGGGGAGAGGCCTCTATTTTTTTAATGTAATTTTATTTTTGAGATAGAGTCTTGCTCTGTCATCTAGGCTAGAATACAGTGAAATGATCTCTGCTCACTGCAACCTCCGCCTCCCGGGTTCCAGCGATTCTAATGCCTCAGCCTCCTGAATAGATGGGATTATAGGCACACACCACCGTGCCCGGATAATTTTTTTTGTATTTTTAGTACAGATGGGGTTTCACTATGTTGGCCAGGCTGGTCTCGAACTCGTGACCTCAGGTAATTTGCCCACCTCGGCCTCCCAAAGTGCTGGGATTACAGGCATGAACCACCGCACCCGGTTGCCAGGAGGACTCTTGATCACAAGAACCATATAGACAAGTCAACAGGTTGGAAAGAGCCAGATGCACATTGGGCGTGGTCAACTGTGGCCAGCAGGCTCTGAACCATCCTCAATTGCCTCAGTCTCCTACTTCCCTCTATTTTCATTAGCAAGACAGTTGTGAAGACCTCTGTCGAATCTGTAGCTTCAAATTTCTTTCATCCTCCAATATTTTAGATTAATTAACCTCCTAATTATTTAGACATTCATTCTCCAACTTGTGTGCAATTCAAATCTATTACACTTCAGGGAATGTGTCTATATCGTGTGTATTCTGCTGCGAACCCCACGTGGTCAGAAGAGAAGTGGAAGGGGGAGATTCGCAGAATCAATTTTTAAAAATTCCAATGTGTTTCTGAGGCATCTGAAGTGTTGATGAGATAGCTGGGGTTCTTGGGTGCTTGACTTTTAAATTCACATTTCTGAAAAGCAAGATACAAAATTGATTATACAGTATGATCTCAACTGTGTTAAAAATGTATACAGAAAGGATTGGAAGGAAGTGAACAGTGGTTGCCTCTGGGTGGTGGGGTGATGGGTGATTTCGATTTTCTCCATTTGGTTTTTTTTCCTCCCCAAATTTCCTGCAATTGATAAAAAGTGTGGCTTTAAAAAATTTGCTGTTAAATTTAATTCCAAGGTAGAATATGGGATTGTATATAATTTTAAGGAGTGAGAACAGTCTATAAGCCAAATGCATCAGGCCTTTGAAGCAATTAGAAAGTGTCAGAGCAGCTCACTAGTAGGGCCTGAGTTCCGAGTTACGTGGCATATTATGTGGTGTGGTGATCCTACTCACATGGTGACTTCCTACTCTTTTCCACTCACCTCACTCTGAGTTGGGGAGCAGCCAGATTGGAGCTCAGATTCTGCCATCCAACAGATAGTCTCACAGGTAGGGTTAGGATCAGCGGCTCCAAAGGAACACATTGCATAGTCTGACTTCCTACTAGACTGTACCATTGCTCTAGCGCTGATCTCTTGTTGTACTTATCTTTGTACCTCCTAAGGCCATGCATGGGACATGGCTCAGGGTAGGATAATAGGTGTTTGAGTAATAAATTTGCGTGTACATCTCATTCTATACTAATCACATATTTAATACAGCAAACCTAGAAGGTAGATAATATTATTATCTCTGTTTCATGAATGGGGAACTGAGGCAAAGATCATTTAAATGGCCTGCCCAAAATCACACAGCTAGTAAGCAACAGAACTGAGACTTGAATCCATGCAGTGCTGCTGTGCACTGCATTGCCTCTTGGACTTCATGACATTGCTGAAAGTCAAGGCCAGTCAAAGGAGACCTGGAAGGCCATTTCTCTCCCAGACCATCAATCACAGAGGACAAGAAATGTAAATTTTTGACATTACCTCCAAGTGAAAACTTTCACCCAGTCACAGAAATACATTGACAGGACTGAAAGAGGAGTATGTTTTCTTGGAATGTGGTCTGTTCTCTGTTATAGGACCATCACACCTGAAATGCACACTGAATCAATATGTTATTGTAATCTTGGAATTTTTTGTGAATATCACAATGACAATTATGCAATTATGTGATATATCAATTATGTGATATAATTGCATTATATCACATATGCATCAAAATCATTTGTTAAATATAAACATTTAAAATACACCAAAATTTTATAACTTTGACATTATGTATTTATTTTAACATACCAAAGCCTTAAAGATGGAAGTGATAGGAGTCTTTTGGGCTCTGGAGAGGCCTTGTTTAAATTAGCTCCTCTCCCAGATTCTCCTCTCTCCTGACATACCTAGTCTTCTTCACAATAACAAGGTGGACATTTCTAAGTTTATTCAACGTGTCACACTGGCCTTGATTATCTAGATGGCTAGACTATAAGGCCCAAGGGTGTAGGCTTTAGACCAGTCCTCCTGGGTTCAAATTCTACCACCGCCATTTGTTAGCTGTGAGAACCTGGGGAATTTAGTTTAACTTTGTGGGTCTCAGTATTCTTATCTGTAAAATGGAGATAATAGTATTTATCTCAATGAGTTTTTGTGAGGATTAAATGAACTATTGGCCATGAAGTGCTCAGAAGAGTGCCCTGTGTGTAGAAGTGCACAGTAATGTTAGCTGTTATTAGGATAGGCACGATGATGTCCTTGTCTCTATTGGAGTCTGTGCATTTTGAGAGCAAGTGTTGCATTTTATTCATCTCTCCCCAGAACTTCCCAAGAGTTGGGCCCAGAATAGGTGCTCCCCAAACACCTGTTAAATAAATGAATGAATGTCTTTGTAAATGTGGGCTGGCTGCATGTATTTGATAGAGTTTTGGTAAAGAGCCAAAGAAAAAAAAGTGATAAAATGCCCATGAAATGTAAAGTATGGAATGAATGTTCCTTTCTTCTTTTGCCCCACCCTTCTTCCAGACCTAGATCTCCATGATAAGTGTCCTCACTTAATTCATAGGCCTGCTCATGGACAGCACTGGCCAACTGGGTCCACCAGACGAGTGCTGAGCACCAAACAGGAAGGTGCTGACCAAGCACCATCAGGGAGGCAGGTGCTTACCACCCACCACCAGGCAGGCAGGAGCTGACCAAGCACCACCAGGCAGCAGGTGCTGACCAACCACCACCAGGCAGGCAGGTACTAACTAAGCACCACCAGGCAGCAGGAGCTGACAAAGCACCACCAGGCAGCAGGTGCTGACCAACCACTACCAGGCAGGCAGGTACTGACTAAGTACCACCAGGCAGGCGGGAGCTGACCAAGCACCATCAGGCAGGCAGGTACTGACTAAGCACCACAAGGCAGGCAGGTACTGACCAAGCACCACCAGGCAGGCAGGCACTGACCAAGCACCACCAGGCAGGCAGGAGCTGACCAAGCACCACCAGGCAGGCAGGAGCTGACCAAGAACCATCAGGCAGGCAGGTGCTGACCACCCACCACCAGGCAGGCAGGTGCTGACCACCCACCACCAGGCAGGCAGGAGCTGACCAAGCACCACCAGGCAGCAGGTGCTGACCAAGCACCACCAGGCAGGCCGGCGCTGACCAAGCACCACCAGGCAGGCAGGTGCTGACCACACACCACCAGCAGGCAGGTGCTGACCGAGCACCACCAGGCAGGCAGGTGCTGACCACCCACCACCAGGCAGGCAGGTACTGACCACTACCAAGTAGGCATGGGTACTGATGAGCCACTGCCAAGTAGGTTGGTACTGACCAACCACTGCCCGGTAGGTAGGTCCTAGCCAAGAAGTTATGTCCTGACCAATCACCATCAAGCAGACAAATGTTGACCAGCCACCATCAAGCAGGTAGATGCTGAGTAACCACTGCCAAGCAGGCAAGTGATGACCGGTCACCAGCTTGAGTGGGTTATTCTTACCAGTTGCCACCAGGTGGATGCTGACCAATGCTTCAGAATGAGGGCATCTAAAGCAGCAAGGCCCGGGCTCAGGCCTATCTGTGGTTTACTTGGTGCCTCCAGGGCCTACGTCCTATGTCCAGGAACTGAGTCACAGAGTCCTCCCTCAGCCCCGGGCTGGGCCAGCTGCAACTAAAGAGATGACCCTCAGGAAGGAGGAGTTGCTAAGGCAGCGGGAATTCTGGTGAGCAAGTTCTCAGGAGTTATTGCCCCACTTCATCTTCATTAATGGCCGTAATGCTGTCAAGCCTCATCCCTGGCACTCCCCCTCCCCACCGGTTTATGGCATCTTTGGCTGCCCCTGTCTTGTTGCAAAAGAATGAAGTTGGGAGAACCACGAAATCACCAGAGGCTTTGCTCTTCTTAGCACAAAACCATGTTCTGTGTGGAGGTGCAATTCCTGTTGGACTAGGGTTCTAATTAATTGTGTACTGGAGCCAGGGAAGGGGTCAGGGGAACATGGGTTGGGCTTTGACTTTGGTAATGAATTCCAGAAGTTCTTATTCGTTGTACCCTCTTGAATTATGTTTCTAACAATGTATCTTTGTGTTCTCTAACCTGGTCTTCCTTTCATTGTAGGGGCAATGTTAACAGCTCCATTTTCTTTGCCTTGGGAATGGTGCCAGGAGGGAGCTACAACAGGCTTGGAAAAGAAACCTGCAAGATCCCACAGGTTCTTAAACTTGGTTGGCTTGGAAGGGACTTGATGGCCCCTAGTGGGTTTGAAAAAGTCTGTTGCAATTTGTGACCTGTCCTCTGAGCTTTTCCCCCTCATTTTGTCCTCAGAGGTTTGTTTACTCGAATCTCAGAGAACGGTTTGAAATAATTTATTCCTCCAGTCACTGGTTCTGAGAACCTACTTCAAACTTGGAGTGGCCACTGTAGCTCCCAAGAATGAATAAGACAGATTGTCCCTGCTGTTCTGGAGGCTGTCAGCTAGAGGGAGAGATGACTGCAACACATTAATTCACTAATTCTAATAAACAGCTGGATAACAGTAGTGCAGAGCAGCACAGGAGTAAATAATCTTGAAGGAGAGCTACAGGTTGGGGAGACCGTGGAGAGAGGGATGCCTGTGAAATGGACTTTGAGAAGAGGAGAATTCCAGTAGGAAATAGAATGGAAGAAAAATTTACTGAATTTTTTAGAATGGGAAAAAGAACAATTACACATTATTCTCATCAGCAAAGGATGGTGTTTGACACTGTGATGGAGTGAGAAAATGAAGGCATGACCCCTACCTTTGAGGACAGGAGAAGGGAGAAAGGGACAATGGCATAGTATCTGGCCAGCCATGCTGGTTCTATAATCATGGCACAAAGGAAATATTTTGGGACTATGGAGAAGAGAGATGATCACCTGTCAAAAAATAGTTGGCACTTGGTTGTATTTTTCTTTTGAGTTTCTGCTTAGTTTGTGATTTCCTGGAAAATGCCATCTCCTTCCCTTTCCCAGCCTCCATGCCACCATCTTTCTACAAATGAATTGGAAGGCAGTTAGTCCATCTCCTGCTAATGATAACAGCTACCATGCATGTATGGACTAGCTATGGCACATGGTACCTTATTAAATTCTCAACGTTACCGTATTAGTTATCTATTGCTGCATAACAAATTATCCCCAAACTTAGTGGTTTCAAACAATAGCCACTTATTATCTCAAAGTTTCTGTGACTCAGGAATTTGCATGTAGCATAGCTGGATCCTCTGTCTCAGGGTCTCTCGTAAGCTGCAATCAAAGGGTTGCTTGTGCTATATCGTCTTAAGCCTCGACTTGGGGGAGGATCTGTTTCTGAGCTCCTTCATGGGGTTGTTGGGAGGATTCAGCTCCTTGTGGGCTGTTGGCTGGAGGCGGTGCTTAGTTCTTTGCCACATGGTCCTCTCCATTGGACAGCTCACAGCAAGGTAGCCTGTTCATCAGAGCAGCAGGGGGAAAGGGCCAAGAGGGAATGCAAGCAAGATATAAGTCATAGTCTTATGTCTGAGTCTTAGAAGCGGCGTCCCATCATATTTGCCATATTCTTTTCATCAGAGGTGAGTCACTAGGTCCAGCTCACACCCAAGTGGCAGAGATTATATAAGGGCATGAATTCCAGGATGGGAGCTAATTTAGAAGCTCACTACCACAATCACTCTCTAGAATAGGGGTTCTGTCCTTTTTAGAAAAGGAAACTGAAACCTTGCTGAGGTTCACACACCAAGTGGCAGAACCGGAATGTGAACCAGCGTTCCTCCAAAGCCCGCCTCTTTCCATGACATCAGCCTACCCCTGGTGGCTGGTTAAATTCTCTCAGGACAGACCAGATGAGGTGTCACCCCCAAGTCACCTGTTCAGGTGGCTTTCTTGACAGCTGCCCAGCCACACACTGAGGTTTACACTCAAGCCGGCATCACTTTTCTATTCTCCCTGATCCTGAAAGCATTTCTTTCCATTCCAGTTTTAGACAGCAGTGAGGTACAGGAGAGGCCAAATACATGATGTCCTCTGTGAAGCTCCTGTCCCGAAAGCCTCTCACCAACTTCCCAGGGTCTGGTTGAAAGCACTTGCGTGAGAACATGCACCTTGCAGTAATGTACTTTTTCCACAGATGATTAATCAGGAGCGTCCCCGTATGGTTTGGCACAGATGGAGGTGAAGGAGACAGCCAAATCGTAAATCCAAAGAAATGTATAGCTTCCTCATCCATCCCATTATTACATCAGGATGGCTGTGTTTCCCTTTACTGCTTGAAGATATTGAAGAAGTTTTGCATACTGACAGCCTCCAGAGAGGCTGAACCCACCAGGCAGTTTTTTTGGTTGAAAGTAACCAATGGGACATTGGTTTGGGGGAACTTAAGACTTTTGCCTCAGTTGATAGAAATTGCTTGTTAGAAGTTCCAAAAGAAACTGTTAAGGCACTTAATATTTGCTGCTTTAAATTGAAGTTCTTTTTTTTTTTCTTTTTTTCTGAGATGGAGTCTTGCTCTGTCACCCAGGCTGGAGTGCAGTGGTGCCATCTCAGCTCACTGCAACCTCCGCCTCCCGGGTTCAAGTGATTCTCTTGCCTCAGCCTCCCGAATAGATTACAGGCGTGTACCACCATGCCCAACTAATTTTTTTTTTTTAATTTTAGTAGAGACAGCGTTTCACCATGTTGGCCGGGCTGGTCTTGAACTCCTGACCTCAAGTAATCAGCCCGCCTTGGCCTCCCAAAGTGCTGGGATTACAGGCGCAAGCCACTGTGCCTGGCCTGAAGTTCTTTCTTATTTGCATTTTTTCCCTCTGTTTTGAAACTTCTCAAAGATTATTATCTTTATATCCACACATTTCCGACACATCTTGCCCATGGTAGGTGCCTAACAACTCTCTTTTCAGAGCATGTGTAACTATCTCTTTAATGAATTTAAACAGCCGTCTTTATATTCATTTTAGTTCAGTCTTTCATCTTTTCTTAAGTCTGGAGTGACAGAAAGCTCCCACACTCGTAGCAGTTCGTACCTACAGTGGTTCATTCGGTCTTTGTGGCCAGGAGGTGGTGTTGCATGAATTTGTTATTGCACGTTTAAGACTTTTATAATTACTGGAGGAATTTTCTGATGAGCCCATGGTAGTTTATTCTGATTCTGTGAAATTCAGCTCTACAGGGGACATCTGTTGTCTGTTCCTGGTCTTGTCCTGATTTCTGGGTCTGCCGTACACAGGACACTGACCCTCACTGTGCCATAGCTTCTTTTGATTTTTGTTAAAGGTAGAAAACAGTAAACCATCTCTGTCTTAAAAAGAGTGATGACAGACAAGTTTCTCAGTAAAAGGAACATTGGCCCAGGAACCAGACCTCTGCGTAAAACCTGCTTTATTTCTGATAGTGTCCCTTTTATGGGTGGTGGTAAAAACACAGACTTTGTCCTGCCACCTCCTCGCCACATTGCCTTGGTCTAGCAAGATACCTTCTGAGCCCAACCTTACCTGTTTCTATAATGACACTACTGTTATTATCCTGCTTACCTTACAGGGTCAATGTGGGAACCACAGGAAATAATGAATATAAGCCAGTCTACGATATGATGTTAAAGATTAATGATTGCAATAGCTATCTGTACCACACGGTTACTATGTGTTGGGAACTGTATTAAGTGCTTTATGTGAATTATCTAATTTAATCCTCATAACAATACTATGAAGTGGATAGGATATGCCCATTTTACAGATGAGGAAGCTGAGGCCTAGAAAGGTTAAGTGGCTTGCCTGAGGTTATGCAGCTAGGAAGTTGAGAAGCTAGAATTCAAACCCAGACAGCCTGACTCCCAAATCCATGAATTGTTTTATCTACACAAAGCTGCTGCACATTATAAGGTACTATATAAACATACAATTGTATTACCTTTCCTTCACCTTATACAAGTGTAAGGTGTTGCTATTTTATTTTTCACATTTAGCTACAGAGTACATTGAAATCTGTGGCCATTCACAATGTAAGAAGCACATAAGATTTTCAACACGGGTGCCCAAGACCATTCAATTGGGAAAGGACAGCCTTTCTTTTTTTTTTTTTTTTTTTTGAGACGGAGTCTTGCTCTGTCGCCCAGGCTGGAGTGCAGTGGTGCGATCTTGGCTCACTGCAACCTCTGTCTCTTGGGTTCAAGCGATTCTTCTGCCTCAACCTCCCAAGTAGCTGGGACTACAGGCAAGCACCATCACACCTGGCTCATTTTTGTATTTTTAGTAGAGATGAGGTTTCACCGTGTTGGCCAGGATGGTCTCGATCTCTTGACCCCGTGATCTGCCCGCCTCGGCCTCCCAAGGTGCTGGGATTACAAGCGTGAGCCACCGCACCCAGCCTGGGAAAGGACAATCTTTTAAATTAACCGTGCTGGGAAAACTAAATATTCACATAAAAAAGAATGAAGTTGGACCCCTACTTTATACCACATAAAAAGTTAACTCAAAGTGGGTCAAAGACCTAAACATAAGAATTAAAATAATAAAATTCATTGAAGAAACATAGAGGAAAACCTTCATGACATTGGATTTGATGATGATTTCTTGGATACGACACAAAAGGCACAGCATCAAAAGAAAAATTAGATAAACTGGACTTCATGAAAATTAAAAACCTTTATGCATCGGAGGACACTATCAAGAGAGTGAAAAAACAACCCACAGAATGGGAGACAATATTTGCAAATCATGTACCTGATAAGGGATTAATGTTCAGAATATGTAAACAACTCCGACAACTTAAAAACAAACAAGCAAAACAAAGAAACAAAAATTCAATAATGGACAGAGGGCTTACATAGACATTTCTCCAAAACAGATATACAGATGACCAAAATGTACGTGAAAAGATGCCAAACATCATGATTCATTAGCGAGATGCAAATCAAAAGCACAACAAGATGCCCCTTCACACTCATTAGGACGCTACTATCAAAAAAATGGAAAATAGCGAGTGTTGACGAGGATGTGGAGAGATTGGAATCCTGGTGCATTGCTTGTGGGAATGTAAAATGGTGCAGCCCATGTGGAAAGCAGAAGGAGGCTTCTCAAAAAGTGAAGCATAGAATTACTGTATGATCCAGCAATTCCACCTCTAGGTATATGCGCAAAAGAAATGAATGCAGGGACTTGCACAGATGCTTGCATTTCAGTGTTTACAGTGGCATTATTCACTATAGCCAAAAGGTAGAAGCAACCCAAATGTCCATCAACAGATGAATGGATAAACAAAATGTGACATATATATATATATGTTTGTGTATATATATGACATATATATATACAAACAATGGAATATTATTCTGCTTAGAAAAGAAATAACATTCTGATACATCGATACATGCTACAACATGGGCAAACCTTGGAAACATTACGCTAAGTGAAATAAGCCAGACACAAAGGACAAATATTGTATGATTCCACTTGGATGAGGTACTTAGAATAGGCAAATTCACAGAGAAAGAAAGTAGAATACGGATTACCAAAGGATGAGAGAAGACGGGAGTGGAAAGTTCTTATCTAATGGGTAGAGTTTCTGTTTTGAACGATAAAACATTCCTGGAAATGGATGGTGGTGACGGTTGCCCAACATTGTGAATGTGCTTAATGCCACTGAATTGTACGCTTAAAAATGGTTAAAATGGTGAAATTTATGTTATATGTATTTAACCACAACAGGAAAAAATGTTTACGCATGTAAGAAATCCTAACTTAGAATATTTAGGTCTTGTTAATCTGAATTGTTTCATTAAAAATAATTTTGATTACGTTTTTCACTATTTAAAAATAACATTTCATTGAAGAAAAAGTAGAAATGCAGACAAACCAAAAGGGGAAACATAAAACATTCATTATCCTAGAGATAGCTACATTTAAAACTTTAGTGTCCTTCCAGACTGTCTCTCTCCCTCTCCTGTTTCATTTTGCTCCTTCTCTTTTTTTCCCTTTTGATTCAGTTCTACAGCCTTCCGTTCTTCAGGAACGTTGAGGTCACCTTTTTCGTGTGTGTGAGTTCTCATCTATACCAGAGTTTAGTCTTACCCATCTAATGGGGGGAAACACTTTCTAAAACTAAGCGAAGTGATAAAACACTGAAAAGAAGCCAATAAATGTGTGATCAGAATGCTCAGATTCCTGCTGAGACCATTTGGAAGTTGCGTTGGAAGGGACAACTTTCGGCACGCTGCTCCCAGAAGCCTGAAGACGTGTGGCCAAAGAAATGATCTGCAGTGTTCAATTTAATCTGTATCAGAGAACAAATAACAATTTTGTTGTAGTTGCTATTAGTCCTTCATTCTAGCCTCTTTAATGAGTTATAGGGCAGGGGCAACAACTGCTTAGCTGCATTCTTGGTCTACATATGACTTATTTGTGGAAATTAGAGTCCCATGTCTGCTCAAACAAGAGTCTGCTGTCCCTCTACCTTCATCTCTCGTATTATGCATAATTATTATATATAACTATTATTTTAATTATTATCCAGCTAATCATAGAGTGCATTTCTATTATTCTTTATCTGTAATAATATAAAAAGTGAATTGAGGCCACGTGTGGTGGCTCACACTTGTAATCCCAGCACTTTGGGAGTCTGAGGTGGGAGGATAGCTTAAGCCCGGGAGTTCCAGGCTGGGCTGGGCAACATAGCAAGACCCCATTTAAAAAAAAAAAAAAGGCCAGATGCAGTGGCTCACATCTGTAATCTCAGCACTTTGGGAGGCCGAGGCAGGTGAATCAAGAGGTCAGGAGTTCAAGACCAGCCTGGCCAACATGGTGAAACCCCGTCTCTACTAAAAATACAAAAATTAGCCAGGCGTGGTGGCATATGCCTGTAATCCCATCTACTCGGGAGGCCGAGGCAGGAGAATTGCTTGAACCTGCAAGGTGGAGGTCGCAGTGAGCCGAGATCGTGCCACTGCACTCCAGCCTGGGCGACAGAGCAAGATTCCGTCTCAAAAAAAAAAAAAAAAAAAAAAGGTGAATTGACGGCTTCCTTTTCCTCAGGAGGGGGCGCTCTTCCTGCCCTTGAGCACGAGAGGTTCTGCCAAGGCAGGCTTTGGAAGGGCATCCCCTTCAGGAGCTTTGCCCACTGTGGTCCCAGTCTCTCCTGCTACCTGTGGTTGCTTGAAAGAAGGAAACATTACTGAAGCCGAGATTTGGCTTATAGGGTCAGAGAAGGACTGAAAGCAAGCCTGGTTTCTACGGGCAAGGTGGCTGTGGTGCCGGTTTGGCATTTCGCAGTATTCATCCCCTACAGGGCTGCCTGTCTCGCTTCTCAAAGACAGTTTCAAGCGTGAAGTAAGGACCCAACTCTGAATTTCTATTCTGATGACTTTAGGTCCTCTTGGGAAATTACATCCAGTAATTTCCATTTCCTTTTGGCTCTTTGGCTTTGTTCTATGCAGTTTTGTCTAGCTGTGCACCTGAGCCATGACGCCTACTTGGGCCGGCTTCCTTTGGCCTCTACTGCTCCTCCTAAGTCCTGCCCTGTGTGGGCCATGACAGGGCTGTTGGGTCTTCTGGGAGTCAGCACATCGTTCAGTAGATTTTCTCTTCTGGGGAACGTTTCAGATGGTCCTCCAGTTTATCTTGATCCTTTCCATTGTTCTGCTCAGCTCTTAAAGCTAGCATAATGCTTTCTCCAAATAAATCTTAAAGATCATTAATTAATTCACTCATTCAACAAATATGTATAAAGCACTTATATTCCAGGGCCTCTGTTAAGCACAGGACATATTTATGAATGAGAAAATCCCTATCCCTGAGTTCAGTTGAAATGAAGAAATAGGTAGATTCTCAGCTCTCTACACATAATTGCATAGTTCTTAATAGTTCTTAGACTATGAGTATAATCACAGATACTTAGGAACATAGAGCATATGTAATTATTATTCCTTTTCTCTCTTTCTCCTTTAGCTTCTGAGATAATCATGAACCTGCTTCTCTTTCTGGCTCTCTGACCAACCACTAAATGTTGGCATTAACCAGGATTCGGTCCCAGGTTCTTGCCTCTCATCATATCATATGGGTCTTTTTTTTTTTTTTTTTTTTTTTTTTTGAGACTTAGTCTTGCTCTGTCACTCAGGCTGGAGTGCAGTGGCGCGATCTCGGCTCACTGCAAGCTCTGCCTCCCGGGTTCACGCCATTCTCCTGCCTCAGCCTCCTGAGTAGCTGGGACTACAGGTGCCTGCCACCACGTCCGGCTAATTTTTTGTATTTTTAGTAGAGATGGGGTTTCACCGTGTTAGCCAGGATGGTCTTGATCTCCTGACCTCGTGATCCACCCACCTCGGCCTCCCAAAGTGCTGGGATTACAGGCTTTTATTTTTTCCTGCATGTGTTTTTTCTTCCTCGTGGACTTCAGTTACCACCAATTGCTGATGAATTCTCAGTTTATTTCTCTGTGTGGGACTTCTCTCCTGAGCTCTAAATGTTATTTCACTGCCTATTGAAAGTATGTCCCACCTCGGCCTCCAACTGAACATGTAAAAATCTTCATCCTTTTCTGAAACCTGCCATCTTGATCATCACCTTCCCAGTCCCAACCAGAAACCTGGAACTCTAGCAAGTGGTCTAGTAACCCCATTGCTTACATTACTTTTCCCCCACCCTCAACCCCCAATTGAGAAGTTGATTCTTAACTTTCTGCATATTTCACCTCCTCTCAAAATTCTCACCGCTACCTTCTCCCTCTTAGTCTAGGCCAGTGCCTTTTGAAGTGTTTTACTGGAGTCCTTTCAGGGGCTTCTGAGGTTGGAATGGAAAGAGGTGTTAAGCAGGCCGGATTATGGGCATCCTGTCCCTGACTCAACCAGAGCAACTTCACGTTTATCTGTTTTTGCATATTGTTTGAAGAGAATCCAGTGGCTAAACATTTGAAAATCATTGGTCTTAAATCCTTAGCATTTCTTTCCTGGATTTTTTGCAGGGCTCCAGCAAACCATACTTCTCTGTTCTTTCAACCGTGGAATCCAGTGGTTCTTAGCCTTTTCTTAGCTGGGATGCACAGGAAGGCTGATGTTCACATGCTGGGTGCACTTCCTGTTGTGTGTAAATTCCTAATGTACAATAAAACCATTAGAATGCAAGTGAATGAGTGTGGTGCTATTGTAAGCATAACCTTGAATCCACTCTAATGTATTAAAATAAGTACATCCTCTCTGGTCTTTTAACTATTATATGTGATAGAAGACTTGCAATACATCTCCCAGATCATCCCAACTCTGCTCTAACCCACTCTCATCCACACTTGTTGCTGCCTTCTACACGTGGGAATCTCAGTCACTCTCCTGCTTGACACACTTCAGTGCCTCCAGATTGGCTTTCAGATGGGTTTCAGCTCCTTAGCATGGCTGGCAAGTTCTGCATGATCTGGTCCTGGCTAACCTTCCCAGCTTCAGCTCTTGCCCCAATTCCCCATGTGCAAACCATAACTACCCAGGCTGGCCAGGCTTCTGGGCATTTGCTCATGCTGTTCCTTCTGCCCATCACTGCCCCCTCCCTTCTCCTCTCCCTTCAGCCTGCATCTTGAACTCCAAATGATTTTTTTAGGTGAAACAGTTTTATTTTTCCCAATAACTGCCACCAGCATTCTCCATCAATCCCTTCTTCCTTTCTTGCTGGGTAGCAAGGATAGTTAGTCACATCACAATCCAATAATTTTTTCAGTTCTATTTATTTCTTAAATGACTCGCTTCTGTCCTTACTCAGTCCTGATCTATTTTAGCTTTTCATTTCAGAAAAATTTCAAATGTGCAGGAAAATTGCAATAACAGTAAACCTTCCTGTACTCTTCAGATGCCTCCGCCAATTATTAATACTTTGCCACATTCACCTCTTTTTCTCCTTGTAACTTTACATATGTGTGTGGATGTGTTTTTATACACACACACATATGCACACACACACACATTCATATTGCTATTAATATTTGCTTAACCATTTGAGGGTAATTGTATACACCAGTACCCTTTACCCCTAAAGACTTCAGTAGGAGATCTCCTGGAACATTTTTTTTTACATATCCATGACACATGATCAAATTTGGGATATTTAACGTTGAAAACAATTTATTATCTAATAGAGAGTTCATGTTCATATCTTCAATTATCTGTATACTGTCCTTTATAGCAATTTTTTCTGACCAAGGAGCACCAATTTATTTATAAAGACCATCTCAAAACACTATTTGCTCCTTGAGGTTTTTTTTAAATTTCCCTTTTGCCTGTTGGCACTGACCACTCCCTCCTGCATTCACTTTACCGCTCCAGTCTTCCGTCAGTGTGTATAATATTTTATCATGTGTGTCTGTTTAGGTGTTTTAGTCTTCCTCACCAGACTGCAAACTCCTCGAGAACAGAGGCTGTATCTCATTAATCCTTGTCTCCCCAGTGTCTACTATACAAATGGATTCAGTATTAAGTATTTAATGACTAGCTTGGACGTTTGATACTCTCGGTCTACGGTGATGCTTTTCTTTTTGGTGATGTCTTCTCCTCAATCTTATTTAAGCATTTGTATGATTGTAAGTTGGGGGGATGGGGGAGCATACACTGGACTGAGCACCCTGATCCTAATCCCAATCCTGTTTCTGTCCAGCAAGATGGCCTGGGGTAAGTTATTTCATCTTCGTGAAATTCAACTGCTTCTTCCATATTGTGTAGTTAGCATTACTTGCTCTGCCTACCTCACTGAGGTGTTGGGAAAATCAAACAAGAGGAGTATTACAGTGTTTTGAAATGGTGATGTGATTTCTGAGACCATATGGTTGTCTGCCTGCTAGGTATGTTTTTAGTTACCGGTCTGTTTGGGATCTCCATGTTTCTGTATCTCACTCTGGGGCTCTCACTCTGTCTTCTGGGAGGCTGGAAGTGCTGGGTTTGGTGCATGAAGCACACAGACCAGCAGTTGGCTTAGGCTCCTCAAGCTGGGTTAGCAGTAGTGGGTTAAATAGTGTCCCTCCAAAATTCATGTCCACCTCCAACCTCAGAATGTGACCTTATTCAGAAACGGGGTCTTTGTAGATGTAATTTTAAGTTAATATGAGGTCATATTGGATTGGGGCCCTAAATTCAATGACTGGTGTCCTTATAAGGAAGCCATGTGAGCACACACAGGGATCAAGGCCAAGTGACCATGGCAGCAGGGACAGGAATGATGCAGCTACAAGCCAAGGAACACCAGAAATTGCCAGGAGCCACCAGCACCTGGGAACACACAAGGAAGTGTTCTTCCACAGAGCCCTCAGACAAAGCATGGCCTACTGCACCTTGATTTCAGATTTCTTCCAGAAATGAGAAGAATAAATTTCTGTTGCTTTAAGTCATCCAGGTGTTGGTAATTTGTTTTGGCAACCCTAGGAAATGAATATAGTGACTTTCTCCTTGCTACCTGCATGATGCCTGGTTTAGCAGAACCTTCCTGCTGGATCCAAACAACCGGATGAGTGAAAGAGGTGGAAAGGGGTGGAACTAGGATGTGAAGGCATCTAGTGCCCTCCTGTACCTCTCTAAACCACTCTGCAGATTTTAATTCTGTGGGAGGATTTGTGGTCTGCTCAGAAGACAGACCAGGAGGGTCTCTGGTTGGCCCCAGAAGCGTGCCCCATCTTCTTCCACGGTCTTAAGTACTCTGTGGTAAGGGTGTACAGAGCTGGAACTTTCCACCTAGGCTCCAGCGTCCTCAGGATGGGCTCTCTGGATAGTTTCGTTGGCAGCTTTAGCTTGTGAGCTCACTGAGCCTTGGGAGGGTTTGTCATGGCCTCGAGGGAGTTGGCTCAGTTATTAGTGGAGTCTGGAGATTTGGGCCTATGCCTGCCGGTGCCGTTTGATGCTGAAGGAGATACTGCATCTATGATCCGAGTGCCTCTTCTCTGC
Source organism: Homo sapiens (assembly GCF_000001405.40). Lineage (NCBI taxonomy): Eukaryota > Metazoa > Chordata > Mammalia > Primates > Hominidae > Homo > Homo sapiens. Next base: position 38,517,384 of record NC_000001.11, on the reverse strand, counting down.
CAAGGCATGTCCTCACCAGGGTTGCTCTTCTTCCCTGATGCAAGAAAGAACTACTTCACTCCTCAAGGTGCCCTTGTGGACCACTGGCCCCTTGCCTGTTCTCTCTGGGGAAAATGGTATCTGGGTAGGTGTCACTGTCCAGCCCTGCCCTGTGAGTGTTTGAGAACAAGAAGGAGGAAGAGAAGAACAGGAGGACACAGAGATGAGAGTCTTTCCTCAAATTGGAATCAGCTTCAGGGGCCACCCACTTCCATTGTTATGATGTCACAGAAAGGAGCAACCACTGGAGGGGTGGAGGAGACCCATGAAATCATCTGGCCCAGTGCCCTCTTCAATGCCACCAGGATGGTGGAGATTGGAGCCTCTTCCTGGCAGCTGTGCCCTTGAATACCCAAGGCCACACAGCGGCAAAGTCAGGGGATGCGCTCATCAGGCCAATGCCTGTCTGCTCACCTGGTATGATCTACTGGGCTCTCACACAATCAGCAAACCCAGACTCCTCACCTTAAAGACTATATTAGTCTCTCACCATCAGACCACAGCCTCAGCTTCTCTTGGGATAATTGGAGATGGCTGATAATGAATGCGAAAAGATGATTCATGTTATATTTAGGCAAGACTCTGGGTGTGCGTGTGAAGGTGAATTGCTCAAAGTTGTGTTGGGGTGCTGCTGATTATATCAGAGCCTCTGGGGGAGGCAGGGGAAGACAAAATGTAATCCTGCAAATTTTAATACACTAAGGAAGCCATCACCTAAGAAACTTTCTAGAGAATGATCTATGGCCATTGTTGACTTTGCCTTCATACCCTCCAGAAAATACTTTGTTGTTTTAAAAGTCTTTAGGGAGAGAAAGTGAGAGAGACTGACTTTATCCTTATGTAATGATCAAATGTAGCATGATGAAATTGCCAGAATCAACAGGAAACAGAGGAGCAGAGCTCCTATGAAGAAGAGAAAGAAGGGGGCAACATTTGGCCTTGTCTCCTTCCCTGCCTCTTCCCCTGCTCTGTGGGGTTAGCACCTTGTCAAATGTCTATCTCATCCTAGTGAGAAAACTCCAGTGAGTGACTGTGTTGACCTGTTTGAGAAATTTCATGATACCACCAGTGTTATTTTGTACTGATAGCCACTCCAACTGATGACGGCTGGATTTACTTCTTATTTCTTTTCTTTTCTTTTTCTTTTTTTTTTTTTTTTGCTTCAAAATCATGGCACCCCTTGCAGTAAAAGCTGAGGGAGTCAATGAGAGTCAAAGAGTTCCATCTGTAGCCTCATTCCTTCCGCCTACAAAGAAAAGGCATAGGTCAGGTGTGAGATGTGGGTCAAATGTTTCTGCATTTCTCCTCTATCTCACAGGGAGATGAATTATGTTGTGACTTAAACAAACTTTAAAGCAACAGGAGTTAAAAGAGACAAAGAAGGACATTATATAATGATAAAAGGCCTTGTCCAGCAGGAAAATATTACAATGCTAAACACATATGCACCTAACAGTGGAGCTCCCAAATTTACAAAACAATTACTACTACACCTAAGAAATTAGATAGACAACAGCACAATAATAGTGGGGGACTTCAATACTCCACTGACAGCACTAGATAGGTCATCAAGACAGAAAGTCAACAAAGAAACAATGGATTTAAACTATACCTTGGAACAAATGGACTTAACAGATATACACAGGACATTTCATCCAACAACCACAGAATATCAACCACATTCTATCCAACAGTGCATGGAACTTTCTCCAAGATAAACCTTGTGACAGGCCATAAAATGAGCCTCAATAAATTTAAGAAAATTGAAATTATATCAAGTACTCTCTCAGACCACAGTGGAATAAAACTGGAAATCAACTCCAAAAGGAACCTTCAAAACCATGCAAACACATGGAAATTAAATAACCTGCTCCTGAATGAGCACTGGGTCAAAAACAAAATCAAGATGGAAATTAAAAAAATCCTTCCAACTGAATGACAATAATGACACAACCTATCAAAACCTTAGCTGTATCCCAGAGTAGCCACATGTAGGAGAATGAAACTGGAAGGCCTGGATGCCTTCACATCCTAGTTCTATCCCTTTCCACCTCTTTCACTTGTCCGGTTATTTGGCTTCAGCAGGAAGGTTCTGCTAAACCAGGCATCATGCAGGTAGCGAGGAGAAAGTCACTATATTCATTTCCTAGGGCTGCCAAAATAAATTACTAACAACTGGATGACTTAAATTTTGTATAAGGGGACACCTCTCCCCTTACACAAAAATCAACTCAAGATGGATTAAGGATTTAAATCTAAGACCTGAAACTCTAAAAATTCTAGAAGATAACATTGGAAAAACCCTTCTAGACATTGGCTTAGGCAAGGATTGGTGCTATCCAGGCCAAACCAGAGCTAGCCCTCTATTTCCCCAGAAAGCCTCACACATCAGCCTTTTTGAGTCATTTAAAGGCAGGATAGGAACAATCTGATGGGCATGTCTAGGATTACATGGGTAGAGTAAAGGATGAAACCTGCTCAAAAGCACCTGGCTCCAGAAGCCACAGGCCAAGGGGAGGTCCTAGGATCTTGTCTCTGTGAAACAGAGTTGAGAGAGGCAGCTTTGAGACAAAGAGCACAGATAATAGGCTTGAAATCAAAAGCCCTAGGTTCAAGGCTGGGCATGTTAGTTCATGTCTGTAATCCCAGCACTCTGGGAGGTGGAGGTAGGTGGACTGCTTGAGCCCAGGAGTTTGAGACCAGCCTGGGCGACATGGCGAAACCCTGTATCTACAAAAAATACAAAAATTGGCCAGGCATGTGGTGCACACCTGTGGTCCCAGTTACTCAGGAGGCTGAGGTGGGAGGATCACTTGAGCCTTGGAGGTGGAGGTTGCTGTGAACCAAGATTGTGCCACTGCACTCCAGCCTGGGTGACAGAGCAAGACCCTGTCTCAAAAAAAAAAAAAAAAAAAGAAAAGAAAAGAATAAAAGTCCTAGGTTCAAGGCCTAGCTCTACCGCACTAGCTGTTCAAAGGCAGAAATCAAAGTGAATGCACAGTAAACTTAAAACCAAACAAACAAACAAAATGAGCCCTAGCTGTGTGACCCTGGGCAAGTCATTTCACCCAAGTTCCCTCCTGGTAAAATGGGAATAATAACTCCACTAAAAATTGTCATAAGGATCAAATTATATATTTGAAAGCACTCTGAAAATATAAAGCGCTACACAAGGCTTGAGTGTCATAATTCCCATTGTGGCCCTAAATATGGGATGCAGAAGGACAGCGGTTGTGTACACATCCCAAACTGCCAAGAAACCTGGGTGGCCATGAGCATTGAGCTTAATCAAAGATCTGCTCTTCTCTAACAGCAAAAGGTGTAGGTGTATTACTTGTAGGTGACTTGGGATACTTCTTTTTTAGACCCTCGTAGCTAAAAAGTCTTCCATCTGACACTGCCACTCACTGAAAGTCCTTGGGCAACTCATTCCACCCACTGGCGCTATCGTGTCTTCATCCCTGGAATGAAAGGGTCAAAGAGATTTCCTCAATGGTCCATTTCAGTTCTTAAGTAATATGATTCTACAAACCTAGAGGAAAGCTTTTTTTAATTTATTTTTGATTTTATTTATTTATTTATTTATTGAGACGGAGTCTCACTGTGTCGCCCAGGCTGGATGGAGTGCAGTGGCGCGATCTTGGCTCACTGCAAGCTCCGCGTCCCGGGTTCATGCCATTCTCCTGCCTCAGCCTCCCGAATAGCTGGGACTACAGGCTTTTTGTGATTGTGTCAAACCAGCTTTATTGAACACTGGTTACATACAGGGAAGTGTGCTGAGCGTGGGAGGACACCAAAGCCTTTGGTTTTCTCAGACTTGAGCTCACACACTAGTGAACACTCATGCCCAGAGAACTGGCACTGCTCATGGGAGTTGAGAGGAGGGAGGCATTAATTACCCAGCATGGAAGAAAGAAGAAAGGTGGAACCAGGGAAGGAAGAGACACTGACCTGGCCCTTGCCTGATAAGAAGTTCCTGCAGGTGCAGCTCCACTTACATAGGGAGCCGCCTGTGCAAAGGCTTGGAGGCAGGAAATCGGAAATGGCGTATTCTGTTATTATTCACTTAAAGTCTTAACAAAAAGAAAATATAAATAGGTACTAAGGTTGGAGAGTTACCGTTGTGTTCTGGGTACAGTGTAGGACCCAGTGGTAATTGCTGCTCATTTCTGAATTAGTTGGCCCGAGTTCATCACTTGCGCCCTCCTTATTGGCAAGTGCACTTGTGTGCCAAGCTTCATCCTGGTAAGACTGGATGCCCACACCCTGCGTGCTGGCTCCCTGGGTGGAGGCAACTTTCCTGTCTGGGCACTGCCCCTCTCCACTCACTTCACACACCGGTGTTTTGACATGTTAGTGCCTGGCCTGTTAACATGGGATAACGAGGGAAAGCGCCCAAAGGCGGTGCCTGGCTCCTGAGCTGGCACCAGGCCAGGGCAGCCTTGTTTAGCTCCTTTCCCTGGGGTGGCAGGAAGGCAGCTACTTACTAGTTCTAGCTTCTCTGAGTGCTTCCAAACCAGAGTCTTTCCAAATGTCAGGGAGGAGAGTTTATGATTTTGTCTTTTTATGATGTGCTTTTAAGGCCAATTATTTCTAGAGCTAATAATCCTAATACCCCGTTTAATTAGGCATTGGTGAGAAAAGGTACACATTTCAAAAATCCATGAAATTGCAAGCAGATTGCATGACTCAGTATTCTAGGTGAGTGCTTTATCGTTTTGTGATGATTATTATTAATATTAATAAGCATTTCTTCGTACACACACCCCCATGGGGCACTGGGCAGTGCTCATGGAGGACACAGCCTCTGTCCTCAGAGATCTGTAGAAGGCTGTCTCTAAGACGCTGTAGTAAATCACATGAGTATTGTAACTGTCAAGATTTTAAACACCTAAAAATCAGCACTATCATTAGCAATCAGTAATCACTGTTATAGAAGAATAAATCTTGTAATCTCCAAATTACCTGTTTGCACCAATTAGAGTTCAACTGATGAAACATACCAATCAAAGGGGAATTTACTTGAGGCACCCAAGCTTATCTAGGTTTAAAAAAAAAAAAAAAAAGGAACCTGCTGAGCTCCCAAACTGTTGTTTCCTAGCTCAATATCAGTTAGGGTGGATTTTCTGGAAGCAGAGCTGATAAAACCCTGTGCAAGTACCCTCAGGCAGGAGGGAGTCCGTTATCCATTTGTTTGTTTACTTATTCATTTATTCCCTGCCTGCCTACATAAAGGATTTGAGGTAGGTCATGATAAAAACCCATATATAATAAGACCATTTAAAAAAACTCAAAAGAGGGGTGGGAAGTCTTGGGGTGGGAGTGGAACACGCGCGAATGTTTAACTTGCACACATCTTTGTCGAGTCCCTTTGCTGAACACGGTGCTGGGCTCTGTAGGAGCAAAAAGAAAAGCACATCTGTCTTCTTGCCTGTAAGGAACTTATAACCTAGGGTGAGACATGAGCACTGGATTTAGTTCTGAGCTTCTTGGAAGCCACTGCGCCAAGGAATCCCATGGGTTATCTCGTTCTCAGCATGCAATAAAAGAAAGCAAGTCTGTGGAAGGGTAGCTGTTTTCTCTTGTAAATATGAAAAGAAAAAAAAAGAAAAAAGAAAAGAGAGCTTGAAAAGACCCACTGGGAAAAAAATCTGTTTTTTTGTTTTGTTTTGTTTTTTCCACCAATTTCTCGGAGATGTTCTCCATGCAATCATTTCTTGGCTGGAGGGGGATGAAGGAGACAAAAATGTGGATTCACTGAGCCTTCCCTGGTTTGCTCCTGAACTTCTGAAAACCTGGATCTGGTGTTGGAGGCTGAGGCAAAGCCAGGAAGTAGGGGGCTGGTGGGAGGTGGGGAATGGGAGCTGGCGGCAACCTGGTGGGGAAACCAGTTCCTTGTGAGATTTGGCTCAGAAATTAGGAGTTGAAATGAGTGTTGAAATCATTGAAACTCCTTTTAGCAGCCCCCCTCAGCCCCGTGCCGCATGCTAGTCTCCCTGTAAGGTGCACGTTCTATATATTCTGTTACCAGGGTGGTCCTAGCACCCTGCAACCTTCCCCATCCCCGGATCTTGCTCACCTCACCATTTTCCCAGCCTCTACCTGGCTGGGCTGCTTGTCCTATGTGGCTCTGCTTTATTCATTATCTCCAGGGACTTGTGTTGTTGTCACACACAACACAATTAGGGCTCACTTTGTTTATTTGTTTTGTTTTGAGATTACTGTGTGTTCACTTTGATTTCTGCCTTTGAACATGATTAGGTTATTATAATGGCAGATCTGTTGACGCGGCACCTGAACCGGTCTCTGCACCTTGCCCTCTGCTGGCAGATGGCCTCCCAGATGACCCCTAAGGGTCCCAGCCTCCTGGTGGTTTGCATTCTGTGTAATCTCCTCCAGTACAGAATCAGAGGGATCTGTGTGATGGGTAGAATACCACCATGTTAGACACTGCACCAGGTGCTACAGATGCAGTGATGAACAAGACAGACATCGTCCTTGACCTCATGGAGCATATCATTTATAAGAGGAAGAGCATGGACTTTGGAGCCAGATAGAATGGGCTCAACCTTCATTCTCCACTTGGCTTCGTGGCTTTTGGAAAGTTATTTAATATCTCTGAGCCTCTGTTTCCTCGTCTTTACATCAAGCAAAATAAGAGCCACCTTAGAGAGCTTGATTGAGAAGAAATGTGACTGTGTATAAAGCGTTTAGCATAGTGTCCAGGTTTTGGTAGCTACTCCATAAATGTTAGTCCCCCCAGCTGTGCGAGGTGCTGAGAATATAGTGATGAATGGGAGGCCATCTCTGCCCTCAGGGGGCTTGGAATCCAGTGGAGGGGACAGATGTATACTCACTAAAGTTCAAGGAAGACTGTGACAAATGCTGTAATAGAGGTACAGTGGGCTGAGGGAACCAAAGGAGGGCACAGAAAAAAACTTCATAGAGACTGTGTGACATTTTAACAAGCCTTAGAGGGAAGGTGGAATTTTTGTCAATGGAGTAGGGGTGGGGGACATTGCAATCCCTGGGAAGTGATGAGGTATACAACCTCATGGTATTAAAAATGGTGAAAGAGCACTAGCTGAGTGCTCTGGGTCATATGGCTTCCCTTTTGTGGGCTGTGATCTCCTGATCCATAAAATACAGCTGTTGAACTAGACAGTAAATGATGTTCCTTCCAGTTCACATATTCCTCAAGAGCAGGGAGTATTGCTTTATTCATTACCAATTTCCAGCTCCTGACACATGGTAGGCACTCGATAAATATTTATTAAACGAGTAGGTATAATTATATGTGTAAGCAGCTTGCCCCAGATGAGAAAATCAAAGAAGTCTTTTTTCCATTGACTTGACATAAGCCATTTCCCTTGGGCACCTGCACAGTGACAATTAAGCAGACAGCTTTATGTCACTAGGTTTTGCCAAAGTCCTTCTACCATTCTGTGCCTTACATTTCCCATCTGAGCTTTGTTTCTTCCATATCTTTCTGGGTCTTGTTGTGAAATCCTGCTCAAACTTGAAAGCCACTGACCTTTCCCTGGAGCTCCCTTTAGCGTTCCGCACAATGTCATTAGTCCAGGGGAGGCAGATCCTGCCAGAAGAAGCTCCTCACGTTTTCCTTAGTTGAACTTCCATTTTACTTTTAGTGTCTCCATGAGTGGAATAACTTTGAAACTAGAGCTCAACACGAGCATTACCAATGCCGTTGAACTACTCTGTTGAAAGACAGGGCTGGCTAGTGGCGAAACTGCAGTGAGGAATCTTCAGCCTTAGAGATGCCCCCGTCCCTACCCCATTTTGTTCCACTCCATCCCCTCCTGGAGGCAGTGCTGAAGGCCCTCGTGCTATTTTCTTCTCTACTGGGCTCCCTCAGTATATCATCCCCTGGGCTTCATCCTACCCCAGGCCTTTCCAAACGACCCTTGCTCTTTCAAAGCTTATCCTGCGTTCCATTCTTCAGAGATCTGTTGTCTTCTCTGTTTGGGGGACAATTCAATAAACATTTGATACTCATCCTGTGCCTAGGTCAGGACTAAGCTTACAGGTGCAAAGATGAATGAAACAAGATCCGTGGCCCATGGTCTAAGATGAGAGTAACCAAGATGACAAACTAAACTATGCACAACTATTCATGGACAATCCCCTTTTAGGTAATAGATTTGCATTTTACCAGGAGCTTTTTGAAGACAGTGACTTACCTTCAAAGCATGCTTTTTGTATGAAAAAAAAAGTTCAAAAAAATTTTTTAACCTTAAAAGCAGTACAGCAGTACTTAATAATTGTAGAAAACCTGGAGAGTAAAGAAAAATATAAAGTAGGGACAATCTTTCCCATGATCTCACCACCCAGAGGCAAATCAGCATTGGCATATTTTTCTTGTCTTTTCCATGTGTTTGAGATTCCCATGTTTATATAATTTTGCATACCCCTTTTGTTACTGAGCAGTATACCCCAAACATTTTGCAATGTTATAAAACACATTGAAGAGTGATTCTAATAGTAGGAGTTTGTCAGCAAGTAGGAGTAATGAATTTATTGGCACAGAGACCTGGGTAGCCTCTCTAATAATACTCCCTTTTCTGCCTGCTCCTAAAACAAACCCTGGCTCCCTGCAAGTAGCTCCATAGCATATTTGTAATGTAGCTGATCTGCTTGGCCTTTCTCTGAAGAAACAGCATCCTGTGCTGTAAGGTGCAAGCGCTTGCAGTCCTCAGATTCTTTACTTCTTCCCTTCCCCCACCCCAATTTCCCTTGTCTCCAGCAAGCGATAATATCTTTCATCTGAGACTCCCTCCCTGCCTCCAGTGACTCCCTCCCCTGATGAATTCTCTCTGGGTGACTCTAGCATTTGCATATTCCTCGCTTGGATATTCTGAGATGTTGGAACCAGAGAGCAGGTTGACGCGATCAGGTACTTAGCTGAATGAGGCTTTCTTGGGAACTGCACAAATATTTGGAGTCGGGTGTGTGCCAATAGGCAATTAATTGAAATGTGGACACAGCAAGCTTCTGGAGGAAGGAAACTGAAGTTGAGAAATTAACTGTGGGAAGTGATCTTCCGCAAGATACAAAACAGTAATTAGGGAATTTCCTTTAGTGCAAACTGAAATTGATTTGGTATGGTAAAAGGACAAAACAAAAAACAGTGAATGAGTGTAGGATTAAGGTTAACTCCTATGATACTAGGGCTGGAAGGGGTTCTTGGAGAACACTGGTCTGACCCTCTTGGAAAGGGAAGAGAACCCAAGGTAAATGGCAAGTCACGGCAAATTCAGGACCAGAAGCAAGATGTCCTGACTCCAGCCCAGGGCACCTTCTACTTTTTACGCTGACTGTCTACCTGGAGACCTGGATTATCATATTAGGAGCTAAAGGGCAAGGACTGCGATTTAAGCATTTTCCTGTCACCAATGACTTTGTGAATACATTTAGTAAAACCTGTAACAAAATCAAGCTTCTCACTGAGTGTACTCTTAACTCGAGTGGAAGCGCATCTGGCCAACCTCCTACTTGGTGTCTGGCTGCCTGCTGAGCACTGGCGATGGAGCTGGTTAAAAATAGAGGCCCTGCTTCATGCTGTGTGATGTTGGCCTGATGCCAGGTGAGGGCCCCACTCCCTGTTTATCCTCTTTGGAAGGCATGCAGCCTCTAGGCCCATCTATGTTTCCCCATCTCCCAGGAGAATGGACCCATCTCCTTAATTGTTATTATTATTATTATTTTGAGACAGAGTTTCAGTCTTGTTGCCCAGGCTGGAGTGCAATGGTGCGATCTCGGCTCACTGCAACCTACACCTCCTGGGTTCAAGCAATTCTCCTGCCTCAGCCTCCCAAGTAGCTGGGATTACAGGCGTGTGCCACCACACCCGACTAATTTTTGTATTTTTAGTAGAGACAGGGTTTCGCCATGTTGGCCAGGCTGGTCTTGAACTCCTGACCTCAGGTGATCCGCCCACCTCGGCCGACCAAAGTGCTGGGATTACAGCCGTGAGCCATGGCTTTTTATAAATGATGAATAAGGAAAGAAGATCTCTGTGCCATTGCTTTAAGATTCAGATTGTCTTAAGATGATATGAAATCCCTTTTTATTGCTCAGATATGTAGGGCCAGAGTGATCATTTTTTAGGCTTCCCCTAGAACATGGCTTTCAAAGTGTCGTCCCTGAACCAGATGTATCAGCACCTCCTGGGAACTTGCTAGAAATGCAAATTCTCAGGTTCCACTTTAGCCCTCCTGAATCAAACTCTGGGAAACAGGGCCCAGCAATCTGTGTTTTAACCAGCCCTCCAGGGGAATCTGACGTACAGTGAAGTTTGAAAACCATTGCCCCAGAAAATTATGATGTGGAAGTCTGGGCTGCTGGATTCCAGCACCAGGAAAGTAATTTATTTTTGATTATTGGACCCTTAAGAATAAACTCTCTTCATTTCAGAATGCCCAGGTGAGCTGTTTCCATACATTGCTGAGTGTTAAACAGGAAAAAATTTCTAAGTAATTCTTCAAAATTTAACTGACCAGCACAGCGAGACACAATTCTGGTAACCTGACATATTTCCAGCAAGTGCAATATTTTCATATTTTAAAATTCCATGGAATGACTGAATAAGTTAATTGATTACCTAATCTGTTATTTTTAGAATCCCACTTCCTTACCTCGTGTGAAAGTTTATTCAAAATTCAAATGGGAACATTTTATTACCCCAAAGTGTTTTCCTATATACTTTAACATGTTACTAAGGAAACCAGTTGTAACATCGCAGTGATATTGTTGCTCTAGCAAATTAACAATTCACCAACATATATGCCATGCTATAATGATTTTTTCCCTCTCTCTCTGGAAAATTTCACGCTTATTGAATTTACACATTTATAACACAGGACATTGGAAGCAATGGGAATAAAGAGGTAAGGAGAAATTGTATCCCAGAGTGACAGAGGATATTTCCCAGGATGTGTTTTGTGCTGTTTGAGCATAGGCAGAGCGAGGTGATTTTTCATTCAGCATCAGGAGCTCCTCTGCGTAGGGAAGCTGAGTTAGAGAGAGCAGCTATCTCGCAAGGGCAATTTGGTGGTGGGGCTTGGGGGCTTCTAACTGGTGAGTGCTAGAGACGACTAAAACTGGGTGTGTGGTACAAAGTGTGTGCTAATCACACGTTTAGAGAATCAAACCACATCAAAGCGGTAGATCACGTGAGCCCCTGCGATGGCACCAGGAGATGGGGACACAGCCCAGTGGGAGGCCTCCTGCTTTTTCTTTCTGGAAGAGGGGGAGGAGACGTTATTAATGATGGGATGAATTAGAACAGATGGGTACTTTTGACACATTTTCCCTTGTTGTTATTTTCCAATTTCCCATCTTCCCACCACCTAGTCATGTGGCTTTCTCTTGGTTAGGAGTAAAGGCATGTGACTTTTTAAAGGGAAGCCTCAGGAAGGGAGGGTAGAAATGGAGACATTGGCTTAGAGCTCAGAGGGCATGCTTGACAGATGCAGAAAGTCCTCCTGAAGCCTTTGCTGGGTGCAGCAAGGAGGAGACCGCCATGCCCACTTGGCCTTTCTGATGCTGTGCTCAAAGATGAGCCATGTGACCCTTTCTCACTCGCTCCATCCTGTCCCCACTCCATCTGGGCAGCCATCACACCCTCCCTGATTACAGGTACCTTTCTGCAGCCTTGAGGAGATTTGCATTGTAAATGGTGTTTGTTAGGCCCCTGAAATAATATTAATCATGGTAAAACAATTACGTTGCATAATTTGTACATAAAAAAGAATGAACCTTTTGCTGAATTAATGTTTCCTCTACTACGTATCTTTCTTGTCCCCACAAATAATGAGACCCTGTCTGCCCTTCTGGGTGAGAAAGGCTTTGAAAAAATAAAACTATCTGCCTTCTTATGGCTTCCTGAAACATTGCACAGATGTCCAGGGCCGGGTAGCTTATGTAATTTCAGGTGGAATAGACAAGCACCCTGGTAAAATGGACATCTTGGCAACCCATAACAGAAATCTTAGGGAGCTGGGACCCAACCTCCACATGCACTATAGGGGATTGAATGGTCTCCCGACTCCCAAATGTATCCACATCCTATTCATCCTCCAGGTCCCAGCTTAGAAGTCAACCATTCCAAGAAACTTTTCTGGACCATCTGAGCTTGGTTGGGTGCCCCTCTTGGGGCTCTCATAGCATTTCTTTATTTCCCTTGGCAAAGCTTATCTGTTTGTATTAGAATTATGGTATCTCTATCTCCCACCCTGCTGCAGGTTGAGGGCAGGAACTGTGTCTGCTTAGTTCACCATTGTATCCCTGGCAACAAGCCCAAGGCCTGTATACAATAGGTGTTCAATAAAATATTTGTGAAATGAATGAGTTGAGAATGTCAGAGATGCCTTCCCGGATCATTAGGCTCAGAATTTATCATTGATTAGGATATTGAGGAATGTTATATTAAAGGGCATAACTATCTGACCAGTTGTCAATCTCAAAGGTTAAGGATGTTCTCAGAATATTCTAGATCATTTTATAAGTTACTACCCACAACATCATCTAAATCATTTGGAAACATTTTAGCATGAAGGAGATGGCATTATTTGATGTCTTCAGTTCCTTTCTCCTTTGTGACTGTATTTTTAGCATGACCACTTAGAGAAATGAATTGCAAAAGTCTAACACTGCATAAGGTAACAAATTCTATGTTGTTTCTAAATGAACTTCTGCAAATGTCAAAGGAAACCCCTAACTTGAATACCTAAATGGGCTGAATGTGGAAGCCCCCAAAGTGACAGTAGGTTTGGAGCTTGCCACTTCTAAACTTTCTCACCACGCTGAGTACAGGTCATTTCAATCTGTCCCTGCTCTTCCTTTCCTCAACACAAAGTCATTGTCACCCTCCTCTAGATTCTTTCTGGCCATCTTGAAGAGAGGTGACTTATTCACAATTGCAGAGCCTGGTTAGATGTGCTGCACTTTGAGGGCTGTTTTATTTGGTGACTTCAAGAGCAATGCTCTGTGGCTGGTGCAGGGGAAAGAGCCCTGGATCAGGAATTAGAAGATCTGGATTCTCGTCTGGCTCCTCCTACTCCCCATGGCCTCTCTGGGCTCCAGTCTCTTCATGAGTGAGGTTAGGATGATCACACGTGCCTCATAGGTAGGTGTGAGAACCAGAAGAAGTAAGAGACATGAGGGTGCTTTATAAACTGGAAGGTGTGCAGGTGTGAAGGTGACCTGCACATAGTAATTACTCAGCTAACGTCTGCTGAGGGAATCTGTCCTGTGTCCATGGATGGTTTTGTACCCACATCTGTGCAGCACAAGGGAGCCTCCCGCTTGGCTTATGAGGATTTGCCAATGACACCACAGCATGCCCCCTCCATCCCTTGCCTTGTTTTCTAATTGTCTTTCCTCTCTCACTCTACAACACTCAGAACTTGATCACATTGTCAGAATGGGAAGGCTCATCACAGCTTTTTGGCTTTGTATCTAAAATCCTGCCTTCAATCAATAGATACCAAAATGTCTTTGCAAATAGACAAAAAGGGAGTCCACAACTAAAGCTAATGGCAACAGAATATGAGGATGATTGAGTCCAGGGAAGGAAGGATACTAGCAAAGGAAGGAGGGAGGGACAGAGAGAGAAGAGGTGGGGGAGAGAGAATGTACGATACAGTTATAGGGCTAACGATTTGATTTTGACTGTCTTCCCTAATTGGGGTCTTCCAGTGGGAGGAGTGGCTGTGTTCCTATGAAGTGAATGCAGATTGAAATGATGAGACACCCAATAACCACCTCCTTCCTCCTTCCTGTTTCCTCTGGGTAGCTGCAACAGCCCTGGCTGTTGTGTGTGGCCAGCACTGGAGGGGATGGAAGATTGAGAGGGAAGGAAGAAGGAGCATGGGCTGCCCCTTACTCCTGGCTGGTCAGGTTGGTGTAGGCTACTCCCTGGAGTTCTGTAGGAATTGTGACAATACGACTTCCACAGCAGCCTCTGCAAAGCTGGCCTTCTACGCCCAAGTCCATCACATCCTGCGTGCAATGGAGCCACCTTATTTATTTGGAAGGTAAAACAGTGGTACTTAGTGGGAGGCTCTCATTCACCAAAAGGGGCACATGGCTGCACCAGCCTACAAGGGAGGAGGCAGAAGGCACCAGCTCCTACATGATTCTGGTTCAGCTTGTGTTTCATTGAAGGCGGAAGGGCTTGCTTTCCAGGAACTCACTGGGCTTTTCCCAGTCTACACAGGGCTAATTATCAAGGGTCTTGCTCACAGGTTCAAACTGCCCCTTTAAATAGAACCTGTGGGTAAAGAGCTTGCCTGGGCAAGTTCCTGAGCACTGGGGGTCGCTCTTATCCCACCAAAGGGCCATAGCAGGGCTCTTCTTGGGCTCTAAGAAATGACTTTAAGGGACGCCTAGGGCTAGCAGCAGAGAGCTTTGGAGAGGGCTGGCCAAACTCCCAACACTTACCCGACTGAGCCTCAGGCTAAGGGTTGCAGCATTTGTGCTTCCTGCCCAGAATTAGGGCAGACAAGCTCTGGGTCATGACAGGTCCTTGGGGCTTTAGGAAGGGATGTCCACCAGTGTGCACATGGATAGAGGAGGAGGGGGAGGAAGGGATGTCCAGGGTGTGGTGGGCAGAATTATAAACTGTGTCTTTCTAGGCTTCTGGGGAATCTGCCTTTCTTCTTCATTCGCTTGTCTCTGCCTTATGCAGTACTAGGAGCCTTATTATCTCTTGCCAGTACTATTGTAGATGTCACCTAAATGGACCTTCCTGCGTCCAGTTTCATCTCCTCCTGTCCTTTCTTAGTACTGTGGTCAGTGATGTTTACTGAATGTCAGCTGCATGTCAGGGTTTGTGTTGGTTACCAGTGGCATAGGAATTAACTAGACCCAGCACCTGAGCCCTAGAAGCCCCTGATCTAGTAGAGGAGGAAAATTGTGCCAGATAATGACAATATGGTGTCTTTAGTGCTGTAGCAAAGGTGAGCTGACACTGCTTTGCAAGTCACAACAAACCAAGCTGGTGACATCAGAGTTGACCTATAAGAGGCAAGTAGGGTTTTGCCTGACAAGGGAGGGAAGGAGGATTTTAGGCAGCAGGACAAGCGCATACCCAGTGAGTACTGACCTGGCATGTCTGGCACCTCTAAGACCACACACAGAACAAACTTCACTCTGGACCAGTAACTAGATAGGGACTGGATCAGTCAGGGCCTCCGATGTCCTACTGAGGTGGCTGGGATTTTTGTGAAAACCAGAATCGAATCACTTTATGATTCTCTGCTTAAAAACTGTACACACCATCAGAGGGTACAGCATCAGTTCTGTGCTGCATGACCTGCTTATGCTCTTCCCTTTCCTGGACCACATTTTGCTGTCCCCATATTCGTCTGTTGAACTCTGATCTATTCTCCAACAAGTGTCTGAAGCCCAACCACCTCTGAATTTTTTCCATGACTGAACATGATCTTGCCTTCTTCTCATCCGATGCTCATAGCATCAAATGCCCCTTTGAGGATGTGATGTCTCCTTTCTGTACTTTGTATTAATATTTATATCTGATTCATTTTTTTTCTTCATCTAGACCTGCACAAGGCCTGGCACATAGCAGTGGTCAAAAGTTTGCTGAACTAGAGTCTGCTTTTGACCCCTGATATGGGTTGAATTATGTTCTCCCAAAAGATATGTTTAAATCCCAACCCCTGGTACCCGTGAATGTGACCTTATTTGGAAAAAAGGTCCTTGCAGATGTAATCCTGTTAAGATGAGGTCAAATTGGAGGAGGGTGGGCCCTAATCCGATATGACTGGTGTCCTTGTAAGAGGAGACATGGCTCACAGAAGGGGGATGTTATAAAGATACAAAGGGAAGTTGGCCATGGAAAGATGGAGGAAGAGTTTCAAGTGATGCTGCCATAAGCCAAAGAATGACTGGAGCTATGCAAAGCTGGAAGTGGCAAGGAGGGACCCTCCTCTAAAGGCTTGGTAGGGAGCATGGACCTTCTAATGCCTTGATGTCAGACTTCTGGTCTCCAAAACTATGGGGTAATAACTTTCTGTTGCTTTAAGCCCTCTAGTTTGTGGTACTTTGTTATGTCAGCCCTAGGAAGTGATACCACGCTCCTTGCTTCTCCCCTCCTCTTGTCTCCCTATATTGAGCCATAGTACTGTTCCCCGGGGGTTCTGGGCCCTGACAGCCATGCCAGGGCCTGGTCCCTCCAGCTGGGCCCCTCCATGACTCACCACAACCACACATATCTCCTTGCTTATTGTCAAGGCCTTGCTTCCTGGTGGCTGGCCAATTTGTATGCCATCATTTGCTCTTGTTTTAGTATACTCTTGCTTGGGTAATAGATTTGAATTTTTACCTGGGCCTTCTAGAGACTAAAAGCTTTCACTTCCAGGAAGTGAGGAGCTATTCCAGCATCATGGAATAGCAGATGGAAGACCTGATAGCAGAGATGGAAAGAAAAAGTCTCAGAAGAAGTGACTTGGCTAAGGTCAAACCACTTTATCACGTGTTCATTAATTCAGCAGATACTTATGGAGCACCTACTCCGTGCCAGGCACTGGGCTAGGTGTGGGATATACAGCAGTGATTAAAGGTAGGATAAGACCAACAAAACCTGCCCCTACAGAGCCCAGAGCCCAAAGAGGAGGTCGCTGCTTGCTATTAATCAAAGAATCACCTAACTAGATGTAAAATTACAATAGTGATAAAGATTTATGACAGAGAGGTATATGGTGCCATGAAATCAGGATGAAATTGAGAAACTGGATGGAGATTTCAGATTAGGATGGGACTTTTTGATATGTGTGCATTCATGCCTCTGCTGTTACGGATGGGAACTGCACCCTGCCTATGGACATGGCTCCTTGTGAGCAAAAGAAAGAAATGATCTAAGTATGTTCTCCAAAGTTGTGGAAATCCCTAAGAAAAGGGCCATACACTTCTTAAAAATTTACTTATTCCTTTATTCATTCACTGATGCATTCAACAAACATTTATGGGACACCTTCTATGTATCTGGCACTGGCTAAGGGTTCTGGACACACATTCAGCTCCCTTAGCTCAAAGAACACACAGTCCAGCCAAAAAGGCAGACATATGAACAAGCAGCTATAATCTAGTGTGGTAATGATATAACACAGAGGTAGGTTCAATGTGCTTTATCTGTAGGACTGTAATCCTGTAAAAGAAGGAAAATCCAGGTACTGCCTTGAAGGAGAGGCAAATTTTCATGGGGAGAAGTGAAGTGGAGTATGCAAAGAGAAGGAGATCCAGGCAGAGGACACAGCATGGGCAAAGGACTGGAGATGTGCATATTCGTGAAGTGCTTGGGAAGTGGCAGGTAAGTTTCATGTGGCCAGGATGCTGGGTACAGAGTTGTGGGTGTTGGGAGGCCAGGGTGAAAAAGACCCAGCTTTCATGTTTCCTGTCAATTCCTTTCCTTGGGGTTTCTTGGGCAACATATTCTGTCATTTTCCACTGTGGAGTTCCCACCCATTTTCAAAGTTGTAAAAATATTTTTGGTAAATGTTCTTTTCCTTAAACAAGCCAAACTTAAGACATCACAGGGCGGGACCCACACCCATGTCTCTCCTTTTGCCCTGCATCCTAAGATGATATAGTGAAAGAACGTGAACCTTTAAGTAAGACAGTCTTGGATTCAGAGCCTGCCTCTGCCGTTTACTAGCTGTTTGGTTATGGACAAGTTATTTATCCTCTCTAAGCCTCAGTTTCCACCTCTGTATAATGGGGATACAAATTCCTACTTTGCAGAACCCAGGAAAGTGCCAGGCATGTAGTAGCCATGCAATAAATATTCTTCTTTGAGATTCTGTAACTGAAGAGACCATCAGAAATGGACCAGCTGTTTCTCCAAAGGCAGGAGTCAAGGTTGCTACCAGGTGCAGGCTGAAGAACACCATTTCCTTTTCTTTTAGTTTAAGTGTCTTTAGAATGAGCAAATGCAATGTCTTTCCCGTGAGGTCTCTTTACATCGAACTCAGTTGAGTCTTTGATTAGCACCAAAGCCTCATTTTTCACTTTCGACTGGTCTCCTCCCTTTTAACATTTGAGCTCTCAAGACGTTCTTTGTTTCTGTTGCACAATGTGTGTGTGTGTGTGTGTGTGTGTGTGTGTGTGTGTGTGTTGGAGGGAGGGGATACAAAGAGGAGAAGTATATTTTTAGAGCCATAGAGGAGCTGGCAGAAATTGAAAATAAGGTTTTCAAGTTCATATGTTTATGCTTTAGGAGAGATGTAAAAGGAAAAGCTCAGTGGCAGGCTGTATGTCCTGTTCAATATCTAAGAAGATTTCTGAGACATGCCTTCTGGCATTCAGATTAAAAGGCACCCCTGCCCACTTGCGGCCAGCCTCCCTTCCTCTTCCCTTCTCCCAGCAGGGGCAGGGGCCTGCATTTACCAGGTGGGTAGCGGCGCTCAGGGAGGAGGAGGAGTCTGGTATGTCAGTGTCCATGCTCGGGTGAGCAACCTGCTTCCTCGGGTGCTATGATCAGGGCAGATTAATCCCCAGAGGTGGTCGGTGCACAGTTAACATTTTTGCCTCTTATTTTAATTAAGGAGGGCCAGGGGATAGGGTGTTAGCATGTCTAATGGGACTGTGTGGCATGTGCTGACTGCCCGAGGAGTTTCAGTTATTAGCACTTGTTGAAGACTTTCTAGATAATTAAATACCACATTAATCATTGCTCTGAATGGACATAGATTTTTATTTCTCATCTCAACTCCTTGCATGCAGTAGGCAAAGTGGCTCCTGGACCTGGTGGCTCCCCAGCACACAGGCGGGATCTCACCCTATTCATGCCCACTTTCAGTGATTTTGTGGAAAAGAAAAGATTCTCCCAGACATTTGCCTTCGTTGTTCTGACAGCTGAAGCTCTCTTCACAGGCACATTAACATGACCTCATTAGTTTCTGCATCTACTCTTCTAACCACATAAAACGGAGTGCAGTAGGAGCCAATCATGCTAATTACATCAGATCGGTTTGCATATTCATAAACCATTTTCTGTTTTATGGACAGCAAAAATAAACACAGTATCTCTTTAATAATTTTAAGTGGGTCACTTTCAGGACTGTATCTGTTTTAAATAAATTATCATATTGTTAAAGGCCACAGTCAAAAGCTATTTTTTGAGCAGCCTGAGAGGTGGAGGGTGGGGGGCAGGGCACGTGGAGGGGACTCGGAGATCAATGGGATTAGCCAGTTGGTCAATTTCCAAGGTCTCCTTTGCCAGGGAAATTCCAAACTTGAAAAACCTCCCTGCTTTAGTGAACAGGTGCAATGCAGCCTCTTAGTAATGACAAAATATATTCTAGTCAAAAAGACGAGACTATCAAAATCACAGTCTTTAAGCAGTGGGAGTGAAACCCAGTAACATACCAAGTCCTGTGTTTTCTTGGAGGCGTTTAATTTTAGGGGCCAAGTTTAACACTCTGGATTTTCTCAAGGTGGGATGAAAAAATGGGGGTAAGAACAATGAGAAGTAGGAGTCAAATCTGCAGAAATGGACCTTTCCGCTGTTCCCCATGTGTTGTATTTCTTCCCAGACAACACCGAGACCAGAACAGGCCCACTCAAGTCTCCTATTCTGTGAGGGCCTTTCCAATCCAGTACCCGTAATCATCAACAATGGAGCTGAGTTATAGATTTCCTTTGCTTTAGGGGAAAAAAAGGTTTGAGAAACAAAGATAGACACAAGATTTGCACAGAGAGAGAGAGAGAGAGCTCATGCTTAACCTCGTTAACTGTTAACTAGGACTGTTAACTCGGTAGTCCTGTTAGCTAGGACTGTTAACTGTTGTTTTTTTTGTTTTGTTTTGTTTTTTGTTTTTTTTTTTTACCGTTAGCAGGACTACCCAAAGACCGTGTTACCCGAGACAACTGATTTGATAATGACAAATCATTTCTAGTCATTCATTAAAAGTAGGTCCTTGAGGATTAATATTGTCCTAATCTGACTGAGTGCTATATGTATTTTAAGGTAATAAGATGACATTTCTTTATTGAAAAAGCATCCTGTAATCTAGGCATTCCACTGACATAAGCTGGTCTTTTTTATCATGTTTAATGGAGAGGTTGTACCGCATTTATATGCAGTTACAACATCGCGTTTATTTCTAGCTCTGGATCTTTCTTCCTTTTCTCTTTGTTGTAAACATTCCTGGCAGAATTAATGTGGCATTTCTTAGTGGTAGTTCAGGCTCTCCTCATTTTGTTGTTGTTTTTGTAATGCTGCCTCCAAATGACTGGGATTGGAAGCTGGAAAGGCTCTCGTTTTCTTTAATGCATACATAGATCTCTGACTCAGAGCTTCTTGGGGACCTTCTGCTCAACCTCCAAAAATGTTTGCATTTATTCACCTTCACCTTGGCTCCTGACTAGGCGAATAAACTCTGAGCACAGATGGCTGCCCCATGTTATTATCTGAACCAGAGTTGAAGCTTTTGTGTGTCAGCTGCACTGATTTTGAAATACCCTATTATTTGTGCAATATACCTTGGAATTATGGTTTATAATTTCATGAAAGCCTAACATATCTGAATGTTTACAAGTTCTATCCCTTGGGGAAATATATAGTGTTCATTTCTTTTGTTTAGTCTATTTAAAGCAGGACTAGATACAAAGCAGGAGTGATTGACAAATTAATGCTCTCAGCTCCTACTCAAAAGTACTTGAATTATTAGTACAAAAAGCATGTTACAAACTGTAATAATTTTAACTCCATTTCACTGCTAAAAGCTAATAATAATGAAAACAAATGAAAATAGTAATGCAATCTAACACTAGCCAGAATGGAAGCAGTCACAGCATTGGGACTCTGTGATCAGCTCGTTAGTTCCATTAAAACTCAGGAACTGGGGAGTCTGTTCATTTATTTTGGATTCAGTTCTGGGGGCAAAGGGAGGGTGGGAAGAGGGAAAAGAATGGTCCTATGCAGCAGAAATAAGAGCCAGCCTTCCTCCTTTGGGCCTTCTTCCCTCCGCAGCCCAGGGACTGTGTTTCCAGAGTGACAGCTATGCTCCCACAGCAGAGGAGAAGCAGCAGAGGGGCTAATGGGTGGTACCAGTGAGTGAGAAGTCACTGCTGATTGCAATTAGGACAAAGGAGTCTGGAAGCCTCAAGTCCCACCTGCGGACTGTCTCAGCCATCTCAGGGGAGGGGAAGAGCTAGGCATGCTACAGAGAACCAGAGGACCAGCCCCTGAGCAGAGAATGCCAATTATCAGGAAACTTGGTGTATTCATCAGGGTTCTCCAGAAAAACAAAACCAATAGAAGATAGAAGTATTATACATATGAAGTTTACTTAAATTTCTTGTAAGAAATTACATATATATACTAATATTTGGATAAGAAATTGGTTTTTGCAATTATGAGGCTGATTCCAAGGTCTGCAGTTGGCAAGCTGGGGACCCTGGAAAGCCGATGGTGTAGTTCCAGTCTGACTCCGAAGGCCTGAGGACCAGGACAGCCAATGGTAAGTTCCAGCCTGAGGGGAAGGAGAAGATCAATGTTCCACTCAGGGAGTGAGGCAGAAGTTCCCTTTTACTTGGCCTTTTTGTTCTATTCAGGCCTTCAATGGATAGGATAAGGCCCACCCATATTAGGGGGTGCAATCTGGTTTACTCAGTCTCCAATTCAAATGTTCATCTCTTCCAGAAACACCCTCACACACATACCCAGAATAATGTTTGACCAAATGTCTGGGCACCCCATGGCCTAGTCAAGTCAACATATAAAATTAACTATCACACTCAGGATTTCCTAATCTGAATTTTCCTTGGTCAGTATATGAGTTATTATCTATCAATGCGAAGTAAGTCGCTCAGTGTGGTTCTTCTGGTGTGAGCTGTTAGTCTGAGCTTATTCATGCAACTGCAGTAAGGAGGTAGGTTGTCTAGATGATCTAGGATGATCTAGAATGGCCTTGTTGATACATCTCAGGGGATCAACCGACTGTCAGCTGGGGAGAATGAACTATGTGCCTCTCATTATCCAGCAGGCGAGCCAGGACATCTTTCCTTTACTGTAACTTTGGCCAAAGCAAGTCATATGGGCAAGCCTCAAGTCAGTGTGGCAGGGAACTAACCAAGAGTGTGAATACAGAGAAGAGTTAACAAGTTGAAGGCCATTGTTTAACAATTCGCTAGTCAATTTCCTGGTCCCCCTTGGAGGTGCTCTCTCACCCTGGCATGGAGGGGCAGATGTGAACAAACAATGTGTTCTGTCTGGTGTTTCTTCCCAGTCTCCTGTGTGGATTCGTTGTCCTAGCCTAGCCTTTAAATGCTGGTATTCCTTAAAGTTCTGTCCTTGGCTCCCTGTAGTAAGGGTCACAATATCCTGCACATCCAACCAGGAAACTCTGGAATATCAGAGCAGACTACTAGAGTACAGTTTGCAGGTGAGCCCCAAAGAGTCCTAGTTTGTAGGTGATCCTTCTTTGCGTGGAGACCCTGAAATATTCTGTGGCCCAGTCTCTTGAGGAATATCTTTTAAATTCCCAGACAGAATGAAAGGATCAAAGATGTCTTAGGGAGTTCTGAAAGGAGCTGAGCTTATGTAGAGGTTAGGTCATCCAAGCCCAGAAGCACGGGCCTGTCTCTGGGCATAGGTGGATCCTGCCCTGGAAAATCTACTGTAAGAAAGGCAGCCTGAGTGACATGGATAGAAAATCCTTGTGGCTGTTGAAGGAGCTGGGGCCATCTCATACTTGGGGTAAAATATGGGGCTCAAGGGCCAGGGATTTTTGGTGTCTTGCTCAGTAGGCCAGGAAGTGGCTTGGAGGCAGAAACTCCATGATTACACTCATGCTTGGGGGTGTGGCACACCTGTGGAGGGCAGGGGGAGTCAGACTGACCCTGGTTTGTGGAGATGATGATGAAGAATGTCTTCCCAAGATGTGGAGCATTTAGGCCAAGACATTCCAGGAACCCTGCCTTAGCCTATGAAACCTTGTGGCCCCAGAGCCCTGGTACAGCCCGATGGCCCAATGTGGCTGAGTGAGCCTCCAGGCTCTGCATAGATGTGGAGTCGAAATCCACACTCAACAAGCGGCAGCCAGGATGAGCACAGGGCCGCCTACGGTTCCTTCCTTGTGTGTTGTGCTGCTTCTACCTCCAGAATTAAAACATTGTGCAGAAATACAGGTTTATTGTTATCAATCCCACCTCAGGAAACTTGACAAATGCATTCACATGCACGTAATTAAGAGATAAAGTCAACTGAACAAAGCTTTGTCATTGAAATAATGGTTTCCCACTGTTAAGTTTTTGCCTCAGCGAAGTAAAGGTGTATTAGTCTGTTCTCTCATGGCTATAAAGAACTATGTGGCTGGGCATGGTGGCTCACGCCTGTAATCCCAGCACTTTGGGAAGCTGAGGTGGGTGGATCACTTGAGATCAGGAGTTCAAAAGCAGCCTGGCCAACATGGTGAAACCCCATCTCTTCTAAACATACAAAAAAAAAATTAGCCAGGTGTGGTGGCAGGCACCTGTAATCCCATCCACTTGGAAAGCTGAGGCAGGAGAATCGCTTGGACCCAGGAGGCGGACGTTGCAGTCAGCCTAGATTACGCCACTGCACTCCAGCCTGGGTGACAGAGCTAGACTCTGTCTCAAAAAAAAAAAAAAAAAAAAAAAAGAGAACTACCTGAGACTGGGTAACTTAGAAAGAAAAGAGGTTTAATTTAATTGACTCACAGTTCCACAGGCTGTACAAGAAGCATGGCTGGGGAAGCCTCAGGAAACTTACTGTGGAAAGCAAAGGGGAAGCAAACACGTCTTATGTGGTGGGAGCAGGAGGAAGAAAGAGAGCAAGGGGGAAGTGCTACACACTTTCAAACAACCAGATCTCGTGAGAATTCACTCACTATCATGAGAACAGCAAGGGGAAATCCGCCCCCATGATCCAGTCACCTCCCACCAGTTCCCTCCTCCATTATTGGGCACTACAATCCAACATGAGATTTGGGTGGGGACACAGAGCCAAACCATATCACAAGGTGTTTGCTCCCAAATCATAACTCCCTATGCCTTTGACAACTGTCTGTGACATCCTCCTTCATCCCCTTGCCCTCGTTACCTAGCCATGATAACAGCAGAGCCAATGTCTGGGGACCCTCAGTAGGAATGAAAATTCTCTTTGCTCAAGAGGACTGGATTGGGACCAGAACTCTGGGGTTCCCACATGAACTTTTCTGCTCCTGCTCTGTGGGGGTTGCCTTGGAAAAATACCCTTCCTTACTCTGCTTTTATTTCCCCCCTCTAACATGAAAAAAATATATAACATCTGACCCTAATTCCTTAGTTGAATGGAATGCATCTAATGGCATTCGGATAACTTAGGCTATTAGCAGGATATACCCATAATGTGGTCATTAGGTTTCACTTCTACTCCATACATGTTGTACTTCTGACTGCAAATACATGAACGAGCTCATAGAATAAGTGAGAGTTGATTTTAAGGGCATTAGAATTGGACATCAATTAAGACAACTAAAGAAGTTTGGGTCATGCATGCCCTATCATGCTTTTTTTCCCTTCTTATGTTCCAGTAAGGAGTTAAGTAAGCATATTATCTCTGGTGCAAAGGTCAGAAATAGCCCCTGTCTTAGCCAAGAGCACCTAAAGTGAGGATGGAGTTCCTTCTCTTTGTTAAGCAAGTGTGAACCTTTCACTAGAGAAGTGTAAACCATGCTCCCCTAGAGCAGGTGCACATTAGGGTCATGCACTGAGCAGGGTGGGCTGGTGGGCCGGCTGGAAGGATGCACGGGTAGGAGGCAGGATGCAGGAGGCCCTCAGCCCAGAGGTACTCTGTTAATCAGAAGGGTAGTGATGGCTCTGTTGCAGAGAACTCTAGCGAGGAAAGTTAGTGGCTTCTTGGATAGGATAGGTGGGAGGAATAGCATCAAGATTCCAAATTCATCTGTTCCAAATACTTTGTTTCTTAACTGTCCTTTTGTTTTACTGGGTAGAATTTTATTATTATCGGTCATGAGGGAAGATGAAAACCCCAGTTTCTGTTCTGATGT
This sequence comes from Homo sapiens, assembly GCF_000001405.40. Taxonomy (NCBI): domain Eukaryota; kingdom Metazoa; phylum Chordata; class Mammalia; order Primates; family Hominidae; genus Homo; species Homo sapiens. Next base: position 38,492,290 of record NC_000001.11, on the reverse strand, counting down.
TTTTGTGGCTTTTAAAGTAGAACCTGACAACAGGCATGAGAAGGGAAGACACAGTGCTGGGAGCTGAGACCTGGGTTCTAGTTCCTGCTCTACTCGGACTCCCTGCATAAAGCCATTTGAACTAGTGCTTAACAAGGAGGGCGCATCTGATGGTTTCTAAAATACCTCCCAGTTCCACATTTGATTATCCTGATACTTAGTATTAGAGATGGTCATCTAGCAGAAATGTGTTATTGATCCCATGTTTGAAATATTCCTTTAGAATGGTATCAAAATGTAGTTTTCCTCAAGTTTACATTTCTCCTTAGATTTGTCAGGTATATGATTAATCACTGAGAAAGGACGTGTAATTCCTAAAAGCTGATTACTAGAAAAGAACTCATTCTTTTTTTTTTTTTTTTTTTTTTTTGTGATCCACCTGCCTCAGCCTCCCAAAGTGTTGGGATTACAGGTGTGAGCCACAACGCCCGGCCCCTTACAGGATTTCAACACCACCCAGATGTTTGTCTTTTACACTCTCACTACCAGTCCCTTTCTTAAGAGCAATGCCCCAGGAACCACACAAGATCACCAGGATACAATAGCCCACTGCCACCAAATTTCTCTTTTTTTCTCTCCTTTGAGACAGGGTCTCTGTCATCTAGGCTGGAGCGCAGTGGTGCAATCACAGCTCACTGCAGCCTCAACCTCCTGCGCCCAAGCCATCCTCCCAGCTCAGCCTCCCAAGTAGCTAGGACTACAGGTATGTGCCACCATGCCCAGCTAATTTTTTGTATTTTTTGTAGAGACGAGGTTTTGCCTTGTTGCACAGGTTAAACTCCAGGGCTCAAGGGATCTGCCTGCCTCAGCCTCCCAAAGTGTTAGGATTACAGGCGTGAACCTCTCCGCCCAGCCCCAAATCTCTTTTCAATGAGCACTTTGAGGCCTCAAGCTCCCAGGTGAGAACAAATCTTTTTGACTCTTTTGTTTTTGTTTTTAAGACAAAGGGTCTCACTCTGTCATCCTGGCTGGAGTACCGTGGTGTGATCTTGGTTCACTGCAGCCCTGAATTCCTAGGCTCAAGCTATCCTCCCACCTCAGCCTCCCTAAATAGCTGGGACTACAGGTGGGCGCCACTTCTCCTGCTTACCTTTGACTCCTAAAACCAACAGGATAAAGGCAAGGAGTGGTGGCTCATGCCTGTAATCCCAGCACTTTGGGAGACTGAGGCGGATGGATCACTGGAGGTCAGGAGTTCGAGGCCAGTCTGGCCAACACAGTGAAACCTCATCTCTGGAACTCGTTCTTTACGGAGAAAGAAGTATTGGATATTTCTCTTTAATTTCTTAATTCTCCCTCACTTTTTCTTAATTTGAGGGGAAGAGGGAAAATGAAAATTAGTGACTCAGGTTGGAACTAATTTGTATATTGCAAAGCTTAATTTATTAACATTAATTTTGGAGAGCAGAGATTGTTAGTGTTGTGCTTTTGAACACTAAGCTTCACTGGATTAGTACTTAGAATAATTGTATTTAGAAAAAGGCATTTTGGGGGAGATTCCGCGTCTGTCAAATATTAGCATAACTGAGATTTATTCTTTAGGTTTTTATTTTGTGGCAGAAATGATGGGATAATAAGGTCATAAGTAGGTTTGGGGTTTTCAGGGCTTAAAGAATTATTTATGTACTCTTAAGGTAGCTGCTTCTATATACCAGAAAGAGATATGTCCTCTGGAGGGAGAAGAAATACACAAAGAAATATCTCAACTGAAACTGAGGGGTAAAGTTGAAGAGAATCAGAATGTTCTATATAGTAAAATGGGGTGTGAGGATGCCCTTAAGAGGTAAAAAGAAGAGAGGGAGATACAGAGGAAGGGGGAGAAAGGAGCGAGGAACAACAGAGCTACACAGCAGCCTATTAAGAAAACGATTTCTAGTAACTAATTATAATGTGTTAGCTTTGCCGGAATGTAAATCTATTTCCATTACCCCAAAACCTTTCATAAAGTCTCCCGTGCACATACCGGCTTTCAGTAAGTGGGATTTGGCGGGGGGAGGGCAGGGGTGGGGGCTGCCATTACTGTTTGTGGGGAAACCTCTTTCTCTCTGGTTTAGTTTCCAGGTGGTAGGGTGGCAAGCTGCACTCTTGCCCTGAATTGGCCTCTAGTCACTCTGATCTCCCTTTCCGGTCCCCCACCCCCCAGCTTGGGAGAGGTAGCAGGTTTGTAGCTTAAACTCCTCCCCCTTCTTTTTGGAAGCTGTCTCAGCAGAGAACCTGTGCCTGGGTAGCCCTGGCAGTGAAGGCAAGGGCAGCAGCTTTCTAGCGCCCCTTGTGGCTGGATGGTGGTCTGCCCAATCCTGGTGGTCAACATCAGGAGGCCCATTGTCTGCGCATGCTCTCCAGAGCCAATCTTATTGGTAACAAAGCAAGCATTTCCGCTTCCATCTGCCTGACTCCGCATCTCTTTCAAAGCGTCTGAAACTTAGGCAGGAAGAAGAGGGGTGGCTTTGTTCCTTAACTCCAAGCACAACGGCCCATGCATCAGACGACAGTAAATGTTTGCGGAATTGAAGATTGAACCAGTGAATCGTTGAATCATGGGGATCAGTCAAAGAATAAAATGGCACAGAGACATGAATTCACAAAGTGGAGGTTAATATTCAGTTAAATTATATGAAATTGCTAGTTGTGCAGATCAAAAACAGTCAAATATTGGCAAGTTCACGTAGTTTAACCTAATAGTCCTCTAGTCTCAAGGGGGGCAGTGAGGTCCTTTCTGAGCACCCTGGGGCTTCATTCTAGAATAACCAGCTTCCAGCTGGCAACTGACTGGAGACGTTCAGGTTCCTGTCTGGAGTGCTTCCACCTGAGTTCAGGATCCCTGCATGGAGAGTGTCATTGTGTTTCCTTCCATCTGAACCAGTCTTAACCTGCTGTCCATGCCACTTCACCCGAAACCAAGATAGCCTTTACCCTGGCCCCAAACTCTCTTTGCTTGTGACTTGGGGAGCAGCTGTGACCCAGCAAGAATACCCTTGAAGCCTCCCATGGAATAGCCTGGTAATTCCCAGATCAAGTGACCAGTTCATTTCACCACCCCTACCCCAGCACCTAGTATTCATCCTGTTAAGGTGATGTGTAGGTTATGAAGCACTTTGGCATCAATCATCATAACAATCCCATGGGAGAGGTATTATTATCTCCATTACACCGATGAGCACCAGAGGTCACACCTGCTGATGGCTCTGGAGCACTGTGCTATGTGACTTAAACAAAATATTTCATTTAATTCTCATAGTCTGTTATGGGCAAAATTATGTTCCCCTGCCCCTGGAAATTCATATGTTAAAACTCTAACCCCCAGCACCCCGGAATGTGGCTGTATTTGGAGATGGGAGCCCTTAAGGAGGTGACTGAGTTAAGATGAGGCCTTTAGGGTGGGTCCTAATCCAATCCAACTGGTGTGTTTATAAGAGGAAATTTGCAGACACACAGGCACCGAGGATGTGCATGCATAGGAAAGCCCCCATGAGGACATGGTGAGAACATGGTCATCTGTGAGCCAAGGAGAGGGTCCCTGGAAGGAACCAACCCTGCTGACACCTTGGTTTTGGTCTTCCAGCCTCCAGAACTATGAGACAATTCCTGTTGTCGAAGATGCCCAGGTTGTGGTATTTGTTATGGCAACCCTGGCACACTAATACACACCCTTCATGACAGAGTACTACTATTATCCCCATTCTGCAAATGAGGAAACAGAGGCTCAGAGTGGTTAGGGATCTTCTCCAAGGTGGCACAGCTAGGAAGTGATGGAGCTGGAATTCTAACCTAAGATCATGTCTCTGGAGCCCACTGGCTACAACTTTTCCCTTGTTTATGTGAAGGGAATTGCTCAAGGTCACACGAATAGAATAGTGAAGCCGAAACCTGAGGCCACATGATGACATCATCACTTGCTCCCCAACAGTATTTTATCAATCAGTGTTGCCATAAAACACAAATTCATTTCTAGCTAACAGTTCCCTAATTCTTAGGCTTGAGAGGATAATAAAGATCTGTGCGCAATAAATAGAAAACATTACATAGTCTTAGTATTCAAGTAGCAGAATGAAACGCCATATGGAATTCCATAGGTGACTTTTTGTGCTGTAAAGTTACCAATAAATGTAAAGATAGCTTAAGATTATGATTATGATAAGGGCGAGTCAGGGGAAAGGCGCCTGAACTCGAAGCCCGGATTTTGGTTTCAGCTTTACCACTTAATGCCTTGGGCAAGTCATTTGACTTCTTTGCACTTGACCTTGAGCAAGTTATTTGACTTCTCTGCACTTCACTTTCCTCCCCCGCAAAGCAGGGTCAATAATTCCTGTGTGGGATCCCTCCTAGTGCCTCTTGAGTAGCAAACAGGGTAAGAAATAGAAATAATCTGTGTGAACTGTCAAATACTGAACGAACCTATGCATTATCTTTGAGAACACTAACAAGAGCCACAGATTTACATTATGTTCTGTTGAGGGCCTTCCCCAGGCTGTGCGGAAGGAGCCTCTAGAAAGGATCTGGCAAAATGGGAACCATGTGAACGGTGCCAGAGCACCAAACTCCACATGGGGTGCTTGGAAACCTCCTGCAACCTCTCAGCACGCAAACTGTTGCAGTTCCCAAACCAATAAAGATCTCACTGCCTCGGAAGGAGAGCGAGGTGTGATTTCACATTCTCCACACGGCTGCTGACTGCACACACCACGCAGCCCGCGATGGAGTAGGCGCGCGCATGTGTCTGTGTGTGTGTGAGTGTGTGTTTGTACTTGGAGAGGGTGTCTGTGAAATCTAAAGGGCCAATATCGCACTCGCTGCAGCACTCAACAGCCAGCACCGTCTGGGGAGCTCCATCCTGTATTGACGCAACTGTAAGTTGTAACAGATAGCATTCTGGAATTCATGTGTGAATTTGTTTAGGGTGGATTTATGGGGGAGTTTGCTGGCTTTCCCAAGCTTTCAGGAAAAGTAGCCAACTGTAAGCTTACTAGAATCGCCATTCACTTTAGTTCTGCTAGGGGACTCTCTTCTGTCCAGGAGGTAGGAGAACCATGGTTACCAGGGGCAGGGAGGTGAGGAGATGGGGAGAGATTGGTCAAAAGGTACAAAGTTGTAGTTATGTAGGATGAATGTCTAAAGAGCTGATGCACAGCATGATGACTGTACTTAATAATACTGTGCTGGATACTGGAAATTCAATGACAGTAGATTTCAGGTGCTCTCACCACCCACACGCGTGCAAGTGTGCACGCACACGCAGTAACTATGTGAGGAGATGGATATGTTAATTTGCTTAACTGCAGTAATCATTCCACTATGTGTATGTATATCAAACATCTCATTGTACACCTTAACTGTATACATTTTTTATTAAAAAATAACAGAACAGTAACATGTGAGGTTGTGGCTGTTATTATCATTAGTTGTAGTAATAGCAGAATTGTGAGTGGGATTTTGGCAACTTTACTCTGTAAAGGTTTTACAGCTAAGGTTGATTTAAGAATCCAAGATTTAGCAACAAGATGACCTCTCCTTCCTCCCTTCCTTCCTTCCTTCCTTCCTTCTTTCCTTCCTTCTTTCCTCCCTCCCTCCCTCCCTTCCTTCTTCCCTTCCTCCTGCCTGCCTGCCTGCCTTCTTCCCTTCTTTCTATATCTCCACCCATTCTCCCTCTTTTCTTCTGAAAAAAAACACATTGATTTTACCTTTCTTCTGGGGGTATCCCCTAAACTGGGAACAAGCTTTGAAACTTCAGCGAATTCATTTATACCTAGGTATGTTCAAAAACTGGAAGAGAGGGCCAAAAGAGACCTGTGAACCAAGATGTTTGGTGGGAAGGGACAGTGACAAACGTTCCTGGGCTACAAGCCCTCAGATGTCAGAGCAAAGCCCTGCTCCACCCGCTGGCATTGTGCAGGGGCGGCAGGCGGTTCTCCCAGTTCTATAACTGCTTTTGTGACCCCTTTGTACCCCAGGCTGGACCCTGGGAAACACTAGTTACACATCTCCAGGCAGAGGCTGCTGAGGTGGGCTTTAGAGATGTTAATTTGCGTAATGATTTAGAGTTGATTGACAGGAAGCAGGACAATAAGCCTGGAAATGTGAATGAACCAGGCTGGAGCTGAGGCTAGAGGGCCCCAGGAGATGGAGGAATGGAAGATTTCTGTCTAGATTTAGATTCCCAGGAAGCAGACGATTTGGTTAGAATTCAGATCTCTGCAGCCAGAACTCAGCAAATAGAAACTAAGTAATTTTGACTTTTTTAAAACCAGGGGGTCAGTGGATGAGCTTTAGGGGATCCTTGAAATGAAATACAACATTTTATTTGTGGGTGAATTTCCCTGGAGACAGGAGACATAGCTTTCATTAGATTGTCAAAGGCATTTGTGACTCAAAAAAGTTTAAAAGCCACTGGGCCCTATGTCTCCAGGGAGCAGACGATCTCAGGAAGAAACAGGTCTCAACTGTCAAATCCAGATCGGTGTTAAGACCCCCAGTGCTCCACTAAATTTGCTCCCACCCCACCCTCACCTCCTAATTGCTAAGTTCACTGTCACCCTTTTAATGCTCATATGGCATTTGACACTCTTGACTACTCCTGCCTAGAAACTCTGTCTTCTCTGTTTCCGTGACACTCATCTTCTGGATTTCTTTTTGCCTCTCTGATTTTTTTTTTTTCTGTATCCTTCGTGGACTTGTTTTCTTGGTCCACCTTTTAAATGTCTCCCTTCTCCAGGGTTCCATTTCATGCTCTCTTCTGTTGACTCAATACACATGCCCTTAGTGGCTCTGCCCACAATCCCCCTCCCTGGGAATTCCATGCCATGGCATCCACCTGCCCTCTACGCCAGGAACCTGGGTGGGATCTCATCCCAGCTGTGTCCTCCCCCCATCAGTAGGTCTGATCAGCAATAGAAGTCCTGAGTCAGATCAGATTGGGGCCCTCATCCTTTTCTTTCCCACTGCCCCTGCTTAGCTCTGTTGTCAGCCATTCAGCAGCTCCGGCTCTCAGCAGCCTCCCCAAGCTGCTCCCCTGGCCCACGGCCTCTCCCACAATCCATTCTCCACACTGTTGTTGCAGTGATATTTCTAAAACACAAATGTAACTTTATCATTCTCTACTTAAAACCTTAGGGCCAGGCTTGGTGGCTCACACCTGTAATCCCAGCACTTTGGGAGGCTGAGGCAGGCAGATTTCATGAGCCCAGGAGAAAAAAAAAAATAAGAAGTTCAGGATAAATGGGAAGTTCAAAATCTTTTTTTTTTTTTTTTTTTTTTTGAGACGGAGTCTCGTTCTGTTGCCCAGGCTGCAGTGCAGTGGTGCAATCTCGGCTCACTGCAAGCTCCGCCTCCCGGGTTCATGCCATTCTCCTGCCTCAGCCTCCCGAGTAGCTGGGACTACAGGCGCCCGCCACTGCACCCGGCTAATTTTTTGTATTTTTAGTAGAGATGGGGTTTCACCGTGGTCTCCATCTCCTGACCTCGTGATCCGCCCACCTCGGCCTCCCAAAGTGCTGGGATTACAGGCATGAGCCACCGCGCCCGGCCAGGAAGTTCAAATTCTTTAGCTTCACACACCAGGACTTTCAGGAGCTGGCTGCTGACCAGTCTCGATCCCATCCCCCACCATGGACCCACAGGCCCCTTCTTCTGGCCCCTCACTGGCTGCCTCGTCATGCCCTCCAGGTGCTGTGCCCTTGCACACTTCTGATCTCTGTCCTCTATCTGTAACAGCCTTCTCTCACCCTTTGCCTATCTATTCTGTCCAATATAGACACATTTTAACTTTAATAAAATGAACAGTTCAGTTCCCCAGTTGCATGAGCCACATTTCAAGTGCTCCGTTACCTCACGTGGCTACTAGGTACTGTGTAAGTAGATCATAGAACATTGCCGTCACTACAGAAGATTCTACTGGACAGCACTGGTCTAGCTAACTAACTGTTAACAGTACCTCTGAAATTCAGCCTGAGTCACCTCATCCAGGGAGCCTTTCCAGTCCAGGTTAGACATCCCTCCTCAGAGCACCTTTTATCTGCCTCAATTACACTGTAGTATGACATCCAATTGACTTTCATGGATGTCCCATCATTCCGTAGTTTTTCTGAGGGCAGGGATCATATCTTACTTGACTCAGTATCCCCAGCACCCAGCACAGTATCTGGAAAAACAACAACAATGACAACCAAAAACAAAAACCAAAAAACAAAAACAGATACTCAAGAAGCATTTGTGGAATGAATGAAGTGGTACCCAGCTGAGCTGGGCTGAGCAGCAGAACCATGGCCCTCTAAGTATTCCTCATCTGCAGGGAGTGTGTTGGTGACAGAAGGCCTCCTGTCGGGGAGGGACAAAGCTTTGATCCCTCAATTGGAGGGGGAAGGAAAGAAGTCCTTATATTCCTTTGGCTGGTGCAATGGAAGTGGGCAAAAGTAACCATTGAACACCTTTAGTTTTCTGTGCATATAATCATGATCTGAGATTCAGACCAGTGTGGCTTTCTTCTCTCCTTTGTAGGTAATTTATGTATGTAGAGAGCCACAGAATCTTAGAATTGGAAGGAACCTTAAAAGTAATGTAACTCAGACCTTTATCCAATGTATTCATCTCCTCTGCAGCAGAAGTCTCCACTTCATCACATCCAGTGACAGGGAACACCCTTCCTCCTGAGTCAGGCCATTACAATTCCAGCCAGCTATTTTGGTAGGAAGTGCTTTTTAATATTGAACTGCAATCTGCCTTTTTTTTTTTTTTTTAATCTGCAGGCCTGACCCTAGCTTTGTCTTCTGATGCACAGAGAATGCATCTGTCCTTCTTCTATAGTTATAAGCAACCTGTGGGTGCAGGCATTTGTCCTTTCCTCCAAAGATTATTGGAATTACTAGGTTGGACACCTCATGAGCAGTTAATTTTTATTAAACCAATTATTTCACGGCTTCCTATTTCCTTACTGATTCACACAGAGATGTAAATCAGCAAACTTTTCTTGTCATGGAAAGGCAATATAATGTTTTATGCCTTAAACGCTTTTTACATATAGAAACTAAACCAGTTTTTGGTTGAGATGTTCAGGGAAGGAGCTAAAATGTCGAATCAGCCATTCCCTCCTGACAGGCCCCCTGGGATGGAGAGTAGATGGGGAATGGATAATCGACATTGCCCGAGCAGAGGCTCATGTGTCAATATCTCATTGTTGATATTTTATTATTTATAGAATATAATGCTGGTACATGACAGTCCTAATAATAGCAACAACAGTGATAGCTAACTTCTACTAAGAGCTTACTATGCACCATATATATATATATATATATATATATATATATCTCATGCTTTTTATATATGTTGCATTTTACAACTATCTTGTGTGATAGGCTCTATTACTCCCACTTTGCAGAAGAGAAAATTGAGGCACAGAGAGTGTTCTGTTTTGATTGGTTAGTTTCCTTCTTCTCTTATTATTCATGTGAATTCCTAAGCTCATCAGGTGCACAAAACATATCACACTCCAACAGATCACATTGACCATCAGCTGACTACGAAATTTCAGTTCCTGAAATCCTCACAGCATCCCTGTGAGGTGAGGTTTATTAGTTGAGAATTTAATGGTTGAGAAAATAAAGGTTCAGAAGAGTTACGAGCCTTGTCCCTCACAGAGCTTGCAAGTGATGAGAATTGGAACTTCAACAAAAATCTCCGAACCCAGTGCTGTTTTCACAGCACCACCTCACTTCTCCAAATGAAGGCAGGGGCCCATCCGTGTGACCTATTGTTTGAAACATGTTACGTAGGTTTTTTAGTTCCCTTTCTAAGGTAGTCAGCACAGACGTCCTTGTCCTATTGTCCTAAGTGTGAGGGGTGGTGGGGCTAGACCTAGGACATAGGTGTTCTGGATTCATGCTCTCGAATTTCCAAAGACTCTTTGACCTGCTCAAGGACCAGCAAGGTAGAGCATGGTCCCAGATGTGTTCACAGCAGTCTGCCTCTGAGGGCTTGCTTGATGGAAGGCATACCCTGGACCGTTTGCTCAGGCAGGTGCTGAGACTCTTTTGAGCTCCTCCCTGTGGAAGCTCTGTTAGCTCTTTAGATCCTGCTCCTGCTCCAGCCCTGGGCTAGCCTCATGGGCTCTGCTGTTCTTCTGTAAACCATACAGGATGTCTCCAAACAGGGTATTTCACACAGAGTAGGAAGGATGGCTTCGCAATCATGGAGTGGGCACCAAGGCCCACCCTCTCCAAGTTCCTTTTTCACCCCAACTCTTTGCAAATATAGGAAAGTCATTTATTGTTCTTGTGCTTTCAATTTCTCAGAGTCAGAGAAAGGCCATAATATGTCATTCTCACCGTTAGTTGTTAGCTTCCAATGAGACAAAATATTCACTTGTTCATTCCTTTGCTCGTTCATTCATTCATTCATTTATTAGCAGATATGTATCCAGTGTCAGCTAGGTGCCAGGCACTCTTAGGTGCTGAGGATACAGCAGTGGACAAAACAAAGTCCAGTCCTCATGGAGCTTCTGTTCTGGGAGGGTTACAGACCAAAAGCACATAAAGAAGGAAAAGTAAAGCAGGATACAGGGACAGAATGTGACAGGGGTGCTATTTTATAAGGGTGGTAAGAGACAATTTCTGCAAAGAGGTTATATGTGAGCAAAGAACTAAATGAAGTGAGGGAGCCAGCCATGGGACTAGGGAGGGGACTGTTCCAGCCCTGAAATGGGACCCCCTTGACCTATTTAAAAACACACAAGGAGGCCAGTGTTGTCAGAGTGGGATGAAGGAAGGTGGGAATACCGAGAAGGAGGTCGGAGATATAGCCTCAGGCCAGTTGACATAGACTGTAGCTCAGGTTATCTTCATGTAGGGATGAGCTGGAGCCCAGGCACCCTCCAAGCATTGGGTACCAGCCACTCTGGTCAGGCTAGGCCAGAGTTCGGAAGACTATGGCCAAAAACAGATGGGACTTCTGGAGTGATCTGAAGTGTAGGCTAGATTCTGGTTGCAGCTCCACAGTAAGCAGTTCATACAGAGAACCAGAGGTTCAAAATCAGGCTCATGTAGAGAATCAGGTTCAAAACCTGAGGTAGAATCCAGGGATGTGGCTCGGGAAGCCAGTAGGGCATGGGTGGACCCATGGCCTGGAAGCAGTCTGAAACCAGGGCCGCTCCTGGGGCCCCAAACCAGTCACTGCAGCAGGCCTGTCCCAGGGAAACAAAGAGCCTCTCCTCTAGCAGGGCTGTGCTTGGGATCTAGGGACCCTACCCACTTTGGTTGCTGTTGCAGAGCCACAGAATGAGAGGAAGAGTCTCTCATCAGAACCTCAAGGCACAGGCCAGGCACGGTGGCTCACACCTGTAATCCCAGCACTTTGGGAGGCTGAGGCAGGTGGATCTCTTGAGGTCAGGAGTTCAAGACCAGCCAGGCAACATGGTGAAACCCCCGTCTCTACTAAAAATACAGAAATCAGCCAGGTGTGGTGGCGGGTGCCTGTAATCCCAGCTACATGAGAGGCTGAGGCACGAGAATCACTTGAACCCAGGAGGGAGAGGTTGCAGTGAGCCGAGACTGAGCCACTGCATTCCAGCCTGGGCGACAGAACAAGGCTCTGTTTCAAAAAAGAAAAAAAAAAAAAGGAGTCTCAAGGCACAATCTGGACTAACCTGATGAAAGAAATTGGGGGAACTAAAGGAGGGATGGTCTCTGCTCAGGATCACTTGCTGAGTCTCTGTTCCTGGAATTCTAGCCCAAGCCCTCTGCTTTGGACTCCATGTCTTCAGACTTCCAGTCTGTGTGGGCTTTTCTAGGCAGGCTTATTTGTAATGTCTTCATTCTCCCATCCTAGTGGGGCTCAGCAGATCCAGAATTCATGTGCCCCAGTTCCTTCTGGAGGCCCAGGGGTACACAGAAGCCCCAGTTAGGCTCCCAAGGCCTGGCACAGACCACCCACCATGGCCAGCTTATCCTGGTGACATACTGCCAGCTTATCCTGGTGACATACTGCCATGAAGACTGAGAAGGGTCTCGGGAATTAATTAGGCAGATGAGCATTCTGGACTTCATGTAATACCCCTTGCTCCTGCTACAGAAATTGTATTGTAGGTGGTGCTTTATAGTTTGCAGAACCTTTCAAAACAAAACTGAAGTATATCTCATACCATAAAATTTATCCCCTTGATATGGTTTGGCTCTGTGTCCTTATCCAAATCTCATCTTTTAGCTCCCATAACTCCCATGTGTTGTGGGAGGGAGCCGGTGGGAGATGAATGAATCACTGAATTGTGGGGGCAAGTCTTTCCCATGCTGTCCTGGTGATAGTGAATGAGTCTCACAAGATCTGATGGTTTTAAAAATGGGAGTTTCTCTGCACAAGCTCTCTCTTTGCCTGCTGCTATCCATGTAAGATGTGACTTGCTCCTCCTTACTTTCTGCCATGATTGTGAGGCCTCCTCAGCCACGTGAAACTGTAAGTCAACTAAACCTCTTTCTTTTGTAAATTGCCCAGTCTCAGGTATGTCTTTATCAGCAGTGTAAAAGCAGACTAATATACCTTTTAAAGTGTACAATTCAGTGGTTTTAGGTATAGTCACAGGGTTGTACAACCATCACTACTATCTAATTTCAGAGTATTCTTCCCACTCACAAAAGAAACCCTGTAACCTTTTGTAATCACTTTCCTTTTCCCCTTCTCCCCAGCCCCTGGCAGCCACTAATCTACTTTGGCTCTATGGATTTGCATTCTGGACATTTCATACAAATAAAATGCTACAATGTGTGGCTTTTTTGTGTGTGTCTTGCTTGCAGCATGAATCAGTACTTCACTCCTTTTAATGGCTGAATAATGTTCCATTGTATGGATATTACACATTTTGTTTATCAGTTGATTAGTTGATGGACATTTAGGTTGTTTATAATTCTTGGCTATTATGAATAATGCCACTGTGAACATTTATGTACAAGTTTTTGTGTGGACATATGTTTTCAATTATCTTGGTTGCAATTGCCAGGTCATAGGCTAACTGTGTTTTTAACTTTTTGAGAAACTGTTGAACTGTTTTCCATAATGGCTATACCATTTTACATCTCCATCAGCAATGTATGAGAGTTCCAATTTCTCCATATCCTCACCAACATTTTTCATTGTCTTTTTGATTATAGCTATACTAGTGGGTCGAAGTGGTATCTCACTGTGGTTTTTATTTGCATTTCTTTAATAACTAATTATTTTGAGCATCTCTTTATTTGCTTATTGTCCATTTGTTTATCTCCATTGAATAAATATCTATTCAAATTATTTGCTCATTATTTAATTGGGTTATTTGTCTTTTATTGTTGCATTGTAAGGGTTCTTTATATATCCTGAATAATCTTACCAGATGTATGATTTGCAGATAGTTTTGCCTATTCCATGAGTTGTCTTTTTACTTTCTTGATAGTGTCCTTTGAAGTACAAAATTTCAAATTTTGGTCAAGTCTAATTTACCTATTTTTTCTTTTGTTGTTTATGCTTTGTGGTGTCTTATCTAATAAACCATTGCCTACTCTAAGGTCATAATGGTTTGCATCTGTTTTCTTCTAAGAGTTTTGTAGCTTTAGCTCTTACATTTATGCCTTGGATCTATTTTGAGGTATTTTTGTATATGGTGTGAGGTATGGGTCCAAAAGCATTCTTTTTTACATGGCTATCCACTTATCCCAGTGTCATTCGTTGAAAAGTCTCTTCTTTCCTCCATTGAGTTGTCTTGGCACCCTTGTCAAAATTCAATTAACTCACATACATTTTTAAAGATGTTGGTTCTACACTTCATTATGAATTAACTTGTTGGGATTAAAATTACTCTGTGGCCTCACAGGGCCAGCCTGTAGAACAGACCCTGGCACAGAGTAGATGCATAATAAGTGCTGACTTTAGTCAAATGGAATAAGCCTAGGAGATAGACACATTCACTCTTTGAGCCTCTACTGTGTTCAGTGGCCCCCCTGGGATGGAGAGAAGTGATTTTCTCTCTGGCCCCTGCTCTGCCAGTAACCCTGTTGAGCATAACCATTTCTACAAAACACATATCTGATTTATCTTGTAGTTTTGATTCTGTGTCTGCCTCCTGGGGACTCAGCAAGCAAGCAAGTTTTAGCTCCTCTTTAGACCTGAGGAATTTACCTGGAAGCTCTGATCTACATCCTTGGTAGGGATGCAGAGTGCTGTGGGCTGGTGTGTACTTCTCCCTGCAGGCTACTGGGGTGGCCTTTTAAGTGCAACCCTGTATGTACACGGGTGCTTTCCAGCATTCCCAGACCTTGCCTTGATAACACAATGTGATAACATTAAAGATATATGCTTGGGAAGTAAAACGTGCTGGTACCCCCATTCCCCAGAACAAGTATTTTCATTCTGGTATGTCCTTTCTAGCCCTTTGCCACATACAGACATGTTTTCTTGCATTTGCCAGTACAGTGGAAATATGATTTTGTGGCTTCATTTTGTATGTTGTTGCATAAATATTTTCCATATCTCTACATGGCCTTCATATTCCACATTTGTAAGACTTCATTGTGTTGATATGCCAGTCCCTTCCTGTTGAACATTTGGACTGCCCCCTCCCCAGCTTTTAAGAAAATAGAGTTTTAAAAAAACAAAAACGAAAACAAATCACATCCCACTTGTCACAACCACGGTTCCTATTCAGATGCAACCTGCAAGCCTTGGTGGTTACAGGCTGGCCAGACCTGGACCAGGCTAATGACTGGAGACGGGCTAAACAGATTCAGAGAAAAATATGTATAAAAGTGATCTGAGTACCTCGGTGTTTCCATGAAATACGAGATTAAGCGGTTTGCATGTGTGGCCTAAACTCTTCCAACTTCTAGTAATGTAATCAGGGTCACTGGTAGTTGAGTTAGTGAATCAGGAGACTCTGAGCTGCATGGAAAAGGAGGAAACTTTTGCCCAGTAGCAAACTAGAGTCAGAAAAGGAGAGGCCGGAGAGGCCAGCGAGAAACATTCTAAAGGGGAGGGAAAACGTTGCCAACAATTTTGCCTGGTATCTCAGAATGGTCATTTGGTGCTTTGGAGAAAACCCTTAAATGACACAGAAGTTTCCATCTAGTTGCATCCTGATTACCAAGCGACCCTCTGTGCAGAGCAGGGGCCCAGGTCCTGGAGAAATCCAGTCAGGAGAAAGAAGGCGCCTCCCTGTTTCCAGGGTGTTCTTCTGGAGGCCAAGGGAACAAGGACACACACGGAAAGATGCCGTGGGCCGGAGAGTAAAGCTCACTTGTCTCGCTGTGACTTCTTTATCTGAGGGCCTCCCACGTCCCGCTAAGCTCTGCGGGGTCTGGGGGAGGCTGGGGTAGCCCCAGAGCCACCATTGTGCCCGCGCAATTAAACAAGAATGCTCCGACTTGACAGTTCCACTGTGAAAGTTTTCAAATAGTGTTTGGAATGTTTACATAATTGTTGAAAAGAGGCTTTTTCAATGTACCTGTTTACACTCTTTCCTTTTGGAAATTCTTTCAGCAATCAGGCCGTGGAGGGCTCTCAGGCTGCACTTGCCGCCCTTGATTGCGGAGGGAGGAATGAAAGGCCCGTCAGTGAATCGCTGGGAAAACATTCCCTAACAAACGCCCTCTAATGAGGGGGCGCCGCTTTCGCTGCGGCTGCGGCGGTGGAGAGGGCGCGGGGAGCGGAGGGGCAGGGGCGCGGGCCGGGGGGAGGCCAGGCCCGGTTTTGTGGCGGCGCTCCTGGGTGGGGGGGGCGCGGACCCCGGGTCTTTGTGTGCAAATTTCCCACCGGGACCAAGCGACTTTCCACAATTTAATTAAGTGGCTTTAGAGTCCGGAGTTGGCCTAACAAGCTCCTGTTCATGAATGAAAGATTTGTCCGCAGCAGCGGGGGCCGGCTGAAAACAAAGTGGGCCGCAGTTACCCTGGATCCGGCCGGTTTCGCTGCTCCGCGGCCAGCCCCAGCCTCCCGGGAGCAGGAGAAGGCGGCTGCGGGGGCTGGCAGCGGTCCTTCTGGGACGCGTCTCACCTAGCTCGCAGCAAATATGCCATCCATATGCCCAGGATCACAACCGAATCAGCTCCATCAGGCCTGGCAAAGAGGCATTTAAATTGCTAATATTGCACTGGGGAACGACGACAGAACTGCCTGGGCTCAGCTCTGTGGGATCCACAGAGACAAACCTGGGGGTGGGGGTGGGGTGAGTTGGGGATGGGTTCGGAAAAAGTCCAAGTGAGAATCACTAGAAGCTGGCTATTAGGAGGGGCGAGAAGTGGGGATCCTTGGTAGAGAGATGCCAGGAGAAACCGTGGCAGAAATGCGCCCAGGGTGGAGCGCTGGTGCTGGTGGGCCACTCGGGCCCCTTTTCCATCCATTATTTCTGAAGAGAGGCCAGCTGGAGTTTCTACAAAGGCTGCTCTGCTCCAGGGAGGCATCCCCCCACTCCCCAGCACTCTTACCTTTGAACAAGACAGGTTTTCTAGAAAGACAAAAAATATTGGCTGGTTGGAAGAAGAGAGGGGCCAGCTGCCGCTGTGAAATGTTCCTCGTTTACAGTTGTTGAGTGTCCCTGCCCTTGGCTGTGGTCTGTCAAGCAGGTTTGGGATCAGGGGGTCTTTTGCAGCTACTTTCCAGTGGAGGGTTCAATGAGTGTTTTTCTCTGACTGTATTTTTAGAAAAAATTATGATGACAGTTGTTAGGTCTCAGGCAGGCAGGCAGGCAGCACATTCCATTACAAAGTTAGCATGAAATCAATATGTAAATAACCCTTTCTAACTGGCAGCTATTTTTGAAGGCAGAACGCACCGGATGTTGCAGGTTTGTTCCAGTTCACTTTAAATACCTCTCTGTTCTCAGAGCCTGTGAATGTGCTCACATTGAGAAGAGCCTTTTCCCCTTTTCACTTGATCTTTGCAGCGTCCCTGATAGTGGTAATGCCACCATGAGCTTTGTCCTCAAACCTCCTCCTCCATCATTTAAAAATCAGATTGACAAGACCCGCACCAGGCTGGGAGTGTTAGTTCCCCTTCGGCATGGTCATTTTTCAAAAGCACGGGTTGCTCCAGGAAGGGTACAGGCGGCAAAAGCCGTGGCCATCCGCGGAAAGAATTAAAGGAGCGAGAAAGCCCGAGAGGCTGCGATCAGGGTTGAATCAGAGATTCAGGCAGTCACTGCCAAAATGCATGGAAGTCATTGCCAAGACATAAAAGGTCAGAGGATACCAGCCGTGAGAAGAACCAGGTTAGAACCGTGACTGCAGCTGAACAGGAAGAAACAGGTCTCAAGGTACTCCTGAGTGAGCAAGGGCCTGAGACCGAAGGTCTTTGCATAGTTCCTTGTCAGTAGTGACAGTTTTCATTGTGGTTTAATTTTGAAACTAGCTGTGCTGTGTGTATCTGCATGAAAACAGAAATACTTCTAGAATGTTTAGTGTCAGTCATGGATGGCGCCACAATGCCTGGTGTGACATATGGGGTGTGCGTATGTGTACATGTGCTTATTTATTTCCTGAATTCAAAGGGGCAATGAAGTTCAAGCTGGGGCCTAATAGTAATGATTCCTACAGTTACTACTATTCTATGAGTTTTTATGCACTTGCAGTTCTACAGTCTTTTTTAAATAATTGAGTTGAAATCTGCTTTGCTGTAACGTATATACTATGGACTTAGACCCAAAACAAGGCTTCCTCTGCCATAGAATCATCTTCAAGACAGGTGGTGTCTCACTCAGAGATTTCTCTATTCCTAGATAAATAGTTCTTGTTCTTCAAAGATGGGAGTCCCCTCCCACAAGGAGACTCCATCGGGTCCATGTGTTGCCTCCATGTTCTTGCCATTTAGTGCATCTCTGGAATGAACCAGAAACAGATATTCCTCTTGAGGATTTTCAGTGTGATTTAACTGCAAAAGGACTGTCTCTCTGCCGGGAAGATGCATTTGGGGTGAGGCTTTAACTCTCCAAGTGCACAGAGCTCTGTCTTTTATTGCATGAAGGTGGTCAGATGAGGTAGAAATTTGACCTGTTCTTTCTGGGCCTGGAAGGCAGAGCTATGATCACCGAGGAAGGGGAAATATTACAGGGAAGTCATATTTCAGCTTAAAGGTGGCATGAAGAAGAATTTTCTAATGAAGAAGAAATGACATGCTTTGAGAGGTAGTGAGTGTCCTACAACCTGGAAGGATTCAGGCTGGGTAGAGGGTTTCACCAAAGGTAACTTCCAACTCTGGATCTGGTCATCCGTCCGCTTACGCATTTATTGATGCATGCTAGATGCAAGGGGCCATTCCGGGCTCTGAGAGGTTTCATCATAGAAATTAATAGAGAAGGAACTGATACTTTTTTAGATTGGGATAAAATACACACAACAAAATTTATCATCTTAACCATTTTAAATATACAGTTTAGTGGTATTATGTTCACAATGTCGTGCAAACGTCACCACTACCTTAGAACTCCTTTCATCTTGCAAAACTGAAACTGTATCCATTAAACACCTTCCCATTTCTCCCTATCCTCAGCTCCTGGCAACTACCATTCATTTTCTGTCTATAAATTTGACGACTCGAGATGCCTCATATAAGTGGAATATGAGGAATTATACAGTATTTTTCCTTTTGTGACTGCCTTATTTCACTTGGCGAATGCCCTCAAGGTTCATCCATGTTGTAGCATGTATCAGAATCGCCTTCCTTTTTAAGACTAACTCATGTTCCATTGTATGTATATATACCACATGTTGCTTATGCATTCATCTGTCAATGGACACTTGAGTTGCTTCCACTTTTTGGCTACCGAGAATCATGCTGCTGTGAATATGGATGTACAGATATATGTGCAAGACCCTGCTTTCAATTCTTTTGTGTATATACCCAGAAGTAGAATTACTGATCACATGATAATTCCTGTTAAATTTTCTGAGGAACCAGTATATTGTTTTCTATAGCAGCTTCATCATTTTACATTTCCACCAACAGGGCAAATTCTCTCCACATCCTCACCAGCACTTGTTATTTTCTGGAATTTTTTGACAGTCACTATTCTAATGTGTGTGAGGTGGTATCTTAGTGTGGTTTTGATTTGCATCTCTCTAATGATTAGTGATGTTGAGCATCCTTTCATGTGCTTATTGACCATTTGTGTATCTTCTTTAGAGAAATGTTTAGTCAAATCCTTTGCCCATTTTTTAATCAGGTTGGGTTTTTGGTTGTGGTTTAGTTATATATTCTGGATAGTAACTCCTTATCAGAAATATAATTTGCAAATATTTTTTCCCATTCTGTGTGTTATCGTTTTACTCTATTGGTTGTGTCCTTTCATGCACAGAAGTTTTACATTTTGATGAAGGTCAATTTATTTACATTTTCTTTTGTTGCCTGTGCTTCAGCATCATAGTGAAGAAATAATTGCCATAGCTTATGTCATAAAGCTTTTCCCCTGTGTTTTTTTTTCTAAGAGTTTCATAGTTTTAGCCCTTACATTTAGGTTTTGGGTCCATTTTGAGTTAATTTTTGTATATGATGTAAAGTAATGGTCCAACTTCATTTTCTTGTATGCAGATATCCAAAGCAAGATACTCACAATCATTTGTTGAAAAAACTGTTCTTTTCCCATTGAATGGTCTTGATGCCCTTGCTGAAAATCATTTGACAATATAAGTGAGGGTTTATTTCTGGGCTGTCTATTCCCTTGGCTAATATGTCTATCTTTATGCCAGTACCACATTATTTTGATTACTGTAGCTTTGCAGTAGGTTTTGAAATCAGGAAGTGTGAGATCTCTAAGTTTGTCCTTTTCCAAGATTGTTTTGGTTATCTGGGGTCTCTTGACATTCCATATGAATTTTAGGTAAGAAGAGCTAACATTTATTGACTATATATGATCTCCTAAGTGCTGGCCATGCAAATAGGATGTAAGGAAGAAGTAAGCCTTGTTTTCTAAAAGTACAATCTTATAATAAAAGATAAGACATAACAAATAAATGTGAAGCAGAAGTGGACAGGTGCTTTATGCACCTACATATTATGAAAGAAGGGAAGGGAGGAGTAACTGGAGACAGTTCCAGACTACTTTCAGAAAGAAAAGTTATGGTGGAATCTTTGATTTATGGATTGTTAAAATTGTCACAATGTTTTTCCTGAATGTGGAGTAGATGACTATGCTAAGATAGACAACCCCTGTCTTTTGGTTGCTCTTCTCTCATCCTTTCTTTTTTCTATCATTTTTCCTTTTTTTTTTTTTTTTTTTTGAGACACAGTCTCGCTCTGTCACCCAGGCTGGAGTGCAGTGGGGTGATCTTGGCTCACTGCAACCTCCACCTCCCAGGTTCAAGCAATTCTCCTGCCTCAGACTCCCGAGTAGGTGGGATTACAGGCACGCACCACCATGCCTAGTTTTGTGTGTGTGTGTGTGTGTGCCATGTTGGCTAGGCTGGTCTCCAATTCCTGACCTCAGGTGATCCACCTGCCTCAGCCTCCCAAAGTGCTGTGATTACAGGCGTGAGCCACTGCGCTCGGCCTCTCCCCCTTTCTTAACCTATTGGTTCCTGACTGTCCCTGATGACATTTAATTCAGTCAACAAATATTATTATGTACTATCTGCTAGATACTGACTGGGATACAGTGAGCAAAACAGACCCAGCCTCTGGCTCATAGAGGTTACACCTAGAGGGAGAGACAAATGTCAGATACTTGCCTGAGTATATATAATTAGGGACTGATAAACGCAATGAAGGGAAAGTTCAGGAAACTATCAGAACATATCTTGAGGGAACTGACCTAGTTGGAGAGGAAGTGTCAGGGAAAGCTTTCCTAAGGGAGTGACATTTGAGTTGAGATGGAAAAGATGAGTAGGAGCAGTCTTGGTGAAGGAGGCTGCAGGGAAGTGTACCAGGCAGAGGGGAAGAGCATCAGCTAAAACCTCATAACAGATGAATGAAATCTGATTTTAATGTTAAAACAAATAAATAGCTAAGTAAACACTGGTCTTCAACTCCATCCTCTGGTTCCAAAAATTACCTAGGACTCAGGAAATTTGAGGAATTTATTCATTGAAGTACTCAAATGTTATATGTGGGATTTGTTATATGTGGGATTTAAACAGAAATATGTCATTGCTGCCATTTGAATGAATGTCACAAAAAGGTTTAGGCAAAACTATCCACATTTTGATAGCCTACTTAGCATCGCATGGGGTCATAAACTTGCCACAAAGAAAATCTGACTAGGCTGATGAGTGCTGTTTGGTGTATAGGTTCAGAGTCTTCCTCAACTAAGGAACAGGAATAATTGATCCCATAGCCCTTTCAGCTCTATGAGTTTCTCATAGTTTGTGTCTATAATAGTAATCATGAAAAACACTAAGTATATCAGGAATGGGTTAAATATCCAAAACTATTTTATCTGTATTAGAAGAACAGAAATGACTCTTCAAAAATAAGCCAATGACTAGGCTCATCATGGTCATCAACTCAATGGAATATTATATGGCCGTTAAAAATAATAATTTTGACAAAAACATAATATGTGGAAAAATACCTATAGTATAATAGCAAAAGAAACACAGGTGAAATGGCATGTATATAATGACTACAATAATGAACTGGAAGGGTAAATTTATAAATGGGAAATCATTGTTAGGAAGAGAGATGATGGACATGTAAGCTTTTCTTTTCATAAGTTTTAATGTTATTCCATTTTATCTTTATATTTAAAAATGATGGGAGAAAATTTTTGCAATCTACTCATCTGACAAAGGGCTAATATCCAGAATCTACAAAGAACTTAAACAAATTTACAAGGAAAAAACAAACAACCCCATGAACAAGTGGGCAAAGGATATGAACAGACACTTCTCAAAAGAAGACATTTATGCAGCCAAAAGACACATGAAAAAATGCTCATCATCACTGGCCATCAGAGAAATGCAAATTGAAACCACAATGAGATACCATCTCACACCAGTTAGAATGGCGATCATTAAAAAGTCAGGAAACAACAGGTGCTGGAGAGGATGTGGAGAAATAGGAACACTTTTACACTGTTGGTGGGACTGTAAACTAGTTCAACCCTTGTGGAAGTCAGTGTGGCAATTCCTCAGGGATCTAGAACTAGAAATACCATTTGACCCAGCAATCCCATTACTGGGTATATACCCAAGGGATTATAAATCATGCTGTTATGAGGACACATGCACACGTATGTTTATTGCGGCACTATTCACAATAGCAAAGACTTGGAACCAACCCAAATGTCCAACAGTGATAGACTGGATTAAGAAAATGTGGCACATATACACCATGGAATACTATGCAGCCATAAAAAAGGATGAGTTCATGCCCTTTGTGGGGACATGGATGAAGCTGGAAACCATCATTCTCAGCAAACTATCGCAAGGACAAAAAACCAAACACCACATATTCTCATTCATAGGTGGGAATTGAACAATGAGAACACATGGACACAGGAAGGGGAACATCACACACTGGGGCCTGTTGTGGGGTGGGGGAAGGGGGGAGGGACAGCATTAGGAGATATACCTAATGTTAAATGATGAGTTAATGGGTGCAGCACACCAACATGTCACATGCATACATACGTAACAAACCTGTACGTTGTGCACATGTACCCTAAAACTTAAGGTATAATAAAAATAAAAAATAAAATAAAAAAAATGAGCTTTTTAAAATTAAGAATTTTCTTGGAGACAAAAGACTAAATACCAGCACCATATTTCTAAGTTTAGCCAGTAGCATTTTGGAACCCCTAATGGGAAAAATCACTATTAATTATGTGACCAAACCAGTAAGTTGGGAAAAGTTGTCATAGCTAGAATATTGGTAGGAATCAAATATGTGAATATTTCTTTTGAGTGTTGGGAAGTCTAAATAGTTTTATGACAGGACACAGTAGTACTAATCCTATGAATTTTGGTTACAGTTGTTTTTCTTTATATTTAAAATTATCCCTAACATGTAGTTGTTTTCAATATTTTAAATTTCTAACTGTAAAATATACATAACATAAATTTTATGTATGTATATATAAGTGCATTTCTAAGTGCAAAGTTTAGTAGTGTTCAGTATATTCACATTGTTGGGCAGTGGAACTCCAGAAATTTTTCACCTTGTAAGACTAAAACTCTTAAACAACTCCTTATTTCCCTTTTTCCCCAGCTCTTGGCAACCACCATTTTACCTTCTGTTGCCATGAATTTGACTACTTTAGCTACCTCATATAAATGGAATTATACAGCATTTCCCTTTTTGTGACTGCCTTATTTCACTTCACATAATGTCATCAGAATTCATCCATGAGGTAGCATGTGTCAGAATTTCTTTCCTTTTTAAGGCTGCATAATGTTCCATTGTATGTATAGACCACACTTTTTTTTATCCATTCATCCATGGATGGACACCTGGGTTGCTTCCACCTCTTGACTATTGTGAATAATGCTGCTATGGGTGTACAAACATCTCTTTGATATATTTATGTTTTGCTGACCCCCTTGATTTGGATCCTCTTTGGGAAATCACATTCCTCTATTGTCCACTGCTCACTCCACTATGTCTGAAAGTCTGCAAGCTCTGAGGATTATCTTTAGTTAATCCCTGGCTCTCAAGGGCTGGGAGGCTTGCACCAGTTGTTGAGAGCTGATCTTCAACTGCAGTGACACAAGATTATCTCGTCTTTGGTGATTGACTCTTTATAGTGACTGTGGCTTAAGAAGTCATTCTCAGTGATATCACCAATGTCTAAAGAAGGTGCTGGGGCCAGGCACAGCGGCTCACAACTGTAATCCCAGCATTTTGGGAGGCCGGGCAGGTGGATTACTTGAGGTCAGGAGATCGAGACCAGCCTGGCCAACATGGTGAAATCCTGTCTCTAATAAAAATACAAAAATTAGGGCCGGGCGCGGTGGCTCACACCTGTAATCCCAGCATTTTGGGAGGCCGAGACTGGTGGATCACCTGAGGTCAGGAGTTCAAGACCAGCCTGGCTAACATGGCGAAAACCCATCTCTACTAAAAATACAAAAATTAGTTGGGCATGGTGGTGTGCGCCTATAATCCAGCTACTTGGGAGGCTGAGACAGGAGAATTACTTGAATCTGGGAGGCAGAGGTTGCAGTGAGCCAAGATTGTGCCATTGCACTCCAGCCTGGGTGACAGAGTGAGACTCCGTCTCAAAAATAAATAAATAAATAAATAAGTGAATAAAAGTAAATAAAGAAGGTATTGGAAGAATAAAATAATGGCCCCCAAACAGCTTTATGTTTCCCAAGTCTAGTTCAGGCTTGTGACTACTCTAATCTATCTACACTTGTCATATTCAGAGATGATTCCACCACTTAATAACTGGGTTTCCAGTGATTTGGGATGTGTGATAATTCAGCTGGTACAAGACTGATGTTTATTTTTTACACTATTTATGAATTAAGAGACTAGTAAACAAAATAGTCTTGTAAACAAAATTACATGGTGAAGGTGGAGAATGTTGCAACTGCTTAAGGGGACAAAACATATTCAAGGATATTGGCAGTTTCATTTGCATATAATTGATGTACTAATTATAGATAGGTTTGTCTACTAATTAAAGTAACGCAGTTAGAACTTCTACTTAGAAATTTTGGTTAACAAAGCATATCCTTGAAATTAGTAAAATTACATTTCTTCGCTTTTGCAATTTAAATATGAAAAATTTCTACTCTTTGCTACAAGTTCCTAGAACTATTATTGAATGAATTATTAGAAAGTAGAGCACATTCACCAATAAGAATGACATAAATCATTCATTTAACAAACATTTTATTGAGCCCCTACCATGTGCCAGGCATTGCAACGCACCAAATAGAATAGAACAATGGACATGACAAATAAGATCTCTGATCTCCAGAGCTTGCCTTTTAGCAGGTGGGAGGCAGATAGTAATAGACAAGTAACAGGTAAATGAATAAGATAATTTCAGATAGTGAGAAGTACTGTGGAGGCAGTAAAGCAGGGTCATGTGACAGTATGAGTGAGGAGCTTGCTACTTTAGCTTAGTAGGTCAAGGAGGGTCTATTTGAGAAGGTGACATTTGGCCTGATATGGGAAATACAAGAAGGAACCGGCTGGGTGCGGTGGCTCATGTCTGTAATCCCAGCACTTTGGGAGGCCGAGGCAGGTGGATCACCCGAGGTCAGGAGTTGGAGAGCAGCCTGGCCAACATGGTGAAACCCCGTCTCTACTGAAAATACAAAAATTAGCCAGGTGTGGTGTCACGCACCTGTAATCCCAGTTACTTGGGAGGCTGAGGCATGAGAATTGCCTGAACCCAGGAAGTGGAGGTTGCAGTGAGCCGAGATTGCACCACTGCACTCCAGCCTGGGAGACAGAAATAGACCCTGTCTCAAATAAAAAATAAATAAATAAAAAGAAGGAACCAATGTTTGGGAATAACCGGGGCAGAATCTTCTAAGACAAATTCTCTAGGATCATAAGGAACAGCAGATTCCACAATGACAAGGCTGGTGTGGTTGGAGCATAGTAGGAAAAGGGAGCCAGAGACATGCAAAGAAGTTGAAGACACAGGCAGGCATGAGCTAAGAGGAGCTCTGCATGCTGTGGTCAGGAATATTTTATTCTAAGTAGAATGGAAACCACTGCGTGGGTTTAAGCAGGGCAATGACATACTCCCAATTTGTGTCTTAAAAGGCATTCTCTGAGCTTTGTAGAGAACAGGTGATCAAGGGGCAAGAGAGGAAGCAAATCTTGTACCTGATCAAGGACAGCTACATGAGTTAAAGTCAGGACCAAGCAGAGATGGAGTAACTCCAATCTAGTTAATTTATGCATCTTCTTTTTTACCTCTGTGTCTCCCTCTTCTCTCCCCTTTTCTGAGCACAACAAACTCCTATGGCAGAAGTTCTTAATCTAGAGGTTACATCAGAATCACCTTGGGAGGTGTCGGCAAGAATGGTGCCTAGTCTGACCAGGGGAGATTCTTGCTTGGGATGAAGTCTGATCATATTTGTTTGTTTAATCTATTCAGGTGATTGTGTTGTGCACTGCAAAAAGTCCAAATGACAAAAGACGATGATGGGGTTGCACAGAAATTAGGGACAAGAGGCCGGGCATGGTGGCTCACGCCTGTAACCCCAGCATTTTGGGAGGCTGAGGTGGGCGGTTCACAAGGTCAGTAGATCGAGACCACCCCGTCCAACAGAGTGAAGCCCCGTCTCTACTAAAAATACAAAAATTAGCCGGGCGTGGTGGTGGGTGCCTGTAGTCCCAGCTACTCAGGAGGCTGAGGCAGGAGAATTGCCTGAACTCGGGAGGCGGAGGTTTCAGTGAACAGAGATCACGACACTGCACTCCAGCCTGGTGACAGAGCAAGATGTTGTCTCAAAAAAAAAAAAAAAAGAAAAAAAAAAGAAATCAGGGACAAGAGGAACAAGCACACTTTTTTGCTCTAGGGACTCTCCATACAGGCCAGATGCTGTATACAATTAATTGTGATACTAAATACGAAGAAAAGAAATCCATGCTAATACTGGGGTCGGGGAGGGAGAGCTACAGACAAAGCGCTC
This sequence comes from Homo sapiens, assembly GCF_000001405.40. Taxonomy (NCBI): domain Eukaryota; kingdom Metazoa; phylum Chordata; class Mammalia; order Primates; family Hominidae; genus Homo; species Homo sapiens. Next base: position 38,465,717 of record NC_000001.11, on the reverse strand, counting down.
CTGGTGTGTGGGGAAAGGGGAGATCCTCAACCCTGGGGAGGGGTAAAGACCTGATGACCTGGATTTTAGCCTCAGAGCTTTGTTAGTGACAACTGGTGGAATCACTTCACCCTTCAACTGGCTGTGTCATTAGTGACTGGCTGCCTGTGTCCCCCCCAAGCCATGGATACAGAGAATGAGTTGGCAAACTAGCAGGGCTGGGCCAGAGGCAGGAGGAGGGGGCCACGCAGGAGGCAGGGAAAGTGAATTGGCATTTCACTCATTCAGATCCACTCTCCCCACTCCCACTCCCACCAAGGCTGAATTTCTGAGCATGCGTTCCTCCTAACTCATCTTTTCTCTAGGAGATTGATAGGAGCAGTACCCTGGATTCGTGGGCAAACTAAAAAACACAAACAAAAGTCCTAATTTCTCAGGTTCCCATTTGCCATTTCCACCCTCAATACCACCACCTACAGAGTGGGGAATTTGGAAGTGTGTAAGGGATTCGGCTGACCTGGCTTCTCAAGGAGCTTTCCCTGTGTATTGAGGGATAGAAAATAGGATTTGGGGTGGGAAGGAAGGGGTATAGAAGTGAGAAAACTGTGGATGCTATATATCTGTATTGCTTTTCTCAGGCTTAAAAATGCACACTAGACTTACAAAGAGATCAACCAAGGGCCAAGTATTTGCCTTACAACAGGGCTCCCTAAGGCATTTCTTTAAATTGCAAGGTTTCCCCAGTGCCTTCATTATTGAGGATCATTAAATGGAAAAGATGCAGTTGATATTAGGACCTCGGGAGCCACTGGGCAAGCTTATGTGCTCTGTTTTCATTAGCTATGTGGAATATGGGTCATCTGGTTAAGTTACGACTTTCTCTGAGCTGTTTCTGAGCTCCTGCTACTTCTGTTGGCCTCCTCATTTGGCCTCTGCATCTTGTGGAAGACACCAAAGCACTTGACATTTAACATTTATCAGCAAAGTTAAAAAAAAAAAAAACTAACGCGAATTAAACAGGATTTTTAATCCCCTCAACTGTTGCCATCAGTATAATCACTAACAGAATGAAATCAGAATCAGTGGAGGAAAATATTAATCATGGATTTGCATCTATTAACTATCATGCAGAAGAGAGCAGGTTGCATGCTCCTGGGTGATTGTGTAAAATTTCTGAGGCAGGCAGCTGCGAGTCACTGGGAGAGAAGGGTTACGCACTGGAGTATCTGTTCCCTTCCCACCAGCGTCCAGCTGTTGTGGCCTGCATGCCCTCAGAGGTTCTACTTGCTTCAGGCTGAGGAGGCAGAGAGCTAATAAGAACTTCCTGAACAGAGCCCTGAGAGTTAATTTGGATGATACAGGAACTTTTGGGGCGTTTTGAGACTGTGAGTCTCTAATTGTTTTAAAAAAGTATGTGTGTGTGCACAGTAGCTTCCCCTGGGCTGGGAGTTCACCTCTGAACGTATGAAATTAATCCATTGCTGCGGGCCAAGACAAATAGCAGCTGGAGGCCAGGAACAGGGTTCAGAGTAGGTCTTTGGGGATACGGTCTTTGGAAGAATGGACTCCAGGGGTTAAGAGTGTGAACATTGTGTTGAAACAGACCCACTTTTCTTTTTTGCTTTTTGTTTTTTGTTTGTTTGTTTGTTTGCTTTTTTGTTTTTTTTTTTTTTTGAGACAGGGTCTTGTTCTGTCACCCAGGCTGGAGTGCAATGGTGTGGTCTTGGCTCACTGCAACCTCTGCATCCTGAGCTCAAAAGATTCTCCTGCCTCAGCCTCCCAAGTAGCTGGGACTACAGGCATGTGCCACCACACATGGCTAATTTTTGTATTTTTTGTAGAGACCATGTTTTCCATGTTACCCAGGCTGATCTCAAACTCCTGGACTCAAGTGATGCACTCACCTCAGCCTCCCAAAGTGCTAGGATTACAGGTGTGAGCCACCATGCCCAGCCCAGACCCACTTCTTATCAATGGCGAGACTTTGGAAAAATTATTTAAACTTTTAAAGTTTCGGTTTCTTGATCACGAAAATAAGGGTAACAATAATTGCTATGAGAATTAAATGGCACGATGAATATAAAGCACTTAGCTCAATGTCCTGTTCATAGTGAACATTTAATAAACATTTTTTGAAAATAGACTCTATACAGTTTATCTTTGAACAACACGTTGTCCTGGCCACCTCATCCATACCTGTGATTTTAACCTCTATTGGCCTGAAAGCCTTTTTCTCTGTATCTCTCATCTTACTCCAGAACTAACTGCATTCTAAACAAGACCCATGGGTGCCTCAGACTTACCAAGTCCACAACAAACTGCATTTCCCCCACAAACCCAGATCTCCTTCTCTAGACCCTATCAAGTATGGGGCACCATTCTTCCTTCAGCTACTCAAGCCAGGTAACTGGAGGTCAATCTCATCTCCTTTTATCTTACATCCAGCACCCAAATGAGATTAGGTTCCATAACCTGTTGATTCCACCTGCTAGGTAGCTCTCAAGTTCATTTTTTCCTCCTAGCCTAGAGCTGCAGCATCCCTAGTCTTGTCCCCCTACAATCACCCACCCTAGGGCCCACAGAGAGATCTCCTGAAATCATCTATCTGACAATTTCTCTCCCACCCACAACCCTTCAACATTGCCTATGGCTTACAGAGTGAAATTTGATCTCATTGGCTTGGGCACAAGCCCCTTTATGGCATGCCTCCTGCTGTCTCTCCAGCCTCACCTTCTGCTGATTGATTCTCCTGACATCTGCCAGCCTTATAACACTTGGTTCCCTTGGAGGAATAAAGTCATGAGTCTAGCCCTGAGTGTTTTATAAAAGTTGAATAAGAAAAGGGAGACTTTCCTGGCCAAATATTTTTTTAAATTTCAAAAGTGCAATAATATATTCATTTATTTATTCACCATTTCAATGAATATCTGAGTGCCTACTATGTGCCAGGCACTATTCTAACACCATAAATACAATGACAGTTATAAAATAACAATCTCATGGAGTTGTACTACTGTTGCAGGAGCCCGTAAACAGATCAATGAAACTGAATAGAAAATCTAGCTATGGACTCAACTATATAAAAATGAGGATATTATAAAAGTGATCTTTAAAAGCAGTGAGGAAACATGGGTGATTCAGTATGTGCTATTAATGTCACTGGCTTGATATTTGAAAAAAAAAAAAGTTGAATCCCAGACTCACACCATATATCAATACATTTCTAAATGGATTAAAGGTCCAAATGTCAAAATTAGGCTTATGTCTTTGGTCTCCTAAATTATAGTCAGCTCCCAATTTCTGTCCTTGTTCTCTTTTCTCACCAGTGGTCACAAGCTCAGATGCTGATCAGGATCAGGCAAGTCATTTAAATAAACAAAATTGTCCCACAGGGACTGGGTAACCTGGAAAGCATTTGTTCCAAGGTAAACGTCTAATAATCACATTCAAAATCCTAACCATAATAGCAGCAACTGACATTTGTAGAGTTACTGTTTTGTGCTGCTATAACAGAGTACCTGATAGTGGGTAATTTACAAAAACAGAAATTTATTTCTCATAGTTCTGGAGACTGAGAAGTCCAAGATCAAGGTGCTAGTGAGGGCTGCTTCCAAGATGGCACCTTGGTGTTACATTCTCCATAGAAGAGGAATGTAATGTTGTATCCTTACTAGGCAGAAGATGGAAGGGAAGAGGGAGAAACTCCCTTTGTTAAGCCCTTTTATAAAGCCAAAATTCCCTACCTGTCAATGCTGTTGCACTGGGGATTAAGATTCAGCATGAATTTTTGGAGGGAATAAAGTCATTAAAACCATAGCAGCTAGAGACTTTTCTAACTACTTTATGTAATTTACCAACTTATTCTTTACAATTACTCTATGTGATATGTACTATTTTTATAGACAAAGAAACTGAGGCACTGAGGAATTAAGTAAGTAACCTGCTTAATTCACATATTTAGTAAATATTGAGCAGGATCTGGAATCCAGGTAGTCTGACTTCAGAACCTAAGCTCTTAACCTCCATATTCCAGCCAGTTCTTAGACCAAACAAAACATACGCATGGGCCAAACCTGGTCCATGGGGTGCCGCTTTTCAACCCATGCCCCCGATTCTTTTAGAGGGCTCTCCCACTCTTGTCTTTGTGACTTATCTTCTCTCTGTTGACAACTATACAATTCCATCTCAAACTCAATCTAGAGTTGTTTCCTGAGCTCAATATTTTTTAAAAAACTTTCTCTGGATCTCACCTGGATTTCCCCTAGGCCTCTTACACTGAACAGATTTAAGCTGACCTCTTCTCTATCTCCACTCTTATCCCAAACTTCCTCTTCCCTTGTAGCTTACTCCTATGACTTCTATGTTTTCTTCACATCTCCACTGGGTCTTTTCCATGTGTCACCTTCTCAGGAGGCCCACGCTGACCACTGTATTTAAAATCACAGCCCTCTCTCCATGTACACTCATTCACACATTTCTGCCAAAATTCCTATTCCCCTTGCTTCTCTGGTTTATTTTTCTCCATGTCACTTATCACCACCTAATTTATCATACATCTGACTTATTTATTTTATTTGTTGTGTATCTCCCATCCTAAAATGTAAGCTCCATGAAGGAAATTTTTTTTTCGCTATTGTAGTTTTAGAGCCTGGAACAGTCCCTGGCACAGAAGAATTCCATTGAAAGAGGGAATGAATGAATGAATGATGCTTCTTTCTTATACAACAATAAAATTTCCTTTAGGGCTTGTGCTTTATCTTTAAAAGGAACCCAGATTTTGCAAACTACTTTATAATGTATCCAACTTTATTTTAATATTAAAAGAGGTCTTATATTGTTCCCCATACTTCCTGGATACATCTTCAAGTAAACTCAGTGTTCCAGGTCAACATTCCATTTTATCTTGTGGCCTCCTGTGGACCTGGTATAGCATCACGTCCCTCCCACCCCAGCTCTTTGTCTTGCTCTTGCCTTGGCTTTCCCAACAGCAAGTGAAGAGACCAGCTGCTCAATGAGGGTCTCAGGATGTGAGTTGCCTGCAAGTTCACAAGCAGCTGGCAGGATAAGAGACTGTGAAATGCCTGGAGCGATGGGCATTTCAGGCTCTGAGGAGAGACATACTGAGGTTGGGGAAAGGGAAGGAATGAACCTCTTGATCTTTCACAAATCAAACCGTATTTTTTCCTTTTCCTTTTTTATTCTTTTTCTCTACCTGCACTTAAACATTTTTCTTTTTTTTCTTTTTTCATTCTTTCACTTTCTCTTCTATTGTGAAATTCTTTTACTCCTTGTTTCATAACTATGCATACAGTGCCTGTAAGAGGCCAGACAGTATGCTGGGCTTCGGAAATAAAGCAGTGGACATAACAGGCGTTATCCTTCCCCTCAAGGAGCTCCCAGACTTGTTAGGTACACACGACAATACTGACCATGCACTCTGGGGTGGTGACTGCTGGGTTAGGGAACTGCAGGGTAGAACAAGGGCACCTACAAGAACACCTAACTCAGACTGGGTGCGGTGGCTCATGCCTGTAATCCCAGCACTTTGGGAGGCCGAGGCAGGAGGATCACTTGAGGTCAGGAGTTCCAGACCAGCCTGGCCAGCATGGTGAAACCCCGTCTCTACTGAAAATACAAAAATTAGCTGGGAGTGGTGGCACATGCCTGTAATTCCAGCTACTTGAGAGGCTGAGGCATGAGAATCACTTGAACCTGAGAGACGGAGGTTGCAGTGAGCCGAGATCATACCACTGCACTCTAGCCTGGGCAACAAAGCAAGACTCCATTAAAAAAAAAAAAAAAAAGCAAAGCACCTAACCCAGACCTCAGATTTTGGAGTTCAAGGAAGACTCCCCAAAGGAAGTGATGATTAGGCTGATACCCAAAAAGTGCCAGCTGCTCAGGTAGTGGGAAGGAGGTCCTAGGAGCACAGTCAAACCAAAGTGGGTAGGAGAGGACAGCTGAGGGTGTGCGTGTTTGTGTATGTGTGTGCACATGCACACACACATAAAACCGTTTTGCACAGGTTGGATTTGGTAATTGGAAATTTTTTTTTTTCCCCTGAGGGAAAGCACACTTGGGCTCCCTCCAGTATTGGAAAGAGTGGCTTTATTCTTAGTGGTTCCAGAAGGCAGGGGAATAGCAATGGGTAGGTGTTTGAGGTGGGTGAGGCTTTCAGGCAGAACTGTCCAAAACACAGTGGCCACCAAAGGAAGTTGGGACTGGCTTACCACTTATCCAAGAAGGAGCCAGAAGATGTGTGATAGTGGTTCTTGCTGGGAAATTGGGTTAGAAAATCTTTGATGGCTCCTCCTGCCAGAGGTTCTTGGACCCTGGGCCATTGTCCTTCAGGAGGGGCCTATATGAGGAGAGCCTGGGATGCATTTGGAGTCTGTCCTGGTCTTGGCTAACAGAGAAGCATCAGACCTGAGCCCTGCCCATGGGGAGCCCATCCACTGGTCAGGGAGAGAAGCACATGCAAGGCTGCAGATAACTCACAGGTGAATTTGTGGAACAAATTAGAGGAGCAAAAGAATTTGGTTAAATGAGTGACATGAGTGGTCCAGAGCAGTAAAGGATACAATGGAGTAGAAAGAAGAGCTTTCTGGAGTCAGTGAACTTGGGTTCAAATTCTGGTTGTGCTGCAGACTCATGATGTGACTTCCAACTTTCCCTCTCTGAGTCTTCATTTGCCCCTCTAGGAAAGTAAAGGCACCATTTGAATGCTAGCATTATAGGTTCCATAACCAGCATCATGCAATGATCATTTCAATAGCTCATAGCTGGGAAAAAAGAGAATTTATTCATTTACTCATTGACTCATTCACTCATTCATGCAACAGGTACCTGCTGAGCCCACCCGTGGGCTTGGCCACTGCAGGAATTAGAGGCAAACACAAAGATGACTGAGACAGTCTCTAAGAAGACACGAATACCATTGTTCATTGCACCCCTGTTTGCAATACGAAAAAAAAGTCAACACGGAAACAATAAAAATATCTATCAGTAGGGAAATGGACAAAGAAATGTGGTTTTATTCATATGATAGAATATTATTCATTTTTAAGAGGAATAAACTAGATGTCTATATACCAAACAGAAAGATCTCAAAAGGAAGCCAAAACATTAAATGAGAAAAGCAGGAGGAAGAACAATGTAAGTTTTATGATACCATTTGTAGAGGATCTTGTTGCCTCTTCAGCATCCATTCCCCATTCTCTTGCTATAATTTTGTGCAGATGTCCACATCAACCTGTGCAGCCTGTGTGCCTTTAGAGAGGCTGTCTCTACCCTCCCCTTACAGGGGGCACATGTCTGAGTCCAAGGCTTATCAATAGAATCTCAATCCATGGTCATAATATCTGGTTCAGAGGTGCATAAACCACTTTAGGCCATGAGAAGTGAGAAGTTTCTTGACGCTTCTGGAGAAGCAGCTTCCTCACTTTTCTCAGAGCACTTCCTGAATGACCCCCTCTCTCCCAGCAAGGCCTGCAGTCCCAGGAGTCATTGGTAGCCTTTTATAACCATGAGGAGGAGCTAGCTCTAGGATAAAGCTGACACCGTGGAAAGATGAGCCAAGTGTCAAAAGAAAGTGGGTCCTTGATGACATTTTTGAGCTGATAAATCAGGTCAACCCTGAAGTCTTCCTTGCCACTAAACTTTTCAGGTATGGAAGCTAGTTAATCTTCCTCAAAGTTTAAGCCAGGTAGAGGTGGGCTTTCAGTATTTACAACCAAAGGATACTAACCAATACATTATTTAGATAAATTAAGGAACATATACAAAAAATACTATAGTTTTTTTTTTTTTGTGGTTATATACATTTGGAAGTAAAAGTGCAAAGCTTGAACTGAAAGCACATATATACTCAACTCATGATATGGTTGCCTCTGTTGGGGGTTGGGAGGGGTGCATTGAGAAATAGGTTTAGGGATGGAAGATTAAATAATAGCTCGCATTTATTGAATACTTATAGGCAGGTGCTGTTCTATGAGTTTTACATACACTAACTCGTTGAATCTTCGTGACAACATTCCACAGTTTTTACAGAAGTGGAAACTGAGGCATAGAAAGGTTGAGTAATTTGTCCATGGTCAACTTTCTAACGAGTGGCAGAATGGGGATTTGAACCCAGGCAATCTGGCTCCAGAGCCATTTATTAGCTTTATATTCTCTTAATACCTATGCTAAGGTGACATCAACTTTATCTGTCATGTTTTCTGGTTTTTGTTTTTTAAATGAAGCAAGTGTGGTACAAATTTAATGATAATTTGTTCTGGTTGAAGGGACACATGTGATGGTTTTGTCATTCTCTGTTTGTGTGTGTGCGTGTATGTGTGTTGTTTGTTTGTTTTTTTGAGACAGAGTCTTGCTGCATTACCCAGGCTGGATTGCAGTGGCATAAACATCACTGTGACCTCCAACTGCTGGCCCTAAGAGATCCTCTTGCTCAGCCTCCCAAAGAGCTGGGATGACAGGCGTGAGCCACCACAACTGACCAAACTTTTGTGTGATTTTTTACATTTCTTAAAGGAAACATGAAGCTGGAGGCAGCTCCTGCTCTTGAGGAGTTCTCAGTCCACTGAACACAACCACTGCAGCCCAAACTGAGAAGCACCAGAAGAGATGTTGCTGGGGACTTAAGTGAAGGGAGAGGCCACATCTCACTTGGGTGAACATGGAAGGCTTTGTAGCAGCCCTGGCATTGGAGGTTGGACCCAGAAATGAGGTCCAAATAATGTTTGGACATGCCATGTTGAGGGCAAGTGAACAATCGGGCAGCAAGGACTGGGTAGAGAGGTGGGAGCATGTGGGGCCAGAGGAGCCCAATTCAGCTGGAGCTGAGGACACATGATGTGGGGAATGAGAGAACATTGCTAGAAATCAGCAGAAGCCAGACAGTGGCAGGGCTTATGCAAACAATGATGCCCTTTTGTTTGGCAGGGGTGGTTGATGCTTCTAATGCTTGCTTCCTCTCTATCCTTGCTGATCTCAAGAGGTGCCCATCTGGCTGTTTTTGCTGCATCTCCAGATGTTCTCTGGGCTCCTGTGGTGAATTATCTGCTGACCCAGCAGTAGCCCCTTCCTAAGCACCCCAGGGTGCTTTCAATGTAAAACATGCAGTCACATTTGAACTGGCAAGACCTCGTCTGCCTGGGAAGCCGTATTCAGACTGATCAGCATGGACTCTATTCTGGGGGCTGAGCCTGCTCAGGGTCACCTGCACAGAAGTGGGTGAGATGTCCCGGGGCCATCCACAATGGCTCCTGACGGCCGCGGGAGGGACACAGATGCAGGCTAGCATGTAATTAGTGCCAAGAACGCAGCTCTCTGATCACTTTCCCTCAAGAACGTGCCTCTCTGGCTGAGAGGCAGATAATGGACAATCACAGAAGATCCTTGATTATGGCTTGATTAAGCTTATGGGAGCTCCAGACGGCTAATGCAATTGTGGCTTCCAAACCGTTCAGTGCAGGGCATTTCCATATGGACAGGGAATTAAATAAAGCTGTCCTGAACACTTTGCTGAGCTTGTGCCTCCAATGTCTGGCCGGATACAATCTTCCGCTTCAAGTGACCTCGACAGAGACTATAGGGAGTGGTCATGACCCAGGATGAGAAGGCCAGCTTCCTCCTTAATTACTGTCACATTTCCCCTTTAGGGCTCCTGACCTGCCTGGCATTAGCTTTTTGCTCCCTTTCCTGGAGCCAGGGATCCACTCCCCGCCCCCAGCCCCTAGTCAGCACCACAGCTTCAGCCTCGGCTTTTCCAGAAGCCTTGACTTTCAGTAAGCAAAGGACTGTGCTGAACACGGTTTCCGGTGAGATGATTCACACTGGTCTGGTGGAGACAATCAAGGGAAAAGCAGGGGATGGCGCATAAGTCTCAGGTCAGGGTTTCTGGGGGTTGTCCCTGGGCTGCTAAGCCAATCTTCCCCTTTCTGGACCCCAGGCTCTCCTCTCTGCCACAGCAGGGAGATGGGCTACATGATTTCTAAAGTCTAGGGATTACACCAGTTACCCTCATCAGTGAAAGCAATGATTTGAGTGAAATAGGATGTTAACATGACTTTCCTCCTATCTTGAAATAGCAGGAATATTGGATGGAAATAGATGGAAACAGTTGCTACCAGATAAACTCTCTGGGGCTTCCAGAAAATGAGCCAAACTGACCCGTCTTTTCCCTGTTGCCCATCCTCAGTCCATATAGACAGAAGAACTAGAGAGTAGATTGAAGGCAGAAATTGAGAGGTATATGAGCCATTGGCTTGATAAGGAGAGCTGTGCCTTTTCCTTTCCTGCCCCATGGTGAAAATAAGAGGAGTGGGTATCCTCATTCCCCAAGCCAAGTAACAGGTTTCCAAGAGGGCCGCTCAGAGCGTGAAATGCCTGCACAAGTGCAGACAGGCATCTCACTCTTCAACTGGACAACTGCTGAGCTGCAGAAGCTTCCAAGCCTACCCAGTGATGGCCGGGAGTGAAGCAGAGTGGGAGAGTGCTTGGAGAGCTTGGCATGCGTTCCTTGGCACGTGAATATAGAAACTGGTGACTGGGGAATTCTGAAGGCAAGTAGTAATTGGAGTCATTTGCAATTGTGAGGGCAAAGGTAGGACAGCAGATGAGCAGCCTGTATGTCACTGTGGAGCATGGCAAAGGCACGTGAGTATCTCAGGAGGGAAGTGGTTGCTATGGAGGACAGCTCGGTTTAGGCAGTTCTAGGTGGTGAGGACGTTCCACCTTCCAGGCAGGAGGACTCCTTTAGTGCAGATCCTGGGGTAAGAGGAAAGTTGCAAGAGGTCAGCCAGAGGGCACATTGCTCATATCAGGAGACCATGGAGGGTGGACGTCCCAGTAGAAACTTCCCAGTGAGAGAGCCAGCATTTGAAGGCCTGTCACATTAAGAGCATTAATGCTAACCAGCATTGGCCAAGAGAGGACTGTAGGACTAGTTAAAGATAAGACTCACTCTTTCCTTATAATCCCTACTTCTCTTGCCTCTATTCTAGAGTAGCCAAGAACAGCAGTGGGATGAGGATAAAAAAGGGAAAAGCAAGGAAAGAGTAGGCCACACCCCCTTCTCTATGTCCAGTAAGCCACACCCCCTTCTCTATGTCCAGTAGGCCACACTCCCTTCTCTGTCAGTAGGCGACACCCCGTTCTCTATGTCCCGTAGGCCACATCCTCTTCTCTATGTCAGTAGGCCACATCCCTTTCTCCTTGTCCAGTAGACCACATCCCTTTCTCCTTGTCCAATAGACCACATCCCTTTCTCCTTGTCCAATAGGCCACGCCCCCTTTCCTTGTCCAGTAGGCCATGCCCCCTTCTCCTTGTCCAGTAGGCCATGCCCTCTTCTCCTGGTCCAGTAGGCCACGCCTCCTTCTCCTGGTCCAGTAGGCCACACCCCCTTCTCAGCCCCAGGGATGAGTCCTGAGCCTGGCAAAGTGAAGTGGCTTTGAATCATATGCAAGACAGAAGTTTCAATTTGGGCAATTTTTATTTGGATACTTTGGCCTTTTTAATACATGGAAGTAAGTTTTAACTACCTCAACAGAGAACATTCTCATGACTGCAAGTGAGAAGAAAGCTCTGAGTTCTCCCCAAGATGGCATGGCGGGGCAGGGAGGAGCATGTTTGAAGGCAGTGGTTGTTTCCCATTTATAAGCCATCAAGCTCAGACCATGCAACATGCAGTTTTCATAACGAATTCTCTGGTTCAGTCTGCCACCATAGATGTCTTTGGTTTAGCACTGGAAATGAAAAGGTGAAAAACACTAGATTCGCACCTTATGCTGAGCAAATATTGTCTTGAGGATGCAGACCACATTTTCTTGGCCCCCAGTCAACCTTCCCTGCTCCTCGGGGTTGGAAGCCTGTGTTCTGGCTCTCATGTCCATCATGTGCCATCCCTATCCCAGCACTTCCCTGTTGGATTGAACCCGCGTGTCTGCTCTGTCCTCCTCTGGACAGCGTGTCTCCAAATCATCCCCATCACAGCACTTCCTTGGTGGATTGCACTTGTGTGTCTGCTCTGTCCTACTCTGGACACTGTGCCTCCAAAAGCAGAGGCTGTATCTGTAATGCTCGGTCTACAGTAGCCCTCGACGCATGCAGTTGATGAATATGTGTCTGCCGCTGATCTTACCTTCTTCTTGGTCTAGAGTTGGGGACCTCTGTTTTCTCATCTGTAAAATGGTGTATCCGGCTGGCTGATTTTAAGGGCCCTTCTAGGTCCAGAAACCTTGGACTAACAGCATGGGGTTCTCTGGTCATTCCCACCCTGGGAAACATTCTGACAACCAGTTGTTTGCTGAGTGTTCAGGGCTGGATTATCTTGAGGGAAAGGCCTGAGACAGTAGCAAGGACAACTCACCTTTGTGCCGGCCACATATTGTGAAATCTGTTTTGTCTTGGAATACAGCAGGGCATATGCTGGGTCACCGTAGAGGGACTGGCAGATGGAGAAGGGCAAGGAGGGAGAACCTGAGTAGCCACCCCTCCCCTTCACCCTGCCTGATACACTCTGCAGGTGGAAGAGAGGGCTATGGCAGCTGTCAAAGTCTCAGCCTCTGATCTGAATTAACCTGGGACCACAGTCCCTGGGAGACAGAGTAGCGTGGTAAAAACAAGCTGGACTCGGCCGGGCGCGGTGGCTCACGCCTGTGATCACAGCACTTTGGGAGGCCGAGGTGAGTGATCACAAGGTCAGGAGTTCGAGAAGAGCCTGGCCAATATGGTGAAACCCCGTCTCTACTAAAAATACAAAAATTATCCAGCGTGGTGGCGGGCGCCTGTAGTCCCAGCTACTTGGAGGCTGAGACAGAATTGCTTGAACCCAGTAGGCGGAGGTTGCAGTGAGCCAAGATCGCACCATTGCACCCAGCCTTGGTAACAGAGAGAGACTCCATCTCAAAAAACAATAACAAAGCAACACGCACAAAAAAACAAGCTGGACTCCAGTCTAAGAGTTTTGTGGTAGTAGATAGGACTCCAGAAAAACAAACAAACAAAAAAAACCCCGAAAGCCGAGGGAGCAGGGCATCAGCTCAGCCAGAAACTGGGAAACAAAGTCAAGGTCTGACTAACATGGCGATGTTGGTGCTGCATCACAAAGAATTCCATCTAGCCAAGAATTGGCTAGAGTTGAAGTTCCTCCTCCCTGAGGTCAGGATGAGACCTCCTAAAGGGGGGCAGAGATGCCGAGGGCACACTGAGGGTTAGCAGGGTCCTAAAAGTACATGGAAGGATCAGGAATCAGGCTTGACAACCCCCAGCCCCACCCGCTTTCCAGACTTCCCTGTGCTCCTTGTGCGTGCTTCACTTGTAAAGGGGAAGCACTGTGATTTGTATGTTTTGCCCACAGAAGTACAGAGCTCATGTCATACAAGGGGAATAGGCAGTGATTGCCGTAGCATTGGATCTGAAATTTTTCCAGGATGTAGGGGTTGCTTGCTCAGTGAGTCTGTAAGGGCTTCATGAAGTCAGGGAGGGGCCAGATAGAGGGTTTTCGTGAGCCTCTAAACCACTGGATCCCCCTATCCTCTCTCTAATCCTCTCTACACACACTCTCTCTCACACAAATATACCAATCTTCTTGATAGAAACACACTGAATTTGTAGGATTACATATGGAATTTATAGGAAATTTTAGATGTAATTTATATAATTACAGTCATGGAAGCTGATCATTTCAGAGTGCAAGGACCTCCTGTCTCCTCTCCTTGCACACAGTCAGGATATTTACAACCAGCACCGTCTCTAGGGCCCCTGCCTGGGGGAGGGGAGCATTTCACCATGAATAGAGGAGTGTGTGGATTGGCATGGGAGAGCTCTCAGCCTGAAAGGATGGAGGATGACTAGGGAGGAGAGGGAAGGGTGAAAGAGTAGAGCTGCCATTCCCACCTCAGCTGTCAACTTGGGACTGTGTGACTCTCTTGAAGTGTGACTTTGCAGAGAAATTCAGACCCCCGCCAGCGGGACAGCTGGCTCCAGTCCTTCCCACACAGTGATGACTCAGGCAGGCTGGCCTCTCTGGAGGCAGCTTTTTCATAGCTTGCTAAAAGAATGTTGTGTCCTAGTCTGATTTCTTTGGGGTCTAACCAAGGTCCTCTTAGGAATGCACCAGTGATTCTAATTCAGGTTTCCTTGGGGTGTCTCTGTTTATCCTGGTGACAGGAGGTGGCTGTTTCAGCAAAAAAAAAAAAAAAAAAAAAAAAAATCCCAGTGACTAGGCTGGGCCAGCACATGGGAGAAATATTCTACTTTCCAACAAAAGGAGCCTCTGAAGCATCTTAGTGCTTTTAAATTATAGAATTAAGCAAATTTATGGCAGAAAAATAAACATTAAACTTAGCTTTATTTTTGGTCTGTTTTGTTTGCAAGGAATAACCCCTGTCAAACCATCAGAAAGAAGCACGGGGAGCATTGGAAGGAGACCCTCAGCGGTACCTGGGGATTCAAAAGTAGGGCTCTCCTAGGGACCCGTGGCTGACAGCTCAGCTTCCCTGAGGCCGGAGCTGCAGGGAGTTTTAAGTTGAAGGGAGATCTGGGGGCCTCAGAGGCAGCTGTCCGTGGGCCTTCTCTACTGTACTATTGTGGCCCAGGGTTGTGGCTTGAATTGTGTTTCCAGAAAGATATGTTGAAGTCCTTACTCTCAGTACCTATGAATATCAACTTATTCAGACATAGGGTCTTGGCAGAGTTAATCAATCTAAAATGAGGTCATACTGCATTTGCGTGGCCCCTAAATCCTATCACTGGTGTCCTTATATGAAAAGACACAGAGGGAAGATGGTCACATGAGGCTGGAGGCAGGTAATGGAATGATGCTGTCACAAGCCAAGGAACACCAAGCATTGCCAGCAGACTCCAGAGGCCAGGAGGCAAGGAAAGCGTCTTCCCTAGGGCCTTCAGAGGGAGCACAGCCCCACTGCACCTTGGTTTTGAACTTCCAGCCTCCAGAACTATGAGAGAAGATGTTTGTCTTGTTCTAAGGCACCCAATGTGTGCTCATGTGTCCTGGCTGCCCCAGGAAGTGAACACACCCAGCTGTGCACCATGTTCCTGCTAGCAATGGCAGCCTCTCTCTTTGTTTCTTGTTCAAATTCTTTTTTTTTCTTTTCCCCCAAGATGGAATTTCACTCTGCCACCTAGGCCAGAGTGTAGTGGCACGATCTCGGCTCACTGCAGCCTCTGCCTCCTGGGTTCTAGCAATTCTCCTGCCTCAGCCTCCCAAGTAGCTGGGACTACAGGTGCCCACCACCATGCCCAGCTAATTTTGTGTATTTTTAATAGAGACAGGGTTTCACCGTGTTAGCCAGGATGGTCTTGAACTCCTGATTTCACGTGATTGGCTGGCCTCAGCCTCTCAAAGTGCTGGGATTACAGGCGTGAGCCACCACGCCCAGCCCTGTTCAAATTCTTGATACAGAGGGGATCTGGTCCTGGTCATCTTTTGTGGCTGACCTGTGGACCAGCTGCCCTTGATGGTTCAGGGGCTGCCTTAGGCCAATTGGCTGTAACGGAATGTGGTGGGGTCACTTGGCACAAAGCAAGACTTCTTGAGCTCAAAAGGCCGGCAGAGGTCAAGCATCCTAAACATGTCCAGCAGACCCAGGCACCTTGGTCCGGGCCCACTGGGAGGTTTTGTGGAGCTGTGATCCTCCTGTAGAGTTCTTTCATATTCTTCCCTTTCCCCTCTCCACGCATCCACCTAGCTCCTACTTTTGACTGCTAATGAATGGCTAAAGAAAAAAAGTAGGTCCTTTTTTTTTTTTCTTTTTTTAAATGGACGTTCTGTAGAAAGTACAGGCACTTAAGTCCTGGATTAAGATTCACGAGTCCTGAGTTGAAAGCTAGGTTTTTGTTACTTACCAGCTATGTGACCATGACACTGGGCAGACCTTTTCACTTCTCTGAGCTTCGGATCCCTAGCTGTGAAATGGAGCCAATGTCACTGGCCTGCTAAGAATGTGATCAAATAAGAAAATGGATGTGAATATTCTTTGATCTTGTTAAAGCTCCAAGTCCACAGGGAATGCTTTAGGCAAGAAGCCGCCCCCCAGTTAGGGTGGGCTCCATGCAGAAGCTGGGCTGTGGAAACTGAGGGGCAGGCTCAGGGACAGAGTGCCTGCTGGCTGCCTGCTTTTCCTTTGTCTTTTTCGATAATGCTAATTTGGTTACTCTTAGTAACAGCTATTCCCCATTACTATTACTCATTCTGGGCTCTGAATCATTCTGATGGATACAACTTGACATCAACCAATTTGCCTAATTCATCACCTTTGCATTTCTTTAATACTAAAGACAAAGTAGGAAGGTTTTCCAACTGGCTTTGTGATTTTCTTTTCTCCTATCCTCCAGCATCAATGGGGGATGCAGAAAAGACTCCCTCTGAAGGGCTGCTGGGTGGAGAATTCAGCTGGCCAGGAATTCTGAAGTTAAAACCCACTCACTACGTGGTCTTTAGTAAGTTCAGGATGACCATGGCTTTGCTCGTCCTTGTCTCCATAGCCCCCAGGGCTGGTCGTTGGACAATCATTCATTTTCTATCTGGGATTAAGCCCAGCCCAGCCGGGACTGAGAGTGTTCCCCACCCAGCTTCCCTGCACTTGTGTACGCTCAGCCATGGCCTAAAATGCGGAGTTCTCATTTCGAGGCTCAGGACTGATTTCTCCCGCCCTCAATGTGGGGAGGTCCTGAGTCCACTCATTCTTTCAAGTCCTGCCCAGCCACCTTCTCCATGGAGAAGGAATCTCCTGCTCGGAATTTCTACATCCCTTCTCCTGTTCCTTTATGATGAGCCGTAATCCTTTCACATTACAAAATCAAAATGCAGAAGCATGTAAGGTAAAGGGTGATGTTTTCCCCATTCTTCTTCTCCAGTGTCCTCCTCTCCCCAGCACCTCCTTGTGTAAGCAATGTTTTGTTTTGTTTGCATCTTCCAATGTCTTTCTTTGTGTTCACACTAACATATTCATTTATATATTCATACATAAAGGGGTTTTCTACTAATATTTAAATGTGCTCTCATTGCACATACACAATTACCTTTCTTAACTTAATAATATATTATGGGCATTCCTCCATGCCAATTCACATATATCTTTCGTTTAAATGGCTTCATAATGTTCTATACATTTATTCAAATCTTTCCCTGTTGTCTTCCGGTCCGTAATCTTCATACACACATCTTTTTATAGTGATGTTTTAGTTTCTGTAGGAAAGAGTCACAAATGTGTGATTTCTGGGCCAAAGGATATAATATGCTTAATTCTTATAGTTACTAGCAGATTACTTTCCAGATAGGATGTGGGGATATAGCTCATCAGTGAAGTATAGGAATGCCTGTTTCCTCACACCTTCACCAGCTTTTAGATGCTAAATATAAATATTTTGCATTTTTTTTTACTATCTGCTGGGTGACAAATGGCATTTTAGTGTTTTAATTTCCATTTTCTTAAATACAGGTGAATTTGAACATCTTTTTATATTTCTTGGCCATTTGCATTTTTCTGTAAATTCCTTGTCAAATCTTTTGCCCATTTTTAATTGCATCCTTTAAATATTACAGTCTCAGGCCGGGCGCAGTGGCTCACGCCTGTAATCCCAGCACTTTGGGAGACCAAAGCGGGGGGATCACTGGAGGTCAGGAGTTCGAGACCAGCCTGGCCAACATGGTGAAACGCTGTCTCTACCAAAAATACAAAAATTAGCTGGGCATGGTGGCACATGCCTGTAGTCCCAGCTACTTGGGAGGCTGAAACAGGAGAATTGCTTGAAACTAGGAGGTGGAGGTTGCAGTGAGCTGAGATCACACCACTGCATTCCATCCTGGGCAACAGAGCAAGACTCTGTCTCAAAATAAACAAATAAATAAATAAAATAAAAAATAAAAAAATAAGTACGATGGTCTCCTTGTACTTGTCCAACATAACTTCTGTCCATAATAACAGCTAATATTGGTATCGCATATAAAGCATTTTTCACATACATTAGCTCATTAAGTCACTACTATGATTTTACAAGGAACATATTATTTTTAGTTTTAGGAAACTGAAGCCCAAAGGCTTGCTCAGGCTACGTAGTCTACTGCTGCTGAGCTGAGGCTCCAGCTGCCTTCCACAGCCCCATGGGAAGGATCCATGGGTGACTTTTCTCTCCCATTTGGTGCCTTGCACAGACCTTACACCAGGGAATGGACGTAAAATGAGTAGAATGACATATGATGGATGGATTAATGAATCAGAAGATGGAGAGAATGATGGATAGATTAAAAGATGGCAGTTTGGAACAACTTCCCAATATATACCCCTCCCCAACAATATGTGTCTTCTGGATTTCTGCTCAAAATGCCCTTCTCATTCTTCATTATCATTGCCAAGCAGTCTTTTCATAGGCATCTGACCTTGCTATAGTCCTTGACTTCTCGTGTATGAGGAGGGTCTGTCTCAAGCATGGAAAACAGCCCTTTGCCTCAGGTAGGTAACGTGAAGAGTGACACAGAGTGGAAGAGCATAACACAGCAGTTCTCAGCTAGAGGTGATTTTGGTCCCCCTTCCCCAGGGGACATTTGACAATGTCTGGAGACATTTTTGATGTCACAACTTGGGGAGGAGGTGCTACTGGCATCTGGTAGGCAGAGGCCAAGGATGCTGCTAGACATCCTACAAGGCACAGGGCAGTGCCCACAACAAAGAATTCCTTGGCCCCAAATGCCAAGAGTACTGCTGTTGAGAAGCCCTGGCTTAAAGCGGCAGCAAGCCCCTTAGTGACAGCGTGATAAGAAGGAAGGATGTAGGATTTGTAAACTCAAGGGACTTGCCTCTGAGCATTAAGGGGCCTGTATGATTTTGAGCACTGATCCTTTCTCAGCCTCAGTTTTCTCAAGTGAAAATGTGGATAATCTCATCTTCCATGAGAGACTATTGTAAATATTAAGCAGAAGGATGTATGTGAAAGGCTGCTAGGTACATGTGGGAGATATTGATTGTCATCAGGAAGCATTTGAGAAAGGTATCTTATTTATCTGGGCGTGAATTTGGGGGAGCTCAGCCTGTACTCTCTTGGTTTCTCGACTGACTGTGTGTGGGTTCTTTGGATGTGAAAATGCAGGTGTTTGTGGCTTGGAGTCTGAAAAACTAGCTGAATGCTAATCTCCCAGCGTCCTTGTTTGCTCCTCTGGAAACTTTGCTGGGGGACAGCTAATCGATGGGGGGAAATGATGACTCCTGCATTGTGCACATACTAACTGGCAGCCCTGGAGCCCAGACCCGGGACTTGGGAACATGCTTTTGCTTTTGAAGGAAGGCTGGGCAGGGAACTGTAATGGAATTTCTAATTCTGGATCTGGTTAGTTGAGAGCAAGATCAGATCTACTTGATGTAGCAGACCAAGGTAGCAGATGGAAGAAGGGGAGCCAAATGGCCAAATTAGGGGATGAAAAATCAAAGAAAATGAAAAGGAACGAGAAAAGACAGCGGGAGGAGGTCCTGAGGAATTGGGCAGCCTGAGAGCCAAAGCCCAGAAAGGCGTTTTACACTCTTGGTCTATGTCACTTTAATCCTAGCCATTTACTTAGGCAAGGACTTTTGGGCAAAGGATTTTTCTAATCAACCCCACCATATCACCCCAAGTCTAACCTCACCCTCCACTCTGCCCATACTTCCTGACCCACACTACAGCCTCTGCTGTGTCCCCACCCAGGCCCGGTTCCCTGTCCTCTCTTCTCCCTACTTGCCTGGACCCCTCAAGCCTTCCTTCAACCTCACTGGTTTGATTAGAATCCCATCCACCATCCTTGGCTCAGTCCACCCACCATGCTGAAGATGGAAGGGAAAAGAAGTGAGTAAGGGAGAGAGCAAAGGAGAGGAGTGGTCTCTTTTGAGCCAAGGGAATTAGATTCCCCAGCCTGCTTTCAGCTTATTCTGCCCCAAAGACCAGAAGGATAATCCTTTCCCTAATATTCTTGACATAAAACCAACTTATGTACAAATACACCTGTCCTGTTTTGAGTCATAACTAGTGGTTCATAAGCATCTTTTATAGCGTGTGGAATTCACAGCTTGGAGGTGATGCACATTCTGCCCAGGATTCAGGCCCTAAGCCGGGTCCTGTGTCTTCTCAGCACACGTACCCCAGATCCATTGGCCTTCTTGTCTTTCTGGAACTCTTGGGCTAGGGTTGCCCTCCTCTCAGTAAGAAGCTTCTGTGAGTGTGGAACAGAGCAGCAGATAAAGTCAAGGATGTCAGGAGAGCTTGTAAGGTGATTCAAACCCTAGTTCCAGGAAGAGAGAACCCAGGGAAATTCTTTTATCAGTGTTCTTCATTCAGCAGTGGCAGCAGTGTGGTGGAGGCGCACAGACTGCGTGTCTCCCTCTGTGGGGACCAGTCCCTTGAGGAGCTCAGACTGCCTCTAGCCTGGCCGGGTGGGGTGGGGACCGTGGGGGCTGGCGTGGCAGCTGTGGGCTGCACCAAGGCCTGTCAGGGAGGAATGATTAATGAACAGCCGCACCAGCTGAGGCTAACCTTTGGAGAGCTGAGCAGGGCATCTGCAGAACTGTCAGCGCTCTGACAAGGACAGAGCTGAACAACCAATTACGCCGCCATCACTAAGGTGGGCTGTCACTTTAATCCCAGCCATTCACTTAGGCAAGGACAGGGAAATTTCTCCTCTGCAGAGGCGTGTGCCTCGGCCACCTTAACCATTTCAAGACAGGGCAGGGACCCTGGTTGGGAGCTGCTCCAGCTGTGTCCTGACAAGTCTCCCCACTTCCAGGCTTTCCCCGCTTCCCAGTCTCTCTTTCATACCGGCCACGAGAGCAGAATTCCAGCCACATTTACGCCTGTGATTTCATTCTGCTGCCTCCCACAGCTT
The DNA here is from genome assembly GCF_000001405.40 of Homo sapiens. Taxonomy (NCBI): domain Eukaryota; kingdom Metazoa; phylum Chordata; class Mammalia; order Primates; family Hominidae; genus Homo; species Homo sapiens. Next base: position 38,444,865 of record NC_000001.11, on the reverse strand, counting down.
GCAGGACGAAGCTGGAATTCCTTGACCTGGCATTCAAAGCTTTTCATCCCATTTATTCACTCAATTGTTTACCTGATGAACAATTACCTATTGCACATTTGGTATGTAGTAGGCATTCTGCTAACTACGGAGCAGAGTAATTAAATGTAAGAGAGTTCTCACCCTTTAGAAGCTTGTGATCTCAGAGCAGAGGCAGATAAGTCCCTGAGTGGAATATAAGATCTCTTACAGAAGTAGTAATAGAAAGCTGTGGGAAGCCACAAGAGAAACACAGAAACCAGATGTGTGGGGTAGTGGAGAGCCAAGGGGCAGGGATAATCTTGGGCTTTGTCTAAAGTGCTAAGCAGCCGTTAGTCAGGCAGAGAGGTGGGGAAAGGGAAAAGCAAGTACAAAGGCGCAAAGTCGAAACTACTCATGAATTGTAGCAATGCCAAGTGATTCCATGTGTCTGGCATTCCAAGTACGGATGCTCCTGGATTCCTGGGGCTACATCTAATAAACCCATCTTTACTTGAAACTATTGTAAGTCAAAAATGCATTTAATACACTAACCTACTGCACATCATAGCTTAACCTAGTCTACCTGAAATGTGCTCAGAACACTGACATTAGCCTACAGTTGGGCAAAATCATCTGGCAACACAGTACATCGTAGAACATCTGTTGTAACCTTGCAATGATGTGACTGGACTGGGAGCTTCAGCTCACTGCCATTGCCCAGCATCGAGCAAGAGTATGGTACCACATATTGCTAGCCCAGGGAAAGATCAAAATTCAAATTTGATTCAAAGTATGGTTTCTACCAAATGCGTTTCACTATCACATCATCATGAAGTCAAAAAATTGTAAGTTGAACCACCATGAGTCAGTGTCCATCGGTATATGAGAAGTAGTTAATAAGTCTGGAAAAGTAGGGAATCAGGTGGTGAAAAGATTTGAACCCCAGATAAAATGATTTGGATTTTATCCTACTTTTTAGAAAGGAATATATTTGAGAACTGCCTTCTACCTACTTTTTTGACATCCTCTCTATCTCTTACCACATATCCTGGATTCCAGCTGCTCTGGACATTTTGTTATTCCCGGACCTTACCATATTTTCATACCTCCATGGTTTTGCTCTTGCTGTTCTCTCAATCTGGAATGTCCTCCCCCCATTCCTTGCTATAAAGCTAGTAATTATGTTTTACTGCTAATAACAAGGGCTGAAATCAGAGCAGCTTAAGAAAGATGGAGGCTTGGCTGGGCGTGGTGGCTCACGCTTGTAATCCCAGTGCTTTTGGAGGCTGAGGCAGGTGGATCACAAGGTCAGGAGTTCAAGACCAGCCTGGCCAAGATGGTGAAACCCTGTCTCTACTAAAAATACAAAAATCAGCCAGGCGTGATGGTGGGTACCTGTAATCCCAGCTACTCGGGAGGCTGATGCAGAGAATTGCTTGAACCCAGGAGGTGGAGGTTGCAGTGAGCCAAGATCGCATCACTGCACTCCAGCCTGGGCAACAGAGCAAGACTCTGTCAAAAAAAAAATAAAAGAAAAAGAAATACGGAGGCTTATTTTTCTTTCATGTAACATGAAATTTAGCAATAAGTAAAGTAGTAGCATGACAGGGTCATCAGGGACCCAGGCGTCTTCCATCTTTCCATTCCACCCCCCTTATTGTGGCTTTCATCCTCAAAGTCAACTCACTCATGGTCACAGGATGGTTGCCAGAGCTGCAGCCATTATGCCCCCATTCCAGGAAGGAAAAAAGAGGAAGGGGAAAAAGATAAAAAGAATGTACTTTTCAATTAAGTTGGTGGTTGGTGGCTTCGAAGAGCTTTTCTACAAGCCTTGCCTAAAACCTTTGCTTTTATTGTATTGGCCACCCTATCCACAAAGGAAAGTGAGAAATGTGGTTGTTTTGTTTTTGTTTTTGTTTTTCGTAGTGCTTATTCTATCCCAAGGAAATCAGGGCTCTGTTAATAAGGAAGAAGAGAATGAGAAGACAACTAACAATCTTTGCTACAATTGCTAAGCAAAAGGCACTTGAACACCTTCCACAGAAGAGGCAGACATGAAAGAAATGAAAGGTTCAAAAATGGAAAAATCACGGCATAAAAGGTTGAGAGGAGAACAATGCAACTGAACAATGAAGATAAATATAAATAATTCTTAAATGTCTAGGTATTATCCAAATTTCTAACATTTATTTTGGAGAAAATTTTACATGATGTAAAATAAGGATAGTATAATAAAATAATCTTTCTGAAACCTTAGTTTCTTTAAAACAACCATGAAGAATGAAGTTGGAAAAAGAAAGTAAAAGTGTGCCTAACTACTCATCTAATATAAAATGATCTCAAAAGATTCCAATCCATACTCAATTCTGATAATTAGAGGAATGTAAATTGAAAACTATTTTTGAAAACTGTTGAGGTTGCTAATAGTGGAATTAGAGCCACCATTTATCTTCTAATACATTAAAGAAGATAAATTCAAAGAAAATAGAAACCATTTACCAATAGTTAAAAAAAAAAACAGCACAGCTAATGACAAGATGACAGGAGGGAAAAAACAAAATAACTAGTTATTACAATGTGTATAAATGTACTAAATTCCTCTATTAAAACATAAAGACTCTCAGACTGGATTTAAAATGATATTCAACTATATTCTATTTACAAGATAATCAACTAAAACAAAGTTGGGAAAAAAGAATAAGAAGCAAAGGGATAGGCAAAAGTGCATGAGGCAAATTAATGCAAACAGAAAGGAAATCAAGGCCCACAGTGTCAATCAGGCAAATATAATTTGGGACAATAAAGAATTAAACAAGAAAATAGAGTCTTGTTTCATGGAGAAGGAATCCCAGGTTTAGGCTGGGTGTTTCTGTTCAGATTCCAGATCTATGTGAACAGAGGCTAAAGGGTCTCTTAGGAGATAATTCAAGCTGTGTCCATTGCAGGGGTTGGGATATGGCTGGACATGTCTTGTGAGACGGTAAGCTTTCTCTTGCTAAAAGCCTTTTTGCCTGAGACCTTAGAAGGCTCATCAGTAAGGATAAAGATACCAAGTGCAATGAATGTGACCTGGAGAGAAAATTGTAGTCACCAGAGGAAAATACCATTCTTAGGACAATGTGTTATCTATCATTGGAATTTGCCTTTTGGCCCATTCTCTGTAATTTTTCAAATACAAGCCTTCTGGAGAGCATGCAAATTATAATTTAAAACTTAAAGGGCTATTTTCCTAAAAGGGTGGCAAAAAAGTAAGAAACCAGTGGTATGTCCTTGGGATCCTTGTATAATGCAAAAGGTAAAGGGAGTTATTTATTCACTTCTGCTTTAGTGCGTTTGGCACCATGCAATTCGATTGGTATAAATATTACTATGGCAGCAGTATGGAGTGAGTGAGTCTGGAGTTAGAACAGGCATTTAGAAAGCTGTTACAATAGTCTAGAAGAGAAGTGCAAGAAACAGGAGTCCTTAACAAATAAATCCATGTTGTATCCCATAGATTCCTGGAAGAGGAGCAGTGTACCTTCTACATATGGCCATGGCAGAGTAACTGGGATCAGATTTCCTTCCCAATATAAACAATAAGAAAACTAGACGAAAGATATAAAACAACTGTTTTCAAACATTGAACAACTGGCAGTGCAGGATTGTGATCCTTGTGAGCAGGTAAGCAAACAAGGTGAGCCCTACAGTTACTGCAGATTTCTGCCTGCAGGGATTTTCTCGATCATGGTTCAATAAAAGGGAACCCAAATTTTGTTGATTTGAAGAAACAGACATCAAAGAGAAGGATGATGAAATAGTTATAATTTGCAGAAAATAATTTACAGAAAAGGAGCTCCAAGTATCCACATGGCTGTCCCCTGGAGTCTGTGGCTGAATCCTAAGGTACCCAATGGTAGACAAAGTGCCCAGAGGATTATAAGCTGAATAATTCTCAGAATCTACATAGGGCAAGGATAAGTTAAAATTCTGACCTTTCAGGATGGAGAGGTCTGTAAATATCCAGAAAATTTCAGAAGAGAACCCCAAATGTCTTGCCTTAGTAATAAAGCTAAACCAGCCCTAGAGTAAGGTATATTTTAAACCTGTTATACACATGCACATACACATACCTGTACTCATACACAGACACATAGATTGCTTTACCCTTGAAAGGATCAAGCTGATTTGTAAGCAACCTATTTGTCTGCCAGAGCAAAATTTAACATTCCTTAAAGGATGACAACAAAATCCAGGAATTAACAACATAATGCTGACAATGTCCAGCATGCAATAAAAAATTAGTAGACAATCTAAGGAGCAGGATAATGTGACCCATAACTAGGAGAAAATTAATCATTAAAACAACATTGGAAATGACAGAGATGGTGGAATTAACAGAGAAATTTTAAGAACAGCTATTATGAATATGACAGAGGATTTAAAGGAAAACATGAATATAATGAGGATATAAAACAACCAAATGAAACTTCTAGAGATTGAATATACTGTACCAAAAATAAAATGTTCACTGAATGAGATTAACAGCAGATTAAATACTGCAGAAGAAAACACCAGTGTACTTGAAGGCATAAGTAATGAAACCATCTAAAGTGAATCAGGGAGAGAAAAAAAGACTGAAACAATTAATTAGAGGCTGAGCAATCTGTGGGCAATGTAAAATTTAATATTTGAATAATGAAAGTCTCAGAAAACAGTGGGGAGTGGATAGAAAGATATTTGAAAAAAAAGTCATAAAATTTTCCAAATTTGATGAACACATAGACCTAAGAAACTCAATAAGCCTTAAATAGGATAAACACAAGGAAAACCACACCAAGACACATCATTATCAAATGCTGAAAACTGGTAATAAAGAGAATATCTTACAAGCAGCTAAAATGTAAAAACACATTACATACTAGTGAACCCATATGAGAATAGTCCCAAACTTTTATTCAGAAACTAACTAGAAGACAATGGAATGATAACTTGAAATGATCAGCCAACCAGTGCTATCACCTTAAAATTCTATATCCAGTGAAAACAGCCTTCAAAAATAAAGGAAAAATAAGGGTTGCTTTATTATTATTATTTTGAGACAAAGTCTCCCTCTATCACCCAAGCTGGAGAGCAGTGGTATGGTCTCAGCTCACTGCAGCCTCTGCCTGCTGAGTTCAAGTGATTCTCCTGCCTCATTCTCCTGAGTAGCTGGGATTACAGGCATGCACCACCATGCCCAGCTAATTTTTGTATTTTTAGTAGAGACAGGGTTTCACCATGTTAGTGAGGCTGCTCTCGAACTTCTGAACTCAAGTGATCCACTCTCCTCTGCCTCTCAAAGTGCTGAGATTAAAGGCATGAGCGACCATGCCTGGCCTAGGATTTTTTTTTAGATAAACAAAAGCTAAAAGAATTGGTGGCCAGCACAATTATTAAGGAAAGTTGTTTAGGTTAAAGGAAAATGAGGCCAGATGCAAACATGGATATAAACAAAATAATGAAGAATGCTAGAAAGAATAAATACACGAGTAACCATCGAATACTTTTTCTATCATTTTTTAATTTCTTTAAAAGACTATTGTCTGCTTAAAGGAAAAGTAGTACAATGTATACATTTTAATGTACATAGAAGTGTAATGTATGGCAGTAACAGTACAAAGAATGGGAAGAAGGGAATGAAAATATACTGTCACAAAGTTTCTATATTTTATATATAAAGTGATTTAGCATTATTGGGAAGTAGACTGTTGCATACTGTCAATCTTAGAGAAACCATTATGAAATAGTGATAACTAATAAGCCAGTAGTACTATTGGAATATTAAAAAACACCAATCCAAAGAAAAGCAGTGAGGGAGGATAAAAGGAATAGAGAATAAATGGGACACACAGAAAAAAACAAACAAGATGTTTGACTTAAATTCGAACATGTCAATAATTACATAAAAGTGTACCTAGTTTAAGTATTTCAATTAAAAGGCAGAAATTGTCATATAGTTAAAAAAGCAACACCTAAGTATATTATGTCTATAAGAAATACATGTTAAATATAAACAAAATACATTAAAACTGAAATAATGCAAAAAGATATACCATGCAAACACTAATCAAAAGAAAGGTAGAGTGGCTATATTAATATCAAGACAAGCAGATTTCAGAAGAAGGAATGTTATTAGGGATATTCACAAAGACGATTGAGTCAATTAATCAAGAAGGTATAATAATCCTAAGCACACCTCATAACAGAGCTTCAAAATATGAAGCAAAAACTGACCAAACTGAAAGGAGAAATAGACAAATTCACAAGCATAGTTGGAGATTTCCACATTCCTCTTTCAATAATTAATAGAACAATTAGTCAGAAGATAAGTGAACATATGGAAGACCCAAACGGTATTATCAGCCAATTTGACCTTTTTGACACATATAAAAACTGCCACCCAAGAACAGGAGAAGTGCACTTAGAACAAGCTAAACTACACATTGGGATATCAAACACTATCACTATGTTTAAAAAGATTCAGACATACAGGATACATTCTGTAAACAAAACACGATTCATTTAGAAACCAATAATAAAACAAGGTACCTGGAGACTCCCCAAATATTTGAAAATTCAACAATGCACTTCTAAATAACCCAGGGATCAAAGAAGAAATCACAAGGGAAATTAGAAAATATTTTCAACTGAATGAAAACGAACATATGACATGTCAAAATTTGGGGGATGCAGCTAAAGCGGTGCTTAGAGAGATATTTATAGCTTTACATGTTTATATTAGAAAGGAAGAAAGGTCTCATCTCAATTATCTAATTTCAACCTAAGAAGCTAGACAAAGGAAAACAAATTAAACCTAAGATAAGCAGAAGTAGGGAAACTAAATAGTAGAAATCAATAAATAGAAAATAAACAGCAGAGAAACATCAATGAAACGAAAAACAGTTTCCTTGAAAAGATCAACAAAATCAATAAAACCTCTAGCTGGACTAATCAAGAATAAAAGAGTAAAGACATAAAATTACCAGTATCATGAAAGAAAAAGGACAGCCCTATAGATCCTACAGACATTAAGGTATAGGAAGTAATTCCAACAACATTACACCAAAAAATTCAACTTAGATGAAATAAACGTAGTCTTTGAATGACACAAATTAGGCCAGCCATGGTGTCTCACACCAGTAATCCCAGCACTGTGGGTGGCCAAGGCAGGCAGATCACTTGAGGTAAGGAGTTCGAGACGAGCCTGGCCAATGTGGTGAAACCCCATCTCTACTAAAAATACAAAAATTAGCCAGGTGGGGTGGTGTACACCTGTAGTCCCAGCTACTCGGGAGGCTGAGGGAGGAGAATCACTGGAACCTGGGAGGCGGGTGTTGCAGTGAGCTGAGATCACGCCACTGAACTCCAGCCTGGGTAACAGAGTGAGACTTTGTCTCAAAAAAAAAAAAAAAAAAGGACACAAATTAAACTGACTGTGAATAACACATAGAAAATATGAACTGTCATATAAGTTTATATAAGAAATATAATTTATAATTTAAAATCTTCCCACAAAAGAAAACTCCAGACCTGGATGGCTTCAGTGATAATTCTGCCAAACACAAACTCAAAAAATAAAGGCAGGAAGGGGGAACACCTTCTAACTTATTTTATGAGGCCAATGTTATCTTGATAATGAAAACAGACATAGACATTGTAAGAGAAGTTAAAGCATAAACCAATGTCATTCATGAACCTAGAAGAAGAGCAGTGGCACCAGATAGGCATGTCAGTTACCAATAGAAGTCTGATGATAAATTATGGTACTAGAAGATCTGGAGCTCGCCCATAGATGTCTCGTGGAACAGGAGGTACATCCATTAGGAGTGAGCTTGTTAATGAGCTAAACTGAACCCCTGCCACCTGGGTACTCCTAAATCTAGCAGAGAGAGACTTTGAGGAAGTCTATAGCTCCTGCATGAGTGGGTGAGAACAAAAACGGTAGTTTCATTTGTTTCTACATGCTAGCAAGATCTGGAAAACTTGGGTTGTATTGACAGGATGCCAACTTTATAATGAAAGAATAATTTCAAGAACTTTTAGGCACAAAATAATTTTGCATTTAAATATATACAACAAAATATATTCGAAGTGTAAGAATAAATAATCAGAAATAGGACTGTGGTGAAAGATTTCAATATTCCTTCTTTTATTTATTTTTATTCTCAACTTGGTGAATCTTTCTGTCTGTGTATTCTGTTGTGATTTCAGTTCAGAAAGCTTTGCTTTTTCTTCCTTTTTTTTTAAAAAAAGTCTTTGATTATTGCTTCTGTTATAGATATTCTATATTCATCTTTAAAAATACCTTTACTTTTTCAATTGATTTCCTTTTTGTTGTTGTTCTCTATATAGGTCTTTTTCCTTGTTGCTTTGTCCTTGCTTTTTAATTTTATTTAGGAGTTTTAAAAACTCTACCTACAAGTCCCTCACATTAGTGATTCTTTTAAAATACCATTATTATTGTTATTATTATTATATTGTCAGTTCTGTTCTACAGGCCTTGGTAATTTACCCTTCCACTCAAGCAGGAAACATAATCTCTGATTTTATCCTTATCTATTCCACCTCCCATGTTTAACGCATCATCAAATCCTGCAGCTTTGATCTTCAAAAAGTGTCTTCGAATGCGTTTATCCGGCCGGGCGTAGTGGCTTACACCGCTAATCCCAGCACATTGGGAGAACAAGGTGGGTGGATCACCTGAGGTCAGGAGCTTGAGACCAGCCTGGCCAACATGGCGAAAACCCATCTGTACTAAAAATACAAAAAAATTAGCTGGGAGTGGTGGTGGGCGCCTATAATCCCTGCTACTCAGGAGGCTGAGGCAGGAGAATTGCTTGAACCCGGGAGGCGGAGGTTGCAGTGAGCTGAGATCACGCCATTGCACGCCAGCCTGAGCAACAAGAGAGAAACTCCATCTCAAAAACAAAGAATGCGCTTATCCCTTTTCTCACAACTACTCCTTTTGTTTGGACGCTTATAAGTTGTCTTTGGGATTATTACAAAAGCTTTCTAACTGATCTCCTGGATTCCAGCATTTTAGGGCAATAGATTGATTCCTTAGCTAACCTAAGGAACTTCTTATAAGTTCACTCTTATCTTCCCTCCAAATGCATCTATTTCTCTTCTTTCCCTTGGATGTTCAAGTAATTAGTGTTCCGTGAACTTTGTGGGCCTCCTCTCATTTTTGTAATTTTGCTTCTGCTGTTTAGATGTTACTTCTTACATTCCCTTGGCAAGCTCACATTCATCCCTCAAGATTCAGTTCAAATGTCACATACCCTGGGAAGCCTTCTCTCACATTTGTCATTCCTCCTTAATCTGTGCAGGGTGGGGTCCCCCAGCACCCCAAATTTTCCTCTATCACATCATCCATCAAACACTACTGCAATCCTCTCTTTATTCATCCATCTCTCCCATCCCCAGATTGTGAGCTCCTTGGGAAAAGAAATTGTCTCATTCATTTTATTTCCCTAGTACCAAGCACAAGGTCTAGTACAAAGTGTTTTTATTGAATGGAAACCCTAGAGTGATGTCCCTGATTCCAAGTCCTAGATGAACAGCACTTGTACCCATCCTTTGTTTAATGCTATATGAATCTAGCCCCTAGATTCTGCGATGCAAGCAACAGAAAAGTCAGCCACTAAGCAAGCTATGTCTCTAGCTCCTGGCACAGGGCCTGGCACATCGCGGGCACTCAACAAATAGGTCTTGAGCTGAACTTGGTTGCAATATATTATTCTGTCCCAAGTTGGACCTGTGCATTGAGAAGTGGGCTGGAAGTCAATGATGAAAGGCTATTAAACTGCATCCAAACCAGTCTCCATTGGGATTGCATGAATTTTGTTATACATGGGGAAGCAAGAGGACTAGCGAACAGAAGAAACTGAATGTTGATGATTAGATGGGTTACAATGACAAAAGACCTGGCAATTTAACAAGAAGGCATCTTCTGTAGGGAATTTCTGAAGCTGGCCAAATTCAGTGTGACATGCAACAACATAGCAATCTCCTGCCCATTCGTGGAGGCATTCAGCAAATGGAAATCAGATTTCAAGTGAAATCATGTTTGTGGGACAAATAACAGAGCATTGGGCTGCCTCCATCCCCCTCCCTAAGACCCAGATGCAATGAGCATTCTGAAAGGGAGGATGGTCACTGCATAGTGCCAGCCAATGGTGCTCACAGCCAAGAGGATAATTTTGGACAATTCCAGAGAGGGAGGCTCAGAGGCAGGTGCTCCCCTGTGGTGCAACCCATGCATGCATCAAGCTGGGCCAGGGCCTTGGCCACTGCTGGTCATCCCTGAGGGCCATTTTAATACATAACTGTAGGGTCCAATGAATGATTGTTTAGGAGAGGGGGAGGGAAACTGTAAACAATAAATCTTTTAGTCCACTCCCCTGATTTGTCTTAAGCCCTCCTTCCTAAAATCTTGCATTACAGAAGAAAGCATTTACTTTTCTTTGCCTTTCAGTTCAATTTTAATTTGACATTTTTTTTTTTTCACTGAGCTCCTTGCTGTAGGCAACTGTTGTAGGGGTCGGGGATCCGGAGAGGGGTGAGACACAGTTTCTGCCTCCATGGAATTCTCAGCATGTCAGGACAGTTGGAGGACAGAGGGAGAATTCTTGGGCTGGCCCAGAGTATGAGCAAGTAGGACTGCCCTGGCAGAAAAGGAAGAACCCAGACAGGTGAAGAGCCCTCATTAGGCAGTGCAGGGGCTGGGCAAATCCCAAGGAGGCTGGAACCCTAAGGGAAGGTTATCTGAGCCAGTAGGCGGGAGGGGGACAAAAGACAGTTCTGAGAATAAGAAGCAGGCAACCAGAAATGGGTCAAGTGAGGCTCAGAGGTGGAGATAAAGCAAAGCTCTAAAAGTAACCCACAACTGGTTAGATCAAAAAGCACTTGGCCGGGCGCGGTGGCTCACGCCTGTAATCCCAGCACTTTGGGAGTCCGAGGTGGGTGGATCACGAGGTCGGGAGTTCATGGCTAGCCTGACCAACATAGTGAAACCCCATCTCTAGTAAAAACACAAAAATTAGCCGGGCGTGTTGGTGGGCGCCTGTAGTCCCAGCTACTCGCGAGGCTGAGTCAGGAGAATCACTTGAACCCGGGAGGCAGAGGTTGCAGTGAACCAAGATCGCTCCATTGCACTCCAGCCTGGGCAAAAAGAGCACAACTCCGTCTCAAAAAAAAAAAAAAAAAAGCACTCAGCATCCAAGGAGCAAGAGGAAATGGGCAACTCCTGCTGCCTGTGGTCCCTGTAACCTCATGAAGTGTTTCCATTCCAGATAGTAAGGGCCCCAAGCATGACTTCTGTCCCAGTGGTGCAGGGAGACAGATAGTAACTAGCCAGGATGAAAGCGCTGTGTATGCAGGAAGCTCAGGGTACTGTCCGAGTTATTGAAGCAAGGGTCAGGTCAGGCCTCGTGGAAGTGATGACATTTGATGGAAGCCTGCAGGAAGGGTCAGGGCCCCGGACTTGGCACATCCCCTGGAGAAACCACCCTCCCCAGCACCGGATGCTTGAATGACTGGCAGTTCTGCTTTCACTCCTTCCCTGAAATCCCATCTTCACCAACTGTTCTGGGGCTGGAACATTGAGATTCTGAGAGGCAGCGGGTCTATTGGAATGCACAAGAGGCAGCCTGCCTGCCATCTCCTCTTCTTTTCTTGGGCTGTGTTCCCAGAGAAGGCGAGAACCTTCTTCTTCATGTCTCCTGGGTGGAACATTTAAATTCTCCCGGGAAACCCCACTAATTCAAAACCCACTGATTCAGAATTTGTGATCATTTGAATGGGGACTTGGATGAACTTTCTCCTTGAACTATATATGTGATGGAAGGAGTTTTCTAATCACATAAATAGAGGAAGATTTTAAGAGTAATGATGGATTTAAAAGCTACTTTTCAAAGGTTTTAGGAGAAATCGGAAGCATAGAAGAGATCTGGGCTCATTCAGCTCAATCACAGGTAGGTTTGGTTTCCAGCCTCTGCTTGCATGAGTTCTCCTGTAATGGGGAACTCACCAGCTCCTGAAACAGCAAATTTCATCTGTGGCAGATCAATTAGCATTTTTTTTTCCTTAACAAAGATCTCTCTGTGTGGTGCCTAATTATCGGTCATATTCCTGGCCTTGGATCTGCACAGAGACTTTGTGTCATAAGGCTGCCCATTAGAGACTTGAAGATGGATGCTCCAGGTCTTTTTTGTTTTGTTTTGTTTGTTTGTTTGTTTTTTGTTTCTTTTTGAGACGGAGTCTTGCTTTGTCGCCCAGGCTGGCATGCAGTGGCACGATCTCAGCTCACTGCAACCTCCACCTCCTGGGTTCAAGCGATTCTCCTGCCTCAGTCTCCCAAGTAGCTGGGATTACAAGAATGTGCCAACATGCCTGGCTAATTTTTGTATTTTTAGTAGAGATGGGATTTCACCATGTTGGCCAGGCTGGTCTCGAGCTCCTGACCTCAAGTGATCCACCTGCCTTGGCCACCCAAAGTGCTGGGATTATAGGCATGAGCCACCCTGCCTAGCCAAGGTCTTCTCTTTTCTGGTTATGCATGCAGGAATGGGTTTTGAGGCCTCATGTCCCAGGGAGAGATTATGGATTTTCTGGGCAATAAATTGTAGCAGGCTTGCCTCCTGGGGATGGAGTGCACTGCTCCTGCAAAGTCCTGGTCAGGGAAGGGTTGGGGGCCTGGGGGGTCTGAGTCAGGTGTGCCCTGAAAGCAGGCCCATGGTGGGAGGTTTTAACCAACTGAGGTGGGTAGGCGGGCACAGGCTGTGGAGCAGAGTGCCTTGCAGGTACTGCAGGGAACGGCAGCTGTATTTACTGAGCACTTTTCTTCCCTCCCACCCTCTATCTTCCCTAGATCCTCACTGTTTCCTTTCTTCATGTCCTTCTTTCCTTTTCCTTTTGTCTCTCTAATCAGTTTTTGGCTGATGTCCCCATCCCTCTCTCTCCCATCTCTGCCTTTCAGCCAGCTTCATTCTCCTTGTTTCCTATTCCTTCTATCTCACTCCCTTTTTTTCTGTTTTTATGGTTCTCTCCCTTCCTCCTGCTCTTTCTGACTCCATCCCTGCCTCTGTGCACTGTCTCCCTGTCTATGCTCCATTCAAAAAGAATAGATCACATACACAACCACACTCAACTAGAGCTAGTTGTGAGTTGCGCTTCATTTATCTGTTATCTTGAATGTTTTATGCAGGTCAGTGACCCCTCCTTGAACTAGTATTCTATTCCCTGCTTCTGAGTGTTGGTCTTTGATTTATTTCTTTTGTGCATCTATTTTGTGATAGCTGAGAACAGGTAATTTCTGCAGCAGGCAAACAGGATACATACGTGAACATCCAGATTCACAAATACAAAATGATTTGCTTCAGGAATTATCTAAAAAGCCAGTGCATTTACAATGTGATTCAATTTACAAAGATTACCTTCGTGTGCAACCTCTCCGTAACATCCCCCTTATGTATGGTTGCTTCGTATCTGAGTCTTTTAAAAATATGTTTGCAAGGCTAACCCAGTCTTTGTTCCTTTGGACAACTGGAGGACATGAAATCATTCTTTGAAGGCAGGTTGGCATAGTGGAAAATACATAGATTTTCAATCCTGGTTCCTCAACCCTCTGTGTATAGGAAGGTTTAGCCTCTCTGAGCCTCTGTTTTCTCATCTGTAAAATGGGGCCAATAAAACTACCTGGCAGGCCTATTGTGAGGAATAAATCAGTTGACATTTGTAGCTCATGACCTTTGAAGCTGGTAGGGTTACTTGAGAGTTGAGAAGTCAGTGTATCTAGGGTCTTCCTTGGCATTTTCTGATAACACTGCAAAATCATTAAACTTTGGAGACTGCATTTAGGAAGCCCATGATTCTAAGCAATAAATCCTACCAGAAGAACCTTCATCGATTACTGGAATTCTTAAAGGGAAACTTGTTTGGAACTGACATGTGAGGAAACAGCTGTAACACCCTGTCATTGTTAAAGTTTTGGTTAACAGGTATGTTTGAAATTATCTGTGTGGAAGAACTATTGTGTTTCTTAGAGGCAATAGTTTGGTATGTTTCATGCGCGTCCATGTGAAGAGACCACCAAACAGGCTTTGTCTGAGCAATAAAGCTGTTTATTTCACCTGGGTGCAGGTGGGCTGAGTCCAAAAAGAGAGTCAGCGAAGGGAGATAGGGGTGGGGCCGTTTTATAGGATTTGGGTAGGTAAAGGAAAATTACAGTCAAAGGGGGGTTGTTCTCTGGTGGGCAGAGTGGGGGTCACAAGGTGCTCAGTAGGGGAGCTTTTGAGCCAGGATGAGCCAGGAGAAGGAATTTCACAAGACAATGTCATCAGTTAAGGCAGGAACAGGCCATTTTCACTTCTTTTGTGGTGGAATGTCATCAGTTAAGGCAGGAACTGGCCATCTGGATGTGTATGTGCAGGTCACAGGGGATATGATGGCTTAGCTTGGGCTCAGAGGCCTGACATTCCTGTCTTCTTATATTAATAAGAAAAATAAAATGAAATAGTGGTAAAGTGTTGGGACGGTGAAAATTTTTGGGGGTGGTATGGAGAGATAATGGGCGATGTTTCTCAGGGCTGCTTCGAGCGGGATTAGGGGTGGCGTGGGAACCTAGAGTGGGAGAGATTAAGCTGAAGGAAGATTTTGTGGTAAGGGGTGATATTGTGGGACTGTTAGAAGAAACACTTGTCATTTAGAATTATTGGTGATGGCCTGGATACGGTTTTGTATGAATTGAAAAACTAAACGGAATAAGAGAAGGAGAAAAACAGGTATTAAAGTTCTAAGAATTGGGAGGACCTAGGACATCTAATTAGAGTGCCTAAGGAGATTCAGCATAGTCCTGCCAGCAAAGATTATTTATTTACTTCAAGAGTTAAGAGTGGCAGTTTGGGGATAGCACCAGGAGATATCAGCTGTGATGGCTTGGAGAAACAGTGTAAACTGGCAGTGTAAACAAGAGCAGGGCATGTATGAGTAGTTGAGAACGGTGAATAGGAGTATGACTAGACTGCAGATAGTAGGGATGACAAGTTTTTTGGGGGCACAGTCTAAGTTAGTCTGGTGTCTGGAATGAGACTGGGACCTAATAAAAAGGAGCATCTATACAGGAGCTCAAATGGGCTGTACCCTGTAGCATTCTGAGGACAGGTCTGACTTCTGAGAAGGGAAAGTGGTAAAAGTATTGTCTAGTCCTTTTTAAGTTGGTGGCTGAGCTTGATGAGGTGTGTTTTTAAAACACCATTAGTCTGTTCTACTTTTCCTGAAGACTGAGGACTGTAAGGGATATAAAGGTTTCACTGAATACTAAGAGCCTGAAAAACTGCTTGGCTGATTTGACTAATAAAGGCTGGTCTGTTATCAGACTGTATAAAGGTGGGAAGGCTAAACTGAGGAATTATGTCTGACAGAAGGGAAGAAATGACTGCAGTGGGCTTCTCAGACCCTGTAGGAAAGGACTCTACCTATCCAGTGAAAGTGTCTACCTAGACTAAGAGGTATTTTAGTTATCTGACTCCGGGCATGTTGAGTAAAGCTAATTTGCAAGTCCTGGGTGGGGGCAAATCCTCGAGCTTGATGTGTAGGGAAGGGAGGGGGGCCTGAATAATCCTTGAGGAGTAGTAGAATAGCAGATGGAACACTGAGAAGTTATTTCCTTGAGGGTAGATTTCCACGATGGAAAGGAAATGAGAGGTTATAAGAGGTGAGCTAGTGACTTGTACTATAGCATAGCCTGCCTTTGCTGGTGGGTGGTGATTAGGCCTGGTGGAACCACCATTAATAAATAAAGTGTGATCAGGGTGAGGAACAGGAAGGAAGGAAATATGGGAAAATGGGGTGAATGTCAGGTGGATCAGAGAGATACAGTAATGAGGGTCAGGTGTGGTATCCAGAATAATGTGGGAGGCCAGACTGAAGTCTGGGCCAGGAACAATGGTAATTGTGGTACTTAACAAAGAGTGAGTACAGCTGAAGGAGCTGGGGAGCAGAAAGTGTATGCGTCAGGTATGAGGAAGAAAATAGATTTTGGAAGTTATGAGAAATGTAGAGAGTAAGTTGAGCATAGTTTGTGATTTGGAGGGCCTCTAAAAGTATTAGGGCGGCAGCAGCTGCTGCACGGAGACATGATGGCTAGGCTAAAACAGTAAGGTCAAGTCGTTTGGACAGAAAGGTTACAGGGTGCGGTCCTGGCTCTTGTGTAAGAATTCTGACTGCACTAACCATGCCTAGGAAGGAAAGGAGTTGTTGTTTTGTAAGGGATTGAGGTTTGGGAGATTAATCAGACACGATCAGCAGGGACAGCACGTGTGTTTTTATGAGAACTATGTCGAGATAGGTAACAGATGAGGATGAAATTTGGGCTTGACTGAAGTAATGGGGGCTGTCTGTGAAGCCTTGCGGCAGTACAGCCCAGGTAATTTGCTGAGCCTAATGGGTGTCAGGGTCAGTCTAAGTGAAAGCAGAGAGAGGCTGGGACGAGGGGTGCAGGGGAATAGTAAAAAAAGCATCTTTAAGATCGAGAACAGAACAGTGAGTTGTGGAGGAAGGTATTGAGGACAAAAGAGTGTACGGGTTGGGCACCATAGGGTGGATAGGCAAAACAATTTGGTTGATAAGGCGCAGATCCTGAATTAATCTGTAAGACTTGTCCGGTTTTTGGACAGGTAAAATGGGGGAATTGTAAGGAGAGTTTATAGGTTTTAGAAGCCCATGCTGTAGCAGGCGAGTGATAACAGGCTTTAATCCTTTTAAAGCGTGCTGTGGGATGGGATACTGGCGTTGAGCAGGGTAACGGTGATTAGGTTTTAATGGGATGGTAATGGGCATGTGATCGGTTGCCAGGGAAGGAGTAGAGATGTCCCATACTTGTGGGTTAAGGTGGGGGGATACGAGAGAAAGACGCGAAGGAGGCTTTGAGTTGGGGAGAAGGGCGGCAATGAGATGTGGCTGTAGTCCAGGAATAGTCAGGGAAGCAGATAATTCAGTTAAAATATCTCGGCCTAATAAGGGAACTGGGCAGGTGGGGATAACTAAAAAAGAGTGCATAAAAGAGTGTTGTCCAAGTTGGCACCAGAGTGGGGGAGTTTTCAGGGGTCTAGAAGCCTGGCTGTCAATACCTACAACAGTTATCGAGGCAAGGGAAACAGGCCCTTGAAAAGAAGGTAATGTGGAGTGGGTAGCCTCTGTATTGACTAAGGGGATGGACTTACCTTCCACAGTGAGAGTTACCCGAAGCTCAGCATCCGTGATGGTCTACGGGGCTTCCAAGGCCATCGGGCAGCATCAGTCTTCCGCTGCTAAGCCAAGAAGGAGTCAGTCAGAGAGCCTTGGGCCAGAGTTCCAGGGGATCTGGGAGTGGCTGCCAGGTGAGTTACACAGTCCGATTTCCAGTGGGGTCCCACACAGATGGAACACGGCTTAGGAGGAATCCCGGGCTGCAGGCATTCCTTGGCCTGGTGGTCAGATTTCTGGCACTTGTAGCAAGCTCCTGGGGGAGGAGGTTCTGGAGGAATGCCTGACCATTGTGATTCAGGTGTTTGGAAGTTCTTGTGTGCTGGAGATGTGGCTGGGGTTTGTCTCACAGTGGAGGCAAGGAATTGCAACTTTTTTCTATTATTGTACACCTTGAAGGCGAGGTTAATTAAATCCTGTTGTGGGGTTTGAGGGGCGGAATTTAATTTCTGGAGTTGCATTTAATGTCGGGAGCAGATTGGGTAATAAAATGTATTTTGAGAATAAGACGGCTTTTTGACCTTTTAGGGTCTAGGGCTGTAAAGTGTCTCAGGGTTGCTGCCAAACGAGTCATGAACTGGGCTGGATTTTTATATTTGATGAAAAAGAGCCTAAATGCTATCTGATTTGGGATAAAGAAAAAGGAGCATTAACCTTGACTATGCCTTTAGCTCCAGCCACCTTTTTAAGGGTAAATTGCTGGGCAGGTGGGGGAGGGAGGGCTAGTTACGGAACGAAACTGTAAGCCGGACCAGGTGTGAGGAGGGGAGGTGATAAAAGGATTATAGGGTGGAGGAGCAGAGGCTGAGGAAGAATTGGGACCTAGCTCGGCCTGGCGAGGAGCAGCCTGGGAGGAGGGGAGAGGTCAGATGGGTCTGTAGAAAAGGAAGATTAGAAAGACTCAGCGATGCTTGGGGTTGGGACTGAGGGGACAGGTGGGAGGGAAAGAAGGAAGATTTGGGACAAGTTGCACTGGGCACAGAGACTAGGGAGGGACAGATATGTAAAAGAATGTCTGGACGTCAGGCAACTCAGACTCTTTGCCCATTTTACAACAAGAATTATTTAGATCTTTCAGGATGGAAGAATTGAAAGTGCCATTTTCTGGCTATTTGGAACTACTGTCGAGTTTGTACTGGGGTCAAGCGGCATTGCAGAAGAAAATAAGATGCTTAGATTTTAGGTCAGGTGAGAGTTGAAGAGGTTTTAAGTTCTTAAGAACACAGGCTAAGGGAGAAGAAGGAGGAATGGAGGGTGGAAGGTTGCCCATGGTGAAGCCCAGAGAAAAGAGAGAGTAGAGACATGGAGGGAAGGGGTTCAGGGGTTCTTACCCTCCAGAAAAGTGGGAAAGGGGTCAGGGCACAGAGATACAAGGTTGGGGCACAGAAATAAGGGATTGGGGCACAGAGATATAAGAGGTTGGGGCACAGAAATAAGGGATCGGGGCACAGAGATATAGGGGATTGGGGTACTTGCCCCTCCCCCAGAAAAGTGGTACTTGCCGCTAAGGGTGAAGGAGAAGGGGTTGGGAGTTTCTTGCCCCCCAGAAAGGCAGAGAAGGGGTAGAGACACGGACAGAAGAGGTTGGGGTATTTGCCCTTTCCCCAGAAAAGTGGGACTTGCCGCTAAGGGTGAAGGACCAAGGCAGGCGTCCCTGCGTCGTCTGACACCTCTGAAACCTGGGCGAATAATCAGAGGCAACCCTGCAATGATCAAACACCAAGGGAAGGCAGCCTTCCCTAGTCCATGACTGGCGCCGGAGTTTTGGGTCCACGCATAAAACGTGTCTCCTTTGTCTCTGCCAGAAAATGAAAGGAATTGAAATTAAGAGAAGGGAGAGATTGAAGTGTGGCGCCAAGATTGAAAGGAGAAAGAGGTTGAGAGATAGTGAGGGAGGTTGGAGAAGAGAGTAAAAAGAGGCTGCTTACCAGATTTGAAATTGGTGAGATGTTTCTTGGGCTGGTTGGTCTGAGGACCTGAGGCCATAGGTGGATCTTTCTCACGGAGCAAAGAGCAGGAAGACAGGGGATTGATCTCCCAAGGGAGGTCCCCCGATCCGAGTCATGGCACCAAATTTCATGTGCGTCCGCGTGAAGAGACCACCAAAGAGGCTTTGTGTGAGCAATAAAGCTGTTTATTTCACCTGGGTGCAGGCGGGCTGAGTCCAAAAACAGAGTCAGTGAAGGGAGATAGGGGTGGGGCCGTTTTATAGGATTTGGGTAGGTAAAGGAAAATTACAGTCAAAGGGGGGTTGTTCTCTGGTGGGCAGAGTGGGGGTCACAAGGTGCTCAGTAGGGGAGCTTTTGAGCCAGGATGAGCCAGGAGAAGGAATTTCACAAGACAATGTCATCAGTTAAGGCAGGAACAGGCCATTTTCACTTCTTTTGTGGTGGAATGTCATCAGTTAAGGCAGGAACCGGCCATCTGGATGTGTACGTGCAGGTCACAGGGGATATGATGGCTTAGCTTGGGCTCAGAGACCTGACAGTATGAACTTAAACTTTGGAAATGTTAAGGTTTTGTATCGAAAGGAAGTAGTATCCAATGATATAACAGAGGAAGCAAATTTCAGCAATGAATAGGAAAGACAAAAATTTGAATTAATTCATGCCAGTGAAGAGGACAGTAGAAAAGGTGAAGAAGTGATTAACCAGAGAGAAATGTGTAGGACTGCAGAGAATGGGGCTTTGGCCTAGAAGCTGTGGTGGCTTCAAGGTGCTTTATCAGGTTCTTCCCCCGAGGATGGAGCAGATGTCAGACACTGGAGAAGGGGCCCTGCTGCTCTCCTCTCTGCAGAGCTCCATTTGTGAACTGAAGGAGGAAAAGGCTGGGAAGTTGGTGGCAAGAGACAGCCAGAAGGCCTTAGAGGGTGCTCCTAAGAGGAGTTCTCAGCCACAGGAAAGGAGACTGTAAAAGCTTTTGACCCCAAATTAATGCTGAATCCCAAGTCCATGGAGTGAGTTAAGTACTTAGATCAATGCAAACACTTTACTCAGTTCTGGGAATAAATCCAGGCCAGATTGGTTTATATAGTCCTAGATACTAGTTAATAACTAGTTTATTGCTGCACTATTCACAATAGCAAAAACATGGAACCAACCCACATGTCCATCAATGATAGACTGGATTAAGAAAATGTGGCACATATACACCATGGAATACTATGCAGCCATAAAAAAGAATGAGTTCATGTCCTTTGCAGGGACATGGATGAAGCTGGAAACCATCATTCTGAGCAAACTATCACAAGGACAAAAAACCAAACACCACATGTTCTTACTCATAGGTAGGAATTGAACAATGAGAACACTTGGACACAGGGTGGGGAATATCACACCCTGAGGCCTGTCATGAGGTGGGGGACGGGGGAGGGATAGCATTAGGAGAAATACCTAATGTAAATGACGAGTTAATGGGTGCAGCAAACCAACATGGCATATGTATACCTATGTAACAAACCTGCACTTTGTGCACATGTACCCTAGAACTTAAAGTATAATAAAAAAAAATAGTAACAAAAGAAGAGAATGGAAGCTAGCAACTAATTCTATTTCATCCTATCCTATATGAGCTAAAAATTTTTTTAAAGAGACAGTTTCAAGTTGCTATTTCCACTCCCTCAATTTATATTCTCTTCTTAATCCTTGCCAATTCAGCCTCTGTCCCATCTCTGCAAAACTGCTTGTGAAGGTCACTAGTGACTGCCATGTTGCTAAAGCCAGTGGCCACTTCCTAAGTCATCTTATTTGACCTGTTAGCACAGCACAGTTGAGCATCACCTCCCTTTTTGCATATATATTTTTTTACTTTTTATTTTGAAAATGTTCAAACCTACAGAAAATTTGCAAGAATATTACAGTGAATACCAGTATATCCATCTGGATCCACCTGTTGTTTAACATTTTACTATATTTGTGTTAGCTCTTTCTTTTCATAAAAATAGACCTATTGGCTGGTGTGGTGGCTCATGCTGATAATCCCAACACTTTGGGTAGCCAAAGCAGGAGGATCACTTGAGCTCAGGAGTTCAAGCTTACAGTGAGCTACAATCATGCCACTGCACTCCAGCCTGGGTGACGCAACAAGACCCTGTCTCTATTTAAAAAAAAAAAAAAAGACCTATTATTAGTTGCTGTTTTTCTTAATCATTTAAGGATAAATTGCAGACATTATGGCCCTTCACCCCTTAAGACTTATACGTGTGTCTCCTAAGAACAAAGAAATGTATTATTGATACAATACCATTGTCTAAAAGAGATTCCATTTTCTAATTTCTGCCAATTGTCTCAATAACTGACCTTTACAACAGCAACAACAAATTTCCAATCCAGGATCCAATACATGACCATGCATTGCACTTAGTTGTCATGTTAATTTTGTTTCCTTTAATCTGGAACTGTCCCTCAGCCTTTCTTTGTCTTTTACCACATCAACATTTTTGAAGAGGATAGCAGTTGTTCTCTAGAATGTCTGATCCTTTGTCGTGATTAGATTCGGATTATCCATGTGGGGCAGGAACACTGAATCCATTATGTTATATTCTTCTCAGTGCATGACATCGTAAGGCCTTGATGTTGCTTTGTCCCATGCTGGGTGATGCTCACTTTGATCACTTGACTAAGGTGGGGTATACCATGTTTCTGCACTATGAAGAAATTTTTCCCCTTTGTTTTTACTAAGTGATCTGTGGGAGATACTCTGCTCTGAATCACCAATGAAATACTACCTATAGATTTTTAGATCCATTAGTGATTTTTACCTGAATCAATTATTGCAAAATACTGACTCCCTTACTCTATCATTTCTTCTATACTTTTTAGTTGTCATTCTACTATAAGGAAGACTTCTCTCTTATCCTTCACTTTATTTGTTTACTTGTTTTTTTTGTATCAGAATGAACTCATGGGTTATTTTTTAACTCAGTAAGTTACAATCCTGACTGTTATTACTCATTTTAATGTTTAAATTATCCCCAATTTGGTTGACTATTTTAGGTTGGCTTCCGTGTTCCTTTTGATGTACTGAGATGAGGAATATACAAATGAACAATGGCCAAACCACACATAAAACTAAAAGTTTGACCCATAATCTGCAGCCAGCAGCACAGAAAGTCAAGCCATTATCTACAGTAACCAGCCCAGGAAGCCAGCTTGCTATCCATAAGTCAGACTTACAGAAAGTCAGACCACTGTCTCTAGCAATCAATACCAGAAGCCAAACAATAAGCCCTCTAATAATCAGCCGAATATGGCCAGGACTAGATCAATAACTGACAACTTCCCTAATTTTTGTCTCTGATTCCAATTTAGGACCAGAGAAAGCCAAATATGCTTCTCTAAGCAATCACATAGGACACCCCACTTCTAGTTAGCTCCCCTATAGCTTCCCCATGTCAGAGCCCCCAATCAGGGTATATCTGAAGTCTCCCCTTTCTCCCACTACATGTATGTAGGCTTTCCCACTCCTCAGACTGCATTCAAGTCTCTGCCAAAATACAAGTGACTGTGGCTGACTCCCACGCCCTACTAAGCTCAGAATAAGTAGCCTTTTCTTGTTCTCATTTGAGTGGTCCTTGTTGATTTCCACAGTAACCCCATCATTTTGTCCATTGAGCATCTCCTTACTCTGGCACCAGAAGTTCCAGGCTCACCATTTACTTTCCCTGCCTTAGCCCTGGAATCAGCCTTTTCTCTAAAAAGCCCATATTCCTTTTAGTGGGGACTGATACTTAGAAACCAAGATCTGGACTCTAGCTGTGCTCGTTGTTACCAGGGTCACTGTGACCTTTTAAGAACACCTTCTTTCTAGAGGGCTATGACATGACACTCCCCAGTTTTCTTCCTGACTGTATTCCACATGCCTTCACAATCTCCTCTGCTCTTACCCTTCTTTAATCAACCTTGAAATCTTTAAGGACACCAAGTTTTAGTCTTAAGTCTCCTTCTTTAAGGTAAGATAATACATTCAATTGTTTTTGAAAATATCTATTTACTGAACACGTGTGGCACAGTAGAAAGAACTCAGACCAAGTGATGGGAATCTTGGGTTCAAGCCCAGATATTTTATTTACCAATTATATGGCCTAAGGCAAGTCTTTTGAGCAAAACTCTTATTTCATGTCTAAAAAGAGTCATAAAATGAAATAATATAGGTAAAAAGTGCTTTATAAATTGCAAATAATAGTCACGACACTCAAGTGTGCTAAAATGTTTCCATCTCATACATGTATTACTAGGATCAAATGAGTTACCACATGCCAGGTATCTAGGACAGTGCCTGCTGCATAGTAGTAGGTGCTGTATATGTGTTTATTATTATTATCACTAATGTTATTACAACTGGTTACTTAGCTTATATCCACTCATTCCTCTGAGTAGTAGAAAGCCTTCCTCCCAATTTAAGGTAAACCCTGTCACTTCCAGATTTAAATATAATGGCTTTAAGATTCTCTCCCACTTTCCCTTTGCCCATTGATCTTGGTTGGGAGATGTTGCGGTGAGTATGGTCAGAAGGTGTCTGATTCCTCATTTGCTGACCCCCTTCATTGAGGGTGTTCCTCTCTTCTTCCTGCCTGCTCTCTGATATCAGCTGTTAACCCAATACACACCCCATTCCATCCTGCAGCTAATGATGTCCTCAGGGCACCAGGGTTGCCCACATCCCTCCCGCTGCTCTGGCTTCCTTTGGATTTGCCAATCCTCTCCTCTGGGGCCACAGAAGCTTTTTTCTGATTTCCTGCCACTGTGCTGGGAAGCATAAGCCTCTGATGCAGGCTGGGAACCTGAATGCCCAGGCAATTCAGTCCGCATGGCTGCTCCACCTCTCAGACGGTAATAAGTGCAGAGCTCCCTGAGAGCCTTGCTGTTTCCCCAGCCTAGACCTCAGTTGCCAGCTGATCATCACCCTGCTCTCCGAGTCTCCACCCTACCTTCTCCTCACAATTAATCTAATTTTTCTATCAGGTTCCTGTCATTCCAGGAGCACCCTGCCAAGAATTCAACCTAAATAGATAGAAGGGCTCAGCCCCTTCTTAGGGACCAGCAACTAAGCTCCAGTCACATCCTCTCCTACTCTCCATCTCCCCAACTGATCCATCTATTTGGGGGAAGGAAAATATATTATTATGTATTCTTCCCTATAATATAGTTTAAATCTATGTTTTCTGATATTCAAAACCAAACTTCTAGAATAAAAACAAAAAATAAACCTATAACCATTTTTCTTTCTTCGAAGTACAACTTTCAGATTGGAAACTTTAGTTTTTAATGCTTTCATTGCCGTTGTACAAGTATCTACTTAGAAGCTCACAAGTTGAGAAATGGACTCTTTGTTCCAAGCTGTGCCCTCTCAGGGCAGCTGCATTAATAGTGGGGGAAACAGTAATAGGTACAAGAAACCATATGAAGAAATGCAACCTCCATTTCAAAATATTCCACTGTACTATAAAAACAATAGCATTTTTTTTTCTGGGGAAAAAAAGCTATTTTCTGGAACAAGAGCTTTGACTCCTTAGGTTGGTCAGTTGGATCCAATCTCTATCATCCTATATCAATTAGTATCAACCTAATCAACCTATTATCAGTCTTTATTGCCTCTGTGTAACTTCCTTGAGTCTGCCTACTTGGGTGGGCTGTGGGGAGGGAGAGATTACCATTAAAACCACATCTGAAACAGGCATACCTTTTACATTTAATGTGAGAAGGATGTCCCAAGTACCCACTGTGGAGCAGAGACCTAGACTGGATGTGGGCCAAAGAATGAGCTTGGCCAATTAGGAAGATCTTCCCAGAGATGGGTTTAAAGTCAGGTTTTGGAAGATGTAACAGACCTATGGATGTGGAGGAGCTGAGTGGAAGGAGACAGAGGACAGTTATGCACATGGGGTGAGATACTCCAAGCCAGCAGCACTTTGGTTTTGCTGGAAAGGAGGTGCACAATGCTGATAGACTGAGGAAACACACCCAGTGAAGATGCCAAATGCCAAGCCATATTATTCAGAATTTGGGCAGCAGCATCAGGATTGGGTTGTGTATTTGGTGACCCAAGATATCTGAGGAGTTCCCTGGGGACTCCAGTTCCCACATGTCAATAGGAGATTTGGGCTTGTATTCATAGCTTTTAGAGCAGGGCACTGTCTTAATTTATTAGTTAGTGCACACCAGGACCCACCTTGAAACCGTGTCCACAAATACACTCATCTGCTGGTTTCAGCCGAGAGAGGGTAAAGTCTTTGCTGGCCGCATGCTCTGGGCCTGGTTCAGGATCACCTTCATTTCTCACCTGGACTCCTCTGGCTGGTTAGTTGGGCCTAAGCTTTAACATCCACTATCAACTAATGTCAACTTGATCTCTATTTCTTAACAGACATCTTCTATGGCTTTCCATTGCCTTACGGATAAAATCGACATGCCCTCTCTGATCTATATGCCCTATTGTTCTCTGGGGCCTCCAACCTTACCTGCTGCCACTCTCCTCTTTTACTCTGCTCAGCCTATGTGATCCTCTTTTTGCCCCTTTAATGAGCCTGGCGTGTTCCTGCTTCATATCACTTCTCCTAAAAATTCCTCTGCCTAGAACGCTATTCTTCTAGGTCTAAAATATCTGGCTCCTTCTCACCCTCCTCAGGCCTCAGCTCAAAGTTAGCCACCTTTTCTCACCACCCCCACTTTACTTCTTATCTTCCCCCACATCGCATTCCATTTCTTTATGATGTTTTATTTTTGCCGCCTGTCTCTATCTGAACCTTCTGTATTTGTTTACATGCGTGTTGTCTGTCCCCCACTGCGAGGTCAGCCCCACAAGGGGACTTGCTGCCTTGCTCATCCTGTACCCAGCATTTGGGGCTGTTCCTGGCCTCTAAGAAGGGCTCAATAATACTTGTTGAATGCTGGATGAATTCCAAGCCAATCCAATCCACTCCACTCTGTTGGCCAAAGATAATAAGACAAAGTTCCGCTCCACTTCCCTCCCAGCCCTGCAGCATCAGAGATCCTTGGAGATAAAAGGGCTTTTAGCTATGCATAGTCTAGTCCAATGGGTTTTGAATTTGTTATTTAGCTGTGGAAGTTGTTTTTGTTGTTTTGGTTTTCAAATGAAATCTTACACAAAAGGCTAATTTATAAAAGCAATAAAAGAAGAGCTCTAATGAAAGCCAGGTTTCTCACTGCTAGAGAAGGAAGGCCCACTAAGCACGGGGGAAAGGCTGGAGTGAACCCTGTGGTGCTGGGTTACGTTCAGTGATATCCGTATAAACTTGCATTTGCTTGTTTGTGTAGATAAAAAAATAAATAGAGATGTGTGAGTACACAGGGGTTAGTGGACACCCATGTATTTTCATAGCTCTGTTCCCTGAGAGGGCCTGGAAGCAGTGGTGCTTCAGCAGAAAACAACACATCTAGTGCCCAGATCTATTAATAAATACTATTCTCTGTTAAGTGCTAGGGCTCCTTGGAGAAATGGCTGATTCTAGAGCTGGGGCAAGAAGAGACAAGGTGACTCTGGGGCACTTTGTAGTGATAGAAAGTGAAGAAGTGTGTGTGCACAAGAGAGAGAGACAGTGAGAATAAGAAAAATGATGGGAGTATGTCAAAAGGGACACAGGAGCCAAAGTAACGATAATATTCTATTATAAATTTATTTTCTTTATAAAGAAACATATTTTATAAGTTTGTTAGTCCATACTTATATAAGTAAATATTGAATAAATAAATAGGGGAGAAGAGACAACTTTCCCACACAGAAACATTTCAAATAAATTATGTAGATCTTTCTTCCTCAAGGAGGTGGAGCATAGCTCCCTACTCATTAAGTATGGACTCTGGCCAGTGACTGCTTTCCAAAGAGTATAGTATGGAAAGCGGGTACAGGGAGGAGATTGATGTTAAGTGGAGAAACCTAATAAACACGACCTCATCCAGGTGATCAAGGACATCAGTAGTGATAAGTCATGTGTATTGCGTACTCATGATAGGATGAGATGAACTTTACCCCTGTCATCTTCCTCCCCCTAAACCCATAACCCCAGTCTAATTAAAAGAAAAACATCAAGCCGGGCACAGTGGCTCATGCCTGTAATCCCAACACTTTGGTAGGCCAAGGCAGACAGATCACTTGAGGTCAGGAGTTCAAGACCAGCCTGACCAACATGGTGAAACCCAGTCTCTACTAAAAATACAAAAATTAGCTGGGCATCATGGCGCATGCCTGTAATTCCAGCTATTTGGGAAGCTGAGGCAGGAGAATCACTTGAGCCTGGGAGGCAGAGGTTGCAGCAAGCTGAGAGTGCACCACTGCACTTCAGCCTGAGCAACAGAGCAAGACTCCATTTCAAAAAAAAAAGAAAAGAAAAACATCAGAATTCCCAGGTAGGATCATTCTACAAAATATTTGACTAATACTTCTCAAAACTGTCAAGGTCATCGAAAACAAGAAAAGTCTGAGAAACTTTCACAGCCAAGAGGAACCTAAGGAGACGTGATGACTAAATGTAATGTGGTACCTTGGATGGGATCCCAGAACACAAAAAAGAACATTAGGTAAAAACTAAGGAAATTTGCATAAAGTAGGGCTTTAGTTAATAATAATAGGTCAATATTAGTTCATCAAATATACCATACGAATTTAAGATATTAATAATAGGGGAAACTGATTGCAGGATATATAGGAACTCTCTGTACTATTTTTGAAAATTTTCTGTAAATCTAAAACTGTTCTAAAATAAAAGGATTATTTTTTAAAAAAAGCTCACTTAACAATATTTTAAAATGTGTGAGTTTTACTGGATAAAAATAATACCTCAATTTTTAAAAATGAAAAAAAGTTAAGGAACTTGAGAGATTTCCCCAACATAGCTAGTACGTGGTGAAGTTAGAATGAGAATTCAAGTTGTCTTATTCAGTATCTCAGACTACCTGCTATGGACTAAATTGTGTTCTTGCCTCCAAAATTATTATTTTGGGCTCCAAAATATGAAGCCCTCACCCCTCAATGTGACTATATTTGTAGATAGGGCTTTAGAAAGTAATACAAGGTAAATGACATCATAAGGGTGGGACTGTACTCCAATGGGATTGTTAGCCTTATAAGAAGAGGAAGAGAGAAAAAGAGAGAGATAGAGGTTCCCCAACCCTTCACCCACACTCCCACCCTCACACATGCACTACGGAAAGGCCATGTAAGGACAAAGCAACCATCCACAAACCAGGAAGAGAGCCCTTATCAGACACCAAGCCCTGCCAGTCCCGGATCTTGGACTTCCCAGCCTCTAGAACTGCGAGAAAATATATTTCTGTTGTTTAAGCCACTGTGTGGCATTTTGTTACAGCATCTGAAGCAGACTACCTTAGAAATACACTACCTTAGAGAATAAACACTAGGCTAGGTGCGGTGGCTAAGCCTGTAATCCTTCCACTTTAGGAGGCCAAGGCGAGCGGATCACTTGATGTCAGGAGTTTGAGACCAGCCTGGCCAACATGGTGAAACTCCAGTCTTTACTAAAAATACAAAAAATTAGCCAGATGTGGTGGCACACACCTGTAATCCCAGCTACTCAGGAGGCTGAGGCAGGAGAATTGCTTGAACCCAGAAGGCGGAGGTTGCAGTGAGCTGAGACCACACCACTGCACTCCAGCCTGGGCAACAGAGAAAGACTCTGTCTCCAAAAAAAAAGAAAAAAATAAACGCTCCAAGTTATTGAATGCTATAACATCCTAAGCACTGTTCTGAGAGCTTTGTAGATATCTGATCTTCACAGTAACTATAAAGGGTAGTTAAGTGATATTACTATCTCCATTTTGCAGAAACCTGAACTTTAAAAAGGGTGACTTCCCTGGGATCACACAGCTAACAAAAGTCTGATATGTGTCTCCCACTCACAATTATTTGATGTTAAAGCCCAAACTTTTTCAACAACTTCCCAGGGCCTATTTGTGGAGTGAAGAAAGTTACATTTTAGCTCCTTGAGGACAGACCATCTACACAAATAATTTGGAATGCTTCTTCATGGGGTATTTGGCTTTTTTCTCCATGTATTAATTTATCCAAACATTTATTTCTATCAGTATGGTCTCATAGATATTGATTTTATATTTTGGATTATAATCCTATACTACTTTCTTTCCTTTGTCACTTACATATTTCCAGCTTTGGCTTCTGAGAGCTCCTTTGGTTGGCTCCCAGGTCACTTTGACCTAATATTATTACCATTTCTTTTTGTTTGTTTTTGGTTTTATGAGCACTTTCTTACTTTCTGGCACTACAGGATACCCCAGTATCATGCTATATGTTTTCTGCCCTACTCGTAGACTCAACCATTTCTCCAAGAACCCTGGTCCCTTTCACTAGAGAATGGTATTAGAAACCAAGATCTGGCATGTGTGGTCATTGCTACTGTATGTCCTTGTTTCTAGGCCCTCTCAGCTGACAGAAAAAAATATGTGTGTTAAAATGAATCCATGTATATACACAGAACTGTACATATTTCTATATGCCACCATCTGTATGTACATTAACCTAAACATTAGTTTCTGCTGATGTCTCCAACTCGAATCTATTATCACATGGACCATTCTAGCTTCCTCCCTTGCTTGCTTGTAACCTCCCATTCCAACAGTGAGAAAACTGACTCCCACCATCTGCCATTCATTTACTTAATTGTTCACTTGCAGTATATATGCTTAGTGCTATCAGTATTGTGTTAGCCCATGACCCATGGGAAACAACTTTATCAACTAGAGAACAGTATTTATTTACAGCTTTTACCTTTAGTTCTATTAACTCCACTCATTTCCAAAGTTACTTAGGTCAGGACGTTTTCCCCAACCCTCTTCCATGAGGTTGTTTCATACATTTGTACACAATTAGATTGCTTTGTCACATTTTGTCCTGGACCTCAATCACCTAAAAGATTTTTTTTTATTTTCATATATTAAGGCTCACTCTTTGCACTGTAAAGTTGTATAGGTTTTGATAAATGCATCCTGTCATATATCTACCATTACAATATCATACAGAATAGTTCTGTGGCCCTAAAACCTCCCCTGTGCTTCACCTATTTAACTTTCCCTTTCTACACCTGGCAACCACTTATCTTTTTACTCTTAACATAATTTTGCTTTTGCCAGAATGTCATATAATTGGAATCATACAATATGTAGCCTTTTCAGAATGTCTTCTTTTATTTAGCAATATACATTTAAGATTTACTCATAACTTTTCATGGCTTGATAGCTCAAATTATTTATTGACAAATAATACTCCATTGCAAAGATGTAACAGTGTTTTTTATCTATTCATCTACTAAAGGGCATCTTGGTTGCTTCCTGGTTTTGGTGATTATGAATAAAACTGCTATAAAGATTTGCATGCAAGTTTTAGTGTGGACATGTTTTCAAGTCATAGGGAGCATAACTGCTAGAGAGTATGGTAAGACTATATTTGGCTACTTAAGTCTCCCAAAGCGGCTGTTCCGTTTAGCATTTCCACTATCAAAGAATGAGACTTTCTGTTGATCTACATCTTCACCAGCAATTGGTATTGTCAGTTTTTTGGATTTTAGCCATTCTAATAGGTGTGTGATTATATCTTATTGTTGTTTTAATTTGTAATTCTCTAATGACATAGGATGTTGAACATCTTTTCATATGCTAATTTGCCATCTGTATATCTTCTTTAGTGAGGTGTCTGTTCAGATCTTGTGCCTATTTTTAATTGAGTTGTTTGTTTTCACATGGTTGTATTTTAAGAGTTCTCTGTTATTTTGGATACTAGTCCTTTACCAGATACCAGATATGTGTTTTTCAAATATTTTCTCCCAGTCTGTGGTTTGCCTTTTCAGTCTCTTAACAGTATCTTTCACAGAGCAGAAGTTTTTAATTTTAATAAAACCCAACTTCTCAATTTTTTATTTCATGGCTATGCTTTTGGTATTATAGCTAAAAACTCATCACCAAACCAAGGTCATGAATTTTTCTCCCATTAATCAGTTTTGACAAATATATACTCATGCTTTATGATTTCGACTGTGCCATCCAAACAGACAGGTTGAAGTCTTAGCCCATGGCACCTGTGACTGTGGCCTTATTTGGCAATAGTGTCTTTGCAGATGTAATCAAATTAAGGTGAGGTGATTGGGAAGGTCTTTACAAGGAGAGGGAAATGTAAACACTGAGACACAGGGAGAACACCATGTAAACATGGAGGCAGAGACTGGAGTGATGCATCTACGAGCCAAGGAACACCAAGGATTGCCGTCCTTCACCAGAAGCTGAGAGAGAGGCACAGAACAGATTCTCCCTCAGAATGATTGGAAAGAGTCAACCCTGCTGATACCTTGATTTTGGACTTCTAGTCTCTAGAAATATGAGATAATAAGTGACAGTCATTTTAAGACACTGAGTTAGTGGCACTTTGTTACAGCAGCCCTAGGAAACTAATATGGCATGTGTAACCATCACACCAATAAAGATATTGAACATTTACATCACTCCTGAAAACTACCCCCTCATGCTCTGTCCCAGTCAGTGTCTCTCCTAAAAATAACCATTATTCTGGTTTCTATCATCATCATTTAGTTTGCCTATTCTAGAACATCTTATTAACATTATAAAACAGTACATAATTATTTTTATCAAGCTCCTTTCACCCAACGTACTGTTTTTTGGGTTGATCTATATTGTCTCACATATTAGTAGTTTCTTCTATTTATTGCTGAGTAGTATTTTAATCAATATGCTACAGTCTGTTTATCCATTCACCTATTGGTGGACAATTGGGTTGTTTCCAGTTTGGGGCTATTCTGAACAAAGCTGTTATGAACATTATCACACAAATCTTTTTGTGAACATATGTTCAAATACTTAGGAGTGGAATAGCTGGATCATAGAGAATATATATGTTTAACTTTATAAGAAGCACCCTAACTCTTTTCCAACGTGGTTGTAATATTTACATTCTCACTATTACAATGTATGAAAGTCAGAGTTGCTCTACACCCTCACCAAAACTTGGTATTGTCAGTCATTGTTGTTCATCTCGCTGTGGTTTTGATCTGCGTTACGTGGATGACCAGGGACGTTGAGCATCTTTTCATGTGCTTAGTGGCCATTCATGTATCTTCTTTTATGATGAGTCTGTATAAATCTTTTGCTCACTTTTTATTGGATTATTTAGTTTTTTCATTATTGAATTATAGGAATTCATTATACATTTTGGATAAAATTTCTTTTTCAGGTTTATGTATGGCAAATACTTCTAGCAGGCTGTGGCTTGCCTTTTATTTTATTAATGTTATTTTTGGAAGAATGGAAGTTTTATATTTTATGAAGTCCAGCATATCAGGTTTTTTTCTCTTATGGTTAGTGCTTTAGAATCTTGGCTAAGAAATTTTGCTTGCCCTTAAGATGCAAAGATACTCTCTTCTGTTTTCTTCTAGAAACTTTATAGTTTTAGCTTTTTTATTTAGGTTTATGCTTCATCTCAAATTATTTTTTTTTCTTTTGAGACAGGGTCTCACTCTGTCACCCAGGCTGGAGTGCGGTAGTGTGATCTTGCCTCACTGCCACCTCTGCCTCCCAGGTTCAAGCAATTCTTCTGCCTGCCGAGTAGCTGGGATTACATGCACCCACCACCACACTTGGCTAGTTTTTTTGTATTTTTAGTAGAGAGGGGGTTTCACCATGTTGGCCAGGTGGTCTCAAACTCCTGGGCTCAAGTGATCCACCCACCTCTGCCTCCCAAAGTGCTGGGATTACAGGTGTGAGCCATTGCGCCTGGCTTTAAATTAATTTTTGGAGGTGGTATGATATGGAGGTTGAGGTTCATTTTTCTCCACATGAATAGCCAATTGTTTTAGCATCCTTTGTTGAAAAGATTATCTTTTTCAAATAAAATTACTTTTGGTGACTTTAGTTGGCATATTATGTGGGCCTTTTTATGGACTCACTATTCTGATCTACTGATTTTTATGTCTACCTTTATGGCAATATAACAGTTTCAGATTTACTGCAGCTTTATAGTAAGTTTTAAAATCAGGTAGAATAAATTTTCTAACTTTGTTCTTTTTTTGAGATTATTTTGGATATTTCAGGCCCTTTGAATTTCTATACATATTTTAGAATCAGCTTGGCAATTTCTACAAAAATGCCTGCTTTGATTTTGAATGGGATACCATTAAACATGTAGATCAATTTGGGAAGAACTGATGACAAAAATATTGAGTCTCTAGATAGAGATTTTAAAACATTCCATATGATTTTGTACATAGACAATCATGTCATCTGTAAATGAAGATAGTTTTACTTCTTCCTTTCATTCTGGATGCTTTTATATCTTTTTCTTGCCCAATTGCACTGGCTAGTACTTCCACCACAATGTTGAAAAGAGGTGGTAAGAGTGAACATCATTGTTCATGATCTTAGGGAGAAAGTATTGTATCTTTCATCATTAAGTATGATGTTAACCGTAGGATATTCTTAGATACTTTTTATCAGGTTGAGAAAGCTCCCTTTTATTCTTAGTTTGTGAGAGTTTTTGTTAGACATGGAAGTTGAATTTTATGAAATGTTTTTTCTATATGTATTGCAAAAATCATATGATTTTTCATTTTTAGTCTGTTATGGTGAATTATATTGATCATTTGATAATGTCAAACTGAACTTTGTATTCTGGGATTAAATCCCACTTGGCCATGACTTATTATCATTTTTATATATTGTTGGATTTGATTTGCTAAAATTTGGTTATAATTTTTTGCATCTATACTTATGATAGAAATTGATCTTTAGTATTCTTTCCTTAATGTCCGTCTGGTTTTGATGTCAGAATGAAACTGGTTTCATAGAATGAGTTGGGAAGTATTCCCCACTCTTTACCTTTCTGGAAGTGTTTGTGTAGAATTGGTATTATTTCTGAAATGTTTGCTATAAGTTACCAGTGAAGCCATCTGGACCTAGGTTTTCTTTATGAAAAGGTTTTCAGCTACAAATTCAGTTTCTTTAATAAATATACAGCTATTTTTATTATTAGTTTCTTCTTGAGGGAAGTTTGGTTGAGCCTTTCAAGAAATTTATACACTTCACCTACATTTTATAATTTATTGACATAAAGTTGTTTGCCATATTCCCTTACTACCCTTTTAAAATCTGCAGACTTCCTAGTGATATAACTTCTACTATTCCTGCTACCGGTAATTTGTATTCTCTTTCACTCTCTCTCTCTCTCTTTCCTGATTGGCCTGTGTAGAAGTTTAACAATTTTAGTGTCTTCTCAAAGAACTTGCTCTTGGGTGCATTGATTTTATCTATTGTTTTCTCTTTTTTATTTTATTTCTAATTTCTATTTTGGTATTATTTCATTTTTCTGCTTCCTTTGGGTCTTACTTGATATTTATTTTCTAGTTTCTTGGAGTGAAAGCTGAAGTCATTGATTTGATATGTTTCTTTTTCTCTAATATAAATTTCCCTGTAAGTACTGTGTATTGGTACATTTTCATGCTGCTAATAAAGACATACCCAAGACTGGGCAATTTACAAAAGAAAGAGGTTTAATGGACTTACAGTTCCACGTGGCTAGGGAGGCCTCACAATCATGGTGGAAGGTGAAAGGCACTTCTTACATGGCAGCAGCAAGACAGAGAATGACAGCCAAGTGAAACAGGCTTCCCTATATCAAACCATCAGATCTTGTGAGACTTATTCACTACCACGAGAACAGTATGAGAGAAACCACCTCCATGATTCAATTATCTCCCACCAGGTCCCTCCCACAACATATGGGCATTATGGGAATACGATTCAAGATGAAATTTGGGTGGGGACACAGAGCCAAACCATATCATACTGCTTTAGCTATACCCCCATATTTTGAAATATTGTTTTTATTTTCATTCAAGCCAAATGCTTTCTAATTTAACTTTTGAAGTTAGAACTAGGTTATATAGTTTCCAAATATTTCTGGATATTCTAGATATCTTTCTATTACTGATTTATCATCTAGTTCCATCATAGTCACACAATGTACATTGCATAATTTGAATTATTTTCCATATATTGAGACATATTTTATGGCCTAGACATATTTTATGTTCTATCTTAGTAAATATTCTGTGTATACTTGGGGGAAAATGTGTATATTGCTGTAGTTGGGTGGAATGTTCTATAAATGTTGAATAGATCAAATTGGGTAATAGAGTTGTATGACTCTTCCATGTCCTTCTTGATTTTCTGTCTTATTTGTTCTCTAAATTTTTTAAATTTTTTAAAATTTCAATTAGTTTTTGAAGAACAGGTGGTGTTTCATTACATGAATAAATTCTTTAGTGGTGATTTCTGAGATTTTCATGCACCCATCAGTTGAGCAGAGTACACTGTACCCAATGTATAGTATTTTATTCCTCACCTCCACCCCCACCCTTTCCTTTGAGTCCCCAGAGTCCATTGTATTATTCTTATGCCTTTGCACCCTCATAGCTTAGGTCCCACTTGTGAGTGAGAACATGATATTTGGTTTTCCATTCCTGGGTTACTTCACTTAGAATAATGGTCTCCAACTCCATCCAGGTTGCTGTGAATGCCATTATCTTGTTCCTTTTTATGGCTGATTTGTATTCCATGGTATATATATACCACATTTTCTTTATCCACTCATTGATTGGTAGGCATTTGAACTGATTCCATATTTTTGCAATTGCGAATTGTGCTGGTATAAACATGCATGTGCAAATATCTTTTTTGAATAATGACTTCTTTTCCTCTGGGTAGATACCCAGTAGTGGGACTGCTGGATCAAATGGTAGATCTACTTTTAGTTCTTTAAGGAATATCCACACTGTTTTCCATAGTGGTCGTACTAGTTTACATTCCCATCAGCAGTGTAAAAATGTTCCCTTTTCACCACATCCATGCCATCATCTATTTTTTTTTTTATTTTTTGATTATGGCTATTCTTGCAGAAGTAAGATGGTATTGCATTGTGGTTTTGATTTGCATTTCCCTAAACATTAGTGATGTTGAGTATTTTTCATATGTTTGTTGACCATTTGTATATCTTCTTTTGAGAATTGTCTATTCTTGTTCTTAGCCCACCTTTTGATGGGATATTTTTTTCTTGATGATTTATTTGAATTCCTTGGAGATTCTGGATATTAGTCCTTTGTCAGATGTATAGATTATGAAGATTCTCTCCCACCCTGTGGGTTGTCTGTTTACTCTCCTGATTGTTTCCTTTACTGTGCAGAAGCTTTTTAGTTTAATTAAGTCCCAACTATTTATCTTTGTTTTGTTGCATTTGCTTTTGCATTCTAGGTCATGAACTCTTTGACTTAGCCAATGTCTAGAAGGGTTTTTCTGATGTCGTCTTCTATAATTTTTATGGTTTCAGGTCTTAGATTTAAATCTTTGATTCATCTTGAGTTGATTTTTGTATAAAGTGAGAGAAGAGGTTCCAGTTTCATTCTTCTACATGTGGCTTGCTAGTTATCCCAGCACCATTTGTTGAATAGGGTGTTCTTTCCCCACTTTATGTTTTTGCTTGCTTTGTCGAAGATCAGTTGGCTGCAAGTATTTGGCATTATTTCTGGGTTCTCTATTCTGTTCCATTGGTCTGTGTGCCTATTTTTACACCAGTACCATGCTGTTTTGGAGATAATGGCCTAATAGTATAGTTTGAAGTCCAGTAATGCGATGCCTCCAGATTTGTTCTTTTTGCTTAGTCTTACTTTGCCTATGCAGGATCATTTTGGTTCCATAAAAATGTTAGGAATTTTTTTCTAGCTCTGTGAAGAACGATGGTGGTATTTTGATGGGAACTGCATTGAATATGTAGATTGCTTTTGGCAGTATGATCATTTTCACAATGTTGATTCTACCCATCCATGAGCAGGGGATGTGTTTCCATTTGTTTGTGTCATCTACAATTTATTTCAGCAGTGTTTTATAGTTGTCCTTGTAGAGGTCTTTCACTTCCTTGGTTAGGTATATTTCTAGATATTTTATTTTTTTGCAGCTATTGTAAAAGGGGTTGAGTTCTTGATTTGATTCTCAGCTTGGTTGCTGTTTGTGTATAGCAGTGCTATGAATTTGTGTGCATTAATTTGGTATCCTGAAACATTGCTAAATTCATTTATCAGTTCTAGGAACTTTTTGGATGAGTCTTTAGGGTTTTCTAGTATACAATCATATCATCAGTAAACAGTAACAGTTTGACTTCCTCTTTAACAATTTGGATGCCCTTTATTTCTTTCTCTTGCCTAATTGCTCTGGCTAGGACTTCCAGCACTATGTTGAATAGAAATGGTGAAAGTGGGCATCCTTGTCTTGTTCCAGTTCTCAGGGGGAATGCTTTCAACTTTTCCCCATTTAGTATAATGCTGGCTGTAGGTTTGTCATAGATGGCTTTTATTACACTAAGGTATGTCCCTTCTATGTCAATTTGCTGAGGGTTTTAACCATAAAGCAATGCTGGATTTTGTCAAATGCCTTTTCTGCATCTATTGAGATGATCATGTGATTTTTGTTTTTAATTCTGTTTATGTGGTATATCACATTTATTGACTTGCATATGTTAAACCATCCCTGCATCCCTAGTATGAAGCCCACTTGATCATGGTGGATTATCTTTTTGATATGCTGTTGGATTTGGTTAGCTGGTATTTTATTAAGGGTTTTTGCATCTATGTTCATCAGGGATAATGGTCTGTGGTTTTCTTTTTTTGTTATGTTCTTTTCTGGTTTTAGTGTTAGGGTGATACTGGCTCATAGAATGATTTAGGGAGGATTCCCTCTTTCTCTATCTTGTGGAATAGTGTCAGTAGGATTGGTATCAATTCTTCTTTGAATGTCTGATAGAATTCAGCTGTGAATCTGTCTGGTCCTGGACTTTTTTGTGAGCAATTTTTTAATTACCATTTCGATCTCACTGCTCATTATTGGTCTATTTAGAATTCCAGGAATTTCTCCATCTCCTCTAGGTTTTCTACTTTAGGTGTGTAAAGGTGTTCATAGTATTGAATGATCTTTTGTATTTTGGTGTTATCAGTTGTAATAGCTCCCATTTCATTTCTCATTGAGCTTATTTGGCTCTTCTCTCTTCTTTTCTTGGTTAATCTCACTAATGGTCTATCAATTTTATTTATTTTTTCAAAGACCAAGTTTTTGTTCCATTGTTTTTTCTTCTTGGTTTTAATTTTATTTAGCTCTGCTCTGATCTTTGTTATTTCTTTTCTTCTGCTGGGTTTGGATTTGGTTTATTCTTGTTTCTCTAGTTCCTTGAGGTGTGACCTTAGATTGTCTATTTTTACTTTCAGACTTTTTGATATAGGGATTTAATGCTATGAACTTTCCTCTTAGCACTGCCTTTGCTGTATCCCAGAGGTTTTGATAGATTATGTACTATTATCATTCAGTTTAAAATTTTTTTTAATTTCCATGATTTCATTGTTGAGCTAATGATCATTCAGAAGCAGGTTATTTAATCTTCATATATTTGCATGGTTTTGAGGGTTCCTTTTGGAGTTTATTTCCAATGTTATTCCACTGTGGTCTGAGTGAGTACTTGATACAATTTCAATTTTCTTAAATTTATTGAGACTGGTTTTGTGGCCTATCATGTGGTCTATCTTGGAGAATATTCCACGTGCTTACAAATAGAATGTATATTCTGCAGTTGCTGGGTAGAATGCTCTGTAAATATCTGTTAAGTCCATTTGTTTTAGGGTATATTTTAAGTCCATTGTTTCTTTGTTGACTTTCTGTCTTGAGGCCTTGCCACTGTCAGTGGAGTATTTAATTCCCCCACTAATATAGTGTTGCTGTCTGTCTCATTTCTTGGGTCTAATAGTAATTGTTTTATACATTTGGGAATGCCAGTGTTAGATGCATATATATTTAGGATTGTGAAATTTTCCTGTTGCACAGGTCCTTTTATCATTATATAATGTCCCTCTGTCTTTTTTGACTGCTGTTGCTTTAACGTTTGTTTTGTCTGCTATAAGAATAGCTATTCCTGCTCACTTTTGGTGTCCATTTGCACGGAATATCTTTTTCCATCCCTTTACCTTATGTTTATGTGAGTCCTTATGTGTTGGGTGAGTCTCTTGAAGGCAGCAG
This sequence comes from Homo sapiens, assembly GCF_000001405.40. Lineage (NCBI taxonomy): Eukaryota > Metazoa > Chordata > Mammalia > Primates > Hominidae > Homo > Homo sapiens. The sequence goes on along the minus strand of NC_000001.11, from coordinate 38,405,500 downwards.
ATACTTGGTTGGTGATTTCTTATCAATTCTGCCATTCTGTATCTTTTAAGTGGAGCCTTTAAGCATTTACATTTAATGTTAGTATTGAGATGTGAGGTACTTTTCTATTCATTGTGCTGTTTGTTGCCTGAATACCTTGTTTTTTTCCATTGTGTTATTGTTTTATAGGTCTTGTGAGATTTATGCTTTAAGGAGTTTCTATTTTTGTGTATTTTGAGGATTTGTTTCAAGATTTAGAGCTCCTTTTAGCAGTTCTTGTAGTGCTGGCTTGGTAGTCATGAATTCTCTCAGTATTTGTACGTCTGAAAAAGACTATATCTTTTCTACATTTATGAAGCTTAGTTTCACAGGATAAAAAATTCTTGGCTGATAATTGTTTTGTTTAAGGAAGCTGAAGATAGGACCCCAATCCCTTTTAGCTTGTAGGGTTTCTGCTGAGAAATCTGCTGTTAAGCTGACAGGTTTTCCTTTATAGGTTACCTGATACTTTTCCTCACAGCTCTTCAGAGTCTTTCCTTCATCTTAACTTTAGATAACCTGATGACTATGTGCCTAGGCAATGATCTTTCTGTGATGAATTTCCAGGGTGTTCTTTGAGCTTTTTGTGTTTGGATGTCTATATCTCTAGCAAGCCTGGGGAAGTTTTCCTCAATTATTCCCTCAAAGATGTTTTCCAAACTTTTAGATTTCTCTTCTTCCTCGGGAACACCAATTATTCTTAGGTTTGGTCATTTAACATAATCCCAAACTTCTTGGAAGTTTTGCTAATTTTTAAAAATTCTTTTTTCTTTATCTTTATTAGATTGAGTTAATTCAAAAGCCTTGTCTTTGAGCTGTGGAGTTCTTACTTCTACTTGTTTGATTCTATTGCTGAGACTTTCCAGGGTATTTTGTATTTCTCTAAGTGTGCCCTTCTTAGAGAAGATAATCTCCAGAAAAATATATAGCATAAATAAAAAAAAATCACAACTTTCCAGAAATAGACAGCATGAATAAAAAACAGTCACAACTTCCGGAAAGTTGTGATTGTTTTTTATTGATGCTATCTATTTCTCTGGAGATTTTTCCATCTATATCCTGTAATGTTTTTCTAATTTCTTTGAGTTGGTATTCACCATTCTCCGGTGCCTCCTTGAGTAGCTTAGTAATTGACCTTCTGAATTCTTTTTCTGGCAATTCAGATATTTCTTTTTGGTTTGGATTCATTGCTAGTGAGCTAATGTTATCTTTTGGGGGTGTTAAAGTACCTTGTTTTGTCATATTACCAGAATTGTTTTTCTGGTTCCTTCTCATTTGGGTAGACTGCCAGGAGACGATCTGGGGCTCAGGAGCTGCCATTCAGATTCTCTCATTCCACAGGATGCCCTCGGATATGGGTGCTGAGGGATGTGGCTTCCTGAGAGGCAAACTGCAGCAATTGTTATTTCTCTTCTGGATCTACCTGGCTCCAGGCTGGTACTGGGGAGTGTCTGCAAAGAGTCCTGTGATGTGATTTGTCTTCAAGTCTCTCAGCCCTAGATACAAGAATCTGCTTTTGTGGAGGTAGCAGGGGTGTGAAGTGGACACTGTGAGCGTCCTTGGTTGTATTTTTGTTTATTGTGCTAGTTTTGTGTTGGTTGGCCTCCAGCCAGGAGGTGGCGCTTTTAAGAGAGCATCAGCTGTGGTAGTTAGGGAGGATACAGGCTTGCCCTAGCATCACCTGGATAAGTTTCTCAGGTGGTGGGCAGGGCCAAAGAGCCCCCAAGAGATTATGTCCTTTGACTTCAGCTACCAGGGCTGGTAAAGACCATCAGGTGGCTGCAGGGATGGTCTTTACCTGATGGTAAAGGCCATCAGGTGGGGGCAGGCCAAGGGCGTCTGAGCTCAGACTTTTCTTGGATGAGGCTTGCTGCAGCCGCTGTGGGGCATGGGGGTGGGTTACTCAGGCCAGTGGACTTATGTTGCCAAGGGGATTATGGCTGCCTCTGCTGCGTCATGCAGGTTGACAGGGAAGTGGGGGAAAGCTGGCTCCCATGCAGCCCCAAAGGCCAGTCTCACTCCCACTGATCCCTCCACCCCAACAGCACTGAGTTTATTTCCAGGCAGTTGGTGAGCAAGGCTGAGGACTTGCCCCAGGCTCCAGACCTCCCCAATGAGAAAGCAAAGAGGGCTTTCAGATTTTGCACCTCCCTACCTGCTGCAACTTCCGTGCTGTGTCTGCATTCCTGGTTCACCCTCTTCCCCAGATTATGTCCAGAAAACTTCCTGTTAGGTTTAAATTGTTACAAAGTTCAACTGGAAGTTTCTTTCTCCCTGTGGTCTTTCCCCAGTTCCACTGGCAGGCCTCCCCAAGGACCCCTGTGAGACAAAGTCAGAAGTGGCTTCCCCAGGGACTGAGGGTCCCCACAGGGCTCTTCCCGCTTCTTCCTCTACCCCTGTATTTCACTCAGCTCTCTAAGTTTCTCTCAGCTCCAGGTAAGGTCAAATCTTTCTCCCATGATCTGGACCTTCAAGTTCCCAAGTGAGAATGTATGTTCAGGGGCAGATGATCCTCCTTTCACATTTCCACACTTTGGACACTCACAGTTTTTCAACTGTCTCCAGAAGCCTGCAGCAGCAATCCACTTCCTTCAAAGGGTCTGTGGATTCTCTCGGCTTTCCTGGTATGTTCCTGCAATAGTTCTTGGAGCAAAAGTTCATGATCTGTTCTATAAATTATTGAAAGAGAATAATTGAAAGCACCAACTATAATTGTGGATTTATCTATTTCTCCTGTGGTTCTATTAGCTATTATTTCATGTGTTTTGAAGATCTGTTATTAGGTGCATAAACATTCCAGATCATTGTATCCCCTTGATAAATTGACTCCTTTAGCATTATGAAATGATCCTCTTTATCCCTGATAATTTTTTATGTATGTGTGCTGAAATTTTTACTTGGATATTAATGTAGCCACTTTGGCTTTCTCTTGATTAGTGCTGGCATGGTTTCCTTTTCTTTTTAACCTATTTATGTGTTTTTAAAGACACACACACACACACACGTGGGATTTTGAAGGTAGCATATCTTTGAGTATTGCTTTTTAAATCTAATCTGACAGGCTGCCTTTTAATTGGAATGTTTAGGCCATTTATATTTAATGTAATTATTGGTATGGTCGTGTTTAAGTTTACCACTTTCCTATTTGTTTTATATTTGTCCTTGCTGTTCTTTGCTCCTCTTTTCCTCCTTCTCTGTCTTCTTTTGGTTTAACTGTTTTCTATGGTCTCATTTCATCTCCTTTGTTGAATTATTAGCCACAATTTTTGTTGTGTTATTTTAGTGGTTGCTTTCAGGTTTATAGTATACATCTTTTAATTACCACAGTCTAACTTTCAGTGATAGTTTACTACTTCATGTGTAGTATAAGCCCTGTTCATGTATACTCTAGTTTTTCCCTACTGGCCTTTGGGCATTGTTATCATACATTTCACTTCTACATATTTTATATATCTCATAATATGTTGCTATTATGCCTTAAACAGATGATTATTTTTGAAGATATTTAAATAATAAATGAAATTATTATTATTATCATTATCATTATTACAAATCTACTTATGTAATACCATGTCCTGTGCTGCTCAATACTTTGTGGAGATCAAGGGTCAGAAAACTTTTTCTGTTGGGGCCAGGTAATAAATACTCTAGACCATGTGGTTTCTGTTACAATTATTCAATCCTGTCATTGTAGCATGAAAGCATCCATGGGCAACAAATAAATGAATAGGTATGGCTGTGTTCCAATAAAACTTTATTCACAAAAAGAGGCAGCAGGTCAGATTTGGCTCATGGGCCATAATTTGCTGACCCCTAATATATCTAGGTTTCCATCTGATATTATCCTTTTTTTCCCCCTGCTTGAAGGACTTCCCTTTACATTTTCTATTCCACCAGTCTGCTTGTGATTAACTCTTTCAGCTTCTGTATGTCTAAAGAAGTATTTATTTTGCCTTAACTTTTAAAATAATTTTTTCTTAGTAGAGAGTTCCAGGTTGACATTTTCTTTTCTTACAGAATTTTAAAGATTTTGAGCCACTGTCTTCTAGTTTGCATTGTTTCTGACAAGAAATCTGCTATCCTCCTTATCTTCATTGCCCTGCATGTAGAGCATCTCCTCTACTTTTCCAATTTTATCTTTGTCACTGATTTAAAGCTACTTGATTCTGATATGCGTTTGTGTATTTTTTTTTTTAATTTCCTGGTTTTGGTGTTCACTGACCTTCTTGAATCTGTGAACTTATAATTTTTATCGAATTTGAAACATTTGGTCACTATTTCCTTAAATACTTTTCTGTCCTCCCTTTCTTTTGGGAACCCCACTTACACATAGATTTGGCCACTTGAAGTTGTCACTGTTGCTCTGTGTGTTTTTTTTTTTATGTGTGTCTTTTCCTCTGTGTACTTTATTTTGGGTAGTTTCTATTGCTATGTCTTCAAGTTTACTACTCCTTTCCTCTGAAATGTCTAATCTGCTATTTCCCATTCATTGTATTTTTTTTTTTTATCTCAGACATGGTTGTTTTCTTCTCTAGAAGTTTGGTTTCAGTTTTTCTAATATCTTCCATGTCTCTACTTAATGTTCAATATTTTCTCTAGCTTGGTGAACATATAGAATACAGTTATAATGACTGTTTTAATATGCTTGTCTCTTAATTCTATCATTTGTGTCATTTCTGAGTCAGTTTTGATTGATTTTTCTCCTCATTATAGGTTTTATTTTTCTAGTTCTTTGAATGCCTGATAATTTTTTTTATGGATGCCATATATTTTGAATTTTACCTTGTTGGGTGCTGAATATTTTTGTATTCCTAAAATTATTCTTGAGGTTTATTTGGAGATACACATTACTTTCAAATAGCTTAATACTTTTGGTTCTTGCTTTAAGCTCAATTATCAGGGACCAGCAGCATTTAGTCTAGGGTTAATTTTTCCCACTACTGAGGGAAGACCCTGCTCAGTACTCTAACTGATGTCCTATGACTTATGAAGTATTCTACTCTGGCTATTGGGAATAGACCCTTCCTATTCTTGTGAGCGTAGCACTGTTTCCTCTAATCTTTTGAGTTATTTTTTTAGACTAGTTGTTCATATGCATGTGCTGATGATTATTCTATTGAATACTCAAGGGAAGCTTCTGTAGATTTCTGAAGTTTTCCCTGTGTGCAGCTCTTCTTTTAAATACACTACATTGGGAACTCTAGATTCTTTGTTTTTCTCAACTTCCATTTGTGCCTCCTCAACTCAGGGATATTGCCAGCCTCTGCCATGGATCTGCCTTCCTTGTGATGGTCTGCAAACTTCCTTCAGGAGGTAAACCAGGTCAATAATAGGGCTATATTTGTTTCCTGTCATTTAGGGATTGCTGTCCTTCATTACCTGGTGCCTAATATTTTCACAGCTATTTTTTCATATATTTTGTTCAGCTTAAAAAGAAATTGTTTCAGATTGGAGGTTAAATTCAGCCCCTGCTACCCCATACTGGCTAGAAGTAGAAGTCCTATCAATTCATGTTTTAAATAATTAAGAAAAGAAGGAAAAATTTCTTTTGTATTTTCCTACAAAGTTATCATTTCTAGTGCCCTTTATTCCTTTCTGTAGAGCTGAATTTCCATATGGTCTCATTTCTCTTTAGCATAGAGAATTTCCTTTAGCATTTCTTCTTTTAGAAATATTTATTTTTTAATATTGACAAATTTAAATTATATATATTTATGGTATATAACATGATGTTTTGACATATGTTTACAATGTGGAATGGTTAAATCAAGCTAATTAACGTGTCTTACTTTCATACTTATCCATTTTTTGTGGTGAGAACACTTAAAATCTACTGCCTTCGCAATTTTCAGTTATACAATAACTGTCGTTAAATATAGTCACCATGATATACAATAGATCTTTTGAACTTATTTCTCCTATCTGTATCCTTTGACCAACATTTTCCAATTCCTCCCTCCTCCTGTGCCCAACTCCTGGTAACCACCATTTTCATCTCTGCTTTGATGAGTTTGTCTTTTTTAGATCCCACATATAAGTGAGATCATGTGGTATTTGTCTTTCTGTGCATGGCTTATTTCACTTTTTAAATTTTTATTTTTTCGTTAAGCTGCCAAGTTGAAGTGGAATTATTTCACTTAACATAATATCCTCTAGGCTCATCCATGTTGTCACAAGTAACAAGATTTTCTTCTTTTTAAGGAGTCTCTTTTAATTTAAGAATATTCCATTATGTATATATACCACATTTTTAAAATCCTTTCATCATTGATGGGCACTTTGGTTTTTCCATGCCTGGGCTATTGTAAATACTGCTGCAACAAACATGGGAATGAAGATATTTCTTTGACATACTGATTTCATATGCTTTGGCTATATATCCAATAGTAGGATTGCTGGATGATACAGTAGCTCTATTTTTAATTTTTCTGAGGAATTTCCATACTGTTTTCCATAATGGCTGTACTGATTTACATTTCTACCAATAATATACAAGGGTTTCCTTTTCTCTACATCTTTTCCAGCACTTGCTATCTTTCATCTTTTTGATAGTAGCCATTGTAACAGGTGTGAGGTGATATCGCATTGTGGTTTTAGTTTGCATTTCCTTGATAATTCCTGATGTTGAGCATTTTTCTTACATACCTGTTGGTCATTTGTATGCCTTCTTTTGAGAAATGTCTGATCTTTATTTCCTTTCTTCTACTAATTTCGTATTAGTTTGTTCTTTTTTTTTCTTTTTTTTTTGAGACAGTCTTACTCTGTTGCCCAGGCTGGAGTGCAGTGACATGATCTCAGCTCACTGCAACCTCCACATCATGGGTTCAAGTGATTCTCATGCCTCAGCCTCCCGAGTAGCTGGATTACAAGCATTTGTCACCACACCCAGCTAATTTTTGTATTTTTAGCAGAGAGGGGGTTTTGCCATGTTGGCCAGGCTGGTCTTGAACTCCAGACCTCAGGTGATCTGCCCACCTCGGTGTCCCAAAGTGCTGGGATTACAGGCATAAGCCACCGCACCCCGCCTAGTTTGTTCTTATTTTAGGCTTAGTTTGTTCTTCTTTTTCTGGTTCTTTGAAGTGTAATGTTAGGTTGTTTATTTGAGATCTTTCTTCCTTTTTGATGCAGGTGCTTATTGCTATAAATTTCTCTCTCAGAGTTGCTTTTCCTCCATCCCATAAGTTTTGGTATATTATATTTCCGTTTTCATTTGTTTCAAGATTCCAAATTTTTCCTTTAGCCTCTTTGTTCACCCATTGGTTGTTCAGAAATATGTTGCTCAATTTCCATATATTTGTCAATTTACTGAAATTCCTCCCATTATGGTTTCTAGTTTTATACTACTATGATCAAAAAAGATACTTGATATAATTTCAATTTTCTTACATTTGTTAAGACTTGTTTGGTGGCCTAACATATGGTTTATCCTGGGGTAGTATTCTATGTGTATTTGAGAAGAATGTGTATTCTGTTGCTGTTAAATGGAATGTTCTATATATGTCTGTTAGGTCCATTTAGTCTAAAATATAGTCAACTTCAGTGTTTCCTTATTAATTTTCTATCTGGATGATCGTTCATTGTTGAAAATAGGGTATTGAAATCCTCTACTAATGTTATATTGCATTCTTTCTCTCTCTTCAGATATATGAATATTTGCTTTATATATTTGGGTGCCCTGATGTTGGGTGCATATATACTAATAATTGTTATAACCTCTTGATGAATTGACCCTTTTATCATTATATCTTTGTCTCTTCTTAAAGTTTATGACTTTAAGTCTATTTTGTCTAATATAACTCCTGCCCTATTTTGGTTTTCATTTTCATGGAATATCTTATTTCATCCCTTCACTTTTAATCTATAAAGGTAAATTAAGTCCGTATAGGTGAGTTAAGTCTCTTGTAGGCAGCCTATAGTTGAGTCATGGGGTTTCTTTTAATCATTCAATAGCTACAACTTTTGATTGGAGAATTTAGTACATTTATATTCAATGTAATTATTGATAGGCAAGGACTTAACTATTGCCATTTCATTAATTGCTTTCTGGTTGTTTTGTAGTCTTTGGTTCTTCTTCCTGTCTTGCTGTCTTCCCTTGGGATTAGATGATTTTCTGTACTGGTATGCTTTGATTCCTTACTCTTTATCTCTTGTGTACCTATTGTAGGTTTTTGCTTTGTGGCTACCATGAAGCTTACATAAAACCATTTATAGTTATGATGGGCTATTTTAAGCTGATAACAACTTAACTTAGACTGCATTTTAAAAACTCTACACTTGCTTTTTCCCACCCACATTGTATTTTAGTCACAATTTATATTATTTTATATTATGTATCCCTTAACAAATTATTTTACCTATTATTATTTTTAAATATTTTGTCTTTTAACCTTCATACTATGGATATATGTGATTTATACACCACCATTACAGTATTAGACTATCCTGAATTTGACTATGTATTTACATTTATCAGTTAGTTTTATGCTTTCATATGTTTTCATGTTGCTAGCTAGCACTTTATCTTTCAGTTTGAAGAACTCCCATTAGCATTTATTATAAAGTAGATCTAGTGGTGATAAACTCCTTCAGCTTTTGTTTGTCTATAAAAGTCCTTATCTCGCCTTCATTTCTGAAGGACAGATTTGCCAGGTTCAGTATTCTTGGTTGCCAATTTTTTTTTCTGTACTTTGAATATATCATCTCATTCTTTTCTGGCCTAAAATACAAAATACTTCACAAATTTGCATGTCATTCTTGTGCAGGGGCCATGCTAATCTTCCCTGTGTCATTTCAATTTTAGTATATGTGCTGCCAAAGTAAGCACTAGCACTTTTTGTAATTGTGTCACCTGTTAACATATTAGCTTGCCTTTCATTTATCTGAAAATACCTATTTTATCTTCATTTTTGTAAGGTATTTTTACTTGATACAGAATTTTAGGTTGACAAGTTTTTTCTTTTTTTTCTTTTAACATTTTAATTATGTTTTTTGGCCTCAATTGTTTCTAATGAGAAATCAGCTCTATCTGGGTGCTTTTTATATTTTCTGTCTATTTGTGTTTTTTTAAGAGTTTAACTTTGATGTGTTACATGTTATTTTCTTTGTATTTATCTTGTTTGAGGTGTGCTTTGTTTTTTGGATCTATAGGTTTCTTCTTTGTGATCAAATTTGGAAAATATTTGACCAATGTTTTTTCAAATATTTTTTCTGCTTTGTAGTTCTTTTGCTCCTCTTTTCCTGAAACTCCAGTTGCTCATTTTCTCAGCCATTTGATACTGTCCCACAAGTTGTTGAGGATCTGTTGTTTTTCAACCTTTTCTCCTTCCATGCTTCTGCTTGGATAATTTCTATTGATCTATATTCCAGTACACTGATCCTGTCTTCTTCTTTATTCAATCTACCATGATATTTTCTAATTTTTTTAAAATTTCAAATACTGTATTTTTCAGTTTCTAAAATTTCCTTTTAGTTCTTTTTATAGTATTCATATTTCTTCTCAAATTCCTCATCTCTTCACGCATTAAAAATGAATACATCTTTTCCTATAGATTTGTTATTATATTTATCATAGTTATTTTTAAATTCTTGACTTAGTTCATTTGGGCTGCTACCAGAAAAATACCTTGAATTAGGTGGTTTGTAGACAACAGAAATTTATTTTTCACAGATATGGAGGCTGGGAAATCCAAGATCAAGGCACCAGCAGATTTACTGTCTGGTGAGGGACCTGCTTTCTGTGTGTGTGTGTGTGTGTGTGTGTGTGTGTGTGTGTGTGTGTGTGTGTGTGTCAGAGTCTCACTTGGTCACCAGGCTGGAGTGCAGTGGCACAATCTCAGCTCACTGCAACCTCCACCTCCCGAGTTCAAGCAATTCTCCTGCCTCAGCCTCCTGAGTAACTGGGACTACAGGTGTGCACCACCATGTCCAGCTAATTTTTGTAATTTTAGTAGAGACGGGGTTTCACCATGTTAGCCAGTACGGTCTTGATCTCTTGACTTCGTGATCCGCCCACCTCAACCTCTCAAAGTGCTGGGATTACAAGTGTGAGCCACCATGCCCAGCTAGGACCTGTTTTCTTATAGACAGTGCCTTCTTGCTATGTTCTCACATGGTGGAGGGGGTAACTAGCTCTCTGGAGTGTCTTTTATAAGGGCGCTAATCCTATTTATGAGGCTTCTGCCCTCATGGTCTAATCTGCTCCCAAAGGCCCATCTCCTAATATTATCACATCAGTAATTAGGTGTTAACATGAATTTTGGGAGAACAAAAACATTCAGACCACAGTAGTTCCCTTCTGCTAATTTCAATATCACGGGTTTGTCATTTTGTTTTTATCAACTGATTTTTTTTCTTCACTGGGCTACATTTTTCTGTCTGTTCATATGTCTAGAAATTAAAATTTTTTATTATACATAGATAATTTTATTTTCTGTTATCTTTCTTTGAAGAGTATTGAGTTTTGCACTAGTAGGTAGGGAAATGACCATCAAATCGCCTTGGTCTTTTATGGAGTTGATTTTAAGCTTTGTTAGGGAAAGTCTATTTTGATTTTTCCCCTTAGTCCTAGGGTGAATACCTTAATCTTGGAATATGGTACTTAATCCTAGGGTGTGGCCCTTCTGGGATTTCAGTGCAAAGCTTGAGGTACTTATTAAGGCTCTCTCATCTGTTGGTATTTAAACTTTAAACTCTGCCTCCATTGTGGGCAGCTACTGAATCCTCTGCTCAGTTGTGTGTTTTGGGGTTTTTGGTTTTCTTCAAGATTCCAGCTACTGTTTCCCCCATAGACTTCTTGAAGTCTTAGCCCATACATTCAGGGTTTAGGTGCCAGCCAAGGATTTGAGTGGAATCTATATGCAGATTTGGGGGCTCCCCTCTGTGGCTTCATTCTTTCTGGGATTTCCCCCCTTCAATGTCTAACTGCTCTGGAAGACCCAATATGCATCACCTGACTCCCCAATATTACTGCAGCTTTTTGCTTTAGCTCTATCTGAAATGCCCCACCATACCACACAGACTAGGGACTGCCCTTACATGAAAGCTGAATAAACTAGATCTCACTCAGTGTGGTTCTCATCTTTCAAGGGGACCAATGCCCTCTAGTTTCTTTGGATAATTTCCCAGTAATTTCAAACCATTTTTTTCTATTTTGTCCAGAGTTGATAAATGTTATCAGTAGGAGAGTTAGTGCAATACAAGCTACTCTGCCATTACCCTAAGTTGGAAATCTCCAGGTTTCTCATTTTTAAAATGAGGATAATATCTACTTCACAGTTTTTTCCCTCTGTCTGAGAATTAAATAGGAATATATATGTGAAATGCCTGGCATGGATAGATATTCAGGAAATGTTAGTTTCCTTTCCTGTATGTTGAATTGGCATCTGCTTCCTTTTCACTTCCCTTCACTAGTCCTTGCTTTGTTCTCTGGGTCCACCCCACACAGGTCTAACTTCTTTCCCATCTGACAGTCCATCAGGGATTTGATGACAGAGATCATATCCTGTGCCTCTACATCTCCTTTATCTTCAGGCTAAAAATCCCAGTTATTTCTGCCATTTCTCAGGCCACAGGTTTTCTCTAGGGAACTTGGAGTCCTTATAATGCTTCTATTTCTTCATGGAGGAATGTCCTAAACTCAAGCTCCTGGTTCTGCCATTTATAAACTCTATAATTTGAGCAAGTCATCTTTTGAGTTTCAATATCCCTATCTGAAAAATGCCATTATAATTCCTATCCAGTCTGTGTCTTGAAAACTCAGGCACCTCAAACTTTAGCCAATGATGGTGACAGGGTCTGAGGAGATGTCTCCACCTCCTGGGTTCCTGCTGGCATTGATGGAGGGACTAGGGCTCCCTTCTCTGATTACCTTGGTGGGGGAAGAAGAGGGAACAGGGGCTATTATAATTCAGTCTCTCTCCACAAGTGAGGCCTGTGGCTAATTTTCTCTTGAATTACCAAGGGCAATCATGTTTTCCTGTTTTAGGTTTCACTTTTTCTTCCAAAAATCACTCAGCCTAGTCTCATATGTTAAATCCATATTCTTCCTATTATCACAACTTTGACCCTATTATTTGCAAAACAATGCGGGTCGTATTATGTTGTATATGCATTTTCCTATCCTTCCTAACTGTCTCTGTGTGAAACACTATAATCAAATAATATATCCTCCCAAAGTTTCTCTTTGATCCCCAGATTTATTCAGGGGGAAAGGAGAGTGGTAGTGATTTGTTTATTCTACAAATCAGAGAAAGCACTAGCAAAGATATAAGAATTCCTTTATAAAGTCCTTACACAAGTAAGTAAGGTGATCATAAAATTGATTATCCAAAGCAGTATACTTTTGAAAGTGAAAGGGGGCACTATTAATAATTACGCTATGACTGGCTGCCTCAGAAAAACTGCAATGTATGTGGCATTGTGCAATTGGGTACCTCAGGGCCTGACTTCCTGTAAAGGTTCCTGATTCTTGAGGAAAAAAATGTTTGGCAACCAAATCACCAGATACACAGATGAACAGCTCTTTTTTCTATTCATCTCTAGCATCTTTCTTTCTCAGGAACTTTATTGTTGGGGAACTCACTCCACTAGTGCAAAGGGTTTAGGATCACCTGTGCCGAGCCACCAGTGAAAAGGATGGATCTGGTCACTTTTGTCTGAAGCACATTCGCAGCTATGAGGCAAAAACTTAAGCTCAAATCACCTTCCTGCAAGTCAAGGACTCACTGCCCCTCACTGAGTTGCGTCCTGCCTGGCTAATATCTGTTTACTCACACAGCTCCTGCAAAAGGTCACTGCTTTCCCCCAGAGGTGCTGGTTTGCATATAATGGAGCTGCAAAGTGACCCTTCTCTCCAGTTCAATTCAGCCCCAGTCCCAGACCATGCCTAAGTTCAAAACAATATTCAAGAAATATACATGTTATACTCATCTTGTTATTTTCTGAACAAGCTGCTTTTTCCTGCCCTGCACTTTTCCACACTGCTACTGTTGTGTCTAGAGTGCCTTCCTCCTTTCTAATCCTTGCTATCTGGTAAGACTGTACTCATTCATCAAGTTCCAACTCAAATATCATGTGCTCCATGAGGCTTTTCCTGATGCTCCCTCACTTCCGTTAATCTACTCCAGGTGTCAGAGTCAATTAGGATTTGCTTCTGCTAATTTAATTTTTAAAAAGCATGTCAGTGGCTTAGAAAAGATATTACTTGTCTTTCACATAGAAGAAGTCAGAAGGTCAGTAGTCCAAGGCTGTTATGGCAGCCCTTTGATGCCATCAAAGATTCAGGCTCTTACCTTTCTGCTTTGCAATCCTCAAAGTCACCTCATGGTTCAAGGTAGCTGCTGAAGCTACAGCTGTATGTTCATCTGATAGCTGGAGAAGAAATATTAATAACAGGAGGACAAAGAGTTTTCTTAGCTATTAAGGTCCTTTTTACATTAATGTTGTGAATTACATGAAAATATTTTTCCTTATGTTAAGCCAACCTTGAATTCCTGGAATTAACCTACTAAGGTCAAAATACATTATCATTTATATACATTGCTGGATACCACTTGCTAATGCTTTAAGATTTTTGCAACTTCTTATATGGTTTTGTCAGTCTTTGGTATCATGATTATGCTAACTTCATAAAGCAGATAGAGACTTCTCTTTCTTTTTGACATTTTGGAATATTTATGTAAGATTAGAATTATTTGTTCCCTTGAATATTTGGTAGAACCCACTGATAAAACCTCTGGATCTGGAGTTCTTTTCTTTATGAGGAGACTTTTAACTATTAATTCAAACTTTAATAATTATAGAACTATTTGGGTATCTTGTTTCTTCTTGATGTTATGTTTTCTAGGAATTTGTTTATTTCATCTAATTTTTCTTTGTCTATCTCTTTGTCTGATTCTTCCATCTACCATTTCTGCTGCATTTCAGATACTATCTGGAGTTTGCTCTTCCAGTAGATTCTCCTTTCAAATAAATCTAGTCAACTGCAATGCTTATCTATTGAGTTTTCTATCTCAATTTTCATATTTTATTTTTATGATTCTCTTTGGTTCTTAAAATGTGCTTGCTCTTTTCTGCTGTTTTTGAGCATTTAACAGCTGTAGTGAAGTATAGCTGACATACCTCACTATGTCAATAATGTGCCAATAAATGGCATACTTTGTAGTGTATAATTTGATAAATTTTGACCTATGTATAGCACTTGTGAAACCATCGCCACAATCAAGAAAATGAACATGTCCGACAGCCCCAGAAGGTCACCGATTCCCTTAACCCTTCCTTTCTGTCTTTCTCATGCACCTCCCATCCCCAGGTGATTTAATTTAGATGTTTGGCCCCTCCAAGTCTAATGTTGAAATGTAATCCTCAGTGATGGAGGTGGGGCCTGGTGAGAGGTATTTGGATCATGAATGGCTTAGTGCTGTTCTCATGGTTGTTTAAAAGTGTGTGGCACCTCCCCTACATCTTTCTCCTGCTCTCACCATGTAAAGTGCCTGCTCCTACTTTGCCTTCCACCATGATTGTAAGCTTCCTGAGACCCTTGCCAGAGGCCAAGCAGATATTGGTGCCTCACTTGTACAGCCTGGAGAACTGTGAGCCAGTTAAACCTCTTTTCTTTATCAATTACCCAGCCTCAGGTATTCCTCTATAGAGATGCAAGAACAGGTTAATACAGAAAATTGGCAATGAGAAGTGGGATGTTGCTATAATGATACCTGAAAATGTGGAAGTGGCTTTGGTACTGGGTAACAGGTAGAGGTTGGAAGAGTTTGGATGGCTCAGAAGAAAACAGGAAGATGAGGGAAGTTTTGAAACTTCTTACTAGATAAATGGTTGTGACCAAAGTGCTGATAAAAATATGGACAGAGAAGGCCAGGCTGAGAGTCCTCAAATGGAAACAAGGAAGTTATTGGGAACTGAGTGAAGGTCATTTGTGTTATGCCCTAGCAAAGTTCTTGGCTGCACTGTGTTTATGCACTAGGGATCTGTGGAAGTTTGAGCTTAAGAGTGATGACTTAGGGTATCTGGCAGAAGAAATTTCTAAGCAGCAAATCATTCAAGATTTGGCCTGGCTGCTTTTAACAGCCTACATTCAGATACAGAAGCAAAGAAATGACTTAAAGTTGGAACTTATATTTAAAAGGGAATCAGAGTAAAAGTTTAGAAAATTTGCAGCCTAACCATGTGTTAGAAAAGAAAAGATCATTTTCAGGGGAAGAATCAAAGCAGGCTGTAGAACAATCACTTGCTAGAGACATTTGCATGACTAAAAGAAAGCTCTCACAGAGCACCTCTACTGGGGCAGTACAGAGGGAAATGTGGAGTTGGAAACCCCACACAGAGTTCCCACTGGGGCACTACCTAGTGGAGCTGTGGGAAGGGGGCCACTGCCCTCCAGACCCCAGAATGGTAGATCCACCAGAAGCTTCTACCCTGCACCAGGAAAAGCCACAAGCATTCAACTCCAACTCCAACCTGTGAGAGCATCCCTGGGGGCTACAAAACCTGCAAAGCCACAAAGGCAGCACTGCCCAAGGCCTTGGGGCTCACCTCTTGCACCAATGTGTCCTGGATGCAGGAAATAAAGTCAAAGAGGTTTATTTTGGAGCTTTGAAATTTAATGACTGCCCTGCTGGAATTCAGATTTCCATGGGGCCTAGTGTTCCTTTCTTTTGGCCAATTTCTCTCTTTTGGAATGGTAGTGTTTCAAAATAGTACTACGATGCCTGTACTACCATTGTATCTTGGGAGTAAACAACTTGTTTTGATTTTACAGGATCATAGGTGGAAGGAGATGAGTCTCAGATAAGACTTAGGACTTTTGACTTAATGTTGAGACCAGTTAAGACTTTTGGATACTATTGTTACTATTGGCAGTACATATGAAATCATATCATGTGTGCCCTTTTTGTTGTTGTTTGCATTATTTCACTCAACATAATTATTGTGAGATTCATTTATATTCTTGTATCCTTTTTATTGTTGAGTTGTATTCTATTTTATAAATATACAAACATTTGTTTATTCAGTCACCTCTTAATTGTATTTTGCAATGTGAGAAGGACATGAGATTTGAGGGGCCATGAATAGAATGATATAGTTTGGATGTTTGTTACCTTCATATCTCATGTTGAAACATAATTCCCAATGTTGGAGGTAGGACCTGGTGGGAGGTGCTTGGGTCATGGGAGCAGACACACTGTCCTCATGATAGTGAGTGAGTTCTTGTGAGATCTGGTTGTTTAAAAGTGTGTGGCACCTCCCTGCTCTCTCTCTTGCACATGATCTCATCATGCAAGGCACTTACTTCTGCTTTGCCTTCTACCATGATTGTAAGTTCCTGAGGTCCTCACCAGAAGCTGAGCCAGTGTTGGTGCCATGCTTGTACAGCCTCAGAACCATAAGCAAATTAAACCCCTTTTCTTTATAAATTACCCAGTCTCATGTATATCTTTATAGTGACACAAGAATGGCCTGACACACTAGGCAACCACTGATCTGCTTTCTGCCACTATAATTTAGTTTTCATTTTAAGAATTTTATATAAATGAAATAATATCACATGTTCTCTTTTTGTTGTTGTTTGGATTCTTCTACTTAACATAATTATTGTGAGATTTGTTTATATTCTTGTATCCTTTTTATTGCTGAGTTGTATTCTTCTCTATGAATATACAAAAATCTGTTTATTCAGTCATCTCTTGATAGACATTTGAAATGTTTCCAGTTTTTGACTATGATAAAGTTACTGTGAACATTTATGCACAGGTTTTTGTATGAACATATGCTTTTATTTTCCCTCAGTGACTACAAGCAGAGGCTAGGTTATATGGTAGGTGGATATTTAACCTTTTCAGAAACTGTTGGCTCTTTTCAAAGTAGTTCTACATTTTGCATCCCCATCAGCAGTGTATAAAGGTTTCAGTTGTTCCAAGTCTTTGCCAATACTTGGCATGGTTAGTCTTTTTAATTTTAGACTTTCCAATAGATGTGTAGAGGTTTTTCATTGTGGCTTAAATTTGCATTTTTCTAATAAATAATAAAGTCGTATCTTCTCTTTTTTTTCTTGATCTGTCTCTTGCTAGAGATTTGTCAATTTTATGATTGTCTCAAAACCAGCTCTTGGTTTAATTGATTTTCTTAGTTGTTTTCATTTTCTATTTCATTGATTTCAATGCTGATTTTTATTATCTCTCTTCTTCTGCTTATTTTGGCTTTCATTTGCTCTTTGTTTTCTAGTTTTTTAAAGCGGAAGCTGAGGCCATTGATTGAGACCTTTTTTTTCTTTTAATATAGAATTTTAATGTTAAGAATTTCTCTGTATGTACTGCTTTAGTTGAATCTCACAATTTTGATATGGTACATTTTTGTTTATATTCAGGCCAAATTCTTCCTAATTTTCTTTTTTGTTGCTTCTTTAAGCTATGGGTTATTTAAAAGCATGAGTGTAACTTACAAATATTTGGGGACTTTTCATATATCTGTTACTTATTTCTTAACAACTTACTGATATTTAACTTAATTGTGAAATGAGAACATAATTTGATGACTCCTTTTAACTGTATGAGACTTGTTTTCTGGTCCATAATATGGCCTATCATGGTGAATGTTCCCTGTAGACTTAAAAACAATGTATATTTTTCTGTTATTGGGTGGAATGTTCTATATATGTCAGTAAGTTGGTTGATAGTGCTGTTTAAATCTTCTATATCCTTATTGTGTTCCTGTCTGTCTCAAAAATGTCTAAACATTTTTGAGAGTGGATTATTGAAATCTTTGATTATTGTGGATTTGTCTATTTCTCCTTGAAGTTCTACTAGCTTTTACTTTGTGTGTTTTGTTGTTCTTCTCTTAGGTGCATAAACATTTACAATTATTGCATATTATTGAAAAATTGCACTTTTTAGCATTATGAAATAATGCTCTTTATTCCTGATAATTTTTTCTGCTCTGAAATCTACTTTGATTTCAACGTAGACTTTCTAACTTTTTTTTTATTTGGGTTAGCATGATGTGTGTTTTTCTAGCCTTTTATGTTTAACCTATTTGTGTCTTTATATCTAAAGTGGGGTTCTTATAGATATCATATAGCTGAGTCTTGTTTTTTTTTAATCGAATCAGTTAATCTCTGCCTTTTAATTGGGATGTTTAGACCACTTAGTGTTTTTATTTACAGTACTGGGTGATATAGTTTAGCTCTGTGTCCCCACCCAAATCTCATCTTGTAGCTCCCAGAATTCCCACATGTTGTGGGAGGGACCTGGTGGGAGATGACTGAATTATGGGGATGGGTCTTTCTCGTGCTGTTCTCATGATAGTGAATGGGTCTCATGAGATCTGGTGGTTTTAAAAACAGGAGTTGCCCTGCACAAGCTCTCTTTGCCTGCCACCATCCACGTAACATGTGGCTTGTTCCTCCTTGCCTTCTGCCACGATTGTGAGGCTTCCCCAGCCACATGGAACTGTGAGTTCTCCATTATACCTCTTTCCTTTGTAAATTGCCCAGTCTCGGGTATGTCTTTATCAGCAGCATGAAAAAACAGACTAATACACTGGGTTTAAGTCTGCTATCTATTTTGTTTTCTGTTTATCCCAGATAGTCTTTTTTCTCTTTTTCTTTTTTGTCTGCCTTCTTTTGAATTAATTGAGTTTGTTTTTATTATTTCATTTTTCTTCTTTGTTGGCTTAGTTAACTATAACTCTTTGTTATGTAGTATTACTAATTGCTTTAGAGTTTACAGTATACATTTTTAACTTACTACATTCTACCTTTAAAAAGTATACTACATATGTAATATATGAACCTTAAAAATATAATTCCATTTCTTCTCTGCCAGCTATTGTGCTACTCTTGTCATACATCTGATTTCTACATCACACCTCACAATGCATTATTATTATTTTTGTTTTGAACAGGCAATTATATTAAAGATATTTAAATGATAATAGTCATTGATTGTCACCTCTTACTAGGGGCTTCTCTCAGGTCATCTTTTGCTATTCTAAAGCTACTTCTTCAGGCTGCTCCTAGTTGTTCTTTACTGCTTTGCCCTAAGCCTGGACACAGAACCTTCCATTAATTCTCCCAAAGAATACTCAGCACAGTAAGAGTGCTGGGGGGCAGGGGAAGTGGGTAGAAATACGTGCAGATGTGCAAGTCTGAGGCTAGCAAAAGAAAAGAAAAAGTTAAAACTGAATATCAGATATACCTACGGTCCAACAAATCATGCCTTCCATAGAAGTCATCCCTGGCCATTTTGCTTTCTAACTCTAGAATTACTAGCATGTTTCTGGGCCAGCTTACCTCCACAGATGGGAAGTTCCTTTGACCATGTCCTTCTCTATAAACTACAGGCCCTGGAAAGACTGAGATTCTCCTTTCTCCCAATCTGAGGCCTACCTCATTTCCTTCCCAAGAGATTGACAGTAAGACCCTCTATCTCCTACAAAGTAGACAGATATCCCACCTTCATTCCTAGGTTGAGTCTGGGCCCTATGACCTGGCTGGCCGTCACATGGTCAACAGTATATTTCCCAAAGACTGTATCAAATCTCCTCCAGTTCCTTTTCATAGTCTTTCACTTCCAATGTGAGATGAAAAGAAGATCAGGCATGTACATTCCTTTCTGTTTAATATGGGCTCATGATCTCAAGAGCATATACTTGAAAAAAAATACAGAGACGTCTCCTAAGAAATGAATGAAGACTTTGATAAATTATCCTTTTTAAATCTATGTTTAGAAAAGCAATCTAAAAGGGCCTGAACTTGCTCATGATACAGCTGATCTACAGTACTGTTCAAAACACTCAGCATCTCAGTGTATATTTGAACGATGTCACTGGTTCAGTGTTAATCCGTGAACAGTGAGGTGTACATACTGACCTGACATCTGCAATATAGTGTTGTTGTTCAGTGCATAGACTGAAAGGCCTCTCTTAATGGACCTTCTCAGAAAATGAAAGGTCTTCTCCCCACCCCAAATTCCTATTTCCCCGTAGAAGCAGAAACTTTCTATTATTCTCTAAATGGAAGTTTCTCAGCTTCATCAATTTTAAAATCCAGAACCACCTGCAGGTAAACTTTCAGCTGGCAACCTTAAAATAATTGTTTTTCTCCCACCATGTCAAAGTTTGAGATAGAATACTATAAAACCTTTAATAATCATTGCCACAAAAAGGCATATGACTTGAACATATAATTACTTGCTTTGCCTGCAGCCTGTCCAACCTCGAAGGGTCCACTCCATATTCTGCTTGTTCTTGGCTTTCCCTTTCCCCGACATGTGTCTAGACCAGATCTGGACACTTATTCAAAGGCCAGCCATGGACCAATCAAACTGCCTGACTCCAGAATTTAGAATCAGCACCTCTGGGCAATGATAGGAATTTGAGTTGAAATGTACAGTCAAGGATGGAGTAGGTTCTATGTGCAACATCCCACTCAGGATGAAGTTATAGGGAGCAGAAACCACAGGCTGCAGAAAAAGCAGGCTTGTAAGAGAGGAGTACAAAGCAAGAGACTATGTGTCCCCCATAAAGAGATGAGGAGAGAGAAGCTGCCTCCTTTGCTAACGTCACTGACCCTAGTTGTAGACCCAGCTGCTCTCTTGCCTTGGGTGCCAGGACATTCTTCCTTGTAGTAGAGACTTTTATTTTCCTATCCAATACCCATTCTTCCCTTCTTGGTTTTACGCAATGTGATAATATACATAACAAAAAGACTGTATCTCCCACCTCCCTTTATAGCTAGGAAGAGCCACAGCCTAAGTTCTGGCCAAAGAGAAGTAAATGGAAGTTGTTGGGTAGAACTTCCTGGAAGTCTCTTAAAGAGGGGGAAGGAAGCTGAATACACTTTTGGGCCCTCTCTACCCTCCTTCTAACTGCCACCTGGAGGGCAGAGTTGATGGCTAAAGCTCCAATTTAAGGATGGATTCCTTGGCTAAGGATGGCAGAGGAGAAAGATGGAAGGTGGTCTGAATCCCTGATGATAGTCAAACTGCCATACAAACCCAGGACTATATACCTCGCAATTTCTTATAATGAGAAAGAAAACAAACTCTTCATGCCAACTTTGCCTCCTTGAGAGCCAGAGGCAATTGGCGATACAGTGCCCTCACAGAGCCAGAACACATTCGGCAAATGTTCCATGCTAAGCATAAGTTTGCAGCCCATGAGCCAAGACACGGGCCCTCCCTCACTATGCTCAGGGCCTTCCAGGGTCCCATGTCCACAAAAAAAAAAAAAAAAAAAAAGGTGGAAGAGCAGATGCTGACCACTTAGAACAGAGCAGAGTACTTTGTGGAGTGGTTACCCAACAGTATCAAGGTGGCCACGTGGGGTGCCCCTCCTCCATGACTCCAGGTGATTATGTGAGGCGCCTCTTCCTGGGGCTCAAGGTGGTATTCATGCTTATTGACAAGAGCACTATTATGCATAGGTGTTTTAAATGCATCTGAGAACAGTTTTCTGCCATCGTTGCCGGAAGGCCTTCCTTCACTGGTTTACAGGAAAGGGGATGGGGAGGTAAAATTCACAGAAGCTGAAAGTAGCATGAGTGACCTGGTGTTAGAATCCTAGCAATGTGAAGAAGCTACAATTAACGATGGAGGAGAAACTTTAGAAGATGGTAAGGAAAAGATCAAGAGACAACGAAGCCTCTCTGCTTCACATCCTAAAAACCCATAATGTTTTTTTTGTTTTGTTTTGTTTTGTTTTGTTTTTTGAGACAGAGTTTTGCTCTTTTTGCCCAGGCTTCAGTGCAATGGCACGATCTTGGCTCACTGCAACCTCCACCTCCCGGATTCAAGCAATTCTCCTGTCTCAGCCTCCCGAGTAGCTGGGATTACAGGTGCCTGCCGCCACACCCGGCTAATTTTGTATTTTTAGTAGAGATGGGGTTTCACCATGTTGGTCAGGCTAGTCTCGAACTCCTGACCTCAGGTGATCTGCCCACCTTGGCCTCCCAAAGTGCTGGGATTACAGGTGTGAGCCACCATGCCCCACCCGCAAAATGTCTTTTTAACCCTTTATGACTGAAGACTTGCACATCTTCCCACTTAATGGCTGCTGGGTATAATGGCTCACACAGGTCTAAACACGTTATATAGGACTCTCACAGATAGGATAAAATTGTAATAGAAGCCATCTGGGATACAGAAAGTACGTTAAAATAGCAAGGGATTGGCAATCCCACCAAACAGATCAGACAATGAGAATTTTCTACTACAGTTGAGAAAACTGATGTGCCATAAGCCTTGTTTTCCACTAAATGTTCAGCCACAGTCTGAAATGAAGGGTAGTTAGAATAATTAGTAGTTTTTCATCCTTTTTGATGAATTTCTAAAGTTGTATAGTAATAACATGTCTTGAATATGCCATACTGAACATTGAAACAATCTTTTCATAATAAAATGCTAAAAAATGTAAAAAGAAGTTTGTTGAAATAAACTTGGTAGTATCTAGTAAGGTTGAACATAGGCAAACCCTGTAACCCTACAATTTCCTCATAAATATAAACCCTACAGCAGGAGATGGCAAACTTCTGAAAAGGGCCAGTTAGTAAATATTGTCGGCTTTGCAGGTCCTGATTTTTCCATTGCAACTACTCAATTCTGCATAAATAGTGCAAAAACAGCCATCAATGATGTGTAAACAAATTTGAATGACTATATTCCAATAAAGTTTACTTACAAATACAAGTGGTGGGCCAGATTTAGTCAACTGCTACTAGAGAAACTCATGCAGATGTATGCCAAAATATGGGTACAAGAATATTACTGCAGGATCATTTGTAGTAGACCCAAACTGAAAACAACCCAAATGCAAATATCCATCAACAAGACACTACGTAAATAAACCACGGTGTATGTATCCACTGAATATCAAACGGCAAATTGAATGATCCCTATAGTACAAATAACACACTCTTTTAAGAGTCCTTGGGTGACTTTGTTGTTGTTGTTGTTAAGACGGAGTCTTGCTCTTGTCGCCCGGGCTAGAGTGCAATGGCGCGATCTTGGCTCACTGCAACTTCCGCCTCCTGGGTTCAAGCTTCTCCTGCCTCAGCCTCCTGAGTAGCTGGGATTACAGGCGCCCACCACCAAGCCTGGCTAATTTTTGTACTTTTAGTAGAGACGGGGTTTTGCCATGTTGGCCAGGCTGGTCTGGGTGACTCTTAAAAACAAAATGTTGAGCAAAGTAGCCAGACTCAAAAGAGTACATTCTTTATGACATTTGATTTTGTAAACACTAAACAATATTGTCTAGGAAAGCATCTTAGGTGAAAAAACTGTCAAATAAAGCAAACAAGGAATTACAATGAAAGTCAGAAGGCAAGGAACAATGGTGACCATGAAGGGGTTCATAGAAGGCTTTGGGTGTTGGCGATGTCCTATTCCTCAACTTAGGTAATGGTTACGTAGATACTCATTATTTTATATTTTACAGAAATCATACATCTAGGTTTTTAATCCAGTTTTTTTGTGTGTGTGTAAATTTTATAGAAAAATGTGGGGTTCTGTTTAATACTTTCCATCTATAAAGTGCTACACATGACAGATGTTAATATATAATGTCTAGTTCTCCCTGAAAAAAAGGTGCCACTCACGGTTTTTATTTTCTGTGTAAGAGCAGGTGTCTGTCTTGCCCTATGGCTGGGAGCTAAGGTTGACCAGCAATATGAACAAATCAGAAGCATATTAGCCAGCACTTTGTATTCATGTACTTTCACATGCATGTAACATAATTTCTTAGTAGTTCATATGCTTTTATTTTGTAATCTGCAAAATACTAATGTGCACACCCTTCAGAAAAATGTCTGTGCATTGTTCCTGTAAGTGAAATCAGACATCGACTACATGGCATTCTGGAGTAGTTGGGGTCTGCAGCTGTCTTCCCTCTTTTACTCTGAAAAATATTATGAAATTGAGAAGTGCTATCTTTGATAGTGTCTCCTGGGAGCAGAACACGTGATGAACAGACTTCCACCGTGGAAGAGATGGGTGAGGAGGTTAAGTAAATTTTCTTTGTGTAGTTCCCATTAAACTTCAATCAGAGTTACAGAAAGAAATTTCCTCCAGGCGGCTGCGAATACAGGTATTGGTTTGACTTTAATAAAAGTCATAACTGATCTCTCTGAGGTCTCTCGTGGAATGAGCTCAGCAGAATTCAGGCAGGTCCTTGAGAGGAAAAGCGCCCACTTAAACATCGCATTATCCTAATAATCCCATTCCAGAGCTGCCGTCCCATTATTTTAAAGGTCTTCATTTGCAAATTGTGGTATTTGAAAGTTTTCTTTTTACATTATTGCAGAAAGCAGGATGGATCTTTCTGAGGGTCACACACCTATTTACAGACTCTCTCTCCTTCCAGACCAGAGTAAGGCAGCAAGGTAGAGGCTGCTTTGCACCTTCACGTCATTGCTTTAATTAAACCACCCTGTTTAAAGTAACACCTGCTTTGAAGGTAAGACTGCTTTTAATGAGCTTTATTAAGAAAGAAAAAAGAAATTCTGTCATTGCTAAAGAAGAGCCCTGGTCAAGATGGCGATCAGGGTAACATTGTCCCAAGGCATAAAATCTCATCCATTCAGTTTTTATCCAACAAATCTTTTCAGCACACCTGGTGTGCGTTAGGCACTTCTCTAGGCCCTTAAATATAGCAGGTATCAAGATAGAGAAGAAATTTGCAATCCAGTAAGGGAAACACCCAGGGAACAAACAAAAAATTAGTAAGATAATTTCAGATAATGATAAGAAGACAATAAGAAAATAAAAGATTGGATAATAAACTAGGTGATGATTTGGGATGGGGGCACCAATGTAGATGGGGTTGAGGGGAGCCCCTTTGAGAGGATAATAAGTGAGTTGACAACTAATGAATGAGAAGGAGCTATCCATGCAAATATTTCAAGGAAAGGGGGTTCCAGGATGCTGTCGTTTAGATGTTTGTCCCACCAAACCCTATGTTGAAATTTGATCCCTAATGTTGGAGGTAGGGCCCAATAGGAGGTACTTGGGTCATGGAGGTGAATCCCTCATGGATGGCTTGGTGCCCTCCCTGCAGGGGCAGGAGGTGGGGAAGCAAGTGGGTTCTCACTCTATTAGTTCTTGCGAGATGGGTTGTTGAAAAGAGCCTGGCACCTCCTCCTCGGTCTTGTGTCCTCTCTTGCCACGTGATCTGCACACACTGGCTCCCCTTTACCTACTGCCATGAGTGGAAGCAGCCTGGGCCCTCACCAGAAGTAGATGGTGGTGCCATGGTTCTCATACAGCCTGCAGAACCATGAACCAAATAAACAGCTTTTCTTTAAAAAATTACCCAGCATCAGGTATTCCTTTATGGCAACATGAATAGACTAACCCACAGGGAGAGGATACAGCAATGCCAAGTTCTTGAGGGAAGAAATTTTGTAACACCTGAGTGTCCTGTATGAAGAAAGAGGGATACAAGATGCACTTCGAAAGATAGGCAGGGGGTCCTGCCTGGGCCATGGAAAGGCTGTAGATTTTACTATAGGTGCCAAGTCTGTTTTTTTAAATATGTAAATAAACATTTCTTAGGATAACGTCTAGCGTTCTTTCTGGAGTGCAGAGAAACTTGGGTGAGTGTGAGGGAAAATGTAAACTGGCCCTGAATCCTGGCTTTGCCTCTTTGCTTTTGTATGACTTTGCATAAGGTTCCCCAACATCTCCAACCCCATCTGTAAATGGGCATAATAAGTACTTTCCCGAGTAGCGGTGAGTGTTAAATATCTGTGAACAGACTCCGCCTGGTGCTGACGCTTTGTGGGCACTTGATCATTGTCAGCAGAATCTTCCTCTGAATGACCCCATGGGCCTGCTTATCCTCTGGGGAAGCCTGTTTTTCAGTAAAAGATCATTGTTGAAATTGAGATTAGGCCAACAATCATGCATCAAGAAAAATCTGAAGATATTAACAGACCCTGGGCAAGCAGTCTTGGTGTAGCGGAGCAGGCACTCAGTTCTGGTTCCGACTCTGCTAATCACTAACCAAATGATCTCAGGGAACCTGGCCTGCGTTTCCAAATCTGAAAAACGGGAGTAATCATCATAATTCTGGCCCTGGTTCATCCCAAGAGTTATGAGGGTTTCAAACAAAATAATGTGTGTAACCATGAGGGCTTTTTGCACAGATGAAATGTTAGCCTCACAAGCTCCTTTTGCTAATGCTTCACTCTGTTCAGAGAGGTCAAACTTCTAAGACCCCTGAATAAGTCTCGAGGCAACACTAAGAGTTGAGGGAGGAAGCAGGTGATTATTTTAGGCTTTACCCTGGTCTTGTTCTATACTGGAATGAAATATTCACTTACAAATTTTCTTGGGATGTTCTGTAATTTACAGTAGTCCCCCCCTTATCCACGGGGGCACATTCCAAGACCCCCAGTGGATCCTGAAACCACAGATTGAATTGGACTCCTAGATATGCTATGTGCTTTCCTATACATACATACCTATGATAAAGTCGAATTTATAAATCAGGCACAGTAAGAGATTACAACAACAACTAATAATAAAATAGAACAATGATAGCAATATACTATAATAAAAGGTATATCTCTCTTCTCTCTCAAAATATCTTATTGTACTGTATTCACCTATTTTCAGACTGTGATTGACCATGGGTAACTGAAATCACAGAGTGAAACCACAGGTAAGGGGGACTACTATATACTCTTTTTTTTTTTTTTTTTTTTTTTTGAGACAGAGTCTCACTGTCACCCAGGCTGGAGTGCAGAGGCATGATCTTGCCTCACCGCAACCTCCACCTCCCAGGTTCAAGTGATTCTCATGCCTCAGCCTCCCAAGCAGCTGGAATTACAGGCACACACCGCCACACTCGGCTAATTTTGGTATTTTTAGTAGAGACAGGGTTTCACCATGTTGGCCAGGCTGGTCTCGAACTCCTGGCCTCAAATGATCCACCCACCTTGGCCTCCCAAAGTGCTGGGATTACAGGCGTAAGCCACCGTGCCCTGCCTGTATACTCTTTATCAGATTTAAAATGACTTTAGTTTGATTCTTCCATCATATGTCCTCTCTTTTTGGAGGGTAAGAGATGCCATCCCGATGGGTATTCATTCTAATCCCTCTTTCCCCCATCCACCTTCCCCGCTCTTTCTCCTTTCTGCAGAGCAGAGCCCACAAACCAGTGTGCACTCTGGGCCATCCAGGAGTCTCATCAGGGTTATGATAATCACACCATCAGTAACACTGGTCAGCCCAGTTGACAATGCATGTGTCAGTGCTGTGGGCATTCCAGTTTCTTTGCCTGATTAGAAGGGGTCCCCTTCAGGGCATAGAAATTTCAGCTTCTCTTCACTTCTGACTTTTGCCTGAACAAAGGGACACAGACAAAGGAGGCATGGCTGGGGCTAGAAAGGGGTGAGGGGCCACTGGGAGTGCACCCGGGAGAGCTCAGCCTTGGACAGAAGGAGTGGAGGGAGGTCCCGGTGACAAGGCTGGAAAATGGAGAAAGTCGGAACAGCTCCAATACTGCATCATCAGATAAATCTACCTCTGCACCTAAACAGAGATGGTGACCTAAAGAGACAAACAGCTGGGCCATGGATACGTGGGTACAACAGGAGGAGAGAAGGCATGTCAATATAGAATCAACTGGGTTTTTGTTGTGTGTGTGTGTGTGTGTGTGTGTGTGTGTGTGTGTGTTTTCCATCTCTTGCTGGCTTGGATGCAGGTCTGTTTCCAGTTCTGGAAATGAAGATAATGGCCCAGGGTGGGCAGAATTATAGAGAGGGCTGGGGTTTCTCCACAAGGGAATCCTGAAAACACACATTCTCCTATTCAATTGCTAGGACAGTCCTACGTAGTAGGGTAGAATTGATCATTATTCTCAGTAACAGGGGAGAAAACTGAATCCAAAGTGATTAAGGACTCATCCTTTGAGATACCGTTTATGAAAGGTTAGGCCTATACTTAAGTGGGCTGGCTCCAGTCTTGTGCCTCCTGGCCAGCCAGGACTACAGGAGTCCCTCATGCCACCCACAATGCCAGCCCCACCTCCACCTCCATCACCTACACCTCAGAAGCACAAATGAGAGTCCAGACTCCCAGGAATGATGCTGACTCTGCTCACTAACTGGAAGGAGAAGAAGTGGACCTATTGCTCCCACCTATTTAAAGGAACAATTTGTACTGATTAAGAAAGGCATTTGTTCAAGTCTGCAAATCCTTTTAAGAACTAGGATCCACTTCTGTGCTGAAAAGGCTTGTGCTCAGAGCTTCTAACTGATGATAATTACTAGTCAGTTATTCTTTTGTGAAGCCCATGGGCCCAGCAGAGCACCTTGAGTGGGTGGTGCCTGCAGGCCCAACTGTGCTGGCTGGCTCCTCTAGCATCTTGCATTAGGAACTGAAAGCCAACCAGCTGGGCTCCCAGAGGGACCAGCAACAGGTCCCAATCTGATCTGAAGCCCACTTTTTTTATTTTTTTGCCAGATAAAATACAGGTGTGCCAGATGGGACACACTTGACTAAAAAAGTTACATGTCATTTATCTGAAATTTAAATTAAATTAAACTTTCACTGGGCATTCTACATTTTAACTTGCTAAATCTGGCAGCCTTATGCACCACTGACTCCATTCCCACGAGCCTGCCTCCTGTCCTTCAGTTGTGAATGACTCCTTGAGTAAGAATGCCTTTTCTCCTCTGGACTTCCCATGGTTTGGAGGCCCCAGAATCTGTGGGGATTGGAGGAGCATAAATATAGATTGATGCCTTCTATCTGCCAGGCTGAGTACTTTACATATTCTAACTCATTTTAATCTTCACCACAACCCTCTGAAGTATGTATTCTTAGCCCATATCACAAATGAGGAAATCGAGCATCAGAGAATTTTCCTAACTTTCTCAAATTTGCTCCCTCATAAGTGGTAGGACCAAGATTTTAATCCACGTGTATGGATTCAGGGAGGGAGTGAATGCAACTCTGTGATGTCACCTCTCTAACCTCCATTTCCCGTATGAAATGGGAGCTGATCACAATGATACCAGCTTTACAGGATTAAAAGTGATGCTGTACTTATGTAATCACCCCAGAGCCTGGCACATGGTTGGTACATGAGGATGGCTTTTAGGCTTTCACTTTCCATGTTTGGTAGATCCAAAGCCATCTAGTGCCCATGGCAAGAGAGTGTAGCCTAGAAGATTCCCTTTGGCAGAAACAGCAGCTTTAGGGATGTGACAGAAGACCAAGAAATCCTTGCAGTTCTGCCCGAGTTCTGGGGCCCCTGATGATTCTGTCTCTAAATGCCAGCTGGGTTATCTATAAAATGAGGGATAATTGTGCTCAAAACCTCAGTATGTAAAGTGATGGGTTAATGGTTCCAAGGGGCTTTTGAGGTCCCAAATCTATGAGTAGTCCAAGACCAATGTGCATGT
This sequence comes from Homo sapiens, assembly GCF_000001405.40. Taxonomy (NCBI): domain Eukaryota; kingdom Metazoa; phylum Chordata; class Mammalia; order Primates; family Hominidae; genus Homo; species Homo sapiens. The sequence goes on along the minus strand of NC_000001.11, from coordinate 38,376,066 downwards.
TCTCATCGGCCCTTGGGCATCTCCCAAGCTGTGTGTGCCTCATTGGAGGTCCTGGGCAATCACATCTTGTCCTGATGGGGAGGATGATATTCTTCAGCCTCCCATACAGGTGGTCCTGAACACTGCCCTTGAAACCACCTTTGCAAAATTGTAACAGTGAGAGAAATTTAATACAGCTGACTCCATCTTGCTTCTAACCTTACATGCTAACTTGCCTTTGCTCATCTCTGCAGGTAGACCAGGCTAACTATGGGAGGAATTTGGTTTGTAATTTAAATTTAAAGAAAGGATGCTAATAGTTCCTTCCCAAAAATAACTACCTCTTTATTCAGGGGCCAAAATCACCTTTATAAAACTAATGAAAAGCCACAAGCTTAGAATTATGATAGGGATCTGAATTTTGCTAACATGTAGGCATAGTTAAATAAAAACTAGTCATTGTTTTCTAACTTGCCTGTCTGTAATTGCATACTACTCAGGAGTCACTACCCAGTGGTCATAAGATTTGTAACTTCCTCAACTGCCCCTATAAATAGCATTGTGAAACCTAAGACGGGTCTTTGAGATATTTTTCAGACTTTGCATTCCAGTGGACCAACTGATGCCACCCAGACCAGTGACCCCCACCCAGGAACTGACTCAGTGCACAAAGACAGTTTTGGTACACTTATGATTTCATCCCCAGCCCAGCCAATCAGTAGAACCTATTCCCTAGCCCCCTTCCCACCAAACAATCCTTAAAAGCCCTAGTCTCCAAATTCTCAGGAGGGGAATTTGAGAAATAGCTCATGTTCTCCTTGCTCAGCCACTTTGTGATTATTAAACTGTCTGCTGCAACACCTGCTGTCTCAGTGTATTGGCTTTTTCTGTGCAGTGGGAAAGAAGAACTTGAATGGGTTGTAACACCCTCTCCCTACCCGAATGTAGCCCCTCCCACCTCTGCTATGATCTGTTGCCCAATTGGACTTCCTTTCAGAACCTACACCAACTCTTTCTGGATAAGTCATGGCCCCTGTCTTGGGGATGGGTCAAGTTCTAGGTCCCAATGCCCCTTTTCAGCCCGTTGGCCTTGGCCATGCTACTTGGGGGTCCCAAAATAACCAGGTAAACAAGTGGAAAGAGTTCCAAGAACTAGTGTCCTCAAATGTCTTCCTAAGCCTTCTGTAGAAACCCATGGAATGTGTGGCTTGAGAATAGTGGTTGAAAAAAACCTCTGTGCCTAAGATGCATGTCTCAGAGGGCTTCCAATTGCTGTTACTGCAGTAACTAAGCATCTGGTTGCTGAAGAAATGACAGAGAACAGGAGAAATAAAGCCCATTTCCCAGGTCTCCCTGAATGGTTAGCAAGGTCAAAATACAAATAAATAGTGTGGAACGAGGTACATAGGCAGGTTAGATGGTAGGCCCTAAGCAAATAGGGTGCTTTCTTAGCACAAGTGTCCAGAGGAAGCTTAAACTCTGAGACACAGTGCCCATGACTGTCTTGGTCATTGTTGTATTCCTCATGCCAAGATCAGTGTCTTGCACATGGTAGGTCCTCAGTAAATATTAGGTTGGTGCAAAAGTAATTGTGGTTTTGCCATTGAAAGTAATGACTCATTTAGTCATGAGTGGATGGATGGTTGGCTGGATGGATGGATGGATGGGTGGATGACATCTGACATTCAGTTACAAGGCAGCGGTTTAGCAGAAAATGTCAGGATGACATTCTTGAAGAAAGTAAAGAGCAGCAAGTATGGGGCAAAGGTGAGTAGACCATTTGGGTCACCTTGTGCCATCCTGGAGGGGAAGATTATAGGTGGAGAGACTTTAGTCTTCGATCAGAGCCGCAAAACAGAGACAGAGTATGCCTGTGTTGCCAAGCTCTCAGGTAACATCTAGACACACCCTCTAGTCTCTTCCATTTTACAAGGCCAAAACCCCTGGTGCATTCTTGGCTCCTTTCTTCTCTCATATCCTACATCCAATGTATCATTAAACCCTGCTGGCTGTATCTTAAACGTATATCCTGAATGCAGTTACTTCTCACCGTCTGTACAATTTCCATCTTGATTGAAGTTACTAGGCCTCTTATCTACACAGATAGTTTTAACAGCTTGAAGACTAAACTCCAATCTTCTTTCTCTCTTGCCCAAATTCATATCTAAAGGGCCTGGAGACTCTCGTCCTACAAACCATAAAATTTCATCAGATTGGTTTTATTAACTCTACATAACATGGCTTACTTTCCACCCTGAGTCTGGCATAACATCACATGACAGATAAAGAAATCAGAATATTTTACCCCAAAATAGGTTTCTTTGCTGTATTTTGAAATGACCCTGCAAAGCTATCTTTTGTGGGGAAAATTTTGCATCTGTAAAGAATCTCTACTAGCAAAACTAGATCTTTCCCCTGCCAATCCTGAAGGGATTAACTGAGAGTCTAGCACCTTTCAAAATAGGAATCTTTGCCATCTGTTGTCTCTAAGGGTGGCCACCTGAGAGACTTCATCTATATAATAAGAACCTTGGTTTCCACAACCCCTTATCTTTACCCAGACACTCCTTTCTATTGATCCCAGATTTTTAGATAATAACTCTTTCACCCAATTGCCAATAAGAAAATCTTTGAATGCACCTATGACCGTAAGCCTCCCCTCCATCTTTCTGGACCGGACCAACATATATCTTACACATATTAATTGATATTTTATGACTCCCTAAAGTGTGTAAAACCAAGCTGTAACCCAACCACCTTAGGCACATCTTCTCAGGACCTCTTGAGGCTGTGTCATCGGTCATGGTTCTCAGATTTGGCTCAGAATAAATCTCTCCAAATATTTTACAGAGTTTGGCTTTTTCATCCACAAGCTCCTGTCTCCCTGCTTCTACACTAGCTCCTGACACTGACTCTCCATAGAGAAGCCATTGTATTCTTTAAGAAAGTCAGGTCAGATTATACCCCTTCTTTGCTCTGAATCCTCCAAAGCTTCCCACTCCCATCTCACTCAGAATCAAAAAAGTCTTTGCAGTGGCCAGTAAAGCCCCACACAACCTCGCTCCCACTCTCCTGCTGACTGATTTGCCCCTCGTTCACTGCTTTCCTGCTACTCTGGTCTGCTCTAGCCTGATCACTGTTCCTCAGACACACTGGTGTGTTTCTCATCTCAGGGCTTCTGCGCTTGCTCTTCCACCTGCCTGGCCATTTCTAGATGGGCCTTGTCCGGCTTTGAGGTCAGCTAGAGGTGAGTGTTACACTCGGTGCTTCTGCTTTGCCATAAGGAAATTTATGATTCCAGCTAACTGGTCTCCTGCACACTAAATCAGTTATTCTGCTGGCCAGGACTACCTAGAGCTTGGTCAGGTCCTTACCAGAAAAAAATAACCAGTAAGTCAGTGACTCGGCCCCTGGAGTAAGGAATTTGAGAACAAGGTATGTATGGTTGTGCTGGTTGTACACTACACAAGGGCACAAGTCAAGGTGGCCAACAGGGGCTGGAATACAGCTGGAGTGCTGCTTGCCAAGCTTGCCAAATAGTAGGACACTGTGCAGGGTTGCATCCTCCCAGAGGAAGTGTGCCATCTTCTAATTCACACAGAGGTACTGTATGAGCCACAGTGAACCTGCCCAGAAGCTGACCTGGCTATAGTGGGTAGCTGGATGGTAAGCAGTTGGCATTCAAGTGAGGAACACCAAAGGCAGGTGCTGCAGCCTTGGTTCTGGTCCCGGAAACAGTGGGTACTGGATGGGCCTGTCCATGGGAAACCAGCAACAGGCAGATGCTAGGCAGCTAGCTGGGTGGTGGGAAAGCCCTCTCTCTCTCTCTGCCCTTCCAACTACATAATGTGAGTTCCAACTAGGCCAGGGATAGAAGCAGCCTAAAACTCGCTCAGAATTTAATAAAAGCTGCAGAATCTCTTACAGAAAAGAACATACACACATCCTAAATTTTGCACACAATTTCTAGGGACCCATACCACTCACCTACTCACCCTCTACCTGTGGCTATTCAGTCAAATACCCCTGTTAATCCAGGTGTCTGTAAGAGTCCTCCTAAAGAGGGTGTGGCAGCTCACACCTGTAATCCCAGCACTTTGGGAGGCTGAGGTGGGAGGATGGTTTGAGCCCAGGAGTTTGAGACCAGCCTGGGCAACATAGGAAGATCCTGTCTCTACAAAAATGAAAAAAATTTAGCTGGGTGTGGTGGCACATGCCTGTGGTCCCAGCTATTTGGGAGGCTGAAGTGGAAGGATTGCTTGAGCAGGAAGTCAAGCCTGCAGTGAGCTATGATCATACCACTGCACTCCAGCCTTGGCAATGGAGCAAGACCCTGTCACAAAAAAAAAAAAAAAAAAAAAAAAAGTCCTCCTAGCTCAGATGCAAAATCTAAGCAGCACATCTAAACACTCTAAGGAAGCACCTGCTCAGTGGCAGCTGTGCTGAGAGTTGGGGCTGCAGGGCAGGATGGAGATTTTTGAAAACCGTCTGAGAGGGCAGACCCCAGAGCAGAACCCTCCTTGACCCAAAGGACCAGGGACTTCAGGAGGAACTTTCTCTTCCCCTCTCTTCCTCCCAAACCCAGAAACCCTGTTCGGTTTCTTTTCCTTCTTAAGGGAACAGGCAGAGCCCTGGCCGCCTCCTCCACAGCACAGACAGCCCCATCACCAAAGGGCCCAGACAATTAATTACCCACCATCATGGCGCCGTTTCGCCTTCAATTTTCCTGACTACCACAGGAGTAACTCAATCTGTGAGACTTCACTGGGCCATTTAAGGGAGCATCATAACTCTTTCTGTTCCCCAGAAATTGTAACCCGGACTCGGTTTTGTAATGCTAATTGCCTTATCTTCATAAATTCTACAGTCTTACATAATTTGCCCGCATTGTAGCAGGATTTCCCAAGAATAAAAAAGCAGGTGCCGTCAATGGTAATTTGAATAAGAAAAGACATGTTAAGTGGTTCTTCTCTCACTAGTAATAGAAATTAATTAGCTTTGAGCGGCTTTGGAGGTTTTTGCATTTTTTGCTGTAACCTGTTATGTTTTCTAATTGTATGGAAAGAAGGTTTGATTTGATCACATTATTTGGTGACGGAGAGGCCTCTGTTTGGAGTCAAAGGTACAGGAACGGTGGCAGCCTCAAGTGTGGGAAGCCACCAGAGGCTTGTAGAGAGTGTGGGCTTTGCAGTCGGATAAACATGAATTCTGAGCCAGGGTAAGCCACTTGCTAACTCTGTGAGCCTGGACAAATCACTTCTCCCATTTAAACTTAAGCTTTCTCATCTGTAAGAAAGAGGTCACAAACTCTAACTGGAAGGGAGGGAGCCCAGCGCTGAGCAGTTAAGAGCATTGGCTCAGGATCTGCAAGTTTCTGCCTTCAGATCCGGAGCCCATCGATGACTTGCTCTCTGACTTTTCCAATTGGGGTGCCTTTGATTTCAAGAAACATGAAATACTATTTAAACTGGCTTAAGCTCTCCAAAAATTTATTATTTCCTATGAGAACACTAGGGCTAGTGCAGGCTGCAGGGGTGGTACAATTAATTGATGGGTTAATGTCATCAAAGATATAGGTCTACTTTCTCTCTTCACTCTGCCATACCCAACACTGGCTTTATCCTAAAGTAGGCTCTCCCCTCCCCTGGCAAGAAAGGAATACAATCTTCCTGGTTGACATCTAGCAGAAGAGGGAGTGAGTGTCTCCCACTAACGTGAGTTACAAATCCTTCCCTTCAGTCTGACTGAGCCAATTATTTTGCCAGTCCACCCCTGGAGCAATAATTGATTCCAGGAGAAGGCCACACATGGATTGTTAGACTAATCAGAAGCTACATCCATAGAGCTGGGATGGGGTCTGCTTCCCTGTGACTCATGTCGGGGAGTAATTCTATTAGGAAGGAAGAAGTGGAGGTCGGACGTGTTGGCTCACGCCTGTAATCCCAACACTTTGGGAGGCTGAGGTGGCTGGATCATCTGAGGTCAGGAGTTCAAGACCAGCCTGACCAACATGGTGAAACCCCGTCTTTACTAAAAATACAAAAAATAGCCAGGTGTGGTGGTGGGCTCCTATAATCCCAGCTACTCGAGGGGCTAAGGCAGGAGAATCGCTTCAACCTGGGAGGTGGAGGTTGCAGTGAACTGAGATTGCGCCACTGCACTTCAGCCTGGGCAACAGAGTGAGACTCCTTCTCAAAAAAAAAGGAAGGAAGAAGTGGGGATGTGGATGAGGAATAGGCAACTAGTGGTATCCCCGCTGTAGTAGGTACAGTACACAGTGCAGACATGCTGCATACTAGACACGTAGCAATAACTACCTTGGGCAAGTTACTTATTTCCATTAAGCTCTGTTTCCTTCTCTGTATAACAAGGACAATAAAAGCACCACCTCCTAAGGTGGCGTGAGGGTTTCATAACACAGATCTGAAGCACACTGGGCCTTCCATGTGCTCTAGTTTTTTCCTTCTGCTTTGTTTTCCCTCTTTCCTTGAAAGAAATCCTCTAGCAAGTTGTTCAAAGCAACTCTCGCATTTTGGAAGGACAAAGGAGGAAGAAATGACAGGAGAAATTTCCTTGAGTATGTTCTTCAAAGTAGCACCTTTTCAACCACAAGAAAATAATGATTAAGGGAAAGTATTGCCAAAGATAGAATTGAGGGAGTATGACTATGATAAAAAAAAGAAGCATTATGAAAGCAAGACCATAAAACATGTGGAGAAGATAGTCAAAGGTTGATACTCTTTACACACTTGCACCAACCAACACCACACTGCCTCCTGCCTCAGTTCACTCCCCGTGGTTATACCCTGGGTCCTGGCTCCAAATCATGGCACGCCAAGTGACAAGCAGGTCCCTTTGCTAAGGGAAAGATGCCACAGAGACTCAAAGAGTCTTCTGCCCTTGATCAGAGTCATAAAGACAGAGCTGGAAGGCAATTCTTCATTCAGCTGGCTAAGCCCCTCATTGTACAATTTTGAACACATTGAAGTCCAGTGATTGTCAGATTGGATAAACGTGCAAGAGTCAACTATTTTCTGTCCACAGAAAATACATTTAACATGTAAAGACACAGATATGTTGAAGGGAAAAGAGATACCATGCTTTTTCTTATGCAAACAGTGAACATATGAAAGCTGCTGTGCCTATATTAATATCAGACATATTATACTTCAAGATAAGAAATATTATGAGAGATAAAGAGAGTTATTTCATAATGATAAAAGGTTTAATTCATCAGAAAGACATGACTGTTGTAAATGTGTGTGTGTCTATTAATGGATCCTTAAAAGAAATGAAACAAACATTGGCTATCATAGTTGGCCATTTCAACATCACCCTCTCAGCAATTAATGGGACAACTAGGCAAAAAGAATCAGTAAAGATACAGAAAATTTGAACAACACTATAGATCAACTTTACCTAATTCACATTTATAGAACACTATACCTCAATGCCTGCAAGATATACATCCTTTTCAAGTGTATACGGAATGCTCACCAAGACAGGCCATATTTTGAACCATAAGTTTCAGAAAATTTCAAAAGATTAGAAACTTACAGAGTATGTTCTCTGACAACAGTGGATTTAAATTAAAAAATCAATTAACACAAAAATATCTGGAAATGTTCCAAATAATTAGAAATTGAAGAATGCACATCTAAATAACCAATGCATCAAAGAAGAAATCACAAAGGAAAATGTAAAATATCTTGAAATGAATGATAATGAATATACAACATATAAAAACCTGTGGGATATAATCAAAGCAGTGTTGAGAGGGAAATTTATATGTGTATGTGTGTGTATATTTAAATGTTCATGTTGGAAAAGAAGAAAGATTTTAAAATAACTTATCTAAGTGTCTGCCTTAATATGCTAGAAAAAGAAAAGAAAATTAAGTAAAAGAAAGGAAATAGTAAAGACAAGAGCAGAAATAAATGAAAGAAAAAGGCAAAGAAGAGAGAGAATTAACAAAATTTCGTTCTTTGAAAAGATTGAAAAACCCCTGGCAAGACTGATGAGAGAGAGAGAGAGAGAACACACGCTATTAAGGATAAAAGAGAAATCACAGATGTTACAGATATTGAAATAAAAATAAGGCAATATTTTGCCAATAAATTTGACAACTCAGATGAAATTGACAAATTCCTTAAAAACACACACATGCAAACACAACTTTCCAAAACTGACACAAGAAGAAATAGAATATTGGATTAAGCCTGGGTTATATACAATATTGGATTAGAATACTGGATTACAAATTTGAATTTGTAATAAAAAACTTTTCCGTAAAAAATATTTCACTGGTAAGTTCTATTAAACTTACAGATAAATAACCTCAATCTCACACAAATTCTTTCAGAAAATAGTGAGAGATAAAACAACCCCCAACTAATTTTTATAAAGCCAGCAAAACTCAATACCAAAACCAGACAATTAAAAAGAGTCGTATACTAATATTTTTCCTAGATATGGGTTCAAAAATCCTTAATGAAATATTATAAATCGAATCTGGAAATATGTAAAAAGATACTGCATCATAACCAAGTGAGTTTTATCCCAGGAATGCAAGGTTGATTTAACATTTGAAAATCAATGTAATTTACCACATTGCGAAAATAAGGGAGAAAAATCATTTGAGAAACTCAGCATACATTCAGCTCACAGAAAACTTCCTCAGACTGATGAAGAGCAGACTGGTACATAAGAGCCGACTGGTCCTGTTGGTGCATAAACAACACCAACAGTAATGACAACAGCAACTACTCCAACCTACAGTGAACATCCTATTTAGTAGGTGAAATACTGAACACTTTCCACTTCATGCTGAGAACAAGGCGAAGATGTTTGCTCTCACCACTTCTATGCAACATTGCACTGGAAATTGTAGCCAGTACGATAAGGAAGAAAAAGAAATAAATATTGGAAAAGAATTAAAGCTGCCTTTATTCAGCAATGATATGACTATTTATGTAGAAACGTTTTAAGAAATAAAATCTTAAGACTATGCAAACTAATGCATTAATTTAGCAAGATCACTAGTATGTGAGGTCCATATACACAAAGCAATTTTATTTGTATCTACTTGTGATAAACAATTAGAAAATTTCATTCATAATAGCATAAAAGTATAAAATATTCAGGAATAAATTTAATGTAATATGTACAAGACCTTTACATTTAAAAATCACAAAATATTAAAGAAATTAAAGAAGACCTAAATAAATGAAAAAATGTACCATGTTTATGGATTAGAAGTCTCAATGTTACAATGTTACAATATCCATTTTCCCCCAAATATCTATAGATACTATGCAATCCCAATAATAAGTTCAATAGGCTGATTTTTAAAATGAAATTGACAAGTTGTTTCTACTATATATGTATGATATTGCAAAGGATTTAGAATAGCCCAAATAATATCAAAATAAAGAACATAGTTGGAGGTTATTACCTTATTTTAAGACATAAAAAGCTTGAAAAACTAGAGTAATCAAGATAGTGTAGGGTGGTGATAAGGATAGACAATTAGGTCAATGGAAGAGAATAGAGTCGAAAGATATACCTATACATATACAGTTATTTGAATTTTACCAAAAGCACCAAGGCAATTCAATATGGAAATGAAAGTCTTCTCAACAAATGGTGCTAGAATAAACGTGATAAAAGATGAACTTCAACTCCTACCTAACACCATGCACAAAAATTAATTTGAATGAATAATAGATCTAAATGTAATAGCTAAAATTATAAAGCATCTAGAAGAAAACAGGAGAGAATCTTTGTAACACTGGAGTAAGCAAATATTTTTTAGCATATAAAAAACACAAATCATTTTACTTGTCAACTATACCTCAACAAAGCAGGAGAGGGGAAAGCACTAATCATAAAAGCTAACAAATTAGACTTCATCAGTGGAATGGAAGAGAAGTGAACAACGTTAAGAGATATCAAGGAGGTAACATAGACAGGGCCTGGTGATTGGAGGAAGAAGTATGTTTTGGATTACTCTCATAGTTTTGGCCTCATTCACTGAGAAGGAGCACCCAAAGCAGTACCCAGTTAGTAAGGTAAGATCACAACACACAAAAATAAACTTTTTAGGATGAAACTATGACCATGTTTCTCCCCCGCTTACTCTTCTTTAGTGAGTCTCCCTGCCTACAAAATATGGTCCAAGCCTCTTAGACACACAATGCCCTATATGATCTGGACCATGCTGAGTTCTCCTACCTCAGGCCCACTACTCTCCTTCCCTTCCTCCTTTGAATCCTGTGCTATGTTTGTTTATTTCCAGAGGTATTGTGTCTTTTCATGTCCCTATGCATTTGCATTAGCTGAACCCTCTGCTTGGACAATCTCTCAACTTGAGCGATATATCAGTCTTTTTCTCAGGAATCCCAGACCATTCAATCTAAGCCTCTAATATAGGAATCTTTGCTGCAATTTTTCCTTTACTCATCTGTCTTTCTCAGTAGATTGTGAATGCCTTGAGGATAAGGTTATTTCTTACTTAACTCTGGTATTCCTTATACCTAGTGTCAAAAATGTTGAAAGAATGGATGGATGGTGAAGGGTCAAGATTTCTGCCTTTGCACTCACCACTCATTCTGCAAGATCTTATTAAGGTCTAAATAGCTTCTCTGCAGAAGAGGAGAAATGCTAAATCCCTTGGGAGGTGACAGATGACATAATAAGTGGCATTTGATCAGAAAGATGTTATGGGAGTGATTTCACCTCATTCTCTGGGACTCTATAAAACGAAAACAGTCACAGCTGCCCCCAAGAAAGCAAGAATACCATGCAATGTGCTTGTGGGAAGAAGGAAACCCCCAAACACTTCATAACAATATCACTAATAAGGTGATCTTTGAAACCAAGTCAATGAAGTCAGCCTTGTTAGAGTATTGGACACAAGGAGGGCATTAGCGAGAATATTTTTTTTCCTGAAAATCTTTGAGAGTGGAAGAAATATGATCTTATTCAGTGGTCCCCCTTTTCCTCCAAAATGCAAGTTACCTTTCTCTTTATCTTCAATGCTTCTCCCTTGGTTCAAGCTTTTACTATCTCTTGCCTGAACTATTTATTGCAATGGCCTGCCAGGTCTCCCTGCCTCTAACCCATCCTAGGCTCTGGGGCACCAAAGTAATCTTTCTTTAATACAGATCTAACCATGTCACCCCATCCTGAAACTCCATCCCTCTTATATCTTGTGGGAGAAAGCCCATGCTTATTTACATGATTCGTAAGGCCGCTCATGTTGAAGGCCCTATCTCTCTTTGCAGCCTAACTTTCTATATTGCTATCAACAGCCACAGTTTCTGATGAGAGATGTGTTAGATAAGCAAAAAGATTGAAGACCATCCTAGCTACTCTGCTTTTCTTGCCATTCTTTGTAGATGCTTGTAGGGAAAGAAAGGCAGTGATTTTTTTGCCTTCTTATCATAAAGAATCATGACTGACACCCCTGTAACAAAAGGCAGGTTAATAAGAGAAAGTATAACAAATGTATTACATGCATACATAGGCACAAAAGTCATATGCACAAATATGAAAACTCTAGAAAAGGGCCAGATGGTTGATGTGTATATACCCTCTTCATTGAGGGGATGGAAATGGAAGGATGTTGTAAAGGAATGAAACTGAAAACCAGACAATGGTTTGTAAATGATTCTCTTTGGATGCTGAATGAGACTAAAGGACAAATAATAGCTTGTGGACTAGTTACAGAAAGGTGAGGGGAAGAGCTGCATTGTGAACAAAGGTTGTCTTATTATGCAGATACAGTCTCCCAGGTAATCTCTCAGCATGGCCCTCAGAAAAATAGATGAAAAGTCTGTCTGAGCATGGTGACAACTCCCAGTCTCTTCTCTTCTCTGGTGGTTAACCTTTCCTGGTTATTTAATGAGAGCCCTAAGAAGAGAGTTTTAAGACAATTACATTTATTTTGGAAGAAGTTTTCTTAGTCAGATAAGGGAACTTCCAGAGAAAGCCCTCTCCTAGTTCTTTGAGGAAAAAAAGAGAATCAGAGAGACAGGGAGGCAGCAGAAGGTCAAAGAGAAACCCTGAGGCTGCTTCTTCCTTTTAGCATGTCAACACACCACATCTGGGGACATTTTCTGAGCCCAAATGTTGTATTCATTTTTTATTGCTAAGTAACAAATGGCCACAAATTTAGCAACTTCAAACAACATACAGCTGGGCACAGTGGCTCACATCTGTAATCCCAGCACTTTGGGAGGCCGAGGTAGGAGGATTGCTTGAGCCCAGAAGTTCGAGATCAGCCTGGGTAACATAGTGAGACCCTGTCCCTACAAAAACAGAAAACAAACAAGAAAAGCATAGTTTATTATCTCAGTTTCTGTAGGTCAAGAGTCCAGGCCTGGCTTAGCTGGGTTCTCTGCCTCAAGGTCTCAACAGGCTGCAACCAAGGTGTTGGCTGTGCTGCATTCTCATCTTGAGGTTGGAGTAGGGAAGGGTCCTCTCTAAGGCTCACCCAGTCTGTTGGCAGACATCAGTTCCTTGAAGCTGAAGGGCTGAGGCTCTCAACTCCTACAAACCACCTACAGTTCTTTGCCACGTGGGTCTCTTTACAGACAGTGCACAACACAGATGCTTGCCTTTTCAAAGCCAGTGGGAGAGAGCGAGAGCAAGACTGCTAGCAAGATGGAGTCTTTGGAAAGTAATGTCATCACAGAAGTGGCATATCATCTTTGCCATAATTTATTGGTCAGAAACAAGTCACAGGTCCCACTCACACTCAGGCATGAACACCAGAAGGCAGGGATCATAGGGATCATCTTAGGGTCTGTGTGCCAGATGCCAGACTTTCAAGCTTCTGAGTCTTTGCTCATGCTACTGTTCCCTTTCTCTCTTATGCTCTTCCTCTGCTCTCCCGCCTGCCAAGATCCTACTTACCCTTTGAGCAAAAGTTATTTCTCTGGTGGCTTCAATAGACTCACCTCTGCTTTCATTCAAGATAGTTTCTCATGATTCTGCTTCCAGAACACTTTGTTCATTAAGCTACACTAGCACTCAGCAGAAGATGTAGACCTCTGATGATGAGCTGCATTCAACAGGCTCTTAGCACCTTTTACACGCCATGGACTAGATTTATGATATGGTTTGGCTGTGTCCCCACCCAAATCTCATCTTGAATTGTAGCTTCCATAATCCCCATGTGTCATGAGAGGGACCCAGTGGAAGGTAATTAAATCATGGGAGCAGGTTTTTCCCGTGCTGTTTTGGTGATAGTGAATACATCTCATGAGATCTGATGGTTTTATTAAGAGCAGTTTCCCTGTACATGCTTTTCTGCCTGCCTCCATGTAAAATGTGCCTTTGCTCCTCCTTTACCTTCTGCCATGATTGTGAGGCTTCCCCAGCCATGTGGAGTTGTGAGTCAATTGAACCTCTTTCCTTTATAAATTATGCAGTCTCAGGTATGTCTTTATTAGCAGCAAGAGAATGAACTAATATAACATGGCACTGGGGACAAAAAATAGAGACCAGCCTGTGGCAAGAGTTCCCAAGCCAATCCATGGACTAGCCCCATCAGAATCACATGGGCAGCATGTAATAGATAATGATTCTCAGGCCCTAGTCCCTAAAGATCCTGATTCCATGAATCTGGAGTGAGGCTCAGGAATCTGTTCTTACAAAGCCTCCCAGGTGATTGTGGTCTCCAGTCAGGCTCAGAACCACTGGCATAAAGGAATGAGCATTGCACCTGAGTTGCTCAAGGCTGACTTCAGACCCACCTCTACAGAATGTTGTAGACTGGACAGATAAACTCTGAGAAGACAGATGGAAAAGCCTTGGCTCAAGTCTGGCTCTGCCACTTAACCTGTCTGACTTTTGAAAAGATACTGGTCCTCTCTCAGCCTCAGTTCCTTCATTGGTAAAATGGAGAAATCATGCAATCCACCTCTAAGGGTGCTGTGAGGCTGTGAGGATTAAGTGAGATAATGCTTGGGAGAGCACCTGGCATGCAGGAAGCCATCAGAAAGAGTTTTGTTATATTGATCCCTGAGTTCAGCTGCTCTGCCAATTAAGGCCACAATGCCATTGGAGCTAAAAACATTGGTCTTTGGACAGGGGCTCCCCTCTCCTCTCTGTAGATTCTATCCCTGTGTGGCTTACAGAAATGACTTAGACAGCATCCTCTTCCTGTGGTCCCTCTCCACCCAGACTGACTCCTCCTCAGCCTCAGCTGCTGTTAGCACTGCAGACAGGGGCCTGGCCCTGGAGGAAGCTTCCCACCCTTCACTGGGGCTGGCTTCCTCTTATGGGAAGAGAGCAGCCAGCGTAGCCCCAGGACAAGCTCAGCCCCTGCCACGGCTCTCAAAGCCCAGCTCCCTGGGGGCTCGAGGCGGGGGCACCATCCACTTTTTCCATGGCTGCCTCTGAGTACTTTGAATTTCATTAGGGCAATTATTTCAAATGGAATTAAAAGGGTTTAAAATTAGACCCTAAACTCTTAACAATTAGTGACGCAGCGACCTGCCATCCACAGAGCCACAATAGACCTATGTTGATTGGTACGTGAGCACAATGCCACTCTCCAGATTTGCATGCACTATTACAGTAAACGGCTTTTAATAAAATGAATATTCTTAATTACCACCGCATTAATAGGCTGTAAATTAGTCATCATTAAAGGCCCCACAGTCCCTCCCCACCTCTCTGAGAGTTGCCAGTGGACTTCACCAGCTCAGCTGCTTCTGCAAACTCCAAGTTTTCCTGTGGCCTCCTGGGAGGTGGTGAGTTGGGGGTTATGCCCCCATAATAGCCTCAGGCCAGAGATTTGAATGCTGGGACTGTCTCTGTGATCCTCTCCACTGCACCAGCTTGAGACTTCCTGTGTTCTCTAAAGGCTGGTCAGCCCATGTCAGCGCAGGTCCCTCAAACCACCTGGACTACATCATTTATTCATCCCATTACCCATTCACTTATTCAGCAGGCACTATGTCAGGCACAGCAGATACTCACTGAGAAGTGATCCAGCATCTGCTTGAACCTCCAGTGTCTGCTTGCAGCCCCTGCTAACAGGTTTTCCAGAGAGGAGGCTGACACCTGCTGGAATCTGACAGGCACTGGGCTCCAGTCATCCACATGCCCAAAGAAGGGCAAGTTCTGGCAGAGGAGAACCCTGGGAAAGGTCCATGTTGGGCAAGAGCACTGGACTCACAGTTCTGAAATCCATTCCCAAGTCATTGTGAGAGCTTGAGCAGGTCACCTGCACCCCTGGGCCTCAGTTTCCCCATCTGTATGGTGGAGGCATTGGTCTAGGCCTACAGACAGCACACTTTTTCTGAAGGGCCAGATCATAACTATTTTAGGCTTTGTTAGTCAAACGGTCTCTGTCAAAACTATACAACTTGGCAAGACAGGCAGGAACCAGATTTGGCCCATGGGACTGTAGTTAGCTAACCCCTGGGTTAGGGGAATCATAAAAGCCCAGGCAACTCTGATGTTCTAGGAATCTATAAAAAGGCTATTCTTCCACAGGAGGTGTAGGGAAGACTTCAGAGGCAAACTTTCACAAGGGACATTTAGACTGAATTAAAGGGGATGTGCTTTTCTTTCCTGTTCTGTATCACACCCATCAACACACATATGTGCATGCACGCACACACAGACACACACAATAGCAGGATAAATGACCTCCAAAAATATCAGAGCCTCATCCTTGAACTGTGAATGCCACCGATATGATAAACCTGTGTGTTTTTGCAGATGTGATTAAGTGAAGGATCTTGAGATGAAGCAATTATAATAGATTATCCAGATGGGCTCTAAATGCTGTCACAAATATCCTTTTGGGAAAGAGGCAGAGGAAAAGTAGACACAGAAGAAGGGAAGGTGATAGTAAGATGGAAGCAGAAGTGCGATAAGGCCACAAGCTCAAGGAAGGCAGGCAGCCACAAGCGCCTGGAAGAGAACAGGAGTAGATTCTACCCTGGAGCCTCAGAAGGAAGCATGATCCTGCCTACACCTTGACTTCAGCCCAGTGAAACTGATTTCGGACTTCTTGCTTCCAGAATTGTGAGATCCTACACTTTCGTTGTTTCAAGCCAAGTTTGTGGTAGTTTGTTACAGCAGCCATAGCAAACTAATACACACACCTTTTCCCCTATAGGAACCACTGACGTTCCTCATGCTCTCTGTTAGCTATATTTTGTCTAAAAGGAGAAATAATAATAATCATCCTTTATATGGATTATTGCACTGTGATTTATATTGATAAAACACTTCCATACACATACAGTAGCTCTGTGAGGAAGATGTTAGAATCTTTATTCCATAAGGTGAAAACTAGACTCTCAGAAATGTAAAGTGTTTTACCCAAGGTCACTCTATTAGTAGGTGTCAGAGCCAGAACCTGAACCCAGATCTTTTGATTCCCGATGTACACTGCAGAACAAGTTGAAAGCTAAGCTAAACACACTGGCTACAGGGAAACAAGAATTACGGGAGTGTTGAAGTCAAATTGCAGTTTGGGAAAAGAGTCCCTTTAGAATGGAATGATACTGTTTGGGTTTCCAGCTAATGCCTGACTCAGGTTCAGGCTCTGATGAGGATTTAGGATGTGTCTCATTTCTGGGTGGGTGGCAGACCCCACCTGAGGGGGGCTCTTGGCTGGGAACCCTCAGATTCACTGAAGGTTGGACCAACCCAGCAGTTGGGCCTTCTGCGAGCCCTGAACGTGGCTCTTTAATTTAGGCCTTTTCAAGCCATTTGTGAAAATCACAAGCAGCTCTATGGTGAAGGTCAGAGAAGGGCACTCTGCAACTAGCTGGTCTAGAATTCTTTCCATCACACCACAGCTGGAGAAACCAGACAGCAGATGTGTTGATGCCTTGTATGTGCCAGTGGCAGGAGGAGCAAACCCAGACAGGAACTCACTTTATTAAAGAGCAACGTCCTGTAAGGGAGGTTAGTTGTCTGGGTTGCAACCAGAATCATGATCGCTATGGCAAGGACTCCACCAGTCCAGATCTTTATTTATTGCAAAACCCAAATGAGTACTTTAACTCAGGATTCTCTGAAGACCACAAATGTATTGATTGAGAGTGATTGAACAACCCACACCAAGAAAGGATAATGTATACAATTTATTATACATTTAATTCAAGCACATTTGTTTCCAACAATCACAAATGATATATAGTATGGTATTCTAAAGCTGGAGGACTTACTCTAGCTGATTTTAAGACTTATTGTAAAGTTAATGGTGGTATTCAGACAATGTGGTATTCATATAAGGATATACAGCTAAGTCAATGGAACAGAACAGAGTCAAGAAATAGACCTATACATATATGTTCAGTTGATATTTGATGAATGTGCAGAATGATTCAGTAGGGAAAAGGATAGCCTTTCCAACAAATGGTGATGGAACAACTGGGTATCCTTATGGGAAAAAAATAAACCTTGACACCTACCTCACACCATACAGAAAAATTAACTTGAATGGACCATAGACCTAAACATATAACCTAAAACTATAAACTACAAAACAAAACACAAAAGTACAAAGGACTTTGATCCAGAATATTTAAAGAGCTCTTACAACCTAAGACAAACAAACCAATTTAAAAACGGGTGAAATGTTTGATCAGACATTTCACAAAAGAAGATATACACATGGCCAATAAGACCATTAAAAGACGTTTAACATCATTAGTCACCAAGGAAATGCAAATTAAAACCTCAATGAAGTAGTAGTGCTCATACCCACTACAATGACTTAAATTTTTTAAAATAGACAATACCAAATGTTAGTGAGTATGTTGAGGAACTGGAACTCACACAATTTCTGGTGGAGGGTGTACAATGTTACTTTATAAATAGTTGTGCAGTTTTTTTTAATGAATTTAAACATACACTTAAAAAAATTTTTAGTGACAGGATCTTGCTCTGTTGCCCAGGCTAGAGTGCAATTGCGTGATCACAGCTCACTACAGCCTCAAATTCCTGGGCTCAAGCAATCCTCCTTGCCTCAGCCTCCTGAATAGCTGGGATTACATGCATGTACCACCGTCCACAGAAAAACATACAGTTATTGTATGACCTAGCAATACCTAGGTATTTATCCAAGAAAAACATATGGCCACAGAAAGGCTTGTACACAAATGTTTATAGCAGCTTTATTCAAAATAGCTTAAAACAGGAAACCCGTCAGATGTTCATCAACGAGTGCATGGATAAATTGTGATACACTCATGCAATGGAACACCATTCAGCAGTGAAAAAAGAACTACCAATACATGGTACAACACAGATGAATCAGATAAAAGATAAAACATACTGTATAAATCCATGTGCATGTAGTTCTGGAACAGATTAAATTAACCTATAATGATGGAAATCACATCAGCGGTTCCCTGGAGGGGGAAATTTTGGGGGAAGGAGCAGAGAAGGGGCACAGGACACTTTTTGGAGAGATGGAAATGCTCTATATGTTGATTGATGTGGTAGTTACAAAGGTGTATACATTCGTCAAAACTCAAATTGGTTCCTTTTATGGCATGTAATTTATGACCTCAATGAAATGAAATTTATTTTTAAAATATATATGTATTGTGGAGTTCTGATCATTAATTTCCATATCCTTCCCAAAACAAACTGGTGAAAACTCACATCCAGATACACACACATGGATAAATCAGCCCAGATTTTTCTTTTTCTTGTGTTTCTCAAGTTCTACTGGTGTGTTCTCAGTCCTGGCCTCATGCTGGCCTGTGCTGGTACACCACTTCATTGTAGACAGGCTTTTTAACTCTGAAAATTCCCAGCCTCTGCTTAGGATGATTTTGGGTTTGGGGGAATGATAGCCACACTCTGCTCTGAGTATAGAATCAACTGAAAAGGAGATACTGGAATCAGACAGAACTGAAACTATCAGGTCCGTCTTCACTGAGGCTAATTAAAGGTTTAGGTCAGTGGTCACGCCAGGCTCCCTAACAGTTCTCTCTCCACCCAAGCACTGTCCAACTAGACAACCTTGGCCTTTTCCACAAAGACAGACATTCCCCTTAAGTAGACTACGTGGAAGAAGAGAGAATGCCTGAATGCTGAGGACAGCTGCCCCAAAAGACAGAGAGAACTAAAAGAGGCTGAGCCATACTCCATCCTCGTTCCAAATTCGCCTGCCAGTTAAGTCCTAGGGAGAGGGAGGAGCATATGAGGGATGGGGAAAGGTCAAGAGTGGATATTCCCATCACCTACAAAATATAAGGAGGTCATGGTGGGGAGCAGGGAGATGAGTCAGCAGCAGTGTCTATCATTATGGTGACCACACATTACACTTTCTCAGGGACCATCCCAATTAAAGCCTGCCATCATGTAGAAACTATACACGATGCCCCTTTCACCCTCAAACGTGTCCCTGTTTGAACAATTGATGATATGGTCATGCCACCTACCAATCATATGGAAAAGGGCTTGCTTTCCTCTAATGCTGATGACAAATGTCTCCACCTCATGCCTATTACTTTCCCTTTTTGAGGCCCAGAACCCCTTTCTTTCTTTCTAAGCACTCTTAGCCTCAAAATCCTGGTCATACTGCAGAACTAGGAAGGGTTTCTAAGCCTTCTTTTATCCAATCACATTAGATCCTTCTGGCAACTTGGATCCAAGCTGAAAATGAGTGGTCCACTGGGCAAATGCGTGACAGTTCTGGTATTTCTTGAGCACTACCATGAAATGCTTGCCCCACTCAGGGTTTTGCTGTTTATCCTTGTATTAATCCGTTTTCATGTTGCTGATAAAGATATACCTGAGACTGGGTAATTTACAAAAGAAAGAGGTTTATTGGACTTACAGTTCTACCTGGCTGAGGAGGCCTCACAATCATGGCAGAAGACAAGGAGGAGGAAGTCACCTTTTACATGGATGGCAGCAGGCAAAGAGACAGCTTGTGCAGGGCAACTCCTGTTTTTAAAACCATCAGATCTGACCGGGTGCAGTGGCTCACGCTTGTAATCCCAGCATTTTGGGAGGCCAAGGCAGGCAGATCACCTGAGGTCGGGAGCTCGAGACCAGCCTGACGAACGTGGAGAAGCCCCGTCTCTACGAGAAACCCCGTCTCTACTAAAAATATTTACAAAGTTAGCTGGGCATGTGGCACATGTCTGTAATCCCAGCTACTTGGGAGGCTGAGGAAGGAGAATCGGTTGAACCCGGGAGGCAGAGGTTTCAGTGAGCCGAGATCGCACCATTGCACTCCAGCCTGGGCAAAAAGACTGAAACGCCATCTCAAAAAAAAGAAAAAGAAAAAAGAAAACCATCAGATCTTGTGAGAACCATTCACTATCCTGAGAACAGCATGGGGGAAGACCCACCCTTATAATTCAATCATCTCTCACCGGGTCCCTCCCACAACATGTGGGAATCATGGGAGCACAAGATGAGATTTGGGTGGGGACACATAGCCAAACCATATCAATCCTTTTCTCTCTGTTGGGAGGGGAGCTGCACTGTGTGCTGAAGGAACCCAGAGAGGCATGTGACAAGGTTGCTGTCCTTGCAGAATTGCAACCTTGCAGAAGGTTGCAAGGTTGCTGACCTGGACTACTGGGGCAACTGAGTGCAGCTCATATCACACGGGCCGTTCAATAGAGAGCCTTGGAGGCTGCAAGAAGGAGGGAACTGTTCTAACAGTAGATGAGAGAGGCAGCATGAAGACATGGTATCTGAGCAGAAGATCAGAAGGCAGAGACCAGGGAGAGCCTCATGGATGCAGTATGATAGCAGCCCACTGGGACTTCCCCATGCTCCACCCAAGTGCAGGACTTCAGCCCCTTCCACAGGATGTGCTCCAACAGCCCTCCAAAGTTTCATCCTTCTGTCCATGCACTGCATTGTTGCCAGAGCTGGCTTCCCATTGCCTAACTCTGGCTGTTTCACAACCCTGCTCAAGAACTTTCAATGGCTTCCCATGGCCCACAAGATGGCCAACATCCCAGCCTGTCATTTAAGGCTTACCATAGTAGAGCTCACTCCTGTCCTATCATTGTCATCTCCCTGCACTCTCCCACTTCGAAGTTGCACCATCCTCCTTTTCAGGCGTTTGCATCTCCAGCGAAAGATGTCCTCATTTTTGAAGAATGGGCTGCCATGCTCCCTTCTCTCTCTGGCCTCCTCTGATGCTTCCAGGCTGCAGCAGACTCTCCCATTCCTGTTGCACATCATTCATTCTTGTTGGTAACTATTATGAGTCTGCATTGTCCTATAATCTGTTGGCTTCATGCGCCTCCTTTTGCCACCCCAGACTTCAGGGCCCAATAGGGCAGGCACTGTGTCCTTCAATGTCTCCATCCCCAGGGGCCAGCCCAGGGGAGGGCGCAGAGGAGATGATTAGGAAGTTGTGCTGGGTCGTGTGGAAGGACCTCCTGGGACAAATGCACCCCTCTCATCATCACACCATCACCTACTTGACCTGTGCCCTGTCCATGCCCAGGGCCCCAGAAGGTGCCCTCAGTGACCAGCTGGGTCTTTCTTTGAAGAAGTTTACAGGAAAACCAGCTGGTCCTCCAGTTATCATTTTGTCCTTTGGGTGGAACTGCAGGGGGAAAAAATGAAGTATATTAGTTTACTGCTTGATCTCTGCTCCCCTAAAGCAGAGCCAAATCTAAAGTGAATATTGATGACTTTACAAAGCCCAGTGTTTGGTATTCACTGAAAACCATTGTGTATTCCCTAAATAGTTCGTTTCGTTTTTGAAAGTTCTAAAAAATTCACTGTATTGAAATGCATGTTGTTGCATCGATTTTTCTAAAATACACCTTGTTATCTTTTCTTTGGTAATTGGTGACTGGTAATGACTTTGGCAATTTAACATGTTCTTGCAGACACTTTTCCCATTCCCCTTGATAACTGAAGTCAGGAGCGAGGGCCTGTCTGTCAATCTCTGACGCCTGTCAGCCTACATGATTGACGGCTTTTGGTCCCACAATAGAGACCATTTTTGCAGCCCCCGTTCTGTTATTTTCCCCTCCTTTAATACTTGTGGGGGATGGTGTTTGCTTTATAATCTGCGTTTAAAATCCAACTTGGAATGAGGCCAGCTCCAGAGAAATTATCACAATGTCTTGTTAGCTTTGCATCAGGAAAAATCCCCAGAGAGTTTCTTAAGCTATGATTCCACCTTCTGAAATTACCTCTGCTCAAAAATCTAAGCTTCAGCCTTCATCCTGATCCTTTCCAATTCCAGGAGAAAGGCCAAGGGGTGCTCTAATAGAGGGCACGACCAGGGGGACTGTGAGCATCTGGAGTGGAGTCGGGCCATGCCTCCCTCCCAGGGCCTCCATGTATAAGCCCCCACATAACGTATGTGGGTCTGAGTGGCAGAGCTACTCAGAAGAAACGCTCTGGATCTTCTAGACAATTACATTTCTCAAAAAACAGCAGACAGGAGCCTCTCCCAACTAAGATGAGGCGGCATTTGGTTCATCATGGCACCACCAGGTCACATGATTGTCTGAACTTTTTGGATAAATAACCAGAAAACAAGATCAATGAGGGCCAAGGACTGAAGGGATGACATGTTGCCTTGTGGTGTGTTTGGGGTTCATAGACCCACTTCAGAATCTGATGAAAACTGTGGCCCCTCTCCCTAGAAAACTGCACATCCTGTCACGCTCAAATCCTGCCTATGATTTCAGGGGAAGCTGCTTCTCTTCCGTGGTCTCCGGCTCTGGGGTTAAGGTCTCCTGCTCTGTGAAGGTAGCAGAGAGCTCATCCCCAGAGTCATGACTCTGCAGTGTTGGGTGCTGATTTGAGGGATAGACATAGGAAAAAATTCTGTAAAAGGCCAACTCTTGGAACCATGTGCATTGGTCAGAGCTGCCTGTGGCAAGAGTGGCTGTGGGGGAACGGGGGCTGGTATGGTTTGGCTGTGTGCTCCTGCCCAAATCTCATGTCGAATTACAATTCCCAGTGTTGGAGGTGGGGCCTGGTGGGAGGTGATTGGATCCTGGCGGTGGTTTCTCATGAGTCAACACCATCCCCCTAGTGCTGTTCTTGTGATAGAGTTGTCAGGAGTTCGGTTGTTTAAAAGTGTGTAGCACCTCCCCACCCCCTTCCTCCTGCTCCAGCCACCTAAGAGGTGCCTGTGTCCCCTTTGCCTTCTGCCATGATTGTAAGTTTCTGAGGCCTTCCCTGAAGACGAGCAGACGCTGCTATGCTTCCTGTACAGAACTGTGAACCAGTTAAGCCTCTTTTCTTTACAAATTACACAGTCTCAAGTATTTCTTTATAGCAGTACGAGAATGTACTAATATGGGGTCCTCACACAGAAGCCCAAGCCTGTAAATTTTCACCACCAGGTGATTAGTCTGTGGACACTCTAGGCAGATGGAAGAGCACTGATCAACATTTAAATTGGTGGATGTTGAGTAAAGCAGATTGCCCTTCATAATGTGAGTGGGCCTCATCCAATGAGTTGAAGGTCTCAGTAAAACAAAAACTGACCTCTATGAGCAAGAAGAAATTTGGCCAGCAGATCGCCTTTGGGGGAACTGCAACTCTTTCCTGGGTCTCCAGCCTGCCAGCCTCCCTTGCATATTTTGAATATATAATCCACAGTCACATGAGCCACCTCCTTAAAATAACTCTTTGTCTGTCTCTACACACACACACATTGCACACACACACCATGTTTGTTATGTTTTTCTGGAGAATTCTAAGACGCCCATTGATAAGTATTTTTTAATTACTTTGAGGTGGGATTCATAGCTTATGGAAAAGCTTTAGAAAAATTTTCTTTGAGACCCAAAAGCCCAGCAAGAATTATTTCACAGAAGGGCTAGGAGCCCAGCGTAGGTGGGCACTTCCTCCTGAATAAAGATTCCTGAAGAAATGACATGTCTTTCATAGACAGGAAGGGTCTGCAGACCAAGGCAAAGTCCCTCAAAGGGCATCACATGTGAAGGAGGAATTCTTGCTCTGTGTGTGCTCTGGTGCCAGGGGCAGCTGAAGGACAGTGGAACCCAGAGTCCAGGACACTCAGCCTAATGAAGCCAGGGACCTCACCCTACAAAACAAACCTGACAATATCTCTCAGAGTTTCCAATGATGATTTTTGAGAAACTGCTCAAAAACTGGAGCTGCAGGCAGCTGAAAGGCCATCTCAGGCATCACATATACCGCAGAACATCTCATTCATCATTTCAATGGAATTTTTATGTGCCTTCTATAAGGCAAGCATTAGAAATACAGAGGTGAAACAGACCAAAATAAGTCTTTCTCTCCATGGATTTTATTTTCTAGTAGGGTGAGGCTGGAGGAGAAAGTACAGATGACAAACATAAAGTTTAAAAGACATAATTAAGGCCCCCATAAAGAAATGAAGAATTAGAGTCTAATTAATTTCCTCCCCTTGAGTCTGGGAAGGCTTGTGACTTGCAATCAAAAGGATATGGCAGAAAGGAAGCTGTATAACTTCTGAAGTTGGTCATAAAAGATGATGATGCTTCTGCCTTGTGTGGTAAAACATTTGCCTTGGAGCTCTGAGTGTCATGAGAGCCAGCCAACTGTCCTGAGGTTGCCATATTGTAAGGAAGACCAAATTAGTCTTCTCCAAGGGACCACATGGAAAGGCCCTTGGACTACATACACAGAGAGAACGGGATGACCAGCCAGCCTCTAGCTCCTCTAGCCCTTCACTATTCCATCTCTAGATACCATGAATATAGCTGCATTGAGAGAGCCTAAGCCAGATCAGCCTAATGGGCGCTTCCCAAGTCTTTGACCCACAGAAACTGTAAGAGATAATAAAATGATTGTTGTTTTAAGACACAAAATTTTGGGTTTATTTGTTATGCAGCAGTAGACAACCAGAACAGAGTGACTGGAGGTAAGGGTTTACCTTATACGAGGAGATCAGGAAAGTCTCTCTTGAAAGATGACATCTGAGGCCTCTAAAACAAGAGAAGCTGCTGTGTGAAGGGCGGGGAGAAGAGCATTTCAGGCAGAGGGAAGTACAAAGGTCCTGGAGTGTCAACACCCTGGAAATTTCACAGAGGAGCAGTATGGCTTGGGCTTAATAAATGAGGGGTAGAGAGAATGGAGAAAGGGTCAGAGAGGTAGGAAGGAAGCAGATCATGAGCCTTTAGGCCAGGTGACCAGATGTCCCGGTTTGCCTGGGACAGTTCTGGTTGAAGCTTGTTGTTCCAACATAATTGTATGGATCTCCAACTTGTAGGCCATGGTAAAGAGCATAGATATTTTATATTACATTTTTTCTTCATTCCCTCAGTCTCCAGGCTGGTCCCTGTGCTCTCCATCTCACCCTCACACACTCCACCCTGAACCTAAGAGACAGCTCTTTCCCTCTCATGCATCCCTTTCCTAGTCTTGCTTTTTCTTCCTCTTCATTCTTATTCTCTTTGGAAACAGCCAAGACTGTTCCTTCCATGATCTCAGACCAACCACTGTGCCTTCAACATAGTGGAAGATGTGGAGAGACTGGCTGGAGTGGTTTTTGGTGTCCAATGTCCTGGGTTCAAGTTCCGGATCCACTATGTCTGGTCTATGTGACCTTAGGTGGCTTGCTTTCCCTTCTTAGGCCTTTAGATTCCTATCTATTGAGTGGAAATTTAAACTGTCTGCTTCATAGTGTTGTTGCAAAAAGAGCATTTGACTATTTGCTAATCAAGAGTTGGTTTCACGTCTGAGGAAGCTTGACAAGATGCTATGGTTTAAATGTCCCTTCCAAAACCCATGTGGAGATTTAATTGCCATTGTGATGGTATTAAGAGTTGGGACCAGTAAGAGGTGATTAGACCATGAAGGCTCCACCCTCATGAATGGATGAATGCCATTATCATCGGATTGGGTCTTGATAAAAGTGAGTTCAGCCTTCTCTTGTGCTCACTTGCTCTTGGCATCTCTTGCCCTTCCACCTTCCACCATGGGATGATACAGCAAGAAGACACTCACAAGATGCCAGCATCTTGATATTGGACCTCCCGGCCTCCAGAACTGTAAAAAGTAAACCTCTTTTCTTTATAAATTACCTAGTGTGGGGTAGTCTGTTGTAGCAACACAAAATGGACTGAAACACAAAAGGAGAGAAATTTTAAATCAAAGCCAAAAAAAAAAGATTATGATTGGAGATAAGGAAGAAATGCCTGATGTTCATAGTGGGGAGGAATAAAATCATTGGAGGATTCACTCTAGAGATGTTCAAGCTGAAAATATCTGGCTGCCTCTAGGATGGGGTGCATCTGTACTCCTGAAATAGAGGCCAGAGTCTGAGGTGGGTGACCTCAAGACCACTGCTGTTATGAGTTAATGTATTCATTCAAACAGGCTTGGATTCAAGTCCCAGTTCTTTCACTTGCTGGCCATGTCAGCTTGGGCAAATTGCTGCTTCAGTTTTCTCATCTGTAAAATGGGGGAAATCATGGTACCTATTCTCGGGAGGTATTGGGAGATAAAACAAGAAGAATAGGAAAACATGAACCCCTGTGTATCACACGTGGAAGTGCTAAAATATTGTTAGCTTGCATTTTCTTATTTTCAATGTACCAGGCACTAGGTTAGACCCTGAGAAGGGATATAAATATGACAGTGTTTCCAGGGTAGTGGTAGGGAGAAGGCAAGTATGGTACATAAGCTGCCATCACCCCAATTTAAATTAATGGAAAGCTAGAGTCAGGAAGGCACTGAGAGATGGAAAGGGTTACTCCAAACCCTGGTGGCTTCCCTGGTCCTAGTTTTAATTCCCATGAGGTCTGCCTGAGTTTGGTTTCTGTGAGACCTCCATGTTCTTACAATAACCACTGTCCCTCCTTATTTGAGCTGGCTTGAGTGAATTTCTGCTCCTTTATAACCAGTGATCCCTGAGGAACGCAAAAATGTTAGAAGGTTGTCAACGTGTTAAGAGAGCCCCAAGGATGATGAAATTGATTATTTCCTGTTGTTGCTGTGGGAGGTTTGGGAGCCAGGAGCTTGAAGTTTAGTTAGGACTTGGACCTACATTGTTTTGGAGTGAGACTTCTGTGGAGTAAAGAGTAAGTGGTCCAAAGGATAGAAGCTGTAAAATGCAGGGCATATTCAAAAGCTGGGAAGAAGTACAATCTGCGAGGAATTTGGGGTGTGCAAAGGAGAGTAAGGAGCCACAGAGCTGGAGAGGGAAAGAGGAGCCAGGTCCCTTGGTCTCCAGGTGGCAGTTTGAGGTGATAGGACTTCATTCATAGAAGGCAAGGAGTCACTCTGTTCCTTTTAAGCACAGAGATGACAGAGGGAAGACAAACAGCCATTTGAGGATGGATGAGTGCTGCGCAGCCCTAGAAGCAGAGGCAACAGAGAGAAGGCTGTTTCAGGGGGCCTGGATGGAGATGATGGGCCTGGGGCTAAGGCAGGGCCAGTGGAGATGGACAGTAGAAACTGCTTGGATTATCACCAAAACCAGGAGAATGGGATGTATAGATTGGCCAGCTTGGCCATGTGTTTATGCCTATGCCAGGGGACATCATTGCAGCCTCCCAGGATCACATAAAGTGAGGAAGGAACTGGTTCAAGGGAACCAGAAGGAAGACAACGAAAGCATGTGCTGGGTAAAACAACAACCAAAAACCTATAACTTCAGCAGACATTTGCTAGAACAACAAAACTTAGGGCAGGCTAAGAGGTCAAGATGGAAGAGAAGGAAAAGCAATAAAAGTTCAAAAACATAAGAGTGTTGATAGCAGCATGGTTCTTAGTAGTAAAAGCTTGAAACCACTAGAATGTCCAACAGCAAAGGAAGGGTTAAATAAATTATAGACTGTCCATTCAATGGAGCTGTACAATAGACTTTAAAAGGAAATGGTAGATGTATGATTTGAATGTGTCCCACAAATTTCATATGTCAGAAATTAAATCTCCAAATTTATATGCTGATTGAAGGTGGGGTTTGGGGGAGGTAATTAGGATTAGATAAAATCATCTGGGTGGGGCCTCATGATGGGACTGGTGGCTTCATAAGAATAGGAATATAGAGACCTGAGCTGACATGCACGCTGTTGCCCCTCTTGCCATGTGATGTCCTCTGCCATGTTATGATGCAGCATGAGGCCCTCACCAAAAGCCAACAAGAAGTGGCTGCCTGATCTTGGACTTCCCAGCCTCCAGGACTGCGAGCCAAAATAAACCTCTTTTCTTTATAAACTACCCAGTCTTGGCTGTAAGACAGTTAGATTTGAATGCATAGGCATGGAAATATATCTAGGAGATAGCAGGGTTTGGAAAAAGAGTGGTTAACTGAATAATGTGCATGACATGATCCTATTTATGTGGATAAAGAGATGTAGCAATTTTTTTCTTAAAAATTTGAGGAAGGCTGACTCTTACAAGAACAGCAGTCACAGAAGAACAGCACTTTGTGAGAGCTATTCTTAGGGGTTAGGGCTCCATGTCAATAGAATTCAGGAGGGCACAGCCCAAAGAAAGAAGAGATGAGTGGGAGGAAGCAAGAAGAGATTGTTAGCAGCTGCTATGAGCGAGACACTTTGGGGAGGAAGAGAGATGTCTAAAGCTGACTCTTAGAAAGCTGTGAAAAGCTCCTGCACTACCTTTTTAAAGAAACCAACAATAAAGATTTATATTATTCTCCAGGCTTCTGGAGTCTGATTTGGGTTATTTTGGATGACTGTTGAGCAGAGACCAGCAGCCTTAAAGGCTACTTAGATATATTTGGGTCACATCCATATATATGTATATAGGCACTTTTTAAAAGTCTGAAAGGATATACACCAAACTGTCAACAGTGGTTATCTCTGAAGGATGAAATATCAAGGGACTTTTACTTTCTCCGTATTGTCTTAAATTTTTTTTTTTACCTAATCATGCATTATTAGAATAAACAATACAGATACAAAGAAAGGAAAAGGAAAAAAATCTACTGAAATCAGACAAAGTGCACAGTAAATAAATACATGTTAGCTACAAGCATACTCAGTAAATAGTAATTAAGTGACAAATTAAATAAAGCTAATAACAGAGACTAAAATGATGAGAACTCAAGACAATGGGAGACTCCCTCCCCCACTGCACCCCTTCCCACAGTGCCAATCACAGTCCTTGCTGCTGGGGCTGAGGCTGGGGCTCTACTTTTAGGAGAAGCCTTAGGGTGAGAAGCCTCTAGCCCACAGACTATGGACTGCTCCAGAAAGGGCTGCTGGGAGAGGAGCCCCAGGGGGCAAACTGGGGAGTATGGGGGGCAGAACAAGATGCATTGGATCTTTGTGTCTGTGCCTTGGCTACACTCAGTTCTCTCTCTCCCCTTCTCACCTTCCCCTACCTCCCCTCCATTTCTTCCCTCTCCTCTCCTCCTTTATCCTCCCCTCCCCTCCCCTTCTCCTCTCTCTCTCTCTGTCTCTCTCTCTGTCTCTCTCTCTCTCTCTCTCTCTCTGTCAATCTCAGTTGGGTTCAGCAAAAATTCTGGGAATCAACTCTCTATAAGACTTTACTCTGTACTTAGGGTGGGTTGTGGTGATGGGGTGAGGTTTCACAAGAAAACCAGGAGAGGAAAGTGTAGGAAAATACCCCTCCCTGGAAGGCCAAGCTGACACTTGAGCAAAGGTAGAGAACTTGGGCAAGTGCACAATGAGCAGATGATATGGCTGGGACCAAAGTGCAGGGGCCTGTCCTCTCCACATTCAAGATCTGGTGATCTGGTGAGGCACGAGCATAGGATGTGCAGGAAGGAACAGTGGGATCCAAGTCTCAAGGGTGAAGGGCCTAGAAAGTCATGCAAAATAGCTGAGATGTTATTTTCTAGGCATTGGGAAGTCAGAAATGGATTTAATTGAGGAGTGACAGAGTCAGGGGTGCATTTTAGAAAGATCCCTGGAGCTGATGTGGAGGATGGTTGGAGAGGAGTAAGTCAAGGCAGACAGAGAGTAACAGGGCTGCAGAGAAGTCCAGGTGCAACATGATGAGGTCCCAAGTGATGCAGCAGCAGTGGGGATGAGAAGATGCTGAGAGTACCATACATGACATTGAACAGGGTGGCTGTGATCTGAGCAGATGTCAGGGAACTCCCCCTGTGAATCTCCCCAGCAGACCGTCTAGTTCGAGGGAACAAATCCTTATTGTGTATCATTCATTCATCCTATTGCATAACATTCATCCACTTGACAGATATTATTAATGTCTTCTCTATGCTTATCCCAGGCCAATCACCAAGAAATAGATGTGAATGGGACATAATCCCTGTCATCTAGGAGCTTAGAGTCCAGTAGAGAAACAAATGTGATATATTGATTGTAAACATGGCCCCAGTTACTCCTCAACCCGTGTATACATGCCTTTGCAAAGTGACTTTGGAATTCCTCTCATACGAGGTGGATTCTATTTTCCATGCCTTAAATCTGGGCTGGTCTTGTGATTTGCCTTGGCTGATAGAATGTGGCAGTTCCAAGCCTAGGCTTTAGAGGCCTCGGGTACTTCTGCTCATTCTCTTGGGACTTTGTCATACCCAGGAAGACCACACAGAGTAGAGCCAACCCTGCTCAGTTGTCCCAGCTGGGACTGAAGCAATTGTGAGAAAGCACAGCCAAGATCAGCCCAGCCCAGCCTAAATCAGCAGAACTTTCAGGTGACTCAGATTCATGAGCCACAATAAATAATTTTTATTTTATGCACTAAGTCTTTGGTGGTTTGTTATGTAGCAATGGCTAACTGATACAGCATAAAATAAACTAATTTCTTTTAAAAGCATACTATAAAAGCTCATAACCCGGGTGCCACTAAGGCCCCATAAACATCCTCTATTCTCATCCAACACCAACTTTCAAGCAGGAATCAGCACTGGGTCTTACTCTGGGGAGACTGTTCTCCAGGGGTCTCTTGCATTTCTACACATTTTGCAAGCAAAGGCACTGACTTCTTTGGGACTATCTTTTAAAGGGTGTTTGTATAACAAATAGTTTTGGAAACTAGAGATAGTTTCCCTCCAGAGCAACAGGAAGTTTGGTTGGTTGTCTTACATAATAAAAATGTCTCTCTCCAGGGCAAATATCAAGCAGGCGTACTTACTCATTATAAAAGATTTGGGTTCCCGAGGCTGGGGGTTCCTTTCTTGTAATGAAACTTGCAGCCTGTGCTGCAGGTGTTAGGTGGCTCTCTTTGTGTCACCCTGCGGGAATTGGAGCTTGGGGAACAGCACAAATGCTGACACTCTGGCTACTGCTATTGCTGTGAGTCATAAAGTCCTTTGTGTCTTACTCAGGAGTCCCATGTCCCCTGCCAGCATCCATGACACCACAGCAGGCTGACTTCTTACCCTGCATGTAAAGCGAATCTCAGATCCTTTGCAGTTCTTGATACTTACCCTTCTGGAAACAATTTAATCTAATTCCACAAAGCCTTAATGAGTAATAAGTTTCACTAAAGATGGCATGGGGAGACAAAACAGAGGTTTACATAGCACACCTTAACAAAAATCCCCCCTGAAACACTTGTTTCCTCTGCAAAGCCCCGCACACTTCCTCTGCAGCCATCAGCAGGCTCTTCCCGATTCCGTCCCCTACTTCAGCCTCCCTCCTATGCTGGCTGCAGTTCATCCGGATCTACACCACCACCACTCCCCCAGGCCTATCTACGGCTCTTCCTTTGCTCAAGAAGAGACCGTGGGCATAGACTTCCCCCAGTGTTTCCAGGCCAGCCTTCCCACACCCATCACCCAGCACAGCAAACAAAGAAGCCTGCATGGACTCCACCCATCTTAGAAGATAGCTGGATGAGAGAAACGATAAATAACTTTCTCCTTTCACAATTTTTTTTGGTCACAAAGATTCTAACAAAGATGTAGGCAATCTTTGAAGGCACATAGGAGGGAGAAAATATTTCTGAATGAGAGATCTAGTAAGGCTTTGAAAAAGATGCCACTGATCCCTGAAGGGCGAATAGGTAGGTTTTCCAAAGACAGAAGAGAGCAAGAGCCTGCCAGGCAGACATGGCATGTGACGAGAGAGACAGGACCCCTCCAAGATGAGAAGTGTGGGGTTAGGGGGTGCAATCCCAGAAGACCTGGAGTACATTGGAATTTGCAGACAGATTGACCCACTGAAACCACCATAAAATGTAGCCTGTCTCTGGGTGCTGGGCACATGTGTAAGGTTCTTTAAATTCACATATGAAATATCGAAGCACAAGGGCTTGTAACCAAAGGAAACACCCACTAATCATAGTTTTCGCCAGGAACACCCTAACTGACATTTTAATTAACAAGTTGTTCTCCCCCCACTCCATTTTTAATATAAGGACTTCTTGTTGCTTTAAATCTAAAATTAATTAAGTGAGAGTTCTCCTCTGGAGTAGAGTATATGGCTCATGCTAAATGGACGGGAGTGATAAGGTAAGATATATGGCTGGAAGTGTAGGGGGCCACTGAAAACCTCTTTGCTTCTGCAGCTGAGGCAAGCCAAACCAGCCACAGCCCATTTTCTCAGGATCCTGAGAACCTAGGGATCCTGGGCTTTTTCCAAGAAATATTCCATTTGAATCTGCAGCCCAGCTAAAACCTGGAATTACTGAAGGTTAAAATGCTGTTACAAGCCCTACATGATCTGGCCCCTGCCTGTCTCTGTAACCGTAATCTCACCTTGTTCCACCTAGTCCGTAGGCCCAGTCACACTGCCCTTCTAGTTGTTTCTGAACATGACAAGCTTGTTCCCACCTCAAGGCATTTGCACTTGCAGTTTCTTATGCTGGAGACACTCTTCCAGCACATTTGCAAGGCAGGTCTTGGGTGAGACGACACCTACCTTTTTTTTTTTTTTTTTTTTAGTCAAAGTCTCACTGTGTCACTAGGCTGGAGTGCGGTGGCGAGAGCTCGGCTCACTGCAACCTCCGCCTCCCGGGTTCAAGTGATTCTCCTGCCTCAGCCTCCCAAGTAGCTGGGACTGCAGGCACCCACCACCACGCCCATCTAATTTTTGTATTTTTAGTAGAGACGGGGTTTCACCATGTTGGCCAGGATGGTCTCGATCTCCTGACCTCATGATCCACCCACCTTGGCTTCCCAAAGTGTTGAGATTACAGGCGTAGCCACCACGCCTGGCCCTCAATACCTTTTCTAACCACCCTGTCTAAAATACTAATCGATT
Organism: Homo sapiens; assembly: GCF_000001405.40. Classification (NCBI taxonomy): domain Eukaryota; kingdom Metazoa; phylum Chordata; class Mammalia; order Primates; family Hominidae; genus Homo; species Homo sapiens. Next base: position 38,342,983 of record NC_000001.11, on the reverse strand, counting down.
CCTCTCCCCCAACCATTACCCTGATTTACTGTCTTCATAACCCTTATCACTCACCGAAACCATGTGCCATTTGTGTGCCACTTCTCTTCTCTCTCTCACTAGAATGGCAGCCCCAGGAAAGCAATGGCTGGAAATAGCGTATGTTCTCACTTATAAGTGGGAGCTAGGCTATAAGGACACAAAGGCCTAAGAATGATATAATGAACTCTGGGGACTTGGTGGGGGAGGTAGTAGGGGGACAAGGGATAAAAGACTATGTATTGGGTACAGTGTACGCTACTCTGGTGACAAGTGCACCAAAATCTCAGAACTCACCACTACAGAACTCATTCATGTAACCAAAGCCCACCTGTATCCCAAAAACTTGACATTAAAAAAAAAATGTGTAAGAACAAGAACATAAGAAGGAAGGGAGGAAGGAAGGAAAGAAGGAAGGGAGGAAGGAAGGAAAGAAGGAAGGAAGGAAGGAAAGAAAGAAAGAGCTAGTGCCTTATTCACTCATGCATCCGTGCACCTAGGACATAGTGAATGCTCAGGAACTACTTGTGGAATAAAGGGAAGGATGATATTCCTTCTGCTAAGAATGCTCCTTCCCCCGACTTCCTCCCCTCCTCTCCCCTGCCTTTGCCTGGCTGACTTATGCTCACTCTTCTGCTTTCAGCTACAGCCACATTTCTTGATTTTCTAGATTGGGCTAGGTCCTCTTTGATACCCTACTTTACAGCATTCATCATAACTGAAATCAGTAATTGTGAGATTGGGTTGTTTAACGTCCACCTAGAATGTAAGACCCAGGAGGGCAAGGAGTTGGTAAAACACTCTGTAATAAGTAGCTACTTTTTTTTTATTTGTATCGTCATCATGCTGCATTCTTTTGACCAAGGCAACCAGAAGGAAGATCTTCCAAGATACCCTCAGACACGACCGTCCTCTCCCCAGACCAGAAGGTGTCTGGAGACCACAGGGGCAGGGGCCTGGGCCTTGTGTGATCTGCTTTCAAGTCTGCAGGACAAGGGTTCTTGGCACAAGCATCAGTGAAGCAAGTGCAGTGCTGGAACCCCTTCTTGCTCTTGAGATTTCTTCCTCCAGGCAATGAGTCAGCAGTATAGAATCTCATCACTTTGAATATAACATATTTTATTTATCTATTCCTCTCTTGATGGGCATGTAGGCTCTTTCTAATTTTTCGCTGTAAAAAAATTATTCCGTAATCCTCCCTTCACTCTCCTGCATCATTAGATCTTTTACTTTCTGCTGAATTGTTCCCACCAGCCAACAAACACATCATAACTGTCTCATCTTAAAAGTAATAACAATGATATGAAAACAACTTTTCATCCCTCTACTTCCTATTTCAACTATCACCCCATCTTTATTCCCCTTAATAGAAAACTCCTTACTGGCTTACGCTTGTAATCCCAGCACTTCAGGAGGCTGAGGTGAGCGGATCACCTGAGGTCAGGAGTTCAGGAACAACTTGGCCAATATGGTGAAACCCCATCTCTACTAAAAATACAAAAATTAGCTGGGCATGGTGGTGTGTGCATATAGTTCTAGCTACTCAGGAGGCTGAGGCAGGAGAATCACTTGAACCTGGGAGGCAGAGGTTGTAGTGAAGTGAACAGAGATAGTGCCACTGCACTCCAGCCTGGGTGACAAGAGCAAAACTCCATCAAAAAAAGAGAGAAAGAAAAAGAAAAAGAAAGAAAGAAAGAAAAGAAAGAAGAAAGAAAGAAGAAAGAAAGAATGAATGAAAGAAAGAAAGAAAGAAAAAGAAAGAAAGAAAGAAAGAAGGAAGAAGGAAAGAAAGAAGGAAAGCAGGAAGGCAGGAAGGAAAGCAAGCAAGCAAGAAAGAAAGAAAGAAAGAAAGGAAGAAAGCAAGCTCCTCAAAAAATTGCTTTTATTCAACACCTACACATCATCTCCTCCTATTCTCTCTCAAGCCCACTCCACAAAATGCCTGGCAAGGCCTCTGGTGACCTACATGTGGCCAAATCCAACAGCCAGCTCTCAAGCTCCATCGTGCAGAATCTTTGTTGTCATGTGGCTCGTGGGAGCATTCCTCTTTCCTGGAAACTCTTCTCCCTTCCCTCTTTCCTGGTGCTCATTCTGAAAAGGGCTATTTCTTATTAGCCTTCTTTTCTGATTTCTTTCTCTTCCTGTGCCCTCAACGATGGTGGGTCCCAGGACTCAGCCCTTAGACCTCTTCTCTTCACTGCCTGTGCTCATTCCCAGGGCAATTCATCTGCCCCACAGCTCTGAGCACTATCTACACACGGTTGACTCCCACGTTCCCACCACCCATCCTGACCTCCCCACTCAACTCCAGCCTTACAAGGCCAGCTGCCTTCTTGACATCTTTGCTTGAATGTCTAATAGGCTTTGTTAGATTTAACATGCACACACACGCACATACACACACACACACACACACACACACACACACACTGAATCCAGTTACGCACATGGTCTTCCCCCACCTTCATAAATGGTAATCCAGTCTTCCAGGTGCTCAAGCCAAAAATCATGGAGCCAACGTGGTCTCTTGTATTTTTCTCACACTCTCTATTCAATCCTTCAGCAAATCCAATCAGTGGTACCTTCCACACCAACCCAGCACTGATCGTGGATACATCTCCACCACCATCAGTTTGTCCAATCCCCCATCATCCCCCACCTGAAGCATTTTAAGGGTCCTCCACTTTCTCCCAGCCTTGCCCTACCCCAGTCTGTTTTCAGCACAGCCACAGCTGCTGGAGTGATCTTTGTAAAACACTGTGAGATTGTGTTCTCACTCTATTCAATGATTTCCCGTCTCAATCAGAGTAAAAGCAAAAATCCCTACAGTGGCTTGCAGGGCTTTGTATGAGCTGGGACCTAACCACCCATCCAATGTCATCTCTTTCCCTTTGCCCCAACCCCAGCTCTCCCTGCTCTGGCCACAGTGGCTCGCTTGCTGTTCCTCAAACTCACCAAGCCCCACTTCCAACTCAGGGCCTTTGGAGGGGGCATTGGTCCCTCTGTCCAAAATACTCCCCCTCCCCTCCCACAGTCATATCTTGATGCTTCACTCTGTCAGAATGTCTCTTTATCAGAGAGGCCTTCCCTAACTCCCTGTCTTAGTCAATTCAGGCTGCTATCACAAAATACCATAGATTGAGTGGCTTAAACAGCAAACGTTTACTCCCATGGTTCTGGATGCTGAAAGTCGAAGATCAGGGTGCCAACATGGTAGGTTTCTTATTGAGGGTCCTCCTCCTGGTTTCCTGACATGGCAGGAAGAGAAAGAGCTTGGATCTCTCCATCCCCTTATAAGGACATCAATCTCATCATGGGGGCTGTCTGCCCATGACCTCATCCAAACCTAATTGTCTCCCAAAGGCCCCACCTCCAAAGACCATCACATTGGGGATTAAGGCTTCAGCATGAATTTGGGAGACACATTCAGTCCATAGCACGGCCCTATATAGCATAGCCATTTCAGGCTCCTTTTCCCCCTCATCTCACTTAACTTTCCTTCACAGCACTTAACTGCCATCTGACATGCTCTTTGTTTAACCTATTTATCTATTGATTGATTATTACCTGACTCTCCCTGAGTAGATTGTAAGGTATGTGATAGGAGGGGTAATGGGCATCTTGTTTGCTGTTCTATCCCTATTACGTTAAACATGTAGCAGGTGCATAATCAACATGTGTTGAATGAATGAACATCTGTATGTGCATCTTTGCCCTACAGGTGGGTTTCTCTAGATCAGACACAAGGAATAGAACTGTTCCTTGACAGGACATATGCATTTTCAATTTCCATAGATACAGCTGAATTGCTGTCCAAAGTGGTTGGGACATGGCCTTCTCATTTTCCCAGATCCTCTCCAACACTTTAAGTTTTTGCCAAACTGTTGGGTCAAAGTGGTGTTGTGTGGCTTTAATTTGTATATCCCTAATTATTAGCGAGGTTGAGTATCTTGTCTTTGTTTCCTATGACTTGTCTTTCCTCTTCTTTGCTCACTTTCTATTTAAGTTGGTCACTTGGGCCTCAGTGCCCTTATAAAACTGAGAAGTTCTGCTCAGGTCATCTCCAAGTTTTGTTCCAGCTCCAGTGCTCTTTGATGCAATTCAGTTGACAGTTATTTATTGAACAACTTTCACAGCAAGCATTCTTCAAGTCACAAAGGATGTGCCTGTGAACAAGAGAGATAATGTCATGCTCTCATGAAGCTTGTATTCTAGGCAGGAAGGCAAGTTAGAAAATTGCCAAGAACTCAAACAAGGAAACTATATAAATTCAGACCACGCTCAATGCCATAAAGAAGCGTGACGGGTTAGGAGAGTGTTGCAAAAGAGTTTCTGAGGAGGTGATATTCGGGCTGGCACCTGAGTGATGAGATGGAGCTAGCAATGGAAAGATCCAGGGAAAACATTCCAAGCAGGAGGAATAGCAAGCATAGAGGCCCCATGATCAGCTTAGCAATGCTGTGAGGAAAGAAGAAGCTTGCTGAGCCAGGAACGAAGGAGCTACACATGCAAATATCTGGAAAACAACATTCCAGTCTGGGAAGAATAGAGGGTGCTGAAGCCCTCAGGAGGGAGAAGCCAATAAGACTTGTTGGAAGGACTAAAAGAAGGGCACTGATGCTGGAGCAGAGGGAAGAGAAGAGGGGCATGCGCACAGTGCGGGAGGGAGGCAGGGCCAGAGCTGAGAACCTTGCACAGCATTGCAAGGGCTCTGGGCTTTGTCTTAAAAACAGTGGGAGGACAGTGAAGTCTTCTACGCAGGAGAACCATGTGCTTAGATTTGCTTCTTTAAGAGAAGCTTCAAGAAGCATGAACTGGGGGAAACAAAAGCAGTTTTAGGGAGACACATTAGGAGCTGGAGTGAACACTTATCATCTCTATAACTGCTCAACCTCTGAAAGCCCTTCTCAGATTTGGGATCCACCATTCTGGGAGTCCCATGGGGAGGTAGGGCCTATTCTGCATGCCGGGAGCTACAACCACAGGGACTTGCTCTCCTTAACCCCTACCGCTGAAGCAAGAGATGAACCCCAACAGTCAGCTAGCTGTACCTGCCTGGGGTTTAGATCTGAAGCTAGTGACACAGAGTGACTCAGGACATTCAGAAGTCATTGTGGAGGTAGCAGCAAACGGTGGCATTCCCTGTGGCCATCAAAGAAGGTGCTGCTCTGTTCTAATTCGGGCAATGGGCTGGGAGGACATGGGGGTGTGGGGAAAGCACAGGCCCCATCCGAAGGGCTCCAGGGACCTGGGCCAGGCAGGCAATAAGACCAGTGTAGCCAGATCTTCAGATTTCCCAAAAGAAGCTGGGATGCCAAATTCTTATGTAAAATCACCCAGTTTTTATGCTGATTACAAATTCAAATTTTAAAAACCCTGCAGGTTAGGGCAGAGAGGTCAGACATAGCTTACCAAGGACCAGTTTATAACCTCTCTCCTAATGCTTTATCCTTTTGTGATGAGGAAGTCCTTCCTCACATTTAACAAGGTCAAAAGAAGAGTATTTTAGCAGAGGGCTGGGAAAGAGTCAGCTGGAGATGGAAGTTTCTTAGCTAAAAGGAAGCAGCTGAGCTTCCACTGCTCCCAAAAGCACAGAAGTCCAAGGGCAGAGGCTGAGCCGGATGTAGACAATAGGAAGTTGTGGCACTCCTGGATTAAGGCAGCTGCAGCTGGGGTGGAGATGGCCAAGGGTGGAGAAGTAGAGCAAATACCCAGGGTGACTGCCCCATCTTTCAGGGACTCTGCCCATCTCAAAAGCATTATGGTTTCTCTGGAGCGAAATGGGCAACGTCAGGCAGGGAGGCAATGGCGTAACAGACCTGGGCTCTGCCACAAACATATCAAATTACCCTGGACCTGGGCATCAGTTTCCCCTCTGCACCATGAAGGGGTGGAGGCAGATGTGCCCGAAGAGCATGTCCAACTCTGCAGTCCTTCACTGCTGGGATCCCTTTGCCCCGACAGCAACAGGATGAACATCTTCTCTGGAGATGTTCCCTGGGGTGGCTGGAGAAGCAAGCAGAGACCTCCCTGCCACCATGCACTGAGCAATCATTTCTGGAATAACTTCAGATTCAAGCAGCTTTTGTAAACTGCCCCATTTAAATTAAAACAAATCAATATGCTTTCTAAAATTTAGTCTCAGCTAAACAGCTGTGACAGTTCATAGCAACCTGAACTTGAAATGAACCCACCCTACGTATAAATAAAGCCTTTGATGTCTTCATTAGTTTCTCACATGCCATTTTTTCACAGTCTATCAGGCTAAGTGCTTTGCAACTTATATATATTTTTGCAGGAGGAGTATTTAACCTTCTGATTAGTCACCGCAAGCAGCACAATGACAGAAACCCTGATTTTGCACACAATGAATTTATTGATAGATTTAGCCCATTAGCTGTATTTACCTGTCAGTTCTATGGACACTAATGAGTTGTTTTTCAAGGACTAATGAGAACTGTAATGGCTAATGGATGTTTACAGCTTCACCGCGCAGCACCATGTGATGCCGTGAGCACCCGCTCCCGTCCCTCCGAGTCTTTAATTGGCACCATCAGAGGACTCTTTAATTACATTTGAGCAGACAATAAAGATTCCAGCCAAATCAATGGCAGGGAGGCAGTGAGCTGGATTCTGCAGGAGGCTGGTCACTCTGATGGGCACCACCCTAATGCTTCAGCCAGCACTGTGGCTTCCCCCATGACACCCTTTGGCAGGAGGAAGTGCTGAAGAATGTCCTGGCAAGACATGTGTTTAAAGATCTGCCTCCCAAGTCAACCCCTGGGCTTGTAGAGCAGGGCTGGGGGTCACTGTCCCACCATGGGGGAGGGAAGGGTAAGACAGTCCACAAAGTGGTGAGCCTCCAGGCGCTGGAAAATAGAGCACCCTTGGACATGTGGATTTAGTTAAACTTTTTATTCATCAAGGACATGTTTTCTTCTGTGTTATATCCAAAGACAGGGCTCTGGCTAAGGTCAATATTCACAAGACAGTCTTAGCATTAGCAAGGGACAGTTGGCTTATGATAAATTTACAAAGAAAAATCCAATGTTTGCAATGCGTATTCACTCATTCAGGTGTTTATCCATTCATTTGGCATTTACCAAGTGCCCACTGAAGATAAAATGTACCAAAAAAGGTACAAATAAGGGAACATCTTACCAAGTAGAGAAATAAAGGGAAAGAACATCTAAATTTACAGAATGCTTTTAAAGAAGTGTGAGTACGTTACTTTCAATTGCATAAAACCCATTGCAAAGATCATATTTCTATACCAAGGTACCATACTTGCTGGACCTGCTGTTATACATTTCTAGTCAGAACCAATATGCCAGATGGCTTAAGAACACCTGCTTCTTTAGCAGATGAAGCTACTGTTGACCAGTTCTTCACAGAAAGGGCAGAGATCAGCTTGGCTGATCAATCAGATTTTCGTTCCAAGGAGGCTGGTGAGAGTAGGGAGGAGTCTGAGGATGGTTTCGTAACAGGAGCAGGTTATGGGGATATTAGAGAACTGGGAGTGTTATGCCTGGAGAAAAGTGAACCATGTGATGGTGGCAGTGGAAGGAGGATGCTGCTGAGCGAGGTCATTTGTTTGTTGACCCAATAGGATCACACAAGGATGACTGGGCATAAGGCACAGGGGTGCAGCCATTTAAAGACCAACTTATCTGTGAGTGCATCTACCACTGAATATGCTCATCTACCAGCCTTGACCTTTCCAGTGCCCTTGCCAGTCCTGGGAGGGGGGTCTGACCTTTCTTGGTGCTTCCTATGGGCCATGAACACATTCAATCTGGTGATGAGCATGCTGCTACAGAAATTAGAAGAGCAGTTTCCATAGAGAAGTGGGGGCGGAAGCCAGATTGCACAAGGATTAAGGAAGGAGTGGGTGGTGAGGAAGTGGCAGCAGTGACAAGTTGAATGATGGAGAGAGATAGAGCAGTCACTCAAGGGGGTCAGGAGGACCTGAGCACATTTATAAGATTCGAGGAAAATGTCACCTGAAAGGGAAAGATTGGAAATGCAAGAAAGGGGAGGTGACTGATGGAGTAAGGTCTCAGAGGTATCAGGAGTTGGGTGAGAACAGAATAACAGAAAGAGGAGGAGGGACTGGCCTCAGAATAGGAGAGGGAATCTACCTCCAGTGGTGAAGGGAAGCAATGAAGATACCCAGCAATTTTGATGTGGAAAAGAAGGAAACTAGCAGCTTCAGTCTCTCCTTATTTTGTTCTCTGAGAAGACCAGGAGACTTCACTTGTCTCAGGCAAGTGCCCAGAGGAGAGTGGAGAAGGTCTGGGGTAGTCATACTAGGGCTCTCATCCAGGGGCACTCAAAATGAAAGGATCAGAGAGGGCTCCAACTTGGGCCTCCAAATAACCATCTTCTGGAGACAATCAGCAAGGCTTCCTTGCTCTGCTCAGGAAGGAAAAGAAGCAGGAGAATCGTTCTTCCAGAGTTCAGGATTTGCAGAACACAGGCAGTCAGGATGCTTGGAGGAGCATAAAAGATGCTTGGAGGCTGTGAGCCCTTGACCATGGGGTCAAGGTTGGGAGGATGGATGAAGAGAATCAAGAGAATTAGGCGGGTGAGAGCCTGTTGAAGATGAAAACAGGGTTTAGAAGGGACAAAACAGAAGGATATGGAAAAGGCAAGGGAATTTGGGGGTCACTGGGATTCCAGGACCAACCTTAGGCTGGCTGAGCAGCTAACAACAGGGCCCTTCTTCAGAGCTGGGGTCTTCTCATTCCTGGAGACCATCCTAATGGGGGAAGGGAGGCCATAAGCATCTGTTTCTTTCCAAGCAGCAGACAGGGGTCGGACTTAGTTGTGCAGCCTTATGAGGCCCAGCATCTGGTGTTCTTAAGGTGACTTCTTGGCTCCTTTGTACCCCAAGTCACTGCCTTCCTCCAAGGTATGGCAGGGCTTCCCTCTTGCTTTCCATGGCCAACACCCTGAGTCCTCGTTAGCACAGAAGCATTCCCACCTCCCAGTCTGTAGGGATAGACTCACTCTGATCCTTTTCTTGCCTAGATCTTGGGGGTCCCTTCCTCAGGGAGATGAGGTCCTGTATTGAATCCTCTCAGGCAGAAACCAGAAAGACCCAACACCATTGACCAAGTCTCCAGAATTCTAGCTCCCCAGAGAGGGACTTTTGAACAGTGATGCCCTCAGCTGCATCAAATGAGTTTACAAGCCTCGTTGACCCTGAAAAGTCCCTGTAGGGATGCAGAAGCCACAAAGGGTCATGATGAGAACATTAGGGAGGAGGCTGAGCTGGGGGTTGTGGTCACTGAGGAAAGGGGAGAATTCCTGCACAAAGAGAGGTGGGCTTGAAATGGGTTGGCCCCCATCCAGTACAGCATTTACTCAACAGTTATTGCACAAGTGCCTCCTGGGTGCCAAGCTCTGTGCTTAGCAGTGGGGATTCCTAAGAAAAGACATAAACAATATGGCAGGGACACTGAGGGTGCTGTGGGAGGAAAGGGCAGGTCACTGACCCAGCCAATGAGGCGTGGGAAGGCTTTTAGAGGAGGGGAATGTCTAAGTGGGAGAAGAATCTCCCAGAGAGAAGACAAGAAGGTATTCATTCATTTACCGCACTGATTTTGCTCACTGGCTCTCTCTGCCAGGCACTATTCTAGGGGCTGGAGATGCAACAGTGAACAAAAGAGTCCCAAATCTTTGTCTGTATTGAGCTTATGTTTCAGGGTAATGGTAACCATGCTATATTCAGGGTACTGCAAGAGATCAGCGTGATTAGAACTAAAGTCTGAAAAACTTTGTAACAAGAGACAAGAGTGAGAAGATGGGTGGGGTGAAATTGCATGAGCCTTGCATTCCGTGATAAGGACTTTGCAGCCTACCTGAAAGCAGCTGAAGGGTCACCGAAGGATTTCACACAACTGACATCTGCATTTCAGCTGGGCAGTGGTAGAAAAGGTTGAAAGTAGAGGAAGACCTGATGTTGAGCCCAGTTAAGAGGCTGTTGGAATACTCTGGATGAGAAGCCAGTGGGGCGGCTGTAGGAACAGAGAGATGTAGATACATTTGAGGGGTTTTAAAGAGACAGAGTCAATAGAACTGGATGAGCTACGAGACAAGAAAAAAAAGAGGAACCTGGGAGAGCATCCAGTTTCTTATGTGGGTGCCTGGAGGGATGCCTTGCTGAGTGGAACACAGCAGGAAGGAGAGCGTCAAGGGGAGAGCGATCACTTTTCAGACCTACTGAGTTTGAGCTGCTGAGTGTCACCATACTGGGATGGGTGTGCTGACTTCAGGTCTGAAGTCAGGAGAGAAACTTGGCCTGGGGAGTCATCAGAGTCGATGGGAGAAGGGAGGGACTTGAGTGCTTAGGGAAGGTGTTTATGGTGGGAAGAGAGGAGGTCTGGACACAGAACCTCGAGGATCACCAACAATGAAGGGGTAGGAAGGGCCGAAGCAGAGGGGTCGGAAGAGGAGTCAGAGAGATAAGAGGAGACCCAGGACACTGCCACATGAGGTAGGAGAGGGTTTCCAAAAAAAGGACGGTGGTCAGGTGTCAAATAGGCTCAGAGAAGTCCTGGGAAGGCTGAAAATAATCATTAGATTCAGAAGAAGCAACATGGAGTCCTTAATGAGATTGGTTTCCGTGGGAGTGAAAATTGGAATGTGATGGGGAGAGAAGTGAGAGGGAGATAAGGAAGTGAAGATGGTGCCCACCCTTCCAAGAATCTGGCTTTGAAAAGGAGAGAAAAAAGGCAATGAGGATAAATAATCATTGAGTTGAGGGAGGTGGATTTTATTTTTAGATGAAAAATGTTCTGTTTGTTCATAATCCAATCCAAGAAGAACTAGCCAGGAGAGAGGGAGAGGAGGAGTGAGGTTGGAGCTCTGAGACAGAGTGGAGGTGATTGTCAGAGCAGGATTGACAGGATCCTGGGGACTGGATGCAGAGTCTGCCTGGCCGGAAAAACAGGAAGGTTGGCTCTGCCTCCCAGATGAGATGAAAGAAGACAGGCCTGAGATTGGGTATGGATAGGTTTATGACTGGGAAGCTGGAGGGGAAGGGAGGGAGATGGGGAAGGAGGTCTTTAGCCACACCATGCTGAGCGTGGGTCCCCAGTGGCCAGACTCTGGACATGGCAGAACCTCTAGTGGCCACATCTGCTGCACTGGGCATCATGGCTTTAGCAGTGGTGGCAGCCATGGTGGTGCTTTAGGATGGAGTCAGACCACAGCCATGCAGTGATGACCTCTATGCAGCAGCAGGGAATGTCAAGTGCTGAGGAGGAGGAAGGCAGGTGGGTGAGACAATGAAGGCAGGCAGGGGCAGAGCATGTTATTGGTGTCCCAGACTCCTGCTTCTTATAGCTTCTCCTACCTTCTCACCTCTCTGGCTTTGAAGCCTCCTGAAGCCCAATGCAGCATCACAGAATCCCACCAAGTGGCAGAAAGCTCCAAGCTGCTCCAGTCATGGGGAAGAACATGGACCAAGAGGTTGGCATAGAAACCAAAGATGCCACCTCCAGAGGGAAGCAGCCTGTCTGCATCAGTGCTCCCAGCCTATCGTTGGCCTGGATGACAACAGAGAATTTTTACTGGGAGGATGAGTGGAAGAAAGAAGAAAGGAAATAAACATTTATTTCATGCTTATTGCAAGCAACACCATGTCAAGTGCTTTAGAAATATTCACTTGTTTAATTCTCAAGCCAACCATGTGAGGTGGTATTATCCCTACTGTAAAGATGAGAAACCCAGGCCTCTAGGTTGCTCAGGATGATGCAGATCTAAGATAGCAGCAACAAGCCGGGCTTTAAATCCAGGTCTTTCTTCCCTCCAAAGCAGGTATTCCTCCCATAGCACACATGGCTTTCTGGACATTCTGCCCCAGCCACCACCCTTAGATCTGCAAGGACGTGCACAGCAGCTGCAGCCGCACCGCAGTCCTGCATGTCAGTCACTGGAGGAAGGCCTCCTGCCGGCCAGAGACCTGAAGAGAGCAGTGTTGCAGTCACACTCTGCTCAAGGTGAAAATTCAAATTTACAAAAAAAGTGCTGGACTTGGAGCCATAAAACATAAGTGAGCTCAGTTTGTAGCTCTAAGACCCACCAGCTGGATGACCTTGGAGATGTTGCTTCACTTTCTAAGCCTCAGTTTCTTCCTTATAAAACAAGAATCCCAGCCAGGTGCGGTGGCTAATGCCTGTAATCCCAGCACTTTGGGAGGCCAAGGCAGGCAGATCATGAGGTCAGGAGATCGAGACCATCCTGGCCAACGTGGTGAAACCCCGTCTCTACTAAAATACAAAAAATTAGCCACGCATAGTGGCAGGCGCCTATAGTCCCAGCTACTCGGGAGGCTGAGGCAGGGGAATCGCTTGAATCCGGGAGGTGGAGGTTGCAGTGAGCCGAGATCGTGCCATTGCACTCCAGTCTGGGCAACAAGAGCGAAACTCCGTCTCAAAAAAAAAATATATATATCCCTACCTCATAGCATTGTTGGAAGGGTCAAGTACATACAATTATGGGCATGCCAGTAAACATGTAATAACCAGCTCTCAAAAAAAAAAAAAAAAAAATGAAGCCTGCATGTGTAGTCTTTCCTGATTTCCATGGTGTAAATACTCTCACCTTGGCTGATGTCAGGCTACTAAGGTGACATCCCTGCACGTGGGGTTGGGAAGAGACATGGGTTACCACACCATTGTATAATATTTCCTCCCTACAGATACAGCAGACAGCCTCCAGAGTACTATCTCTAGAGTAGAAATCACAATAAAATAATTAGAAAATGATGTGACTTTCAGTGTTTATTACATTTGTTTTAGACATAAATTATGTAAGTTTATATACTTTAAACTTTAACAATGGTTGTGTTTAATGACTGGTTCACAAAATTCCTGAAATGTAACAAGCAGCTCTCATGAGTCAGCTCTAATACAACACTGAGAATCGTGGCTATGCTAGAGCTGAGGTAGGGGTGAAGTGGGATTTAAACCCAGGTCTGGCTGACTCCAGAGTACACATTTCCATCAGCTTCTTACCTGCATTGTAAGGTAGGGATCTGGCCACCTAGAATTGCTGGTTGGCCCCAGGGCACCATTAGAAAAAACAGAGGGAGATGCTCATCTGTAGGCACTGCATGGAAGAAAGTTGCCCTGGCTTCCCTCCAGCCACTGCACAAGTCTTGGTCTCTGCCTAGGTAGCAGCCACCTGCCCTGTCTGTTGATCAAAGGCAGCAGCAGCTTTTGCAATAATGTCATAACGTCTGTTTCTGGGACTATTTTGTTACTCTTCCCAAAAGTTGGACCAGTGGTCAGGGTCATCCATCCACCACCACTCCCCAACCTCCCAGAGCCTCAATTTCCTTCTTTATCAAAATGAGCAGGTTGGACCCGTCCCTCCCATATTTGAAGTCCTTGGACCTGACTCACTACCTAAGCCATGCTGGAGGTTCTGATAGCTTCAGAGCAGGAGCTGGAGGGTCTCGTGGAAAGGGTGGGTTGGGAAGTAGAGACCAGATAGGAAACAATTGTGCTGGTTTTGCTGAAAAATCCCAAAGAGGCAGGCAGCTGAGAGGGTGACAAGAGACCTTTTTTTTTTTTTTTTTTGAGACGTAGTCTCGCTCTCTCGCCCAGGCCGGACTGCGGACTGCAGTGGCGCAATCTCGGCTCACTGCAAGCGCCGCTTCCCGGGTTCACGCCATTCTCCTGCCTCAGCCTCCCGAGTAGCTGGGACTACAGGCGCCCGCCACCGAGCCCGGCTAATTTTTTGTATTTTTAGTAGAGACGGGGTTTCACCTTGTTAGCCAGGATGGTCTCGATCTCCTGACCTCATGATCCACCCGCCTCGGCCTCCCAAAGTGCTGGGATTACAGGCGTGAGCCACCGCGCCCGGCCACAAGAGACCTTTTTATTGCACAGTGGAATAGTGCCTGCCTGGGAGTAAGCGAACTCTGGTCCTGCTTACCATTGTGACATGCATGATAACAGGTTCCTTCCTTCTGATCTGCACCGCCCCCCTCCTCATCTATAAAGTGAGGAGGTTGAGCTACATGGCATCTGACTTACTCCCAATCTGACTGCTGTTTACTCTGAAGCCATGTGAGTATGAGGAGACAGAGAAGAGGGAAGGATGTGGGACATGTGGCCCATGTGAGACAACTGACCCAGACGGGCTAAAGCGAGAGGAGGAGGAGGACCCAGTGGCTCAGAACTCTCAGCCTCAAGGGTGGAAACAGGGTGAGAGGGATTAACATGTGCGTGCTTATGCAGGTACCTCTATGTGTGTGTGTGAGTGTGTGCGTGTGCAGGTGCACGTGCATGGTGGGGCTGAGTTTAGCTTGAAAAGCCTGTGTGCATGGTGTTGGCAGTACCTCCAATATACAAATTGTGTTCCAGCCCTGGGGTGATCCTGGGGCCTATGTACAGGGTGGGTACTTCTTAGTGATGCTAACAGGATGCTGGGCTGATCCTCCTGGTGTTGCCATGGGAGCTCAGGAGAAGTGCAGGCTGGGAAGTGACTGTTGGGTGCAGCTCCATCTCGAAGAAGCCTGTATCACGCCTTTGGCAGAACATCAGGTGGGAGTCGCAGTGCACAATGAGCTCTTGTTCTTTGAGGCTTTACACTAAATCTGTTTCCAAGGTTTTATGAATCATTTTGCTGCTGATCTTAAAATAATAATAATATACAAGCCACAGTGGAGGAAGCCTTCAGCTTGTTTTCTCCAAGAGAAGGACATGAACTTGGAAAGAACTCCTTCTCGCCTCTTGCCTGTGCAGGTAGTTTATCTTCTCCACAACTGTCAGAAAAGCCTCTCTGAAGACTGTGATGCTGCCTGTGGCACAGGCCACCTCAGCGTTGAGCCTCAGCCTGGGAAGGAAAGGGTGGATCTTGAAGAGGGAACAGAGAAGTACCGAGACTTGGGGACTGCCAAGAAAAATTAATGACAAGCAGTTCAGGCTAAGGCCAAGGAGTTGCTATGTGACCCAGGCAGCCCCCAAATAGGCCTGTTCCCTCAGGAATTTCAGCTCAGCAGGAGCAGCCTCTCCAGGGGAGCCTTCAGGCCTCCCAGGAGGATGAACATTTGCCCTAAAGGCATAAAGTTTGCCCTGTGTCAGGAACTCATTTCCAAGAATGTGTGTGCCCCTCATAGCCAACAGTTTCTTGCTTTACTCCTCAGTTGTCTGCCTTTTTGCCCACTGGTACTTCTGTGTGTCTGCTGGCCTCTGGCCAAAGTTTCGCTTTGAAAGCCAGACTACAGAAGACCATGGAAGGAAAGTGTTGGACTCTGGTTTTACCAAGGGCTCGCTGGCTATGCCACTTAAGCATTCCTCACCTCCAAGTAAAATCAAGAGGGCTGGATCCCACTCAAGACACCTGCCCAGCCTGCTGTCCAGCAGGTCTTAGCAAAGTGCTGAGCTGACTGGCATGCAAGAGATGGAATCCACACCAGGCAGCGGTCTGTGGTGAATGCTCATTCATTGCATGGTCTTTCTTAGTTTTTTCTTTCCACATGGAAAATGGGGGGGGGTTACCGAGAGCTCATCTGGCTCTGCTGCCACCATCAGTGTGGAGCCAGCTTCCAAATTCTCCAGCAACAGCTGCATTTCTTCACCTGGTCTGATTCTCGACCCCAACATGCCTCAGTTCTTGTTTCTCCCTTGCCCTCTGGAGCTGAGCCCTGCCTCAGTTTCTCCAATCTCCCCAGAGCCCTGACTCCAAAACACTCCCTAGCCACAGCCTACGCCCTGCTTGCCTCCAAGGCCTCAGTCCCACCTCCTCCTGCTGCCTGGCTTTACTTGCAGATGGTTCCAGCGCTGGTTATTATTTAAACGAGCTGCTCCTGGCTCACATGTTAATTAAAGCCCGCTGTCCAAAATCTCCTGGTACAATTTGCAGCGTAATCTGTAGCCTCTAGTGCATCATTGTATCTCTATTAAAAGGGATTCTCTGTAATGATGCGGGGATTTAATTAGTTTCTTTGCCAATGTTGTAAAACACAGTGATAAACGAGCCAACAGGTCCGCGGATCATTATTCTCCTCAAGATGAGCTTATTAGCTGATTATGAATCATTAACAAAGTCTACATGGGATTTTCTTATCTAATTCAACACAATTTTTAACATTCAATGCTCAACATCCATTTCTTTCAACCAGCAACATTGTGTGGTGATTGCAATCTGTACGTATGGCTTCCTACTCTCGGCTTGGGTTTTTCCCCTCTTTGTATTTAATTTTAGATATATGGTGGGGGAAACAAGACCTGGTGATTGGAAACCATATAATGATGAACTGAGACTCTCATTTTATAAAGGGAGACAGCCATGGTGAACTGGGCCTGGGAGTGTTAGTGTCTGTATGTGCACACTTGTGCACATGTGTCTATCTGTAGGGGAGGGATGGCCTGGGGATGTGCGAGTCCCTGTGTGCATGGATGTGTGTGCTCTGTGTATTCATGTGTGTCCATAGCCTATGGATAGTGCTTCTTGTTTGTATGCATACCGTATATCCTATATATGCATCCTGTATGTACTTGTATATACAAGTATATACACACACAAGTAGAGGGAGCTTAAAGGAAGAAAAAATTCTGAATAGGCTTTCAGACTGATGTTATTCAACCACTCCATGAGATGTCAGTATCCCCAAAAGGTTGCAGATGGGCCTCTCCTGTCTTCCCAGCTCGGAGTCTGTTCTCCTTTCAATGAGATATGGGCTGGGCGCAGAGCTTGGCACTACTAGCTCTGTGAGGTAGGAGGTTCTCTCCCTGCTTTACAGATGAGGTGACTGGGGTCTAGAGAAGTAAAATGGCTTGCCCAAGGCCATAGTAGCAGCTGGTGGAGCTGGGATCAAATGTAGCTCTACCTCACTCTGAAGCATTCTGTGATTCTGTGCTGCTTCCTGGGCTTTGGCTGCTTCTTATCCGAGAAACTTGTGATTCTTCTGGGACTGACATAGACCCTGCCTCCTGCAGCACCACCTCCAAGCATATACCACTTGGACCCTGGCCTTTTGCAGGCTGAATGTGGGAAGAGCAGCTACTGCACCCTCTGGGAAGTGGCTATGTGGATCTGGTCCTAGCAGTTTACATTCACATGACTCATGCCTCTTCATTTCAGCAAACAAATACTACCAAAACTATTATTGCTAATAAGTATGAAAGCCAACTAGGTACAAATGAAAACTGGGCACTGTCACCTCAATGACCAAGAAATGATATGCAGGGAAAAATATTCATGTAAACCTAACTGTTACAGCTCAGGGGCCTTGGAGGTCCAGCATGCGGAGACCTCAAATGCACAGGTCAGAGGGACACAAAGAAAGCTAGACTGAGCATCATGGGGATTTGGGGAGTGTTTTGAGCTGAGCTGTGTCCTTCCAAAATTCATATGTTAAAATCCTAACTCCCAGTACCTCACAATGTGACTGTTTTTGAAGATGGGATCTCTAAAGAGATAATTAAGTTAAAACGAAGTTATTAGGATAGACCCTAACTCAATATGACTGTTGTCCTTCCAAGAAGAGGAGATGAGGACATAGACACATACAGAGGGAAGGTGACAAAAATTCACAGGGAGAAGATCAATAAGCTGAGGTGGGAGGCCTCAGAAAAAAATCAACCCTGCTGAAACCTGGATCATGGACTTCCAGCCTCCAGAACTGTGAGGACATACATTATTTTTTAAGCCAGGCAGTCAGGATAATTCTTCATCCAGTTGTCAATGCAGTGTCTAAAGGAAGGCAATGAACATATGCACACTTCAGGCCAGTGTCCAAACCCAGGTAGGTCCAGTGTGACCAAGAGTGGACACCTAGGTGCTGAGAAGTGCTCTAGGTGATGTATAGTGATTACAAGTGATTTGTCCAGTCAAAGCAGGAACTCAGCAAGTGTGAGGCTAAAAAGAACTTAGCAGGGGTGAGTAGCCCAACCAAGTCAATGGAGGCATTAGGGCAGCTCTAGTCCCAGCAGGAATATGAAGTTCTGGACAAGGGCACTGAAGTAGAATCTTGTTCACGCCAACAGAACCAGTAGGTGGCAGGTAAGAAAAGTCTTCACAGAGCTGTACACAATCACACAGGATCAAATTAGGTGCTCCACCGAGGCATGTTGAATGATTGAGCATCAGTTAGCTGCAGTTACTTTATCAGTTAGGTCTTGCTGAGTAACAAAGCATCCCAAAACATAGTGGCTTTACAAAATAACCATTTATTATTGCTTGTAAGTCTATAGGTCGGCTAGATGTTCTGTCTATTTGAGTCTGCTTTCTTTTTTCTTTTTTGAGACAGAGTCTTGCTCAGTGGCATGATCTCAGCTCACTGCAACCTCTGCCTCCAGGGTTCAAGCAATTCTCCTGCCTCAGCCCCCTGAGTAGCTGGGATTACAAAGGTGCACCACCACACCTGACTAATTTTTGTATTTTCCGTAGAGATGGGGTTTCGCCATGTTGGCCAGGCTGGTCTTGAACCCCTGACCTCAGGTGATCTGCCCACCTCGGCTTCCCAAAGTGCTGGGATTACAGACATGAGCCACCACACCCAGCCGATTTGAGTCTGCTTTCTGCCAATCTGGGACAGGATTGACTGATGTTGGCTGGGTTTCCTCATGCATCTACTAGGAATTGGAAGTGGGCTAAGAGGCTCAATGGCTTAGGATGGCTTCATCTGGACCAACACAGCTCCCTTCCATGTTTCTCATATCCCTTCAACTGGGTAACCCAAGTATCTTCTCATGTCAGCAGCATGAGTCCAAGAAACTAGTCTGGACAGGCTGTCATGGAGACAGCAGGTGCAAGAGAAGATGTAGAAACCTACGAACACTGTTCCAGGCTCTGCCTGTATCACGTTTGCAAACATCACATTGGCTATAACAAGTCATGTGGGCAAGCCCAGAGTCAGAATAGGAGGGAACTACAAAGTTACAGGGCAAAGGGTTTGGATGCAGAGATGCCATTAATTCAGGTCATTGGTGTAATCAATCCACCACAGTGAGAAAATCAACAAATGTTTAAAGTGGAAATCAGTGGGAACAAAAGTAAATCCAGACTCTCTTGCTTGTAGGGTAAGGCCACTTATTATTCCTGTCTTTGCTCAAGAGCTAGGTCTGGCCCTCAGAGTGTTATATGAGGGGCTGCAAATAACCTCTCCTGGATGGTCCCTGAGGCTATACCTGAACCCTGTTTTATACAATTGGAATGCCACTAAAATGTTGTGTGAGAATATGAAAATAGTGGGATCTTCAGGGTGCTGCCACTCTTCTCTTCTCTGCACATTCTGCATGGACAATTACATCCCCTCTCACCACTTCAACCACTTTTCTTCTGCCCTAACAGAGCTGAAGGGGCCATTGGGAGCAGAGGCTCTGTAGATTGATAGCTTTAAATTGACAATTGCGGGAGAGGGAGAGAAAAAGGTCTCCTGACGAGCATTGAATAGATATCAGACCCTGAGATGTGCTGTGATAATTCTGAAAGATTCTGCGAAGGTGTTCTGATAGATATCCCACCATGACCAATGTTGAGAAATACAGATCTCTATAAAGAGATGGTTTCCAAATCTAAATCTCTAGCCCAGATTATTCTCCTGAGTTCCAAACCCATACATTCGGCTCTCTATGTGTATCCCCACTTGTGTGTCCCACAGGTCATCACTCTAAAAATGAACTAACCCCTACCCTCATCAAATGTCCCCTTATCTTCCTCCTAGGTTTCTTTTATCCCTACCACCCACCCAGTCACCCAAGTCTGAAGTCTGGAAGTCACCCTTAACTCCCACTTCTCCCTCACTAATCCAGCCCCATCCCATATCTCCGTAATTAGAAAGTTTTTGGCATTTCAACCGTCTACCATATATCCTACTTGAAGGGTATTTCAAAAAAGAAAATCTATTCATGTCACTCCCTTGCTTATACCTCCTCAGGGGCTCCCCGGTGCCCAAATATCTTCACATAACTTACAGAACCTTACAGTACCTAGCCCCTGTGTAGCTTTCCAGCCTCAACTCTCTCCTTTCTGCTGTGTGAATGTTATCTTCTCCACTTCTTTAAATCATTTAAATGGCATCTTGACTTCACCTCAACCTTTTGCATATGCTATGTCTTCTGCTGGAAATATTCTCTCACACTTCCCCTATTACCCGATTGCTCTTTGTGCTTCAAATCTCAGCCCAAATGTCTCTTTCTCAGAGAAAACATTCTTCATCCATAGTTTGGTTCATGTCCTTACCCAGGGTATCGCCTTTATAGCACTTGTCACATTGTATTTTATGCCTCTTTGCTTATCTTTGTCCCCCCACCCAACTAGTCTGTAAGCTCCTTGAAAGCAGAAATGATGTCTTGATCCCCAGTACCCCCTGATCCCCAGATCTCCTCTACTTGGGAGGGTATTAACATGAAGTGAACATATAGCAAAGTATTATTTAATAAATGAAGGAAACCCAGATGAGGCACATAGGGGAGTTACCAAGCTACTTATATGAAATCTCTTTGTAAGATGCCAATAGTCACCTTTCAGGTAGGGATTATATAAGTTAAAGTTTTCATATCTGTTTTATTTAAACAAGGCACAGTTGATAAACTGGGAAGCAATTAACTGGGAAACTCTTTCCCTGCCCTCTGCTAATACAAGAATCCCACTCCATGCCCAACACCTAAACAGATTCCCAATCAACACATCTAGATTATTGATTAAAATTTAAATATTAATCTGCTTTGCAAATTTCCCATTAATGTATTGCAAGAGATTATTATGTAGTGAATATAGTATTTATTGTGACCTACTTACATTCACGATGACTTTTAATTGTTTAAACTAAAGAAAAAGAGAAGCTGTCACCCCCAGTGTCAAATTTCTGAAGGAATTTTTGGAGGCAGATTTGAGTGGGTGTCTTCAGAGGACAGACCAAGACTAGAGGAAGATTCTGGGTCAATAGAACAACTTTCCCATTGACAAAACCATCATAATGGAATGAACTCTAGAATGGACATAAACAGAGAATCAATGAAAGATGATGAAGAAGAATTTCCCAAGAACAAAAACAAATAGATTAGAAGGTATAAAAGAACAGTTTAGAGATATGGAGGCTACACTGAGAAGCTAATATTAGTCTAATGGAGCTTCAGAAAAGGGGCATGGAAATAATTGTTGAAATGCAACATTGAAATGATCAGAACTGAGAATTTTTCACTTTTAAAGAAAATACCGTTAAATATATCAAAAATTGATTAAATAAAAATAATTCTATATCTAAAGACATATTATAGAAAGCCTGTAAAGCATTAAGGAAAAAACTAACATGTTAAAAGCTGCCAGAAGAAAAAACAGATACTTTATAAAGGAATGATACTAGAGTGACAACAAAAGTTCTCAGCAACAATAATAGAGGCAAAAATACGGTAAACTAGTAGCTTCAAAGTGCTGAGTGAAAATACCTGACAAGCTTGCATTTTATACCTAAACTAGCCTTCCAAATGATAGGGGGAAGTCTTTTTCAGGCATACAAAGACTATGAGTTTCCCAACTCATTAAAAGAACAATTTAAGACTTGCAGTTTTATCTCTGACATGTAAAAGTGGAACTCCCATCCTTACAACAATAAAAATGCTGAAAAAACTGAAAACCATTGTCTTCTCTTAGAGTAACTAGAGAATTAAGGGCACAGAAAAAAAAAATCACCACCAAAATCTGGAGAGATAGGTGAATACAAAAAAATCACAGCCAAGGTCAGCTTACCTAGAACAGAAGCTGTTGGAGCCATAAGCTGGTATCTACCCTCAAATGGTAACTCTGATGAATTGCTAGAAGTATAGACTAGCATGAAAATGAGAAACTCCTCAGAGCTGCAGTTTTGGGGGCCTCAAACTTTCTCAGTTTTACCTCCATGAACCTCATCAAATTGTCATGGTGAAGAGTCAATTTTTTAAAATCCCATGTTTTTGGATGGGATAAAGGGAAAGTAACAATTTTGAAATATATCCAGAGTATTCTCCTTAACAAAGGCCCAGTCATCAATGGAAATGACTTTAATCAGAGCTTTGTCTGATGTGGGGAAAGGGAAATTATCTAACTCCAACCCCCTTTAGACTTCCTCTCTCATCTAAGGAGAAAAAAAGCTGAGGAACACTTGTGATGGTCACAGTTCAGGGACACAGGCCCAATAAAAGACTGACACTTAGTTATAGAATTATAGGACCCTATAATTTTTACCCCATACCTCACCAACATATCAACAGGGTTCCAGTGTAATAACAGTAGATTATATACATATAAAACAGCTGTGATGTTCAGATTCTATTTAAGAAGGGGTTTTTAGGGAAGTCTAAAAACAACAGGTGAAACAAATAATGAGTACACTCGAGGAAATGGAAGACTTTAACACCTACAGCCACAGCAAACATTAAACACAGCCCAACTCCCAGCCAGGTTAACACAAAATCTGACACTAAAGGCCTATTTGCCTCAGTTTCTATTACCTGATACATCACGTCATGCTTTCAACAAAAAATTATAAAGCATAATAAAAATCAAGAAAAAATTATTTAAATAGACAGCAATCATCAGACAGCAATCATCAGAGCACAGACATAGCAAAATTTTGGAATTATCGAACTAAGAATGAAAAAAGTAAACAACATGAAAGAACAGATGGGTAATATAAGCAGAGAGACGAATGCTAAGAAAGTATCAAAAGAAAACACTATAAATAAAAAAAGCCACATTGTAACAGAAATGAGGAATGTCTTTCATGGGCTGATTCTTAACCTAGACATAGGCAAGGGAAGATTCACAAACTGAAAATACGTCAATGAATGCTTCTCAAACTGAAATGCAAAAAGAACAAAAGAATAAGAAAGAGAATATTCAAGAACCATGTGACAACTCAAAAGTTGCAACAAACAGGTAATTGGAATACCAGAAGGAGAAGAAAGAGGGAACAGAAGAACTATTCCATTAGGCCAGAAATTTTTCAAAATTAATAACACCAAAACACAGATCCAGGAAGCTCAGAGAACACCAAGCAGGAAGAATCCCAAAACAGCTATCCCTAGACATGTCACTTTCATATTGCAGAAAGACAAAGACAAAAATCCTGAAAACGGCAGAGGAAAAGGAACAGTTTACCTATAGAGGAACAAGGATAAGAAATACATCGGACTTCTCATCAGAATCTATGCAAACTGAAAGAGAACAGAGGAAAATATTTAGACCTTTGAAAGTAAAAGAATCTAGAACTCTATATTCAATGAAATTATCCTTCAAAAAATGAAGAAATACTTTCTCAAACAAACGAAATCTGAGAGAATTTATCACCAGTATACCTGCACTGCAAGAAATTTTTAAAGAAGAGGTTCTTCAGGAAGAGGAAAAATAATGTAAGTCAGAAAATTTAGGTCTACATAGAGATAGAAAGAGCATTAAAGAAGGAATAAATTAAGGTAAAGTAAAATATTTTATTTTTCTTATTGTTAATTGCTTTAATAGATAACTATTCAAAGTAATAACAGTAGCTATGTATTAGATGATTATAGTACATGAATAAGTGAAATGAATGACAGCCCTGTATTGAGGGACAAGAGAGGGAAGTTGGGAATACTCTGTGATATCATTTGGCTCTATGTCCCACCCAAATCTCATCTCAAAGTGTAATCCACCACATGTCGAGGGAGGGTCCTGGTGGGAGGTGATTGGATCATGGGGGCAGTTTCCCCCATGCTGTTCTTGTGATAGTGAGGGAGTTCTCATGAGATCTGATGGTTTAAAAGTGGCAGTTTCCCCTACATGCTCTCTCTTTCCTGCCACCATGTCAGATACGCCTTGCTTCTCCTTCGCTTTCTGACGTGATTGTAAGTTTCCTGAGGCCTCCCCAGCCATTAGAAACTCTGAGTCAATTAAACCTCTTTTGTTTTCAGATTACCCAGTCTCATGTAGTTCTTTATAGCAGTGTGAAAATGGACTAACACACTCTGCTATAAGGTATCTTCCCTACCTGTGAAGACTTCTCATCAGAAAGAAGTATAGTATACTTCTCATCAGAAGTAAGCATAGTGTTACTCGAGAGTAAAATTAAACTAGTTGTAAATGCATATTGCAAACTCTAGGGAAACCACAAACTTTTTTTTGTTGAGACAGAATTTTGCTCTTGTCACCCAGACTGGAGTGCAATGGTTCCATCTCAGCTCACTGCAGCCTCCGCCTCCCGGGTTCAAGCGATTCTCCTGCCTCAGCCTCCC
Source organism: Homo sapiens (assembly GCF_000001405.40). Classification (NCBI taxonomy): domain Eukaryota; kingdom Metazoa; phylum Chordata; class Mammalia; order Primates; family Hominidae; genus Homo; species Homo sapiens. The sequence goes on along the minus strand of NC_000001.11, from coordinate 38,318,756 downwards.
GAGTAGCTGGGATTACAGGTGCCCACCACCACACCTGGCTACTTTTTGTATTTTTAGCAGAGATGGGGTTTCACCATGTTGGCCAGGCTGATCTCGAACTCCTGACCTCAGGTGATCCACCCACCTCAGCCTCCCAAAGTGCTGGGATTACAGGCGTGAGCCACTGCGCCTGGCCGTCACAAACATTTTTTAAAAGAAGTATAATTGATATGCCAGGAGAGGAGAGAAAATACAAACATATAAAATGCTCAATTAAAACAAGAGAAGACATAGCAGCCCTTAACATGTATGCACCAAAAAACAGTTTGTTAAAATACATGAGACAAAAACTAATAGAACTGCCAAGTATTGGAGTTGGAGTCTTCAACACTCCTCTTTCAGTAATTTATAGATCAAGTAGGCAGAAAATCAGTAAGGACATAGTTGAACTCAACAGCACTATCAATCAACTAGATTAATCAACTAGATATAATTGATGTCTATCAACTACTTCATGCAATAACAGCAGAATACACATTCTTCTCATGCTCACATGAATCATTCACCAAGATGGAACACATCCTGGGTCATAAAACAAACCTTAACAAATTTAAAAGAATAGAAATTATACAATGTCTGTTTTCAGACCATAATATAATTAAACTAGAAATCAGTAACAGTAAAATAGCCTCAAATACTTACAGATTAAACAAGACACATCTAAATAACATATGAGTTAAAGAAGAAATCTTCTTAAAGGAAATTTTAAATATTTCAAACTAGATGAAAACGAAAACACAACTTATCAAAATTTATGGAATGCAGTAAAAGCAGTGGTTAGAGGGAAATTTATAGTATTGAATGCAAATGTTAGAAAAGAAGAAGGATTTAAAAAATCAATAATCCAAGCTTCCACCTTCGGAAATTAGAGAAAGAAAGATCAATTTAATCCTAAAGTAAGCATAAGAAGATAAGTAATAATTAGAACAAAAATCAGTGAAATTGAAAGCAGGAAAATAAAGAAATCAACAAAACCAAATGCTGTCTTGGAAAAGATCAATAAAATTGATAAAGCTCTAGCTGGCCTAACAAAGAAAAAAAGAGAAAGAACACAAATTACTGATATTGGAAATAAAGAAGGAAGTCACCACTATTGATCCCATGGACGTCAAAAAGATAATAAATATATGAATAACTACATGACCACAAATTTGATAACTTAGATGAAATGGACAAATTCTTGGAACAACATGAGCCACCAAAGCTCACAATAGGAGAATTAGCCAATCTGAATAGATTATTAAGGAAATCTATTAAAAAATTAAGTCAATAATTAATATCCTTTCAAAAAAGAAAGCACCAGTATTAGATGGGTTCACTGTTTAATTCTATCAAAATTTAAGAAAGAATTTATATCAATTCTTTACAATCTCTTCCAGAAAATAGCAGCCAAGGGAACCTCTCTTAACTAATTCTATGAGATCAGCATTACTCTAATACCAAAATTGGATAAAGACATTACAAGAACAAAAAGCTATAGACCAATATCTTTCATAAACATAGATGCAAAAATCTTCAACAAACTATTAGCAAGTTAAATCCAACAATGTATAAAAAAATTTACATACCATAATCTAGTAGGATTTATTCAAGGTATATACAAGGCCGTTTCAACATTAAAAGGTCAACTGATGTTATCTACCCCACCAACAAAATAAAGAAGTAAAGTCACATGATTATATCAGTTGATGCAGAAAAAGCATTTGACAACCCCAACATTAATTGGTTTTTTTAAAAAACTTAGATAATTAGGAATAGAGAACTTCCTCAACTCGATTTTTTTGAAACTACAAAAGAAAGTTACAGCTAACATACTTAACAGCAAAAAAAAAAAAAAGATGTTTTCCCCTAAGATTCCAAAAAAGGCAAGGCTGTCCCCTCTCACCACTTCCATTTAACACTGAATGGAAGTCCTAGCTAATGCAACAAGATAAGGAAAGGAAATAAAATGTATATAAATTAGGAAGAAAGAAATAAAGCTACCTTTTTTTGCAGATGATTGTCTATGTAAAAAATTCCAAAGAATCAGCCAAAAAAAAAAAAAACCCTAGAATTAGTAAATGATTATGGCAAAGTCGCAGGATATAAGAATAATATACAAAATCATTAGCATATATATGTATAGATATATATAGAGAGAATAATTGAACTTTGAAATTTAAAGCACTGTATAATTTTCAATATCAAAAAGTTAAATTAGATATAAACCTAACAAAACATGTACAGGATCTATATAAGGAAAACTACAAAATTATGATGAAAGAAACCAAAGATCTAAATAAGTGGAGAGACATTTCATGTTCATAAATAGCAAGACTCAGAATTGCTAAGATGTCAATTGTTTCCAGATTGATCAATCTCAGTCTCAATCAAGATCCCAGAAAGGTATTTTGTGGATATCAACAAACTGATTCTAAAGTGTATATGGAAAAGCAAAAGACTCAGAAAAGCCAACACTTGAAGAAGAACAAACTTGGGGGACTGACACTACGCAATCTGAAAACTTACTATAAGTTTAAATTAATCAAGATAGTATGGTATTGACAAAAGAGTGACTCATAGATCAATGGGAAAGAATAGGAAGCTCAGAAATAAATCCACACAAACATAGTCAACTGATCTTTGAAAAGACTATCAAAGGGTAGTCCTTTCAAAAATGGTGCTGGAACAATTGGATTTCCAAATGAAAAAAAAAAAGAATCTAGATTCAGACCTTAAACCTTTCAGAAAAATTAACTCAAAATGGAGCACAAACCTAAATATAAAATGCAATATTATAAAATGTTAGAAGAAAACATAAGACATAATTTAAGTGACATTGTGTTTGACAATGACATTTTAGATACCACCCCAAAAGTACAATCTATGTGACAGTGGAAAAACACACATGAACTGTGTTTTTCCTATTCTCTCACTCAATACATTAATCAACACAGAAGACTTCTGTGACCAAATGTGTGCAAGATTTTCCTCACACACCAAGCAAGCGATCAGTTCTGCAGCAGACATCATCTGGAGGTCCTCCAATTCACTTCTGACTCTATCTACCTGGAGATAATGGCCAAATCCCACAAGCTGAGGGCTCAGTCCCACAAGACCGCCCCTCCTTCAGGCACCAGTCATAAGTCCAGGCCTCCAGAACTTCCAACCAACCAGCTTTAAGTTGGGATTCCCACAAGCCCCTCTTTGGGTTTGATTAATTTGCTAGAGTGGCTCACAGAACTCAGGGAAACATGTTTACCAGTTTATTATAAAGGAAATTACAAAGGATACAGATGAAGAGATGCATAGTGCAAGATATGGAGGAAGGGGCATGCATGGAGCTTCCATGACCCCCCTGGGAGTGCCACTCTTCAGGAACTCCCACGTGTAGACCTATGTGAAAGCTCTCCAAATCCATTCCTTTTGGTTTTTATGGAAGCTTCATTACATAGCCATAATTGATTAAATCATTGGCCACTGGTGATCAACTTAACCTTCAACCCCTCTCCCTTTTCAGGAGGTTGGGGGTGGAGCTAAAAGTTTCAACCCTCTAATTATGCGTTGGTCTTTCTGGTGACCAGCCCCCATCCTAAAGCTATGTAGAGGTTGCCAACCATCAGTTAATCATTAGCATACAAAAATATAACTTTATAGAGTCTAAGGATTTTAGGATTTGTATATTTAGGGAAAGGGGACAAAGACTAAATATATATTTTACATTATCACACCATGAAGGAAAAAAATGGACACATTGAACTTTATTAAAATTAAAATTTTTGCTCTGTGAAAGATACAGTTAAGAGAATTAAAAGACAAGCCACAGACTGGGAGAAAATATTTGCAAAACGCGTAGTAGCTGTACATCCAAAATATACATAAAAAAACTCTTAAAACTTAACAATAAGAAAACAAACAACCTAATTAAATATTGGCAAAGATGTGAACAGACACCCCACCAAAGAAGATATGCAAATGAAAAATAAGCCTATGAAAATATGTTCAACTTCATTTGTCATCACAGAATTGCAAATTAAAACAATAATAAGATACCACTACACACTTATTACAGTGGCTAAAATTTTTTCAAATATTTAACTGACAATACCAAATGTTGGTGAGGATGTGGAACAACAGGAACTATATCATTCATTGATGGTGGGAATGCAAAATGGTTCAGCCACTTTGGAAGACAGTTTGGCAGTATCTTACAAAGCTAAACATAGTCTTACAATCCAGAAATCACACCATACAATCCAGAAATCACACTCCTAGGTATTTAAATTGATTTGAAATTTTTTTGTTCCCACAAAAACCTGCACGGGAATGTTTATAGAAGTTTTATTCACAATCTCCAAAAACTGGACGCAACCAAGATTTCCTTTGATATGTGAATGGAAAAACAAACTGTGTTACATCCACACAATAGAGTATTATTTAGCATAAAAAATATATGAGCTATCAAGCCACAAAAAGATTTGGAGAAAACTTAAATGCCCCTTGTTAAATGAAAGAAGACACTATGAAAATACTATATTGTGTATGATTCAAATTATATGACATTCTGGAAAAAGCAAAACTATGGACAAAGAAAAATGATCCATGTGTGCCAAGGGTTTTGGGGTAGAAGGGAGAAATAAATAGGTGAAGCATGGGGTATTTGTTGCAGCAGAGAAACTATGATACTGTATGATACTGTATGATACTGTAATGGTGGATACATTACAATAGGCATTTCTCAAACCCATAGAACTTGACAGCAGAAAGAAAACTTAATGTACACAAATTTTTATTTTATTTTATTTTATTTTGAGACAGAGCCTCCCTCTGTTTCCCAGGCTGGAGTGCAGTGGCCCCGATCTCAGCTCACTGCAAGCTCCACCTCCCGGGTTCACGCCATTCTCCTGCCTCAGCCCCCCGAGTAGCTGGGAATACAGGAGCCTGCCACCACGCCCAGCTAATTTTTTTTAATGTACACAAATTTTTAGAAGTCAGTTAGGAGGAAGGGAATCCCAGAAAGGAATGCAGACTGTGATAAGAGAATTTACCGGTATTGTAAAAATAACCTCACTGAAGAGGGTGAGAGATCAAGGTGTTGACCTAAGTAACTTTGGAAATTAGTAGTCTTTAAGACTAAAGGCATTTTAGCACTCTTCTCTACTGGATAAAGTTATTGTTTCTCACAGGGTATGGTTTAAAGTTTCCAGTACCAGTGTACATGTATACTGGAACTGGACAACTAAGTAAATGGATGGAGGATGTTGGGGGCCAGGTTTCTCATGTTTGAGGTGGGAGTTTACAGATAAAAGGGGAAGGCAAGAATAACCCAAGGATTAGAATTGGAGATATTACTATGAACTCATGGTTAGCTTAATACAGGCACAAATGGTTAATTACAGAAATTTTTTTTTGTTTGTTAAGTGGTTTATTGTTTAAATATCAACTTTTAAATTCGGGGTACATGTGTAGGTTCATTGCATGGATATGTTGTGTGTTGCTGAGGCTTAGGGTATAATTGATCCTGTCACTCAGGTAGTGAGCATAGTACCCAATATGTAGTTTTTCAGCCATCCCCACCCCTTAGCCTAGTAGTCTCTAATGTCTATTGTTCCCATCTTTATATCCATGTGTACCCAAAGTTTAGCTCCCACTTATAAATGAGAACATGTGGTATTTGATTTTCTGTTTCTGAATTAATTTACTTAAAACAATGGCCTCAAGCTGCAACCATGTTGCTGCAAGGACATGATTTTATTCTTTTTTATGGCTGCCTAGTATTCCATGATATGTATATACCACATTTTCTTTATCCAGTCCACCATTGATAGGCACCTAGGTTGAGTATATGTCTTTGCTACTGTGAATACTGCTGCAGTAAACATACGAGTGTATGTGTCTTTTCGGTAGAATGATTTATTTTTCTTTGGGTATATACCCAGTAATGAGATTGCTGGGTTGAATAGTAGTTATATTTTAGTTCTTTGAGAAATCTCCAAACTGCTTTCCACAGTTACTGAACTAATTTACATTCTCACCAGCTGTGTATAAGCTTTCCCTTTTCTCTGCAGCCTCATCAACATGTTATTTTTTGACATTTTAGTAATAGTCATTCTGACTGTGTGAGATGGTATCTCATTGTGGTTTTAATTTGCATTTCTCCGATGATTAGCGATGTTGAACATTTTTTCATATATTTGTTGGCCACTTGTATGTCTTCTTTTGAGAAGTATCTGTTCATGTCCTTTGCCCACTTCTTAAGGGGGTTACTTATTTTTTGCTTGTTGAATGAAGTTCCTTATAGATTCTGGATATTAGATCTTTATTGGATGCATAGTTTGTAAATATTTTCTCCCATTCTGTAGGTTGGCTTTTTATTCTGTTGATATTTTCTTTTGCTGTGCAGAAGCTCTTTAGTTTAATTAGGTCCCACTTGCCAATTCTTCTTTTTGTTGCAATTGCTTTTGAGGACTTATTCATAAATCCTTTGCCAAGGCCAGTGTCCAGAAGGGTATTTCCTAGATTTTTTCTTTTAGAATTTTTAAAGTTTTAAGTCTTACATTTAAGTCTTAATCCAATCAACTTTTGAGTTAATTTTTGTATATGGTGAAAGGTAGGGGTCCAGTTTCATTCTTCTGCATATGGCTAGCCAGTTATCCCAGCACCATTTATTGAATAGGGAATGCTTTCCCCATTGTTTATTTTTGTCAACTTTGTTGAAGATCAGATGGCTGGTGAGAATGTAAATTAGTTCAGTAACTGTGGAAAGCAGATATGTGGCTTTATTTCTCGGTTCTCTATTATGTTCCATTGACCTATGTGTCTGTTTTTATACTAGTACCATGCTGTTTTGGTTACTGTGGCCTTGAGGTATAGTTTAAAGTCAGGTAATGTGATGTCTGCAGCTTTGTTCTTTTTGCTTAGGATTGCTTTGGCGCTTTGGGCTCTTTTTTGGTTCCATGTGAATTTTACAAGAGTTTTTTTCTAATTAATTACAGAAATATTATGTTATAATCTTATGTGTCTCAACTTGACTGGGTCATGGGGTATCCAGACATTTGGTTAACCATTACTTCTGGGTGTGTCTGTGAGTGTTTCTAGATGAGACTAACATTTGAATCAGTAGATGGAGTAAAGCAGATTGTTCTCCCCAGTGTGTGTGGGCCTCATTCAATCTGTTGAAGGCCTGAATAGAAGAAAAGGCTGAATAAGAAAAAATTCTTGTTTTGGCCATTGCACCCAGTTTTTTGCAAAGCTTGAAACTATTTCAAAGTATTGGGTTGATTAGGATCATCCCATTGGTTAATAAATAAATGTGTTTGTGCTTTTAAAAATAATTCTTTCTGACTGACTCTCTTCAGACTGGGACACTGGTCTTCTCCTTCCTTTGGACTCAGACTCAGACTTAGACTGGAATTTACAACATCAACTCACCTGGGTTTCCAGCTTGCCAACTTCAGATCTTGGACTTCTCATCTTCTATAATCATGTGAGCCAATTCCTTATTATAATATATTTACCATTGGTTCTGTCTCTCTGAAGAACCCAGACTAATATATTGTGCTTTTTGGTTTTGGGGGGTTTTTTGAGACAGGGTGTTACTCTGCTGTCCAGGCTGGAGTGCAGTGGCACAACCTCGGCTCACTGCAACCTCCACCTCCTAGGCTCAAGCAATCCTGCCTCAGCCTCCCAAGTAACTGGGACTACAGGCATGCACCGCCACACCCAGCTAATTTTTGTATTTTCTGTAGAGACAGGGTGTTGCCATTTTGCCCAGGCTAGTCTCGAACTCCTAAGCGCAAGCAATCCATCTGTCTTGGCCTCTCAAAGTGCTAGGATTATAGGCATGAGCCACTGCACCTGACCAGTAATACATTTGTGTATATATACATGGGTTAACATAAAAATGTTTGTGCTATCAGCTGAAAGGGCATAAAAGAAATGACACCTCAGTAGCAACAAGCACACCTAATGCCTAGATCTTGGTTTCTAATACTGTCCTCCAGTAAAGAAAGCAGGAATCTTTGAGAAATAGTTGATTCTAGGACTGGAGCAAGAAATATACAAAATGATACTGGAACTTCTTATAGTGCCATAAAATAAGGAAGTGTTCAACAACAACTTATGATGGAGGTGTATCAGAGGAGGACAAGAGCCAATGGAAAGAGCTCCCAATGGCCAAAGCTGGAACAACTTGAACAACAAAACAAATAAGGTATGCCAGATTCTAATCCAAAGTAAAAAAATAAATATTTCTGAGTCCATGCTTACATAAATAAGTGATTGAATAAATTATAGATACTCCACCCTCAAGGAAGGGGAGCATAACTTCCCACTCTTTAAGTGTGGGCTGCACATAGCAACTTCCTTCCAAACAATACACTATGGAGGGGGCAGGAGAGGATAACTTTACAGTGGAGAAACCTGACACACCACCTCAGCCAGGTGATCAAGGCCACTATCAACAGTCATAAATTGTGTTGATGGTATGTTATGTACCCTTGACATGATGCAATGAAAACGGCACTTTGTCTCTGTAGTCTGTCTCCCAGTAACCCATGACCCCAGTCTTATCATGAGAAAAACAGCAGACAACTCCCATAGTGAGGCATCCTACAAACTACTTGGCCATTACTCCTCAAAACTCTCTTACTAAATGTGATATGGTATTCTGGATGAAGTCCTGGAACAGAAAAACAACATTAGATAAAAACTAAGGAAATGTGGATAAAAAATGACTTTAGTTAATAATTATATGTCAATAGTGGTTCCTTAATTATAACAAGAATTTCACACCAATGTATGAGGTTAATAATAGGGGAAACCATGGAGGACATTTTGAAAATCTCTACTGTCTTCTCAACTTTTTCTGTAAAGCTAAAAAGATAATGTCTATTTAAATAAACAAAAACAAAAAAAGAACTTAAAGGATATACTTCAGCAAGGAGAAAACTGAATTTAGAGGGAAGCTAATGAGCTAGAAAATAAAATATGTCAGTAAATTTAATTAACTATTAACTGAAAGAGATAATTTTTTTATTAATAGGCAAAACTATGACTAGAAATAATAACTAGATAAGAATGATGTTCAATTAGTGATTAAAGTAAGTTAAAGTCTGTGTCATGTTTGGGAAGAGGATAGAAATATTGAATGACTTAAATCTGTTAGAAAAAAATGAGTACTTAAGTATGTGTATGCAATTAAGTATATAAAAATTGAAGGATAACCACAATAAAATGAAAAACACAGTCTATTTTCCAAACTGCTACAGAGGGGGAAAAGGGCATGAAGGGGAAGAATGGACATAGAAAACATTTTCAGTTCAACAGAATGCAAGAAAAGGAGAAAAAAAAAAAGAACAGAAAACAAAGCAGAGAAAAAGTTGGTTAAAAAAATATGCAAATATGTAGATCGTTACAATAAATGTTGTATGAGATGCATCTTGCACATACCCTCAAATTCTCTTGGCCTCACCTGTCTCCCAAACATTCAGCCTCTTGCCTTTCTACAGCTACTGCCAAGTGACAGTCCACTCTGTTGGATCCGTGGCTGGAGGCCACTGCCCATTGTCTCTGTCCTTTCCCACTCCATTGGCACTTTATGTTACAATGCATGAACCAGGTAACTCAGCCTGAAGTTCAAAAGAGTTAAATCCCCAAGGGCAGAAGGCCTAAGTAGAGATAAGAGAACAGAGCCAGCAGATAAACGCCTTCTATTTGCTTCCGTTCAATGGACTTTTCCAAGGCAAGCATATGCCTGTACAGCATGTGTGGAGATGTGCCAAGAGGCCAAGTGAGTGTATCTGTCAAGCATTGCCATTGTCTTGTGGTGTGCTGTGAAGTCCTTACACATGCTTTCCATTCTCCTTTGCCTCAGTTAGCCTTTCTCTCTCTCCTAATGACTCAACATTGCTTCAGGCTCTGTTGCTAAGACAAATGTAAAATAAACAAATAAATTTAAAAGCCTATCTACTAAAATAGATCGGATGAATAGATTTAAATCCAGTAAAACACAAGAGACACATCTGAAATAAAATTAATTAGAAATGTTGAAATGAAGACATGGAAAATATACACCATGAAATTACTAACAACAACAACAAAACTAGTGTAGTAATATTAATATCAGACAAACTAAAACTTGAGGTATAATAGATAGTACGTAACAATATATTACATACATATTTAATATATATACTTACAGAAAGAAAAAATCCACCAAGGAAATATAACAATAATGAATTTATATGCACCTAAAAAAATTACCTGAAAACATACAATACAGACACAGACAGGATTAGAAAAAAAAATGACCAATATAAAAAATAATGGGAGATTTCAACAAACATCTATTAGAAATCATATACCAAGTGGCCAGGTGCAGTGGCTCATGCCTGTAATCCCAGCACTTTAGGAGGCTGAGGTGGGTGGATCACTTGAGGTCATCAGTTCCAGACCAGCCATGCCAACATGGCGAAACCCCATCTCTACTAAAAATACAAAAATCAGCCAGGCGCGGTAGTGCACGCCTGTAATCCCAGCTACTCAGGAGTTAGAGGCAGGAGAATCACTTGAACCCAGGAGGCAAAGCTTGCAATGAGCTGAGATCGTGCCACTGCACTCTAGCCTGGGCAACAGAGTGAGACTCGGTCTCAAAAAAAATTAAAAAAAGAAACCATATACCAAGTAGACAAAATGTTATTAAGGTATAGAAGGTTTGAACAACTAAATCAATATATTTTCTAATAAATGCATATAGAGTTTTCAACCAATAAGCAGAAAGAATGCATTCTCTTTCAGTTCATATGAATTATTTACAAAAATTGACTACATATAATACTATACACACAGGAAATCTCAACAAAGAAGCAATATCATGTAGATCATTTTCTCTTGTGGCAATAAATGTAAATTAGAAAGCAACCATAAACGTTAAATCCAAACAACACAGACGCACATTGAAATTTTTAAAATGCTTTTCTAAATAACTTACTATGAAAGAGGACATCACAATAAAAATTATAAGTATTTCTCATGAACTGTAATTGAAGTTTGCATGTTAAAACTATGTAACTAGTAGAGTACCTGCAAGAGACTTTGTAACTGTAAATGCACCAATTAAAATAAAGTTAGAAAATAAATGTTATATTTAACTGAAGAACCAATAAAAAGATTGTAGTAAACAAAAACAAGACAGAAGACAGTAAATATTAAAAATAAGGGTAGAAATTAATAAAACAAAAAAACAAGAAAATAACAGAATCAACTAAGACAAAAGCTATTTCTCTTAAAAAGGAAAACTCATAAAACAGTTTTCCAGTAAGACTAAGCAACGGAACAAAGACAAAAGGCATAAATACACAAAATTAGATATGAAGAAGGGGATATAACTAAAATAGAGACTTTAATAATCATAATAGAATATGATCAGCTTTATGTTTTAAAATTTGAAAACACAAAGAATTTTACATTTCTAGAAAATAAAAATTACCAAAATTGGCTCAAGAAGAAATAAGAAACTTGAATAAATTAAGCCATTAAAGAAATCACATGGCAAATAAAAGTAAAACCACCTCAACGAAAAGATCCACTCTTAAATGGATACTTGATATGTGACAGAGGTTATGTCACAAATCAATAAGGAAGGAATGGCTTCTTCAATAAATGGCACTGAGACAACCGACCACACTTACTTATTGAAAAAAATAAAACTAGCTGCTTACATTTTTAATACATATGAAAATTAATTCTGGGTAGATTAAAAATCTAAATAGAAAAGGCAAAACTTTAAGACATTTAGAAAAAAAAGATGAAAACATCTTCAGGGTAGAGAATTTCTCAAACAAGACACTATGAGAAAAGAAAAATATTGATAAATTTAACTTTTATTTTAAAACTTTATTCAGCAATAGTTATTATATGCAAAGTAAAAGACAAGCCACAACAGTCTCTTTGGAAAATAAGTTGGCATTCTCTAATAAAGCTGAAGATATGCATACCTTCTGATTAAGAAACTTCTCTCCTACATATAGTCCCTAGAGAAACTCATGCATGCGTGTGCCCAGAGCCATGTACAAGAATGTTTACAGTGATATTGTTTGAAATATTCAAAAACTGGAGGAGTGAGGCAAATCAATAGTAGAATTTTTGTGGAACATTCATTTGATAAAATGCCATCAGCAGTGAAAATGACGAACTACAGCCACATATCACAAGGTTTAATTAATCTCACAAACATAGGTTGAATCAGAGAAGTAAGACATAAAAGAAAAAGTGCAAAATGATTTCGCCTATTTAAAGTTCAAATGTAGGAAAAACTAACCTATAGTGTTTTGAGATAACTACATTGGTGGCTAAACTATATAGAAAAGCAAGAATGTGATCAATAAAAATCAGGATAATGGTTACATCCAGGAGAAAGGAAGTAAGTATAATTAGGAAGGGACACATGAAGGGTTTCTGGAACTGACGACCTTCTACTTCTTAAATTGAGTGGTAATTTTCCTGAGTGTTCACTTTGTAATTATACTGAACATTTAGGACTTAAGCACCTTTCTGAAGGTATGTTTCATTTTACAGTTTTAAAAGATTAGAAGAAAAAGACAAGTCACAGACTAGGAGAATATCTTTGTAACACATATGATCAACAAATAATATTCAGAATACATATTTTTAGCATATCCATCATATCAAATATTTATCATTTCCTTGTGGTGAGAACATTTAAAATCCTCTCTTTTCACTATTTTGAAATAGACAATACATCATTAACTGTAGTCACCATGTTGCATAATGGAACACCAGAACTTATGCCTCCTGACCTGAAACCTTGTACCCATTGACCAACATCTTCTCCTTCTCTTCCCATCCCATTGCCCCCAGCCTCTGGCAACCAGCATTCTCTACTTCTGAGCTCTCATACTCTCTACTTCTGAGTTCAACTTTTTTAGATTCCACAAATAAATGAGATCATATGATATTTATCTCTCTGCGCCTGGCTTATTTCACTTAGTGTAGGTCCTCTAGGTTCATCTATGTTGTCACAAATAACAGAATTTCCTGGGTTTTTTGTAAGGCTGAATATTAATAGTACTCCATTGTGTATATATACCACATTTTAAGAATCCACTTATCCTTTGATGGACAATTAGGTTGTTTGCATATCTTGGCTATTGTGAGTAATACTGGAACAGTTGTGGGAGAACAGACATCTCGTCAATATACTGATTTCAACTCCCTTGGATATATACCCAGTAGTGGGATTACTGGATCATATCATAATTCTATTTTGAGTTTTCTGAGGAACCTCCCATTCTGTTTTCCAAAATGGCTCTACTACTTTACCATACCACTAATAGTGTATAAGGGTTCCCTTTTCTCCACATCCCCACCAACACTTATCTTTGATAATAGCCAATCCAACAGGAATGAGGAGACATCTTACTGTGATTTTAATTTGCATTTCTCTGATAATTAGCAATATTGAGCACTTTTTCGTATATCTGCTGGCCATTGTGTGTCTTCTTTTGAGCAATGTCTACTTATGTCCTTTGCCCATTTTTAATAGGGTTATCATCTGTTTTCTTGTTATTGAGTAGTTTGAATTCCTTGTATATTTTGGATATTAGCCCCTTTTCTAATGTATGATTTACAAATATTTTCTCCCAATCTGTGGGTTGTCTCTTCATTCTATTAATGGATTCCTTTGCTGTGTAGAAGTTTCTTAGTTTGATGCCATCCTATTTGTCTATTTTTGCTTTTGTTGCCTGTGTTTGTGGGGTCATATCCAAGAAATCACTGCCCAAACTTAATGTCAGAAAGGTTTTCCTATATGTTTTTTCTAGTAGTTTTACAGTTTCAGGTCTTACATTTGAGTTTTTAATCCATTTTGAGTGAAAAATGGATATATAGTCTTTAAAGTCTTCAAGTTAATAAGAAAAAGAGGGCAAAAGATATGAACAGAGTAATGTAGTTTTGTGTATGTGCATATATGTATATGTATATGCATACACATAAATATATATACACACATATATACATATATCCATATACATACATATATACATATGTGTGTATGTGTATTTACTAGTGAAACTGAGAATGATATATATGTGTATATATATACACACACACATTATATATACACATACATTATATATACACATATATATATGATTCTCAGTCTCACTAGTAAATTGAAGAAATTCAAATTAAAACAACAATGAAATATCATTTTATGGACATCATGCCAGCAAACATTAAAAGGCTGACAACACCAAGTATTGTTCAGGATATGAAAAAACAGATCTCTAATTATACTTCTGGGAGCATGCTTTGGGGAGCAATTTAGCCACATTTAACAATATTGAAGAAAAGCACATTCTATGGCCCAACAGGGCAGTTTTGCATTTTGCAGAGAGTCTTTTACAAGAATATTTATCTGTGCCGTTGTTTGTAATAGCTAAAAGTTAGAAATGACTTCAGTGTTCCTAAACAAAAGAAGGAATAAATTGTAGTATAGTAACACAATGCAATGTCACGTAGCAATTAGAATGAACTAGAGCTACAACTATCAAAATGGAAAAGCAAATTCTAGAATATGCATAGTAAGATATCATTTACATAAACTTTGAAAATATGCAGAACAACACCACATATTGTTTATGATGCATACATATGTAGCAATAGTATGAAACTATGCATGAGAATGAAAAACACTGAGTTGAGGGTGGTGTTTGCCTCAGGAGAGGGAGGAAAAAGAATGAGATCAACTAGGAGCATACACAGCTTCAATTATATCTGAAATATTTTATTTATTTTTAAAAGAACTGAAGCAAAAAAGAAAATCTGTCATTTAAATTTACCAGATTAACAAATTAAGGTAGAAAAACCATGCAATCATCTCA